>NC_000023.11:109337542-109962542 GCF_000001405.40 Homo sapiens | reverse complement strand
AAGCATCTCAGGGAGGCCATAGCTGAAAAAGATAAATCTCTAATGTTGGGGAAGAGATTCTGGGGGTGAGGGGCTTTCAATCACCACTTATTTTTTCTGGAAGACTTTGGTTTGCTCTAGGAAGCTTTTTCTTTTCTTTTTCTTTTTTCTTTTTTTTTTCTTTTTTTTCTTTAGACAGAGTCTCGCTCTGTCACCCAAGCTGGAGTGCAGTGGCCCCATCTTGGCTCACTGCAACCTCCGCCTCCCCGGTTTAAGCAATTCTCTGTCTCAGCCTCCTGAGTAGCTGTGATTACAGGTGCCTGCCACCACACCTGGCTAATTTTTATATTTTTACTAGAGATGGGGTTTCGCCATCTTGGCCAGGCTGGTCTTGAACTCCTGACCTCGTGATCCACCCTCCTTGGCCTCCCAAAGTGCTGGGATTACAGGCGTGAGCCACTGCGCCCGGCACTAGGAAGCTTTTTCTACATCATGAAATGGATCTACAGAATAAGAAATGGGCCCCACTGAGATTTACCAACTCCAAGTCACCTTCTTTAGGAGTTTGGTCTTCAGTAGTAAGTCAATAGCTACACTTTCCCTTCTCCAACAAACCCATTAAAGAAGCTGCACAGAGACACAAAAGTTTTGCTCTTCTCAGAATTTACATTAAATTAGATGCATAGGGAACCACTGGCCTTTCTTCATTCTGTATAAGGAAGTCAAGAGCTCAAAACAGTTTATGGAACAGTTTACCTGTTTAATTCTGATGTCTTATGAAAGTCTGCTATTCCATGTCCACAGAGATCTGGCATTTAGCACAGACTACATTGCATTACCTTTCCAATGCATCCCCTATTTGCCCCAGATAGAGATTACAGTATACTGCACAGAGCACTCCACATTTATTTCTTGATGATAATGACAGGCAGCAGAACACTGCCCTAGGAGCAAGGAGACCTGGGTTCCAGTTTCAGCTCTACTACCAACATGCTGTGTAACCTTGAGCAAATCGCTTCCCTGATATAGAATCAATTTTCTCACCTGTAAAATGAGGAAGAAGATATCTAAGGGCTTCTCCAGCTCTGCCATTCTGTGAGTCTTAATATAAAGGCTTCATTCAATGTAAATTAGACCTATCACATCAGCAACCCCTAAGCCAGTGGTTCCTAAGTTCCAGTGGGCACCAGAATCAATTAGAGAAGTAACTTGCTATTTGGAAATGTATCCTATATCTGCAAAATGATGTGTATACAAGGTAATTCAGTATGTCAATTGATTGTATTAGTGGAATAGTGGAAACAACCCATGTGCCCATCAAAAAGTAACTGGTTAAATAAGGTCTGGTACATCCATATAATGGAATGCTATACAGCTGTGAAAACTAGTAAGGAAGTTCTCTATGACAGATACGGAAAGATCTTTAAATTACATTATTTTTTAAAGGTGCAGAATAGTATGTAAAGTATGCTAATTCTTATGGGGAAGAAGTGATATATATATTTATATAATCTATATATTATATATAGATTATAGACTATTATACTAATTATATAGATCATATAGATTATATAATCTATACTCTATATTATGTATATAATAGATTGTATATAATATAAAATATATTTTATAGATCATATGTGTTACAGACTCTATATTATATATAGATGTACTATATATAATCTTCATTTGCTTATATTTGATAAAGAAACTCTGAAAGGATTCATAAGAAATAAATAACAGTTGTTACCTGGATTTTTATGGCAGGTGGGGGTAGGGTAAGGTGGGAACCAGGCAGCTGAGGACAGGAATAGGAGAGAGACTTCCATGCTATACATTTATATTTTTAAAGTGTTGTGCCATGTGAACACATCATCTGTTCAAAAATTAAATTATAAAATAGAATAACAGAATCTACGTGGGAGCTAGTTAAAAATGCAGATGGCTGAGTTTAATGGGTCAGAACTTGGGAATCCAGAAGAATAATAGGTGAAATATACTTTGAGAAACACTGGCCTATACACTTTGCAAAACAGAAAGGATGGCAAAGATGCCTGTAATGTAAGACAGGGCCTTCTCTTTAGCAATTGCTCTACCAAGCATCCCCATGTCACTGTAATTATAAAGCTTCCAAATCCATACGTTACCCTTCTACCTTCCCACATCTCCCAGTGATGTGACCAAGCCTTCTTTGGGAAATCTTGACAGTTCTCGACTGTGGAAAACATGAAGTCTCGAGCACTTCTGTTTGTATGGTATATTAGGCTGTTGTTGCATTGCTATGAAGAAATATCGGAGACTGGCTAATTTATAATGAAAAAATGTTTCATTGGCCCATGGTTTCACAGGCTGTACAGGAAGAATGATGCTGGCATCTGCTCAGCAGTGAAACCACTCTTTGATCTCAACTTTTGGAGGGGGCACCAAATCCAGTGCCTCTCACCAGGCCCCACCTCCAACACTGGGGATTACTATTTGACAAGAGATTTGGTGGGGACGCAGATGCAAACCATATCTTATGGCTATGTAAGCAGCTTTTGTCTTTCACAGGATCAGGCTAGAAGGACCTGCTCACTTGGAGGAATAGAGATTGTTGGGAATGAGAAAAGACCCCCTCCAAAAGTTGAGATCAAAGAGTGGTTTCACTTGCCCTGAACTCCTGCTGCCAACTGGCCTGTGAAGTGGTAGCCTTTGCAGAACCAACCAGAGGAACAGCAGCACTAGCACTGCCCCTGCCCCCTACTTGGGAGACCTGCTTGTGGGTTTTGAGTCAGGATGTGGGCAATATGCAGGTTTTGTCTGAAACTGGCTTACACTTGTCCTTTGAGCCAATTGGATGTCCTTTAAAAATATTAGGCAATATACACTGCTTATGTGCACTAAGTACTTACAATGTTATCTTATTTTGTCAACCCAACAGGGTAAGTACTACACTGCTATCTCCCTTTTACAGATGTGGCAACTGAAGCATAAGTAGGGTGAGTGGCTAGCCACAGATCCCATAGTTAATAAGCAGGACTCCTTGGTGGCCCAGGATGGCAGTTGGAATTTAAATTCTGGCAGCCTGTTGCTAGGTCATCCCTACTCAAAGGCAAGGCCAAGTCACCCAATAAAAAGTTTCTGCAACTCTATCCCAAGAGCTCAGGGAATCTCCATTGGCTCTACCTCTGACTCACTGTCCTGACTCCTCTTGCTCTCTTCTGCTGTGCCACGTTTTCTTACTAGCTTTGCAGAGCCCAGATTCTCTCCCTTTAGTGTGCCCATTGGAATTGACCCTTCAGTTGGATTGTCTATTGAATTTCATTAGCAACTTCTCCCCTGATCGCTGGCTGTCAGATCACCTTTGAGTTCAAGCTCTGGAGCACCACAGGCAGATCTAACCCCAAGCTCAACCCAGATTCCTAGCCCAGGCCCCCAGTATGGATGTAGTATCCTGGGATCCTACTTATCTTACCAAGAAGAGAATAGACTCTCTTGGTCTCTCTCAGACCTTTAGGTCTCAGCTATCTTGATTCTGTTGACCCTTCACACTCATGTACAAGGTCTCCCAAGCCTTACAAACAAGTTGACTACTTCCAGCATACTACAAAGGAGCCCAGTCAGCAGCAAGGACTCATTATAGCTCAAGATGCTACTTTGGATGGCATTTGCTGATCCTCCTGATTGGCAGCTGGAATACAGCGCAGGCAGTGCAGGGACAGGAAGAAGAATTGTCTAATACAACAACTATAGTTATGGGCTTTTTATTTTTTTTGGAGGGGGATGAACTGGCACCAAACAGACACTATTCCAAGTGCCTTGTTCCACCGTGGGATGCATTGGAAGACAATTAGTTGTGGCAGGGGAGAAGTATAGCGTTTGGCCATGTAAGAGAGTAAAACAAACTTATCTAGCCTCAGAGTGAATTGAAAGCTTTAATGAGAGTGTTAACCAGTCACAGGTAGGGAGATAATAAAAACTTCAGCTCATTTTTGGAGAAAACTTCCTTGGTTCCATTAGCTATGGTGAGATCCTAATGATGCTTTGCTAATTTGTATTTGTTTTAGCATCTCCTTGGCATCAACTAAGTTCTAAAGGCTATGTGGAGTTAGGCCACTTTATCTCCTTTTGCTTCTTTGACCACATCCTTCCCCTTATGAAGCCACTCAGCAGTTCTTTCATTAGCACACCAAAAAACAAAAAACAAAACAAAACAAAACAAAACAAACAAAAAACCAAACCAAAACAAAACAAAACAAAACAAACAAAAAACCAAACCAAACCAAAACAAAACAAAACAAAAACTCAAACTAGGTCTGAGCCATAGTCCATTGATGCTGAGTACATAGCATGGGCTCTGGAGCCCAAATGCCTGGGTTTTGAATCCCAGCTCAGTTACTTACAAACTGTGTGATCTTGGTGAGGATACTGAACCTCTGTTTCCCAGTTTCTTCCTCTCTAACATGGGAATAATAACACCACCTATCTTATTGAGTTGTTGAGTTGTTATGAGGAAAAAATGAATTCATATTTGCAAGGCACTTGGAATAGTGTCTGACAATAGTAAGTGCTAGGTAAATGTTTATTAAATAAATAAGTATGTTCATTCATTAAACAAATCTGTATTGTATATCTATTCGTTAGCCAGGGGTTGGCAAACTTTTTCTGTAGAGAACTACATAGTAAATATGTTTTTAGGCCTTTTGGGCCATATGATCTCTCTTTCAACTACTCAGTTCCACTATTGTAGTGAGAAAGCAGTCATAGACTATATGTAAATGAATTGGTGTGGCTGTATGCCAATACAAATTTATTACAAATATAAGTTAGGCTAGATTTGGCCCACAGGCCATAGGTTGATGACCTCTGTGCTAGGGGATGGGAATACAATAATATGCGAAACAGATCCACTAAAGTGTTCTGTCTAGTATGGGAGCTAGTAAACAAATAATTATATACCTTATTATTGTGAGAAGTATGAGGGCGGGGAGATGGGTCGGGGAGGGTGTAACCTACACTGGAGGATCAGCAAAAGCTCCTCTGGGAAAGTGGCTTCAAACCAAGATAAAAGATGGACATAAACAAGTGAATGGGGGCATGAGGAGGGGCATGTGTGAGGTACACGACATTGACATCACCCTCAAAGAGCAAGGATGTCCCAAATATCCTAAATATCTCATTTTACCTTTCATTTAGTTTAGGGAAAAATCATTGAGATTTTAATCTAATCTGTCTTAGTCTTTCAGCTGCTATAACAAAATACCATAGACCGGGTAGCTTATAAACAACAGAAATTTCTCATAGTTCTGAGGGTTGGAAGTCAAAGAACAAGGCACTGGCCCATTTGGTGTCTGGTGAGGGCCTGCTTTCTGGTTCATTGACAGAAACTTTTCAATGGACCCTCATGTGGTAGAAGAGGCTAGCTAGCTCTCTGGGTCTCTCTGTCTCTCTCTCTCTCTCTCTCACTCTTTTTTTTTTTTTTTTTTTTTTTTGAGACAGAGTCTGGCTCTGTGCCCAAGCTGGGGTATAGTGGCATGTTCTCAGCTCACTGCAACCTCTGCCTCCCGGGCTGAAGCCATCCATCCACCTCAGCCTCCTGAGTAGCTGGGACTACAGGTGCGTGCCACCACCCCCAGCTAATTTTTGAATTTTGTAGAGACGGGGTTTTGTCATGTTGCCCAGGCTGGTCTTGAACTCCTGGGATCAACTGATCCGCCTGCCTTGGCCTCCTAAAGTGCTGAGATTACAGGTATGAGCCACTGCACCCAGTCTGGTGTTCCTTTTGTAAGGACACTGATCCCAATAACCTAATCACCCCAAAGGCCCCACCTCCAAGTACCATCACCTTGGAGGGTAGGATTTAAACATATGAATTTGGGGTTGGAGGGACACAAACATTCAGCCCATAGCACAATCTCTTCCTGAAGCTATTTTTAATCTCAACCTGTAAAATTTCTTGTGAGAATAACAGAATTGTTAAGTGCATAGACTGTTGCCAGATTTCCTGGGTTTGACTCCCAGCTCCACATACAAGTTGTGTAACCTTGGCCAAGTTACTTAACCTCTTTTGCCAAAGCCTTCTCTGTCTGTCAGGTGGGGATGACGGTATTGGTAGTATTCCCCTCAAAGGGTGAATGAGCTATTACATGTAACCTATTTGGAATATTGTCTGCCTCACAGTATTCAACATGTGTTAGCCCTTGCTGTTATTGTGGTTTATATGCCTGGTACTTTGTGTAGGGTACATTAAGTTTTCCTTTTATATCTGCTAGCATTGCCTCCTTCACATTCTGTTAAGGACTGAATCATCTCTTGCGCCTCCTCAAAATTCACAGGTCGAAATTCTACCCCCCAACATGATGGTATTAAGAGACAGGGCCTTTGGGAGGTAATTAGGTCATGAGGGTGAAGTTTTCATGATGGAATTAGTGCCCTTATTAAAAAGACCCCAGAGGCTGGGTGTGGTGGCTCACACCTATAACCCCCTCACTTTGGAAGGCCGAGGAGGGTGGATTGTGAGATCCAGAGTTCGAGACCAGCCTGACCAATATGGTGAAACCCCGTCTCTGACAAAAATACAAAAATTAGCTGGGCGTGGTCGCACACGCCTGTAATCCCAGCTACTCAGGAGGCTGAGGCAGAATTGCTTGAACCCGGGAGGCAGAGGTTGCAATGAGCTGAGATTGCACCATTGCACTCCAGCCTGGGAGACAGAGCGAGACTCCGTCTCAAAACAAGTAAACAAACAAACAAAATAAAACAAAATAAAAAAAATCAGAGAGCTCTGTCACCCTCTTTCCTCCATGTGAGGATGCAAGGAGTTAGAAGTCTGCAACCCAGAAGGGAGCCGTCACCAGAATCCAACCATGATGGCACCCTGATCTCAGGTTTCCAGCATCCAAAACTGTGGGAAATAAATGTTTTGTTGTTTATAAGCTACCCAGTCTAAAACACTTTGTTGTAATAGCCCAAACTGACTAAGACATGCTCTAAGAAGTACCATTTCTCTAGTTCTCTAATTTTAGGACTTAGTTTATAAGTCCTAAAGTTTATTGTACACTTACATTGCAGATTTCGGCTAAAGAATTTACTCTCAATTCCCATTTAATCCTCAGAATCCAAGTCTTAGTATGCCCATTTAAGTTGAGGAAACTGAAGCTCAGAGCAGTAAAGTGACATTCCCAAAATCAAAAAGCTAGAAAGTAGAAGATCCAGGATTCAAACCCTGATTTATTGGACTAAAGAATCCCAAGTCCTTAGCCAATATGCTATGCAGTCTCCCACACATATTGAATCATACATTTGATGGTATCCTCTTCAACTTTTCCCACAGAAAAGAGGCAATCTGTTTAGGATTCCCTAATACAGCAGCCCTTGTCTCCAAGATAGCTCTGGGCCTTCTCTAGCTCATTGCAAAAGTGCAACCTGCATACAGTGTTCTAGGACAGGCAGCACCTAGGGTAAGAATATGTGTTTTGTTAGGGCTGGCACTATGAGTAAGCAGTGTAATCATGATAACGATCTTAGTATTTATTGAGCTCTTCTTACTATGCCAAATACTTTACATACATTAATTATTTTATTTACTCTTCATAACATTAGAAATATTAATAATTCTAGCATTTCCATGATCCGAGCCAGAAGCAGAGGGAGATCCAGCAATATTGGTGTAACTTCAAGGGATGGAAAAAACTTCTTTGCCCCCCAGAACACTTCTGAGTAGCTCCCCTTCTATATGAATACCCATTATTAAAGAAGCACTGGATTTATCAAAATGCAAATCTCCCTGAAAAGGTAATATATTCAGCCTTCCCAATCCTTTGTACCTCAGTTGGAACGAGCATACCTCAGTTCCATTTCTGAGAGCTAGTTTATTTATTTTTTATTTTTTTATCTTTTTTTTCCTGCCTTTTTATTCTATTCAGAGAGAGCTAGTTTTGGTAGGGAGAAGTGTGGAGAGAGCAAGGACACAGTAAGGGAACAGAATTTGGGATAGCATTTACTGACTAACATAATGTGGGCAAGAGCCAGAGAGCTGGCCCTAGGTTCTGATTCATTTCCGGTATCCTTCCTGTCTGAGAACAGTGTCTGAGACCTTTTCTTTCCTATCTCCCAAGCTTGCCATTTTCTCTTCTTTTTTCTGCTTCATTAAAATCAAGTTATCAAACTTTTCACTTAAGGCTCCTCCCACTAACACTTCCTCCAATCAATCGTCTTTGATTAAGTTTAGATCTGTTTTCCTGAGTAACCAGAGCAAACCATTGCCGGAGCTTCTAGCTCAGCCTCATGACTGACCATTCAGTTCTTATCATCTGAGGGTCACAGCATGTTCCAATCTGGTATTAATGGGCCTTCACAAAGCCCACAAGCTGATTGGATAGAACTAGTTTTAACATAATCTGGTCATCTCAGGTAGTCAAAAGTAAACCACCATTTTATCTTCAGCCCTCAGTCCATTTTGTCTCCATTCTTCCTTTCAGGAAGTTTCCAAACTACACCCTCGAGGGATTCAGCTACCACCCACTTAAAGCAATTCAAAAGAAAGATAAAAACTAAGAAATCATACTCTATATTCACTATTGACTAAGCTTTTTATCAATGGTCCAGAAATCATCCCTGAAGTGGTATTTCCGTGATAATTGGCATCCCATGTTTCTGCCTAAACTAGCTGAGGGAAAGAGAAAGAGGAAAGGGAGGAGATGTCTAAAAAAAATTCTCCCTACATGTCCCATCCTGTACCATACCTATCCCCACCCCCAACCCCAAATGAAAATAGAGCTAGAGCATTGAAAGCAGCTCTGGGTTGAAAGAGAGCAGGTGGCTCTTCCAAATCAGCCTGAGATTTAGTGACGCTCTTGTAGACCACACACCTGTTACATATGCATAAAAATACTATTTCAAACACATGCTTTCTCACATTGACTCTAACCCCAACCCCCACAAATGCACACCCTGAAGTACATAGCTCTCTGGCTCTGTGTTCCATAGAAAGGTGGCCAGGCCTATGAAGAGAATTTAATTCTGCTTTCCCATGCCCTTCCTGTTTCTGTTTCCAGCCAGTACTGGTTTCCTTTCAGTAGTGTGTGTGTGTGTGTGTGTGTGTGTACATGTGTGTGTGTATCTGTCTGTGGGTCTGTCTGTATGTGTCAGCGCAGGAAAGGGAAAGGAAGAGAAGAAGAGCAGGGAGGAGGAGGCATTAATCACTTTTTTGGGACCAGATCCCAAAGTGGTCTAAGCCAGGGATCTGCAAACTTTTTCTATAAATGGCCAGATAGTAAATATTTTAGGCTTTGTGAGCCATATGGTTGGTCTCTGTCACAACTATACCACTCTGCCATTGTAGCGTGAAAACAGTCATAGACAATATCTAAATGAATGAACAAGGATGTATTCCAACAAAACTTTATTTATAAAGACAGCTGGTGAGCTGCATTTGGCCCGCAGGCTGTAGATTGCTGACTTCTGGTCTAAATTAGTGGAGAGGCTGGAGATCATGAATGTGTGACAATTGCTTGAATTTCTGTTAAGGGTCTTGCAGGTTCACAGGTCATAATTGTGAACACCACTGGTTACTACTTAGACACAGAGTAGAATACACACTAGAGAAGGATGTAGGGGATTAGGCCTAGTTTGACCTGGTCTCAGGACATGCTCTGATAGTAATGTTTTAAAACAGAAATCCTGATAGGAGTTTTCTTCGTTATCTTTTTTTCTTCTACTTCCTAAAAGTATAATGTTTATTTTGTTTGGGAGGAGAGTAGGAGAAAGGAGGAAGACAGGAAGGTTTCCAGTGACTTAAGGTTTTTGATGAATTGGATTCCAGCTACCTGAGGTCTTTCTACCTCTGTGTTTGCAGTAGAGTAAGCTTGATCACTAACACCAATCAAGGCTTGGCAGTGCCAGGACCAACGGACTTGCCCACCAGTGTGCAAACTTCCCAAAGTGGCTTGATCACAGCGCTTGCAGGCCTATTATACACCTGGGTCTGGATGCTCCTGGGAGGGCTTCTATAATATGCTGGAGGGTGCTCTCCCGCCTCCCCCCCAAGGCATGTGAATCCACTCTAGCTTGGTATAGCAAATAAGTTTTATTTTCTGTGCCAACTCCAGATGATTGTTAGGTAGCTGTTGTCTTCTGAGAGGGATCTGAGGCCTCATCTGGGTCGAATGGGAAAATGAGTCTGGTTGATAAATGAGACCTGCTTTGGGCAGGAGAGGAAGGAGGGGAAACATAAGGGCACCAGCCCTGCTCCAGGCCTGGAAAAGATATCCAAGAAATGCAGACTATTTGCTGAGTCCTAGCTGCTAGTGCCTGGCAGGCTGGTAAGAGACACTCCTTCAAACATCTGAGTGCATCAAGTGACTCACTGGGAAGGTAGCCCAGTTACAACCTATTTTTTGTGGTTATTGTCACCCACAGGGTCGATGTCACCTGTAATACAATCTAGGACACATTCCTGCCCAGGGCATCCTGTAAAGGGCTGTGTTGCCTTTATTAAGGATCTTCTATATTCATTGGCCACCTCCTCCCTGCCAGGTATTTTGCTGGCACTGAGGTGGCCAGACAGAGATGGGTAAGAAAGGGTTCTAGCTATGGGTTTGTTTGTTTTTTTCAATCTAGTGGGAGAGAATGATAAGCACATTAATATCTAAACCATAAAGCAAATTGAAGTAAATCCTGTAATAACAGATTAAGGGAAATGCTCTGGGAGAAAAGAGGAAAGAAATGAGCCTTAACCCATGGGAGATGAGGTTGGGGGCCTTAGAGAGGAAAATCAAGGTCTCTATGGAGGAGATAGCCCATGAACCACGCCCTGAAGGATGAAGTAGATTTTAAGGTAGAGACGACATTAAGGAATCACTTCCTTAAAGGCCTCCCTTCCTGTGGTCCAGGAGTTCTCAATCTTTTTACACTCCATCATGCCTAAGGAATATGATGTCAATTTTTTTGACATAAAAAATCCATCCATTCATCTGTCAAGTTTTTTTTTGGTTTGTTTGTTTGTTTGTTTGTTTGTTTTTTAGCACATACATTGCTGGTTGCATGCCAGAAGCTCTACTCAGTGGCAGTGACATGGCCTAGCCTCTCTCCTAGGAGACTATGCTTCTCAGATGAGAATCTCCACTCCAGTCTCACAGTGAACCAACTCACCCTTCACATTGCAACCAGAGCCTACTTTCTTGCTTTAGTTTCAATTTTTAAACACCTTATTTATTATTTCAATTTTTAGTTTTTGTGGGTACGTATTAGGTATATATGTTTATGTAGTACATGAGATATTTTGATACAGATATGCAATGCATAATAATCACATCAAGGTAAATGAGATATCCATCCCCTCAAGCATTTATCCTTTGTGTTACAAACAATCCTATTATACTCTTTTAGTTCTTTTAAAATGTACAATAAATTATTGTTGACCATAGTCACCCTGTTGTACTATCAAATACTAGATCTTATTCATTCTATCTAACCATATTTTTATAACCATTAACCATCCCACTCCCCCTTGCCCCCCACCCCCTCTTCCCTTCTCAACCTCTGGTAACCATTATTCTACTCTCTATCTCCATGAGTTCAATTGTTTTAATTTTCAGCTCTCACAAATAATTGAGAATATGCGAAGTTTCTCTTTCTGTGCCTGGCTTACTTCACTTACCGTACCATAATATCCTCCAGTTCCACTCATGTTATTACAAATGACAGAATCTCATTCTTCTTTATGGCTGAATAATACTCCATTGTTTATATGTATCCCATTTCCTTTAACCATTCATCTGTTGATAGACAGCTAGGTTGCTTCCAAATCTTGGCTATCGTGAATAGTGCTACAAATAAACATGGAAGTGGAGGTATCTCTTTGGCATACCGATTTTCTTTCTTTTGGGTATGTACCTAACACTGGGATTGCTGAATCATATGGTAGTTCAATTTTTAGTTTTTTGAGGAACCTTCAAACTGTTCTCCTCAGTGGTTGTACTAATTTGCATTCCCACCAACAGTTTAAAAAGGCTCTATTTTCTCCATATCCTCATCAGAATTTGCTATTGGCTTTTAGATATAAGCCATTTTAACTGGAGTGAGATGATATCTCATTGTAGTTTTGATTTGCATTTCTCTGATGATCAATGATGTTTAGCACCTTTTCATATGTCTGTTTGCCACGTGTATGTTTTCTTTTGGGATAGGTCTATTCAGATCCTTTGTCCTTTTTTTTTTTTTTGAGACGGAGTCTTGCTCTGTCATCCAGGCTAGAGTGCATCGGCGTGATCTCAGCTCACTGCAACCTCTGCTTCCCGGGTTCAAGCGATTCTCCTGCCTCAGCCTCCCAAGTAGTTGGGATTACAGGTGTCCACCACCACGCCAGACTCATTTTTGTATTTTTAGTACAGATGGGGTTTCACCATGTTGACCAGTCTCAAACTCCTGACTTCAGGTGATCTGCCCATCTCGACCTCCCAAAGTGCTAGGATTACAGGCAGGAGCCACTGTGCCCAGCCGTTTTGCCCAATTTTGACTGGATTATTTGATTTTTTACTATCAAGTTGATTGAGCTCCTTTATTCTGGTTATTAATTATTTGTCAGATGGATAGTGTGCAAAAACTTTCTCCCATTCTGTGGGTTGTCTCTTCACTTTGTTGATTGTTTCCTTGGCTGTGCAGAAGCTTTTTAGCTTGATGTGATCCCATTTGTCCATTTTTGCTCTGGTTGCCTGTGCTTGTGAGGTATTACTCAATAAATCTTTGTCCAGACCAATGTCTTGGAGAGTTTCTTCAATGTTTTCTTTTAGTAGTTTCATAATTTGAGGTCTTAAGTTTAAGTCACTAATCCATTTTGATTTGAGTTTTGTACAGGGCAAGAGATGAGGGCCTAGTTTCACTCTTCTGCATATGGATATCCAGTTTTCCCAGCACCATCTATTGAAAAGACTATCCTTTCCCCATTGTATGTTCTTGGCAACTTTGTAAAAAATAAGTTCATTATAGATGTATGGATTTATTTCTGGGTTCTCTATTCTGTTCCATTGGTCTGTGTCTGTTTTTATGCTTGGACCATACTGTTTCGGTCACTATAGCTGTGTAGTATAATTTGAAGTCAGGTAATGTCATTTCTCCAGTTTTGTTCTTTTTGCTCAGGATGGCTTTTGCTGTTGTGGATCTTTTGTGGTTCCATATAAATTTTAGGATTTTTTTTTTCCATTCTGTGAAGGATGCCATTGATATTTTGATAGGGATTGCATTGAATCTGTAGATTGTTTTGGTAGTACGAACATTTTAACAATATTGATTGTTCCTTTTTTTTTTCTTTTGAGACAGTGTCTCGCTCTGTCACCCAGGTTGAAGTGCACACCTCCGCCTCCCGGGTTCAAGCAATTCTCCTGCCTCAGCCTCCTGAGTAGCTGGGATTGCAGGCGTGCACTGGCTAATTTTTGCGTTTTCAGTAGAGATGGGGTTTCCCCATGTTGGCCAGGCGGGTCTTGAACTCCTGGCCTCAGTGATCCACCAACCTTGGCCTCCCAAAGTGCTGGGATTGCAGGCATGAGCCACCGTGCCCGGCCAGATTCTGACTTTTTTCTCTGTGACATCTTGAATTTTGTCGAGCTTCCTCAAGACAGCTACTTTGACTTCTCTGTCTGAAAGGTCATATATCTCTATTTCTCCAGGATTAATCCTGATACTTCATTTAGTTTGTTTGATGAGGTCATGATTTCTTGGATGATCTTGATAATTGTGGATGTTTGTCGGTGTCTGGCATTGAAGAGTTGGCATTTATTGTAGTCTTCACAGTCTGGGCTTGTACCTGTCCTTCTTGGAAAGCCTTTCCAGGTATTCAAAGGAACTCAGGTGTTGTGATCTAAGTCTGTTCACTGCAGTTGTAGCTGCATTAGGGGGAACTCCAAGTCCAGTAACACTGTGGCTCTTGCAGACTCATAGATTCACTGCCTTGTTGATCTTGAGTAAGACTGGAGAGAATTCCGTGGATTACTAAGTAGAGACTCTTATTCTCTTTCCTTACTTTCCCCCAAACAAATGGAGCCTGTCTTTCTATGCTGAGCTGCCTAGAACTCGGGGAGGGGTGACACAAGCACCCCTGTGGTCACCACTACTGGGACTGCCCTGGGACAGACCTGAAGCCAGCACAGCACTGGATCTTGCACAAGGCCAACTGTTACCACTGCCTGACTGCCTCCTATGTTCACTCAAGGACCAAGGACTCTACAATCAGCAAGTGACAAATCCAGCCAGGCTTGTGTCTTTCCCTTCAAGGTGGTGAGTTCTTCCTGGCCCTCTGCAGGTCCAGAGATGTTGCCCAAGAGCCATGGCAGTTGAAACCTTAGGAATCTACCCGATGCTATAGTCTACTGAGGCTGAGCTGGCATCCAAGCCACAAGACAAATTCATTCCCACTCTTCCCTCCCCTTTCCACAAGCAGAGGAGTCTCTCCTTGTGGCTACCACCACACTGGGCCCACAGCAAGTACTGCCTGGCTACTGTGGATGCTTACTCAAGGCCCAAGGGCATTTCAGTTGGCTTGTGGTGAATGCTGCAAGTCCTGAGTCTCTCCTTCCAGGGCAGTAGGCTCTAGTCTGGCCCAGGGCATGTCCAGAAATGTTGTCCAGGAGCCACACCCTGGAATTGGGGACCCCAGGAGCCCACTTGGTCCTCTAACCCAGTGTAGCCAAGCTGGTACCCAAGCTGGAAGACAAAGTCCCCTTTATTCTACACTCTCCTTTCCTCAAGCAGAAGGAGTCTTTCACTGTAGTCACTACAGCTTGGAATGTACTGGGTAACTCTGGAAGGCAGCTCGGCTCTTAGTCTCACCCAAAGCCTATGATGACTACTGCTTGGCTACCACTGCTAATTATTCTGGGCCCGTGGGCTCTTTAGTCAGTGAGTGATGAATCCTGTCAGGACTGGATTCTCCTTTTCAAGGCAGTGGGCTCTCTACTGGCTCATGGTGTGTCTACAAATATTGTCCAGGAGCTAGGGCCTGAAATGAGGGCCTCAGGACTCTGCCTGGTGCCCTATTCTACTGTGGCTGAGCTGGTATCCAAGTTGCAGGACAAAGTCCTCTTTACTCTCCTCAAGCAGAAGGAAGGGGTCTCTCCTGGAGCTGTGAACTGCACTGCCTGGGATTGGTGGAGAGGTGGCACAAGCACTCCCTTAGCTGCCGCAGCTGGTGTCTCACTGGGTGATGTGAACTCCAAGTCCACTGGTTCCAAGCCCAGCAGAGCACCAGAGCTTGTTCAGGAATTCAGTCCTTGTGGCCTATAATGTTCAAGTTTGTTTAGGACCCCAGAGCCCTTTAGCCCGTGGTGGCAGGGCTTGCCAGAACTCAGATTCCAACTGCGAGGATGGAAAATTCACCTCTGGCTAGGGCTGGTCTAAATAGTCCCTCTGTGGGTGGTAGCTGAGTTCTGCCCTATGTTACTTTATTCTGTGACAGGCAGCAGTGAGTTACAATGTGAAGTCCCACAGTCAGTGTTCTTTCTTTCTCCCAAGCACACAGATTTTCTATCTGAGCCACACGGCTACTACCAGAGGATAGGGGAGGGGTGGCATTAGCAATTCAATACTGCCTTTCCTACCCTCTTCCGTGCCTCTTTCCCTAATATGATATTAAAATCAGGTACTGTGATTGCTCACCCCATTTTTGATTCTTATGATGGTGCTTTTTTCTGTGGGTAATTGTTCAATTTGGTATTCCTGCTGGGGGATGATTACTGGAAACTTCTATTCAGCCATCTTGCTTTGCCGTATTTTTAATAGGAAATACATGTAAATGATCTGAAAAATGCAAATGGGTATAAATAAAACGTAACTTTTCTTCCCAAATTTTCTCTGGCCTAACAACTGTTAACAGTTCCTTATGTATTCTTTAGGAAAGAGTCAATACAAGCATAAGCAAATATACATATATTATTATCACAGATGATATCACACCACACACATTGTTTAGCACCTGCCTTTTCTGCATAACCATACACTTAAAGTTTCTTTCCATAAGTACATAAAGAGACTAGCCATTTTATAGCTATATACTCTTCCTTTGTAAGGGCTGCCATAAACTATTTACACAATCTCTTATTGACAGACATTTAGGTCTCCCACAATCTTTTGCTAATGAATAATCTTTACACATGTGGGGGTATATTTACATGACAAATTCCTAAAAGTGGAATGGCTGCATCAAATGCTGTGGGCATGTGTAACTTTTATACATATTGCCAAACTGCCCTCCATAGATATGTTCCAATCTACATACAGCCAGCACCATGTGTTCTCAAACCTTTTCATATTTCTCAATCTAATAGATGAAAAGTGAGATATCGTTGCAATGCTGGATTGTATTTCTCTCATTAAAAGTGACACTGAGCATCTTTTCATATGTTTAAGAGCCATTTCTTTTTCTGAGAACTGTTTGTTCACAAGAATTGCCCATTTTTCTACTGGCTTAGTTATCTCTATTAATTTGTAGCAGCTCTTTATGTGGTGAAAAGTTAGCTCTTTGTGATGCAAGCTGTAAATTTTTTCCTAGAATAAAGGTTCTTTACTTATTCATGATGCTTCTTATAACTTCTCCCACTTCTCAGTCAGAAAAACTAGAAAAGTGACTTTATTGGGGATCATTTCCTGCTTCTCTATACTAGGGAAATTTCTTTCCTTTTGGCCACATCCCTTATATTCCGGACTCTATATTTCTTACTCAAATATTACCTGGTAATTGATTATCTGCCTTTTTCAGATCAAGGAATCCTTCAGAACCTAATTAAACCTGTGAACCTAATGCCCAGAAATATACACACATATAACACGCCTTCAACATTGCATTTACTTTTAGGGAATTTACAACCCTCCTGAAGAATAGTATTTCTTGAAGTGTGGCCTAAGAACAACATCTATCAGACTCTCTTGGGAACCTTGTTTAAAATAAAGACTCCCAAGCCCCTGTCTAGAGTGAAGGAACCAGACTCTGCAAGTAGGTGGGGCCATGGAATACATATTTAAACACATTCAGGTAATTCTGATACATACTAAAGCATCCTACAATCTAGGGAAATTCATGAATGCAGGTTAATAATCTCTGGTTTAAGTCTTAACCTCGAACTAGAGTATTTGAATTCTGGTAGGGAAAAGTTGAAAGAGGAAAAACTTCAGGGCTCAAGAGTCAGATAAAGGTATAAAGATAGAGTGACTGATGGGGAAATGACACTTGTGCACAGGTCTCACAAATTATATATGGTCAGCCAATTTTAACACCATCCACTGTGTGTGTGTGTGTGTGTGTGTGTGTGTGTGTGTGTGTGTTTAGAGGGAGAATCACATGTGTAGTTATCTTTATCTTTTTTGATATGTAGATCAAAAATTACATTTTCAATATCTCCCTTTCTCCTTTCATTAAAGTACAAGCAAAACACATCCTCACTTTAGGGGGAAAATGCTGTTGAAGGGTAAACTGGTTCACATACAAAGAAGACTTTAGTAGTCCCCCTAGTTCCACTGGAATAGGCAGTTGATAAGGGTGATTTGATTAGAGTTTGATTTTTTTCACAGAAGAGTATACTAAGAGGAAACATTTACTTGGTTGTTAATACTTCAGATCTTGCCCTCTAGGGGCCAGAGGGACATTCTTTTGTATTGGTGACACTTTACCCTCTTATAGGCAGTCTGCCTCAGAGGACCCACTGGCCTCCTTTGTTGACCAAAGTCTGCTAGCTTTCTTCCCATGAAATACAGAGTATGGTCTGGCTACTCTCTTACAGCAGTGTCTCCTAATTGCATGGACCCTTACCTAGACAAAAGCATCAAATACACAGTTTGCAGACAGTATTAGTCCATAAAGTTCCTGAAGCCCATTCATGAGCCTCCTAGGGCACTGCTTACCAACTATAGTCATGGACTGCTGAACATCTGAGTCACTCAGGGAGCTTGTTAGAAATATTACTGCCTACACTTCATTTCTTTTAATTATTTGAGACAGGGTCTCACTCTGTTGCCCAGGCTGAAGTGCAGTGGTGTGATCTTGCCTCACTGCAGCCTTAACCTCCCAGACTCAAGCTGTCCTCTCACTTTAGCCTCCCAAGTAGCTGGGATTACAGGCATGCACCACCATATCCGTCTAATTAAAAAAAAAATTTGTAGAGATGGGGATTTCACCATATTTCCCAGGCTGGTCTTGAACTCCTGGGCTCAAGCAATCCACCCTCCTTGACCTCCCAAAGTGCTAGGATTACAGCTGTGAGCCACAGTGCCTGGCCTAAGCTTCATTTCAGACTTACTGAACCAGAATCTCTGGGGCCTCTGCCTGGACAAGCTTCCCTGGTGATTCTGATACACACTAAAGTTTGGGACTCACTTGGTCTAAGTTAAGAACAAGCTAGAGGGTTTCTTTCTGTGTTAACTGATGGGATTCTGTAGTTCCCATGGGAGCCCTTTCCAAGGGAAATCACTGAGCTCAGGGGAGTGCAACATACTGAGGTTCATCATATGGGCCTAACATGTGAGAAATGAAGCTAATTCATCAATTTTACTTTATCTGAGATCAGATTGTGTCCGGGAGCATGCCCAGAGGTTGGGTAGACTTGGGAGATGAGAACATAGGACAGTACAGCCTGAGAGTTATTCAGTAGATTGTCTTTGTAGATACAGTCTATCTGAAACATCTAAACTGTAAACATAGGCTTGAACATTCATTGTGGGCAGACTGCTGCTGCTCAGCAGGGAGAGGAGGCTGAGGTGAACCAAAGTTTGGTTAATAAAAGAGAGTGTGGCCATGGCAGCCTGCCTAGGTTCTGGGAGCCTGAAAGTGAATGGAAGAAAGGCAGCTTCTCCTCACCTTCATTTTCCAGGTAGGACTCTCCAGCTCCTTCAATGCAGCTCATACAGAGTGCCCTCTGGGCAGCTGTCTGACTCTCCAGTGCAGGCCCCTCTCTGTCCTGCTACCTTTCAGCTGATAAATGCTCTTTGAAGAGCTGGAAAGAAAAGCCCTCCTGGAGTGCTGCACGTCCTCCCCACTGTCAAATGGCTATAGGAGCCACCGCAGGGGGAAGGAGGCAGAGATGAGCAGGCTGCTTAGTGTGACACAGAAAATGGAAGATTCTACCCAACAGCCACTGCCAAGTCTTTGTGACAAGAGAGGCATGCCATGGTTTGTTTCAAGGAACAACAGTGTGCTTCAAACTGGTCACCTTTGGTGCAGGGTCTACTCTGCTGCCCTGGAACTCAACTCAGCTATCAGTCCCAAAAAGAACTATCAGGTCTCAGTGGAATCAACCAAGGATAAATAAACAAGTGCAGAAGACTGATATCCAAATGAGACCACCAATGTATCATTAATGACAGTTCTATTTATCTATCTGCAGCAGCAATATGTTCCCTACTTGATGTGGTTTGGGTGAGTGACTAACTCACCCCAGTTCCCAGCTTCAAAACCATCTCACAACAGGCTCTGCCCTGTGCCTAAACTCCTTACCACTGGCAGTGCTTCTCTGCATTGGGGCATGCATTCTCAACAGGAGTGATCTCGCTTGCAAGAGGGTGAAAATTGGATCTCGGGCAGGGAATTCTTCTTAGACATTATAATAGTGTGTGGCCCTCCAAAGGGCAACTATATAGAACTAGATGTATACTATACCTGTGGTATGAAGATTTCATGAGGATGGGGGTATTAATGGAAAGATGTCTGAAAATGCTCCTAAGTGGAGGAACAATGACAAAACTTGAGACACACTGGGCTAGGGTAACAGTAACCAACCTCAAGGGCCATATCCAGTCCTTGGACTGCTTATTTCCAGCTCAGCCTTCTATTTCTCTAGTCATTACTGTAGTAGGCCAGAAAATAATGTTTTACTAAGCAGGCTGCCCTAGCTTGGACATTTAAAGGGAAGCCGTATGTTGAAGGATGAAGGGCAGTTGAAGTTTTGTGAAGAATGGCCGGCTAATAACCCAATTAGAATTTCAAAGGCTGAAGCCTAAAGCCTAAATTAATTTAGAAAAGCAGCTTATCTTGCTAACACTCACACCAGACTCTCAGAATTTATAGTGTCTCTTTCTTTCTGCATCAAATTATATGAGGGTACTCTAAATCAGAGAAAGACTCTGATGATCTTTACTATGGATCGGTGATGTCAGATAACAAGGGGGCTCCCCACTCTGATATGGAGAGATCGGGCATTGATTTCTCCAAATGTTCTTTACTTCTGATGCTTTTACTGAAATCTGGCTTCCCAAGAAGGCCTTTCTAATGGAGGCAGCTCATTCCCTCACTATTTACCAATTTATAAGTGAAGAAGTAAAGCAGGTGTCCTCTTTGCTCCCTGGTGCTGCTTCCAGATCACTATTTGTCCACATTCACATTAAAATCTCTACTCTAGCTAGATGCAATGGCTCTCACCTATAAACCCAGGACTTTGGAAGGCCGAGGCAGGCAAATCACTTGAGGCCAGGAGTTAGAGACCAGCCTGGCCAACATGGCAAAACCTCATCTCAACAAAAAAAAATTAGCCAGGCATGGTGGCACATACCTGTAATCCCAGCTACTTGGGAGGCTGAGGCATGAGAATCACTTGAACCTGGGAGGCAGAGGTTGCAGTGAGCCAAGATTGCATCACTGCACTTCAGCCTGATGAGACTTTGACTCAAAAATAAACAAATAAGCAAATAAATAAATAAATAAATAAATAAATCCATCCTCTACTCCTTTGAAGCTCCTTCCAGCCAACAAAATCATTATTTTCCCTGTGTGTTGTGGTCATCTGCTGAAATCTCCATCATTCAATGAATACATAGGCACATGCCTGTCTGCCTTCTGCTCTATCCCAAGTCCTGCCATTTTTCTAGATTTCTACTCAACACTTTGAAAACTCAGTCTACATTCTCCCTTCAACAGGCAAAGTAATATTTTAAAAACATAAATTAGATCATGTCACTCATCTCCTTAAAACCCTCCAATGACTTTCCCATTGCTCTTGGGATAAAGTACATATTCCTCTTCATGTGTAGATTACAAGGCCCTGTGTGATCTGGCTCTCACCTCTGGTCTCCCTTCTAGAGTTCTTGGGTTCTCTCACTCTGCTCTAGCCACATTGGACAACCTGTGAGTCCCTGAACTTACCAAGCTCATTCCCACCACCTGGAAAATTTTTCTTCCAAATTTTTGCTCGGATAACTGCCTTCTCATCCTTCCAGTTCACAGCTGAAGCGCCATTTCAGAGGCATTCCTTGGCCACACCATATAAAAATAACTCCCGGCCGGGCATGGTGGTTCACGCCTGTAATCCCAGCACTTTGGGAGGCCGAGGTGGGCGGATCACCTGAGGTCCGGAGTTTGAGACCAGCCTGACCAACATGGAGAAACCCCGTCTCTACTAAAAATACAAAATTAGCCGGGCATGGTGGCGCATGCCTGTAATCCCAGCTACTCCGGAGGCTGAGGCAGGAGAATGGCTTGAACCCGGGAGGTCGAGGTTGCTGTGAGCCGAGATCGCGCCATTGCACTCTAGCCTGGGCAACAAGAGCGAAACTCCGTCTCAAATAAATAAATAAATAAATAGATAGATAGATAGATAGATAGATAGATAGATAGATAAAAATAAAAATTAAGAAAAAAAAACTCCCTACCTGCATCCCAACTAGCCACTTTCTTTCACATTATCCTATTTTATTATTTTCATGGCACATAAAATATTAAATGATCCTGCCTGTTTACTTGTTTATCATCTATCTCCCCCAACTTTAATGTACTAAGAAAAAAGGCTTTTGTCTGTCTTGCTCACTGCTATCTCCCTAGCACCTAGAATAATGCCCTGCACAGAGTAGGTGTGTCAGGCAGCCTCTATGATGGCTCCTAATTATCCCTGCCTCCTGTTATTTATGTCCTTGTATAATCCCCTCTCCATGAGTGTGTGCTGGACTCTGACTCGCTTCTAACAAATAGAATTAGGAGAGGTGATGGATGTCACTTCAGAAATTGTTGGAAAGACTGTGGTTTCCATCTTGAATGTCTTCTCTAACTCTTTTGTTGACTCACTCTGAAGGAAGCTAACTGCCATGTTGTGAGCTGTTCCATGGAAAGGCCCGCACAGCAAGGAACTGGTGTCTCTGGTCAACAGCCAGAGAGACACTGAGGCCTGCCAGCAACCATGTGAGTGAGTTTGGAAGTAGATTGGAAGTGCATCCTTCCTCAGTCAAGCTTTGAGATATAGCCCTGGTCAAAAACTTGATTGCAGAGTTGCTGAGACACAGACAACCACCTAAGAAGCCACATACAGATTCCTGACCCACAGACACTGAGAGATAGTCAATGTTTCTTGTTTTATGCTTCTAGATTTTGAGGTAATTTGTTGCACAGAAATAGCTAATACAGTTAACCCTCAATAAATACCTGTTGAATGAGGGAGTTATTGGTGACCCCAACGTCCATGTGACGTTGCCTTTGTCTCATCCAGAATTGCGCCAGCTCTAAAATTGTAAATTAAGACATTTCACATTGTGATCACACCCTTCCATCTTTCCAGCTCACTCAGTTACTCCCAATATCCAAGTCCTTCAACTTTACTGGGACTCCCAGTCCATATATACCCTGTCACAAGCTGATTTTCCCAGGAAGCAAACTCTCAGAGGGAGTTTAGTATGCAGGATATTTATGAGCTAAACATCCTGTGTGCACTTGGTATTAATATCTGTGGAAAGGAGGGGAAGAAAGCAGAATTGGGAAGAAGTTGGGATGCAATGCAGGCCTAGTGACAGCCTTGGCCAACCTCACAGGGAAGTGCTAAAGCTACAATAGCCCTTAAGTGTTGTTCTGAGTTGGGCCAAGATGGCCAAGTCTTCATACCTCTATATCAGTCACTGGATGTGGGTCATTGGGTAAGAGGTGTGACTTTGAGTAAGGCAGCTCTGCAGCTATGAAGCAATCCCTGAAGGGCCCAGCAGCGCAGCTGAAGGCAACCTGTGACAGTATATTCAGCAACTGGAACAATAAGTCCTCCCCTAAAAGGCAATCTGGGTAACGCACCACAGTGTCCACCATATCTCAATCTATAAGCTTCTTTTCTGTCATTTCCTTCCCTACTCAGCATATATACTATTGTTCCTCACTTCAACCATACTCAAGTACCCTCAAATACTTGCTCCACTGTTTTCTGAGTTACCTGCCCAGGCAAAACTACCAACCTTAAGTGAATTTAAGTAAACTTCTTCCTTGTTCTTGCATCTGGGCTGTCAAATATAGATAGAGAAAATCAAATATCTGTGCACATTGGTGTTTCCATAAATTTGTAGTCTCCAAACTGAACTGGGTCCTCAGTGCTGTCTAACAATCCTAATATGTTTCCTTTGTCAGCATTCTCTCACTCACAACTCCAGCTATTGCAAACCTTCTCCATATTCTTCAAAATACTCAACTCCCTACCTCTCCCATCCCTATCTGAACCTCCACTTCAAGGAGAAAATCATTATCAGAAGAGAGTTCCTATAATTTATTGCCAACAAATCTCCTGGTAGGCAAGCTTTATTGATTCTACTTCCCAAATAACTTTCAAATCCATTCACTTCTTACCACTCCTCTATTTCAAGTCACTACCTTCTTACATTTGAATGACTGTAGCTCTCCTCTAACTGATCTTCTTGATTCTAGATTTTTCTTCACTCCCATTAGAGTGAAACAACATGCTTACTTTCTCCTCTCTGCCTTCACACATAAGTTTCTCTGTGCCCAGGATACTTTTCCTTTTCTATCAAGCCCTATATCCTGGCTAATTCCCCCTTTCTGTTTAAGTCTCAGTTTAACTGGCTCCTCAGTAAGAACAGATTTGATTCTCTAAACTGGATTAAGATCCTGTGCTATATGTTTTCAGGGCACTCTGTATTTCCTTTTGCATAGCACTTATGTACCTTGTATTAGCTATCAATTGATGTGTAACAAATTATCCCAAAACTTAGTGGCTTGAAGCAACATTTATTATTTTAGTTTCTGTGGGTGAGAAATGGCTTAGCTGGGTAATTTTGACTTTAGGATCTTACATGAGGTTGTAGGCAAGCTGTTGACTGAGACTGTAGTCATTTGAAAGCTTGATTGGGGCTTGAGGATCTGCTTAGAAGATGGCTCATTCACAAGGCTTTAGGTATGCTATTTTGGGCTACAACCTGGACAAATAAATAATCAGGTATAAGGTTTTATTATTCCTTTACCTGTTGTATAGCACAGCTTAATATATTCCCGATTTATTTTCTGACTTCTCACTTTTTAAAAAAATCTTGATGTGTTCAGTTTCTCCTAACATTGTCCTGGGCACTGAGGATCCACGGAAGACCAATTATAAAGTCTCTAGTTCCTCATAGATGTCTCTCATGGAGCTTCAACTGGTTTATTCAATTGGTTTCCATTTATAGAGTTATTTGGGGTTGTAGTTTTTACTTTCCAGCCTCCAGAAAAGAGGATTCCACTCTGGTTGTCTTAGACTATCCTTATCTTCATTCTTTCTCTAGGCTAAGTTTTCCCAATCTGAAGCTATTCCTAAAACCTCTATTCTTGGTTTCAATCTGGCTTCTATTTCTGATCAATGATTTATTTTCATACACTGGCCTCCTTTAGTATAGTTGCCTATACTGTAACTTTGTTAACCAGTCACCCTCAATTGAAGGCACTGTAATTTTCCATAGAAAATAATGTTTAAATATTTAACATTGCTTATAAGAGTCTCTACTTTGGAAATAGTTATTTTTGATATGATAACATTTTTCTATCTCTTCCTAATAGCTATGTTATTTTTCTTAATATATCTTCACGGTGCAAAAAAATACTCATTATTTGTGATATAAGCCATTTGCTTTTCATGTCTAGGTGACACCAAATATTTTACTATTCATCATCATTCAGTATTTTTAATCCATGTTCATCACCTCCATGAAACCCTTATGAAAACAACTTTGTCAGAAATGTTTTTTAGTCTAACTTCAATTAATTCCACAACAAACATCCATACAGCAAGCAATGGTGATGCATTTACTGTGAGTTAAGAGCTGGGGATTAAAAAATGACTAAGACATGAAGTTTGCCGTCAAGGAGCTGACAGTCAAGTGCAGGAGACAGATAAGTAAACCAATATTTGTAATACCATGTGATAAGTAATGTAATACATGTATGTACAAAGGGTTATGGGAGCACACTGTTGGAAGTAAATACACTTCCTGAGTGGGAGAAATTTTATTGATGAGGCAACTTTTGAGATAAACCTTGAAGCCTGAGTAGGATTTTTGCAGGTAGAGAATAGCAGAAGAGCATTCTAGGCAGAAAGAACATAATATTATGCATGTCCAAGAAGATATCTATTGAAAACCACTTTTAAATAGATCTTTAAAATGTTTTAGAATTTATTTCAAGTGGTCTTATTATGCCTTCTAATATTTCAGAGCTACTTCAAATGATTTTTAAAAATTAGGATTTGAAGTAGATAATGAGTATGTTTTTCAACTCCCAGACTAGAACGCGTGATCTGAAAAGTGCAACTGTAATTTGGGGACTAATAGAATGAAGTGTTTGAATTTGGATCTGTCTAAGAACATTAGGTAAGAACACATGTCCTCTTAGATATTTGTATATATAAACTCCATATATAGAAATTTTATTATTATAATCCTTGACGATCAGAGAAGTAAAACAGCATTTCTGAAGGATGCTTCATGGAATTTACTGGCTCTTTTGAGCCAGTCACACTGAGAGCTAATGTGGCGGATCTACCATGGGAGTCCAGTCATTCCGTATCCTTTATATCTTTTGGCTGTGAGTCATGGAAATTGTAGACACTTTAGGTAGCTGAGAGAAGTAAAAAGTGTTGAGAGGATTGCTTTGCGGGATCCTGGGTTATCTCCTAGAACCAAAGGAAGAGTGAAACAGTCAAGGCCAGGGAATAGCAGAAACCAGCACAGCCTTGAGGAGCAGGGATCCTAAACTCTGGGGATCCAGCAGGGGTGAAGCAGGCTATGCTGAGCCTACTTTCCTCTAGCCAATTGTTGCCATACAGGAATTTGGCCCAGTGTTAACAGATCCAGTAAGGCCAGAATTGTAGATTATTATATGACATTCCCTGAGGTTTTAAATAATGACTATGAATTCAAATTTTTAAAAACCAAAAAACAAAACACGGAAAAGACCAAACAAAACATGTCTGCAGCTTCTGTTCCAGAGTGTTGCCATGAAAATGACTCAACTCTAACAGCTTGTTCTCTCTGCCTTGATTCATCCAAAGTTCATGTTTCCTGAAGAGAGAATTCAATTGCCCAATCTGAGCCAAGGAGCTATCCCAGACTTATTCAGCTATGATTGGAGAGCAGAGTCACTTAGTGTAGGCATGGCTACTGAGGATGTCCACTTTTATACATAAAAGTGGTTATTTTCAGAGAATAACCATCATGGCTAGTACAAATTGATTGATTACCAGATGCCACGAACCGAACTGAACACTTAAGCTACATTATTTCATTTAAGTTGCACGACAACCTAATGAGGAGATACACCCATCCCTATATTACAGATGAGGAAACTGAGACTCAGAAAGGTTAAGGGATTTGCCTGAAGTTCTACAGATAGGGGTGGGAAAGCCAGGCAGCTTGCTTCCTGATCCTGTGCTCTTCATCACTTCATCCTGACCTTCCTAAGGAAAAGAAGGGTTATGAACCAGGCCCCACTTGCTTGATTGAGTGAGAAGATTCAGGAAGCACATGCATGACATAGGTATAGGGATCCGTTGGTCTTCTAGATTCTGACATTCAGGAAAATGAGTCTCAGGGTGGGAAAGAAGCTGAGAGGCTTTCCCAAGGTCACAGAACTAATAGTGGGCTGGGAGCCCTCCAAATCCCCTGCCCTTTCCACCACAGCCTCCTATTTTCAGCCAATTGGTCTCAATATTCATGCTCCCCAATATCTCATTTGCATTTGTGGAGGCCCATAAAGGAACTCCTCCATTTTCTTCATTCAGCACAGCCTCTTGGCTGCAATTCTGTATATCCACCCTTTTATCCCAGATCTGCCTGTTTATTTCTGAAAATCAAGGGAAGCCCTAGGATGCCTTCTGGAGCAGGAAACATACCACATCCCATCTGCATTACATTTTTTCCTTTTGTCAGAGATCACCAGTCATGGAGAAAAATCAGCAGCTTCCAACACTGGCCAGGATGGGTCCGACATTAAGTGTTATTAAGTACTCAGAGGTTAAACTTGAGAGGACAGTGTCTAATGTCATCCTTGTCACACCTTAAGGCTACGTTTGGGTTGAAAGCACATGCAGAAATTATAAGAAGGGACGCAGGGAAAATGCTGGTGCTTGGACCAGCCTTGACAACTGGCCTGGAGCTTCAAAACATGCAGAGAAAGCTCAGGCCTGGTGTTTCATCTTGTGTACTTTGGAAAGATGCCCTTGCACATCAGATCCGTTGAGAGAAAGTCATAGTGAAGAAACAGCCTGAGCACAGATTGGACTGTAGAAGGCAAAGTGGGGCAAAGGCAGAATTGGAGTTAGGCAACCGTTTTAAGTCACCCAAGTTTGCTTGCATCCTCATATTACCCTCTTCGTTAAAACCTCTAAAATGAATCTATTATACTCATTTCCACTGATGGATACTGACCCTTTCCCAGGAGGCTGGTGTTCTCATCAGCTAACCTCAACTGGGATGCCTGTATCCTTAGAGAGGTGGTGCAGAAATGGACTTTAAGAACTCCAAGAATCCTCTGATAATAAACACAAAATGTTGTGAGTATATGGGAGAGTGGTCACAGATCTGATAACATAGTTAATGAGTCCACAGTATTAAAAAAAAAGAAAAGTACAAACCACTGGCCTAAAAGCCTTAAGATGAAGGAATGCACTTATTTTGTGTCATTTCAAGAGCAATGTGCTAAGGTGGATGGCTGGGATTTCCCCAGAGTCCATAAAAACCATGTGGAATGCATGAATGGAGTCATAGAGGGTTGGCCTGGGAAATGTAAGCTGTCTTGAGACGGACAGAAGGAAACAAGGGAGGAAGGCAGCAGCAGAAGCAGCAGAGATGTTGAGAGTTTGAAGGGGATTGGAATCAAATCAAAGCCAGACATTTTGTAATAACTCAAGCAGAGGAGCCAATCTGAAAGTGTTCAGTGGAGCTCAGCTGAGTGAGAGAAGTGAAATCTGAATGGCTAAGAGCAGAAGCTGTCTTGATCTTTAAGAAGATTTGTATTTAACTGTGATATTTAATATTCTTTTCCAAGGCAAAACAGTGGCAATAAATGTGAAAGTAAGGGAGCAGCTGCTGCTTCCCAAATACTGTCAACAAGACAGAAAATGTGCGAGGTGTTGTGAATAATGGCTGTAATTAAAACAGTGCAGCAATTCTGGTAGGATAAGCAGGGCTCCCAGGGTTGTGGTTATCAAGTTCAGTCATAGAAGCACTACCTCTGTGTGTGTGTGTACATGTGTGCAAGTGCATGTCAATGTACACATATGTGCACATTTACATATATACACAAATGCAGAGAGCTGGAAGAAAAGAAAGCTAGAATCTGGAGAAGGAATAATGGAGAGGAAGGGAAAGGAAATGGTGAGATAGAGAGACTTGATGGCGGGAGATGATAAGAAAAGAGGAAAAGGGAAAAAACGGAGAAGAGAAGAGAGTGGAAGTGTTAGCTTTTTGTTCTATGGGTCAAGGGTCTGCAGCCTACCTTACCTGACCACCTATATAAAGTAGGTAACACACATACATAAAAACAGAGTTAATTACTTTCACTACATACTATTTCCTGCAATAATTTCCTCTCTCTCTCAGTTTTCATACTTATCTACTGCTTCCTCCATTGAATTGCAAGTTCCATGAAAGCAATGACCACATCTATCTCATATACAACTTGGAGCAGTCAGTTTAGCCTAAGTTATGCGGCAGTAACAAATGATCCCCAAAACAAAGATGTATTTCTTGCTCATATTACATGGTGGCTGTGGGTTGGTTATGGCTCTGTTCTGTGTCTTCACTCTGGGACCTGGGTTCACAGAATAGTGTCTGGGATATTAGCGTTCTCACTGCAGAGAGAAGACAGATCATAGTGTTATTATTACTCTATGGCTCTGAAAGTGTCTGCTTGGAAGTGACATAGTCACTTCCACTCACATGCTCACATTTCATAGGCCAAAGTATGTCATGTGGCAATTCTAGAGTTTAGTGGAGTGAGGATATATAATGCACCCTCAGGGATGGGTGATGAAAAATTTAAACAGTAATACAATCTGCTACACCTTTCCATTTTCAGCACCTCGCACAGTTCCTGGAACAAAATAGATCTTCCTATTAATGGTGCCCTGTGGCCCTTGGCTATTGGGAAGCTTTGTTCTAATGTGTGCTGTGAGATTGGCCATAAGATCTTTTTCCTGGTTTGTATAATGTGGTATAGAAAATTGATATTTTGTCAATCTTACGTAGTGTGTAAATAAAAGCATCTTTTACAAAATTACTCTTTTTATTGTTTTGTAACACACAATCCAAGTGAAAACTATGTGCTTTTTATGCAAAGGCAGCAAGAAGAGTTGCCTGGTCTCCTTCCAGATTCCTTTCTTTAAGCTTCTTCAAAATAGAGGTTTCAAAGCCACCATTAGGTGAGGAAACAGAGGGCTGGGTCAACCTGGGGTAGGGGCTTTGGAGCTTTTACAAACAAATCAGGCAATTGGAGCTATCAAAGTCTATAAGCCAGGACAGTCTGGGAGAAACACTGAACTGTGAGGTATCTAAGAGGCATGCCCAAGCTGAATTTTTATATTTCTCCTCCCCCTAAACTGCCCCATCTTCAGCCTTTTCCATTTCATTGCATGGCAACTCCTTCCAGTTGCTCAAGCCAAAAACGATTGAGTTGTCCTTGAAAGTTCCCACCCTCAACTCTAAACTAGTTCAACCATTGTGGAAGACTGTGTGGCAATTCCTCAAGGAACTAGAACTAGAAATACCATTTGACCCAGGCATCCCATTACTGGGTCTATATCCAAAGGATTATAAATCATGCTGCTATAAAGACACATGCACATGTATGTTTATTGCAGCACTATTCACAATAGCAAAGACTTGGAACCAACCCAAATGTTCATCGATGATAGACTGGATTAAGAAAATGTGGCACATATAAACCATGGAATACTATGCAGCCATAAAAGGATGAGTTCATGTCCTTTGTAGGGACATGGATGAAGCTGGAAACCATCATTCTCAGCAAACTATCGCAAGGACAAAAAACCAAACACCGCATGTTCTCACTCATAGGTGGGAATTGAACAATGAGAACACTTGAACACAGGAAGGGGAACATCACACACCGGGGCCTGTTGTGGGGTGGGGGGAGGGGAAGGGATAGCATTAGGAGATATACCTAATGTAAATGACGAGTTAATGGGTGCAGCACTCCAACGTGGCACATGTATACATATGTAACAAACCTGCATGTTGTGCACATGTACCCTAAAACTTAAAGTATAATAAAAAAAAGAGAAAGTTCCCACCCTCCCTCCATATTCCACATTCAATCCATCAGCAAATCCAGTTAGTTCTGCCTTTAGCATATACCCAGAGTCTGATCATTTTGTAATCATCTCCACTGCTATCACCTTGGTCTAAAACATTATCTCTTGGCCTGATTATTGCATGACCTCCTCTATCTGTCAGCTATTGCTATGATGACATTGCCAAACAACCTGAAATGTCAATTGCTTGCAACAAACATTCATTTTGCTTGCTCAATGATCTGGGGTCAACTGGGATGGTTTGGCTTCAGGCTGAGTGTTGGGTTTGTGTCCTTTCTATGTATCTCTTCATTCTGGAATAGCAGCCAACTGGGTCATGTTCTTCTCACAGAAGATGGCAGGTGCACAAAGGCCAGGTAAATAATACAAATACATTTACAATCTCTGCTAGTGCCATATCCACTGACATTCCATTGGACATAGCAAGTTACATGGTAATGTTCAGCATCAATGTGGTGGCAAAATATACTCTGCTTGCTCTCGCAGGAAGTACTGCAAAGTCGCATGACGAGGGTATGCATATAAAATTCTATAACAGGAAGGGAGTGAAAACTTGAGAACAATAATCCAATCTCCTATACCCCCTAACTGTTCTCCTTGCTTCTGTCCTTTTCCTCCTAGAGTCTATTCTCAACATAACTCCCCCCCTCGCCTCTTTCAGGTCTTTGCTTAGATGTCACTTTCTCAGAGAGGACTTCCCTGTCCACACTAGTTAAAATTGTAATCCCCTAACCACCCCAGTTCCTCTACCCTTCTTACTGTTTTATTTTTCTCCATAGCATTTACCACCTAATGTACTGTGTATTTTGCAGATTTTGTTTATTGTGTATTTCCTTTTTATAGAATGTAAGCTCCCTAAGGGCAGGTATTTTGGTCCAATTTGTTCACTGTTGTATCCCGATTGCCTAGAACAGTGCCTTACACATAGTAGCCCTTAATAAACATTGAAAAAAATGAATGAGTGAATGACCTATCAGTGGCTATAACAGGGAACTGACTTAGCTTAGGTGAGAAGAGGCGGGGCATGGCAGTGGAGTATGGCCATTATGCCAAAGGCCCTGCCATTTATGAGGAGGGGTAAAGAGGAGATAATGAAAGCATCTCTGGGGGAGGGGAAATAACCAAACACTCCTTTTTCATGCCCATTTGAGGTCTACAGGCAGTGAGGTGACATGATAACTCAGGACCAAATGTCTGTTGTGCCTCCTTCTCATGTCCTCCCATTCACATGCAGAGAAGCTGAATCAAGACTACCATTCAGGTTTCCTCAGGTCCTTCGGTCTACTCTCCTCCCTTGCCACCACACAGCTGCAGTCTTCAATGGCTGAAGGCAATGGGACCTGCCAAGCTGTCTGGGGTTCCCTGGTTGAGCCCCAGTGGGATACTGCTTTGGGATAGAATTTTGTTTTTGAGGACCCCCTGGTTACAGTCTCAGAAGAAAGAAGCAATTCCATGCATGTAGGGCCCAGCCAGTGTCAACCCTAGAATCATAGTCTTCTAAGTTATTGGGGTCTAGGAGACCTGGCTGAGATACTGGAGGGGGCATTGAAACACTTAGCAGGATCCAGACCTGGGAATGGATTTTAAAATTCACTGAGTATCTTTAAGTGGGGTCAGTGGTTGCAGGGTGTTGGTCAATGTAGTTGCAATTTTCAACATTAAAAAAATCAACGTGTGTGTGTATCTATATACACTTCATATGTATGTGTACATCTATATACACACACACATACATATGAAGTAATATATTAACTTATAATATAATATAATATAAATGGTATGTATGTTCTATATATAAATAGTGTGATAGTCTCCAAAGATGGCCACCATTAATAACTTGTTTCAGTATATATGTGTGCATGTCACTCCATTCATCAAGGAGTGAAATCTATTTTTCTCCTCTTGCATTTGATCTGGTCTCATGTCTTACTGTGCCGAGTGGAATATGGCTGAAGTAATGCTGTGCCAGTTCCAGGCCCAGATTTTAAAAGGCCTGGAGGCTTCCTCTTTCTCTCAGAGATAGCCAGCTACCAGAGAAGAAGTCTGACTACTCTGAGGCCACCATGATGTGAGGAAGCCCAAACCAGCCATTACAAAAAGGCCATGTGGAAGACAATCTAGGAACTCAGTAGACAGTGAGAACTGAGGTTTCAGACAGAGACCCCCAGTCAAGCCATCTTGATCATGCCCCAACTGTCTGAGCCATCCCAGCTGAGGCTCCGGACATCACAGACAAACCATTCAGACTGTGATGAGATTTCTGACTCACAGAATCATGAACAAATAAAATGGTTGCAGCTTTAACTTATTAAGTTTGGGGGTAGTTCTGTAACAATGGAAAAATGAAACAACAGAATGTGTGTAGTGAGAAATAGTTTAGAATAGTATCAAGGCTGTGAACCCTGGATGAATGTTACCTGGGTACCAGTTGCATGATCTTAGGCAAGTCACTAGATCTCTCTGTATTTCGTTTTCATTGCCTTTAAAACAGGGTTAATATTATCTCGAATCAGAGTGGTGATGATTAAGCAAGTTCATGCATATAAAGCCCTGTGAACTCTGCCTGGTATATAATAAGTGCTATGTGAGTGTTAGGTATCATTGTGATGATGATGATGATGTATAATTTGCATTTTGGGTCAATCACATTTTCATTTCATTCACATTTACTCTCTTCTATCCCTGGGACTCCCAAGGAACAAAAAGGAACCAAGTAGAAAAAATAAAATTATTGCCTCCCCAGATACCAACCCTAGCACCTTTGTGCATACTATGCACTCAGAAGTTTCAGATTTAATTAAACACCCCAAATCACTTCTGGCTGACATAGGAAAGAACTAGAGGATTGCCCCACCTCCACCCAATTTTCCTCTGTATTTCCATTTTGCGTAGGCAAATGTTCAAGTGTGCATTCTTCAAGCACATATCCACAGGGTGTCGTGGGAGCAGGGAAAAAAGACAGCTCAGAAACTCACTGGAAGGCAGGGGAGGCCAGCTTAGAGAAAAGCATTACCCACAGATAATCCGCAAAGTGGATAAGTCACGGGAGGAATCAAGGGCTGACTTTAGTAAATTATTACCTTCCAAATACTCCTAGCGGCCTGAAAAGTTCATGCAGTCTCTCCAAGTTCCTACCTCTGCTGGAGAGGAATAGTGTAGGCCCTGGGAGGATTGGCTTCAATATAAAATAAAGTAGATAATAAGTATTTCCACCCTTCTTGTCACTCTCATGGCAACGCAAGCTGCCAAGGCTGAGGGGAGGTGGGTGTTGAGTCTTCATCTGACTAATCTGTAAATCAGCATGATGCAGCCTGTGTCTAGGTAGTAGGAGGCAACTTGGAGGAAAGAGCTAGGCCCCTGAACAATGGTGTGCAAATGGAGGTTGGGAAGCTCTTGGAGAGGCACAGGGGACACAGCCTGTGCTGGAAGTCAGTAAGAGGGGGAAGAGTCAGAGTAAAATATGAAGGTAGACAAAGTCCTTCCCCTGCCTTTCATGATCCCTCCTATCACCTGCCTCTACTTCCCTCATTTTCTTTTATTTTTATTTCTATTTTATTTTTGAGACAGGGTCTCACTGTGTCTCCCAGATAGAGTGCAGTGGTGTGATCATGGCTCACTGTAGCCTCAACCTCCCCCAGCTTAGGTGATCCTTTAACCTCAGCCTTCTAAGTAGCTAGGACTAAAGGTGTGTGCCACCATGCCCAGCTAATTTTTTGTATTTTTTGTAGAGATGGGGGTTTCACCATACTGCCCAGGCTGGCCTTGAACTCCTGAGCTCAAGCAATCCTCCCATCTTGGCCTCCCAGAGTGCTAGGATTACAGAAAAGTGAGCTACTGTGCCCAGTAAACTTCCCTCATTTTCTCCTCTGCCTCCCCTCTTGCCATGTGGGATGTCCTGTGAGCAGTGGAAGCAAAGGAACCAGGAGAGTCCTGGAATCCATCTGGTGTCTGGAGAAGCAGGGCTGGGAACAGTGGATAAGCTAGTTTTGGCGGTTCCCTGGTGTTGGGAGAGTCTTGCTTGCCTGAGGTTTACATGGAACACTTAGGGCCCCAGGCTGCTGGGGAGGGGTTGTAGCTAATAAATGCTAGGTTTCTGGGGTGGGAATGGTGAAGCACCAGTGTAGAGTGTGCTGGAAATGGAAAAAATTAAAATAAAAAAGCCCTCTCCCTGGGGAGCTACCAATTGCAGTGTTGCTTTGCTCTCTGTGCATTCCAACAGGGCCACTGTCTGCCCGGCACATGATGTTGCGAGGAGCAAAAATAGCCTCTGGTAACTGCAGGAGGATCTGTTTATAGAGTTCCGGCCTTCACACCACCTGTGAGTTATACCCAACCAAGCAATCCTTTCTAAAGAACAAATTCATTCTTTCTCTGAAGGGCCCACTGGCCACAAAAGGCTGATGCTCTTCTGTACTTCTCTCTCCTTTGGAGCAATGCCTTCTATCCCTCACCTATCCACAGGACCCCAGTGCTGGCCACCAGGCCTTGCCCTTCCTGGGTGTGCTGTCAGGCTCTGAGCCCTTCTCTGTGGCTTCCCCTCAGCAAACTTACTTGTCCTGTGTCCTTACTTGTTCTCTGCCTCTCTCCTTTGCTGGAGACTAGAGAAGTAACCTGAGCCAGTGTCAGCAGTCCCAATGCTTTTTGAGATGCTGCTAAAGTAGACCCTTTCCCCTCATGTTCCCAGGAACTAGCATCACAGGATAATGGTTTGCCTCTCCAAAGTAATATGTTTTCACTTTGAGAAGGGGAAGACTAAGCTCTTTAACCCAAGAAGTGACTGATAGTGTGAATTTCAGGCAGGCAGGTTACCAGGCCAGGGAGCTATTTTTGAGGCATGCGGGCTTTCTGTTGGCAACTTTTCCTACCGATCTGTGCTGGCAGCTACGAGCTCTGCCTATGCCTAAGACCAGCTTTGTCCCCTTAGAGTAGGGATGAGAGGCTCAAACACAGACATAGTGATTACAGGAGCCAGGTAGGCAACTGAAATCAGTCTAGTGGGTGTGGTGGGCTTCTCTCTGTGGCAAACTACAGAGCATATGCCCATCCAAATTATGAAATAGCTGCACAAAGGGAGATAACAAACTGCAACTGACAGCCTGCCTTACTGCTGGGCAGATAAGAGTAGATGGTGCGGCAGAGGTGAATCAGGGAGTGAATGCACATTCTGTTCGAACAGGGCAGCCACTACTCAGCTCCAGCCCAATGTTGCTGTGTGTCAGTCTGCATGCCTAGAGCCTCCAAGTTTTCAAGAGAAATCAAAAGAACTGATGCAGAATCTCCTTTGCTTTTTTATGCTGTCAATTAACTGAAAAATAATGTCCAAATATTAAGCATTCCAAGCAAAACGCATCTCCGAAATGCATTCAGCAGGCCACCTCTGTAGAAGGCATCAGAACATACATCCCCAGGCATTGAATCAGCCCAGAATATTTAAGCTTGGGCAACCTTTGGCCTGGCACTGGTTATGTTCATGAGCAGAAAAGAGAGAGAGGAGGGAAATTTACAACCAGAGACCATGTCTGTATCTGTTTTTGAAAATCTCACGAAATATATCTGGGTAAGGGTACTGAGTGGAAGACCCCTGAGATTTAGCCAGTAACTAAATCTAGTCACTGTTCAATTATCTGCGGAAGGATTGCCTACTTTACAGATTAGCCATGGAGATTTTGAAGCCTGAGCCCTTTTCTTCTGACACTCAAGTTATCCCTGAATGCTGCCAGTCATTTACGCACACTGGAATGGGCACAGAGAGTACCGACTGATGGGACTCACGGCCAAAGCACACAACAGTTAGGAAAGCCAATCTACAGTGAAGATAATTCCAGAATCTATCCCAGATTCCATGCTTTCATGATCTCTGGCATAACAAATAAAAAGGAATCCACTGCTGGCAATTAATTAATGGAAGTTGGAAATAATTTGCTTAGGAGTATCTATGCAAATTTTGTGTCTAAAGTCTTCTTGAGTGATCCATAAACACAAACAATATCCATGGGACAAAAATTCTTTCCTTTTTCCAATTTACTTCATTTCTTTTTTTATTCCTTTCATCTTCAAACAACTATTTATTGAATGCCTTCTGTCCACCAGGCACCATGCTGGTCACTGAGCATAGAGAGGTGAATAAGACAGCCACTTCCCCTGTCTTCTGGAACAAGTGCAGGTTTGGCCAGATGCAGAGAAGGGAATTCATGAAATACAGCCTGTGACACATGTCTGGGCCTACAGAAGTTTCTCAATCCATACCTGTGGAGATGTCACCATATTCATGCCATAGCACAGTATGATGCTATGTAAGAAAAAGTACATGGGCCTTGGAATCAAATATGCTTCCACTTGAATCCTGGTTTGCCATTGCTGCATGTGTGATCTTGGGCAAATTATCTATTGTATTTAGGCTTCAGTTTCCTCATCTGTTTAAAATGGGGATTGTAGAAGTACCTACTTTATAGGAGTATGTGCTTGGCAGAGGGATTGGCACATAGTCCTTGGAAAACAGAAGTTTCCTTTCTGTTATCCCTCATAACCTGAAAGTGATACTACTTGCCCTCCATTCAGAATAATGCGCTTCTGGGATATATTTTAGTGGTGAAAATGGGTAATGCTAATCCCCTCATTATTCTTAATTCCTCTTTGCAGTTTTTGTTTTTTATGCTGGCCCTGGTTGCATTTAGCAAAAGTTCAAGACTGCCCAAGAGTTCAGATGAAATTGGTAATCCAGACTCCTAAGCGGCCCACCACCTGCTGCAGTGGCACATGCTCATGCCTAATGCCCAATTCTCCCATGTCAAGATGTACAGTAAGTCCTCACTAACAGCCTCGATAGGTTCTTGGAAACTTTATGTGAAACAATGTATAATGAAACCAACTTAAGTTTCTATAGCATATTTGTGGTCACAAAACATTGCCAAACTTCTAAATAAAGACCAAAACACTTCTAGTGGTAAACCCTGAAATAAATGTGAGCTATATACACATTTAAGAAAGATTAATAAAAACAAGGTAATTATTTTTTTTTAAAAAAAGAATCCTGTTCAGTGGTGCGCTAGAGCCAACTTGTACCAGCTCACAAGAGCCCACTGGGCACATCTCTTCCCAACTCTGTTCATAAACATTCTGTTGATAGCTTGAAATTGGCCATGATGGGAATATTGGCAAACATTACAAATCAAGGCTTCCCCCACCTTACCAACCTAAAAGAGCTGGTTGATAAACATCTACCAGCATGCCACTGCCTGGGAGTAGACAGATCTCACTAGGTGATCTGGTCTATTCCCTGCTTCAGGGCTGGGACTGGGGTGAGCAAGGAGGTGCCTCGGCTGCAAATTTTAAGGAGGCATTTACTCTGAGACCATGCAAATGTAGGCTCAGCACACTACCCTGAGAGCTTGCCCTATCCTAGTCCCTGCACTGCCCTGCCCTGTTTCCATATGATTATGCATTCAATTCAATCAATTTTATTGATAATCTACTATTTACCAGGTCTTTCTCCAGAAACAAACAAAATCCCTGGCTTTTGGAAGCTTACATTTTAATTGGAAAGGCAGGAATAAACATGATAAATAATTAAACTTGTAGTATCTTAGATAGGGTCAAGGGCCAAGGCAAAATATAAAGCAGGGAAGGAGATATAGGAAATGTTTTGAGGTACTGGGGTTGGAGAAAGCCTCACCGAAAAGTTATCTTTGAGTAAAGGCTTAAGGGGGTTAAGCAAATTAACGCTAATGGGGGCCAGGCATAGTGGCTCATGCCTGTAATCCCAGCATTTGGGAGGCCGAAGGGGGCGGATCACTTGAGGTCAGGAGTTTGAGACCAGCCTGGTCAACATGGCGAAACCCAATCTCTACTAAAAATACAAAAATTAGCTGGGCGTGGTGGTACATACCTGTAATCCCAGCTACTCGGGAGGCTGAGGCAGGAGAATCTCTTGAACCCGGGAGGCAGAGGTTGCAGGGAGCCGAGATCACATCACTGCACTCCAGCGTGGGTGACAGAGTGAGACATTCCATCTCAAAAAAAAAAGCAAAAGACAAAAAACAAATTAACAGTAATGGTCACTAATGGTTTTCTTCCATAGTTTAAGTGCTCTCTAGGAAAAGAGAGTTCACCAGCTTCCATCATAGGCTTATGCATTGATCTATGTATGCATTCATCTAGTACCTATTGATTGAATGCCTGATGCCAGACATTGTATTTGCTGAAGATAAAATAATTCTAATACTTACTGTGTCATCACCATGCACTAGGTACTGTCCCAAGCATTTTTCCCACATTAACTCATTTACTCATCTTAACAACCCAAGGCAGTAAGTGCCATTATCGTCTCCATTTTATAGATAAGGGAATTGAGGCACAAGGGATATCAGGGATAGTCAAGGTATGCTACCTGTCCTCAAAAAGCTCTCAGTCTGACAGAATACAGATATATAAGAACTACAATGCAGAGCCTGATAGAAGGAAGGATAAGGCATTACGGGAACAAAGAAGGGCCCTATTGAGGGCCTTTGTTTTTTTTTTTCATTTTTTTTTGTTTTTGTTTTTGTTTTTCAGATGGGGTCTCACTCCCATTGCCCAGGATGGAGTGCGGTGGCATGATCACAGCTCACTCTAGCCTGCAATGAAAGATATTTTAAAAAGCAATTTGCTATCAAATTCATTGTAAGACTGTTGTAAAGATTGCCATCTACTACATCTTATGGTACCCTCTTTTCTGGGAATCTTCTGAAGATATTTCTCTCAAATATCAGGAAAAAAAAACCCTGAGCTCTTAAAGTGGGGAGGGTATTTTTTAAACTTATGGATGCTGTGAATCCTGTAACTAATCAGATTTCTATCTTTGCATTGGCTGCCGGAAAGCTTAGAAATATATTTGTGGTCTACGTCTCTAGCATTGGAAGAATCTTTTGGCAGGCATTTTTCTAGGTGAATCTTGTCCTTCCCCTGGATTTTTGTTCCTTTTCCTTACCCTGAGTATTTTTTGCCATGATTTTGTATTTTTTCTTCCCATTTTATGCATTTTGAAAGCCACCATAAATATTTTTAAGAATAATACAAAAAGTAGAGTAGTTTTGAAGGATGAATTTATCAGATGGACACAGAGAAAAGGACATTCCAGGCAACATGTGCAGAGGACTGAAGGCATGAGAAGTAATGGTATGTATTAGGGAAAGTAAGGTGGACAAGGGAAGGGCTCCAAGCTGAGCCTACGGTGTCAGACATGCTGGTGTCTGAGGCTCAAACTTACAAATTTTATGACTTAATGTATCTGAGCCTTGGTTTCTTTTCTGTAAAATGGAAACAATAGTTACACCTATCTCATAGAATTGTAGTGAGGATTAGATTCATTCACGCATCAAAAATATGTATTCAGGGCCGGCCATGTGCCAAGCACTGTGCTAGACACTGGGAGGAGAGAAGTAAATAGATAAGAATGATGGTCTTGCTCACCATGGAGCCTGTAGACTGGTGTAGATAACACATGTAAGGTGCTTAGCACATGGCAAGTGCTCAATAAATAGGATAAATAATATTATAAATGGTAGTATAATAAGAATAGTATAAATATTGTTGCATGTTCAGGCATGAGAACTCAAGGGACTTCCTGTCTAAGCAGTAGCACTGGGGAAAGGGACAGCAGATGATGCTGGCAAAATGTGAAGAGGACAGATAGCCTACACGACTAAGGAGTGTGGAGTCATAGATTTTGAGCGAGAGAGAGAGAGAGATTGGTGGAGGGTGGGGGAGATGATTTTTTTTTCAGAAAAAAAAAACAAAACACTTTATTTTGAAAAACAAATTCAGCCAAGTGTGGTGGCTTGTGTCTGCAGTCCTAGCTACTTGAGAGGCTGAGATAGGAGGATCATTTGAGATCAGGAGTTTGAGACCAGCTTGGGCAACATAGCAAGACCCTGTCTTGGGTGAGGTGGCTCAGGACATTAATTCCAGCACTTTGGGAGGCTGAGGTGGAAGGATCACTTGAGGCCAGGAGTTCAAGACCAGTCTGGGCAACATAGTGAGAACCCATCTCCACAAAAATAAAAAAAAAAAAAAAAAAACAGCCGGGTGTGGTGGTGCATGCCTGTAGTCACAGCTGCTTGGGAGGCTGAGGTGGGAGGATTGCTTGAGGCAAGGAGTGTGAGGCTGCAGTGAGCCATGATTGCACCACTGTACTCCAGCCTGGGTGACAGAGACCCTGTCTCTATAAAACAAACAAACAAAAATTGAGTCCCTAAATTCTTATGTCTAAACTTATGTCCCTAAATTCTTATGTCTAAATCTTTCTTCCTGCAGATTTTATGTACATTTCTATCTTCCTTCTTTTTCTCCTCTTCCTCCTCCTCTTCTGCTTGTTACTACTCCTACTACTGCTCCTAGTTGCTCTCATTTCTTGAATGATTACAACGCTGGGCACCGTGTCTTTTTTTTTTTTTTTTTTTTGGAGACAGAGTCTCACTCTGTTGCCCAGGCTGGAGCACAGTGGTGTGATCATGGCTCATTGCAGTGTCAACCTCCTGGGCTTAAGCAATCCTCCTACCTCAGCCTCCTGAGTAGCTGGGACTACAGGTGCATGTCACCACACCCAGCTAATTTTTGTATTTTTTGTAGAGATGAGGTTTTGCCATGTTGCCCAAGCTGTGTGCTAAGTAATTAACTTGTGATTAATGGTACCTACCTCATAGAGTCATGAAGATTTTCCTCTTCATTTTACAGATGTGGAAACTGACATTTAGAGAAATTAGGTAACTTGCCCAAGGTAACTTGTTTAGTAAATGGTGAAGTTAATTTCTGAACCATGATATCTTGAATAATGAAGGCTATTTAATGAGTGTCAGGCATTCTTCATGCATAACTTCATCTCATTTTATCCTCACGACAGTCTTCTTAGATAAATATTATTATCCCCATTTTATAGATAATTTGAGCCTCAGAGAGGTTAAGTAACTTTTCCAGAGTCACACAGCTTATATGTAGTATAGCTCTACATTGAAATTTTGGATAGTATTACTATTTAAATAGGAAGATGTATAAAGGTTGTACTTAAATTCTGGGTGCTAGAGTGGAAATGCTTTGGGTCAACAGATAGGTCAACCGAACAGTAGTCCTTGTCTTAAATGGGCCACCCTTTCCTAATGTGCCTTATGAAAGAACTAGAAACAACTATCTGAAGCTGGCTTCCCATTTTAGTAGCTTTACAGCAGTTCCTGAAGCACCAGCCTTTTAACAGAAGGTTAGAAGCTAAAGCTCACACTCGAAGTGGTTTCTCCCTTTTCAACCAACCCTGCCCCTTATGTACATATACCACCCGCCCCAGATACTCTGATGCCACAGAATAAACTGGAGAAGGGGGGTTGTGCACAGGGAGATTTGGCCTGACTGTCTGCTGAAGAAACCAGTGTTGGTAGAAACTAATGAATCTGGGCTTGACAGCATTCTTTCCATAAAAAAATCATTATAAAATGCTGCTGTCTCCTGAAGCTTCTCAGCCCGGCTCCTGATTCATGGGCGATAAGCTCAGAGTTGCAGGCCTGCCGCCTTATTGCCATACAAAACATTAATCTTCTGGGTTTTTCCACCCCCCTGACAGCACAGGGTAATCAGGCAGAATTACAGCTCTGAAATGTTTGTGATTATGGGATTTGCAGCAAATAAATTGCTCAGGCTTTGGTGTCAATAGCTATAGCTTTTTTCTTTTCCTATCTTTTTATTTTCTGTTTCTGGAAGGCAGAGCGCACCTTTCTACATTTCAATTCCACATATATTTCTTCAAAAGGCCTCGATTCTCCATTTATAAAAGAAATTTATTTGACCAGCTACAGTTAGCATTTGTGAATATTGGGACAACTGGGGGCCTGGTGTTAGCTCTGGGTTAGAGGAACCTAGCTTCTCAGTTCTGTTTGCTGAATGTACGGACAGGGTGGCAAACGGGATCAGAGCAGAGGCCACGCTCAGGAAATGGAAGGCCTGAGTCAAGTTACAATGGGAATAAAGTTTCAGAAGTACTGAGGAGGCTCCCTTCCCTCTCCCTCACTGGAATACTTACTGCTGCTACTTGAAATTTCATTTGGCTGGGCACGGTGGCTCACGCCTGTAATCCCAGCACTTTGGGAGGCCGAGACAGGTGGATCATCTGAGGTCAGGAGTTCGAGACCAGCCTGGCCAACAAGGTGAAATCCCGTCTCTACTAAAAGTACAAAAATTAGCCGGTCATGGTGGCGCATGCCTGTAACCCCAGCTACTCGGGAAGCTGAGGCAGGAGAATCACTGGAACTTGAGAGGTGGAGGTTGCAGTAAGCCAAGGTCATGCCACTGCACTCCAGCCTGGGCAACAGAGCGAGACCCTGTCTCAAAAAAAAAAAATTCATCATTCATGTTTGATTTCTTTGGCTTTCGTTTTAATTCCCTGTTTGGATGCAAGTGTCCCTGGAGAAGCACATTACTTTGTTTCAGGGAATAAGTTTGTCTCTTCAAATGTATAAAAAGAAGGGATGTTTGTCTCACAATGTAATGTTTTCAAATAAGCAGTACATTTAAGTGATTCAAAATTCGAAACTATGTAAAAGGAATACATTAAGAAGTCTTTCTCCTCCTCTGTCTTAATTTACCTGTTTTTTTTGTTCAATCCCCTTGCCTCTAGTAGGTAACCACTTTCATTAACTTCTTGTATAACTTTTTATTATTTGTACAGATATGTACACGAGTCTTCCATATTTTCCTCCTTCAATGTAGTATATATCATGGAGATATTTCAATATCAGTACAGACACAGTTTCCTCAACCATTTTTTTAAACAACTGCGTAACATTACATTGCATGAATGTACCATTGTTTATTTATTCAGTTCCCTATAGATGGACACTTGGGTTGTTTCCAACCTTTCACTATTATAAACAATACTGCAAGGAATAATCCTGCACATGAGGTGCTTCCTGAAGTGTGAAAGTCAGCCTGTAAGATAAAAAACCAGAAAGGTAAATACTTTTAGAAATATTAACAAATATTGACAAATTGCCCTCTGTGGTGGTTGTATTATACACTTTTGCATTCCCAACAGCAATGTATGAGAGTGCTCATTTCCCCCACTACTTTACAACTGAGTGTTGCCAAACTTTCGGATTCTGGCAAACCTAACAGGAGGGAAATGCTGTGTATATTTGGTTTTAGTTTATACTTGTGAGTGTGGTTGAGTGCCTTTTCAGATGTTCAAGGGCTGTTTTAATTTCATTTTCTATGGACACTCTGTTCATGTCCTTTGCTCATTTTTCCATTGTATTGTCAATCTTTTCCTACTTAGTTTCCAGGAGCTCTTTATATATTTTTTTAACCCTTTAAATTTTTATTTTTTTAATTTTTAAATTTAATTTCTTTGGATATATAGCTGTGTATATTTATGGGGTACATGAAATGTTTTGGTACAGGCATGAGATGCTTAATAATTACAAATTAAGAATATTAGTCTTTTCATTATGTTAAGTGAAATAAGCCAAGCATGGAAGGCCAAATACTTCCATGATGTCACTCATATATGGAATATAAAAAAGTTTATCTCACAGAAGTAGTGAGAAAAATTGTGAGTAATGAGATTGCGGAGAGGGGAATGGGGAGAGGTTGGTCAGTGGGTACAAAGTTACAGTTAGGAGGAATAAGTTCTGGTGTTCTACAGCACAGTGGGGTGACTACAGTTAACAATAACATATTATATATTTCAAAATAGCTAGAAAAGAAAATTTTGAATGCTCTTACTACAAAGAAATGACAAGTGTTTGAAGTGAGAAATATGCTAATTACTCTGATTTGATCATTATGTAATATATACACAATGTATTGAAACCCCACACTGTACCCCATAAATATGTACAATTAAGATATCAATTACAAACAAAATACAATGTAAATAAATAAATAAAAATAGAACAAAAGAAGATTAGTCCTTTGTAAAGAATGCATTTTTAAAAGACAGGAAGGATGAGATGAATACTACTAGAACACTGGGCATTGCCTAAAGAAAGATAGGCTTGGGTGAGATAGTGGGAAGACAACATGAGGTGACTTGCTTTGTACTCATTTATTTGTTTCTTCATTAAATCTTCAAAAACATGCAAAAGATACTTATTGAACACTGACTATGTACCAGGCACTGTGTCAGGCATTTGGGATACATCACTAAACAAGAAGACAAAGATCACTGCCATCCCAAGAGCTTACATTCTCTCATCCATTGGTTCATTCATTCCACATACCCTGAAGCACACACTGGGAACACGTAGATCAGTAAGATATAGTTCCCCCTCCAAGGTTCAGTTTGGTTGGACAAGGAAAGAGTCTATTATGCTCTGGTGAGTTAAATGATATAAGAGAGGTATATACAGAATGCTAATAGAGTAGAAGGTGGTGGCATGACTGAGACAGGTGGTGATACAGGAACCCAACTTTAAGAAAGAGTGGGAGGTAGCCAGGCTGAGAAAGAGGCAAAAGAGAGCTCTGGCAGCACAGAAGCACAGAAACATGAGAACTCATGTCACCTTTTGGGATTGGGAGATATTTCCTTTTCACTGTTATGTAGAGAGACAAAGGTAAGAGAGGGTGGACAGAGAAATAGTTTTCAGTATGTAACATGGTGCCTGGCACTTATTTGGTACTCGTTAAATAGTTTTTGGTTGGTTGAATGAATAAATAAATGAAGTTAGAGGTAATATACTACAGTGATATGTTATCTATTGCTGTGTAACAATTTTCCCCAAAACTTGGCAGCTTAAAACAACAAATATTTATTATCTGTTTCTAAGGATCAGGAATCTGGGAGTGCTTTATTTGGATAGTTCTTGTTCAAGGTGCAATCATCCTGTTGACCAGGGCATTAATCTCAAGGTTTGACTGGGGCTCGATGATCCAGTTCCAAGCTCCTACACATAGCTGTTCCAGTCTTCAGTTCTTCGTTGGTTGTTGGCTATATGTATATATATATATATCCCAGAGGAATGCCTGATACATATTAAGTACTATATAAATATAAGCTATAATTATTATTACCTAAAGACTGTGAGGAGTTGTCAAAAGGTTTTAAGCATAGGAAATGACCTGATCATCTTTACTATTTCAGAAAACTCCTTCTAGCTTTAGCGTGAGACGTAGACTGGAGGGGGAAAAAGCAAGAAGGAAGGCGACCCATTAGAAAGCTGTTGTAGGCGAGAGATGACGGTGGCCTGGATTAGGGTAGTGATAGTGGAAACAAATAAGTGTATGCATACAGGGTATAATCTCGGAGTAGAACTACGTACACATCAATCAGAAGTAGGTGAAGTGGGAGATAGGGGTAGGGAACATAGGAGGAGGAGCAAGATCTTTTGTCTGTGGAGGTGAGCTGGGATGGTAAGTTGAATTAGGACCATGTAGAGTTTGGGGTGCTTATAAAACATCTATGTGAAAATGTCTGGTTGACAGCCAGATCTATGGGTATGGAGTTCAGAAGAGAGATCTGGGCTAGATTTAGAAGTCATCAGCATATGGGTCAATGGAGTCATAGGTGTGGATAAGATTGCCCAGGGGAGAATATGGCTAGTGAGAAGAGAAGGCTTCCTAGGAAAGACTCTTGAGGGTCACCAGCAGAATTGAGAGATGGATGGAGGAAGAAGTGTGTGCAAATAAGTGTCAGGGCTGGCCAGAGGGGAAGGAAAACCTGGAGAGTGTGGTATCTTGTAAGCCAAGGGAGTGTCTCATGAAGGAGAAAAGGAAGGCTCAACAGTGCCCATGCCACCTGCTAAAAGAAAAAGGTCAGAGAAGATAAAGGCTGAAAATCATCCACTGAATTTACCAACAAGAAGGTTATTGGTTTATTGGTGATCTTAGTGAGAGTAATTCACTGGAATGGGTGGGGGCATCCCTGTCCCAGCCTCCTTTTCTAGGCTATGAGTGCACATTCGTGAAATTTATAGGCCTTGGTGTTGAGTACCAGCTCCTCTTCCCAAACAGAAGCTTTGACCCCCACAGAGTCAACTTTTTGAGATGCAGATTCCTTGGTGGACTTCATTGGAACTGGGGTACTGCTTGACTGCTTAATCCTGACATTAACCTAATAGTTAGGTGGGCACACCGTTAACAGTGCTTACTATGTGCCAAGTATTGTTTTAACTACTTTATGTATGTCAATTTGTTTAATTATCCCCATTTTATGGATGAAGAATCTAGTTACCCACATCACGGTATAGCCCCAGGCTGAGCTGAAATAGGCCAGATCAAGGAAGAGGTAAACCAAGATGCTCAGCTTCAGCTATCTCTGGACTCCAGGAAAAGCCCTTCTTTTTGATGAAGTAAGTTATTGGGGCAGGAGTGTTTGGAGCAGGGGGTTTCAGGTCAGAGAAACTTTTTTGGTTTTTTTTGAGGCGGAGTCTCGCTCTGTCGCCCAGGCTGGAGTGCAGTGGCGCGATCTCGGCTCACTGCAACCTCCACCTCCCGGGTTCACGCCATTCTCCCGCCTCAGCCTCCCGAGTAGCTGCGACTACAGGCGCCCGCCACCACGCCCAGCTAATTTTTTATATTTTTAGTAGAGACGGGGTTTCACCGTGTTAGCCAGGATGGGCTGGATCTCCTGACCTCGTGATCCACCCGCCTCGGCCTCCCAAAGTGCCGGGATTACAGGCGTGAGCCACCGCGCCCGGCCAGGTCAGAGAAACTTTTAAAATATCACGCTGGAGCCCTTGACTCTTTGCTTTTGGGGGCCATCCAAGATGGCACTCATTAAGCACTAGATGGCGCCAAATGTGGCCTTGCATTGTCCTCCTTCTTGGATACAGAAAAACCTCAGAAATCTAATTTAATGACGACCCAATCCCCCATAGGCTAGGGAGCAATGAGAGCAGATTGCCATTTTAGATGGTAACAGTGTGGAAACTGCTGTAATCTCAGCTCCTCTATTAAACTCTCCAGGCATGCATCAGTATCCATATGCTGGGCAGAGAGCACATCTGCTTGGAGCTTTCATGGCACACCATGCCTATCCTGTGGCATTCTGCCCATTAAATCACAGGTAGGCGAGAGCAGCTCATCTTCTCCACCAGACTTTCAATTTCTCAATGGAAGAGATAGAACTTTGTTTATATGATACCTCCTATGGCTTTTCAACTTTTAGCACGGTGCTAAGTTCACAGTAGTCCTCAATATTTGTCGAGTTAATGAATAAAGGAATGAAGGCATTTTTCCTAGGCATAGCCTTTGTTCCAGCTTAACTCTTATTTATATTTGTAACCAGACTAACCTCCCTAATTAGAAGAGCATCTGTTGCTTTCTCTAAGGCCAAGTTAACAAAGAATACATGTAGGAGGGCTAGATCCAGTTAGTTCAATTCCACAAGTGTTTAGTAAGCCTTCTATGAATGTAGTATTGTGTCATGCTCCCTCTTAGAACAGACATGAGCCTAGGCAATTCAAAGGTTTTAAAAAATCATATTTCACACCTACAAAAGGTATGAACAGTAATACGACAAACAGCTATGTGCCCATGACCCAGATTCAAAAATAAGACATAAACAGTACGCACAGTTCAAAAGGCTCTGAAAATCAAAGGCTGTTTGTTTTTTATTAGTTTGGCATCAAAATGCTTTTGGCGACAAAACCAAACCTGAACTATTTCATAGTCTTCATCTAGCCCACTAAGTATAATAAATCATACATTTCACTGCAGAAATGTTAATGTGTTTGCTTATGGGGTTTTGCCCCAGGCCTCACTAGGTATGTTATCTAATGTCTAGTGTATGCTTGTGTCACCTTTCTGAAATCCAAACAATTCTGAATTCCAAAACACACATGGCAACAAGGTTTGTAGGTAAGGCATTCTAGGTCTGTGGTCTATTGGGCCGCAATTTCGGGCTTGGTTACTAAACGGTGTTGCTTAATGTTCCCCAAAGGAAAGAAGTGGAGGGGAAATGGAAACATTGCAACGAAGAGCGTCTGATATACCTCTTTATCCTCTTCATCTCCTCAGGCCCCAACCCCACATCTCTTCCTTAGGCTTCACCTTTTATATATATATATGTGTATATATATATATATATACACACATACATATATATACATATATATTTTTTATTATACTTTAAGTTCTAGGGTACATATGCACAACGTGCAGGTTTGTTACGTATGTATACATGTGCCATGTTGGTGTGCTGCACCCATTAACTCGTCATTTACTTTAGGTATATCTCCTAATGCTATCCCTCCCCCCTCTTCACACCCCACAACAGTCCCTGGTGTGTGATGTTCCCCTTCCTGTGTCCAAGTGTTCTCATTGTTCAATTCCCACCTATGAGTGAGAACATGCGGTGTTTGGTTTTTGGTCCTTGCGATAGTTTGCTGAGAATGATGGTTTCCAGCTTCATCCATGTCCCTGCAAAGGACATTAACTCATCATTTTTTATGGCTGCATAGTATTCCATGGTGTATATGTGCCACATTTTCTTAATCCAGTCTATCATTGTTTGACATTTGGCTTGGTTCCAAGTCTTTGCTATTGTGAATAGTGCCACAATAAACATACGTGTGCATGTGTCTTTATAGCAGCATGATTTATAGTCCTTTGGATATATACCCAGTAATGGGATGGCTGGGTCAAATGGTACTTCTAGTTCTAGATCCCTGAGGAATCGCCACACTGTCTTCCACAATGGTTGAACTAGTTTACAGTCCCACCAACAGTGTAAAAGTGTTCCTATTTCTCCACATCCTCTCCAGCACCTGTTGTTTCCTGACTTTTTAATGATCGCCATTCTAACTGGTGTGAGATGGTATCTCATTGTGGTTTTGATTTGCATTTCTCTGATGGCCAGTGATGATGAGCATTTTTCATGTGTCTGTTGGCTGCATAAATGTCTTCTTTTGAGAAGTGTCTGTTCATGTCCTTCGCCCACTTGTTAATGGGGTTGTTTTTTTTTTCTTGTAAATTTGTTTGAGTTCTTTGTAGATTCTGGATATTAGCCCTTTGTCAGATGGGTAGATTGTAAAAATTTTCTCCCATTCTGTAGGTTGCCTGTTCACTGTGATGGTAGTTTCTTTTGCTGTGCAGAAGCTCTTTAGTTTAATTAGATCCCATTTGTCAATTTTGGCTTTTGTTGCCATTGCTTTTGGTGTTGTAGACATGAAGTCCTTGCCCATGCCTATGTCCTGAATGGTATTGCCTAGGTTTTCTTCTAGGGTTTTTATGGTTTTAGGTCTAACATTTAAGTCCTTAATCCATCTTGAATTAATTTTTGTATAAGGTGTAAGGAAGGGATCCAGTTTCAGCTTTCTTCATATGGCTAGCCAGTTTTCCCAGCACCATTTATTAAATAGGGAATCATTTCCCCATTTCTTGTTTTTGCCAGGTTTGTCAAAAATCAGATAGTTTTAGATGTGTGGTGTTATTTCTGAGGGCTCTGTTCTGTTCCATTGATCTGTATCTCTGTTTTGGTACCAGTACCATGCTGTTTTGGGCCTTTGACAAAATTCAACAGCCCTTCATGCTAAAAACTCTCAATAAATTAGGTATTGATGGGACGTATCTCAAAATAATAAGAGCTGTTTATGACAAACCCACAGCCAATATCATACTGAATGGGCAAAAACTGGAAGCATTCCCTTTGAAAACTGGCACAAGACAGGGATGCCCTCTCTCACCACTCCTATTCAACATAGTGTTGGAAGTTCTGGCCAGGGCAATCAGGCAGGAGAAGGAAATAAAGGGCATTCAATTAGGAAAAGAGGAAGTCAAATTGTCCCTGTTTGCAGATGACATGATTGTATATCTAGAAAACCCCATCATCTCAACCCAAAATCTCCATAAGCTGATAAGCAACTTCAGCAAAGTCTCAGGATACAAAAACAATGTGCAAAAATTACAAGCTTTCTTATACACCAATAACAGACAAACAGAGAGCCAAATCATGAGTGAACTCCCATTCACAATTGCTTCAAAGAGAATAAAATACCTAGGAATCCAGCTTACAAGGGATGTGAAGGACCTCTTCAAGGAGAACTACAAACCACTGCTCAAGGAAATAAAAGAGGATACAAACAAATGGAAGAACATTCCATGCTCATGGATAAGAAGAATCAATATTGTGAAAATGGCCATACTCCCCAAGGTAATTTATAGATTCAATGCCATCCCCATCAAGCTACCAATGAGTTTCTTCACAGAATTGGAAAAAACTTCTTTAAAGTTCATATGGAACCAAGAAAGAGCCTGCATTGCCAAGTCATTCCTAAGCCAAAAGAACAAAGCTGGAGGCATCACGCTACCTGACTTCAAACTATACTGCTAGGCTTCACCTTTCTTTCAGCTTCTGGTATGCCCGACTCAGTTGTAGCCTTCTCTTACACAAACATTTTGTGCCAACATTTCTATATTTGTTTCAGCTCCGCTCTCTATCCCCCAGGTTCCATGCCTCCCTCTTCCTACCTCTGGCCCAGCTTTTCCGTGTCAGTTTTGAGAGTCCTTCTTTCTCACCCGCCCCCTTTATCTTTCTGCCTACTATTGATCTTGGCCCCTTGAGTCCTGAATCACCAACTCCAGGCCCAGTTCCCCTTCCTATTCATCCTTGAGGCAGCTCTTTCTCTCCAGGGCCATTGAATTTTTCATCTATGTATAACTTTCTCTCTTTTTTCCTGTTCACCTTCCAGTTTACTTCTAAAATAGGCATATTTAAGTTAGAAAGTAGCCAATTTAAAGTAAATACTGAAAGAATATATGGTGATTTGCTATGATATGGCTGAAAAATCATGATGGGAATACTCAAATCATTATGGGAACCTTGTTCCCTAAATTTTTTTTTAGAAAACAAGGAATTTTTTTGAATGATGGGCCATCTAGTGGCGAATGGAGGATGACAATTTTTCCAGCCTGAGAAAACACAATGGATCTTTAAAAAGAAAGGCCTTTTAAACCCTTAACCTCATCACCCTAACATGTACAAAGCACTAGTCCACAAAAGAGTGTATACAACAAAGGTCATGTCCCATCTGGGACATAGCTGGGTGAGATATGTGACTTTATCCTGGCATTGCTCTGTTTTTGACAGATGTATATGTATATGTATATGTGAATGTATACGCATCTCAGATGACTTCAGGGCCAAATTTAGAAACTCTGAAAATCCTCTTCACAGGCATCTCAAGAGCCTTTTCACCAAGACAAGGTAAGTGCCTGTCTTGTGTCATGCCTTTATTCTGGGAAGCCACATTAAGAGAGAATTAGTGCTGTGCAAGGGAGGAAATTGCTGTCTGAGATGGTTTTCAAACTGTACCTCTCAATTTCATAAATCAAGTCTCCCAAACACCCAAGTGAAGACATTTCAATTGATAGTCATTTATTCATTCAGCTTACATTTATTGAGCCACCAAATAGAATTCTGAGACTATTGTGATCCTATTAATAGACAACCACATATTTACAAAAAGAAATCTATCACCTAGTTAAGAAATATATACAGTACAGCTGAGCACAATCCAGATATAGGGAATTTCGGGAATCCCAGAAGTGTGCATCACTCCCATGCACTTCTCTGCAAGCTGCTCAAGTTAGAAATTTTAGTTGGAGTAGCTACTAGATGTATAGTATCAGATAACCTTCAGCAATTATTCCTTGTTGAATTAGCAGAGCAGCTGATAACTACTGTTTACCAGTAAAAAATATTATGTATGCAAATAAGTACTTGAAGGGCTTCAGAGAGGTCTGCCTTCAGAGTGACCAACCATCCTGGTTTGCTTGGGCCTGTCTTTTTGCACCAAAATCATGCATCCTGGGAAACCTCTCGGTCCTGGGCAAACAGGTAAAGTTGGTCACTGTAACTGCCTTAGAGTCTTCAGATGATTTATCCTGAGCAAAAGATCCACCATGCAAGCAACGCTGAAAAAGAAAAAAGTAATAATCTAAGCTGTGTTTGAGTGATTGCTAAATTAAACACTTTTACAGACCGCCCTCAAAACAATTCTACTAGGCAGATACTATTATTATTCCCACTTTGCAGATGAGGAAACTGAGGCACACAGAAGCAAAGAATTTGACAGAGATGACTTAGCTAGTAAGTGTCAGAAACAGGATTTGAACACAGACCAGTGTAGTGCTAAAGCCTGCATCCTCAAGCAGCATGCCATGCTTTCACTACTCAGACAGAGTGCTCACTCACAGCAGCTTTTGGGCTGTCAAAGTTCATCCCTGGTCCCAAGTAATTCAACAGGGGAAATCCCACGTTTTCAAAGATCTTGGTATTTCCTTAAAACATTTTGACGTAAACTTCAAGATCTTAGAAGGTTAGACAAATATTTTTCAAGATGTGATTTTCCATTTACTTAATTCTGAATCACATGGGGTGCTGACTTAAAGAAAAAAGAACACAAACTTAAGCTCTAATTCAGACCTATTAAATCAGATTGTCTGGGGATCCATATTTTCAACAGGTGCTCAAATTGACCTGGGTGCATAGTAGTTTGAGAACTACTGGGTTAGAAGTTTCTGAGAGATCAGCCAAGTTCAAAGAAATTAACTTCATTCACTTTCTCATTCTTGCTGTCTTCTTTTCCTTCTCTCACCCTACCAAATGTGAAAATATCCCCAAGTTTCATTATTCTGCCTTCTACATGGCCTTCTCTCTCTATTCTCTTCCTCAGAGGACTCCATTATTATCGCTGCCTAGTACATTATATGAGGAGCTGTGGAGACTTAGGTCCTACTTCCCATTGTGCCCTCAACTTTACAACATGGAGCAGGTCAGTTCCCCTATCTGAACCTCAGTTTTCTCACCTATAAAATGGTTGGAGCTGCGAATGTGCATTTTTAACAAGTTCCCCATACAATTTTAAAAAATCTCTTCTAAACTCTGAGAATCACTAATAAAAATGTATGGTAAATCCCTTCTTCATTGCAGCAAACTTAGTATCATGATCTTAGCTTCTCTTTTTCCCCAGGAGTATTTCTGTGCACTTTCACGTGCTGTCAGCTAGTGTGCTTAGATAATGTAAATTTATTTTATTATTGGCCAAGCACAAAAAAATCCAAAAGGTAAATATGCTGCAAAAAAAAAAAAAAAAAAAAAAGTGTATCCAGTTCATTTCCAAGCCAAACAGAGATGACTTTGGATTTGGCACAGTTTTAGATTACCTATGACTCTGATCTTCTCCATTAGAGTGAGTAATTGAAAGCTAGCTGTGTGTGCGCTTACAGAAATTATTTTAAATTGTTCATATTAAATAAATCTCAGCCTCTGGTGCTGTCTATAAGAAATAGTGGTAAGAATATTAATGAGCGCTTTCCCTAGAATGAGAATTTATAACTTATAAACAACCATGAAGGCTCCTGTTTTCATTCTCACAAATTAGGGAACTGATGAGAAGGGGCTTGCATTATTCAAGGCCAATGTCAGACAAGGGATAAGAACATTAGTTCACATTTACTAGGCACTTACAATGTATGTCTTAGTCTATTTTCTGTGCTTTAAACAGAATACCACAGACTGGGTAATTTATAAAGAACAGTGCATTTGGCTCACAGCTCTGGAGACTGGGGAGTCCAAGAGCACTGCACCAGCATTTGGCAAGGGTTATCCCATGGCAGAATACATCATATGGTGAGCAAGAAAATTGAGACAAAACTTATCTTTTTATCAGGAGTCTGCTCACATGATGACTAACCCATTCTCATGATAACAGCATTGATCCGTTCATGAGGGCAGAGCCTTCATGACTCAATTACCTCTTAAAGGTCTTACCTCCCAATACCGTTACATTAGCAGTTAAATTTCAACATGAATACAAGATTAATGTACACAAATCAGTAGCTCTCCTATACACCAACAGTGACCAGAGAATCAAATTAAGAATTCAACACCTTTTACAATAGCTGCAAAATAATAAAATATTTAGGAATATACCTAACCAAGGAGTCGAAAGATCTCTGCAAGGAAAACTACAAAACACTGCTGAAAGAAATCATAGATGACACAAACAAATAGAAACACATCCCATGCTCATGGATGGGTAGAATCAATATTGTGAAAATGACCATACTGCCAAAAGCAATATACATATTCAATGCTGTCCCCATAAAAATATCACCATCATTCTTCACAGAACTAGAAAAAAAATTCCAAAATTCATATGGAACCAAAAAAGAGACCATAGCCAAAGCAAGGGTAAGCAAAAATAACAAATCTGGAGGCATCACACTACCTAATTTCAAACTATATTCTAAGGCCAAAGTCACCAAAACAGTGTGGTACTGGTATAAACATAGGCACATAGACCAATGGAACAGAATAGAGAACCCAGAAATAAACCCAAATTCTTACAGTCAACTGATCTTTGACAAAGCAAACAAAAACATAAAGTGGGAAAAGGACACCCTTTTCAACAAATGGTGCTGGGATAATTGGCTAGCCACATGTAGGAGAATGAAACTGGATCCTTCTCTCTCACCTTATACAAAAATCAACTGAAGATGGATGAAGGACTTAAACCTAAGACGTGAAACTATATAAATTCTAGAAGATAACATTGGAAAAACCCTTCTAGACATTGGCTTAGGCAAGGATTTCATGACCAAGAACCCAAAAGCAAATGCAATTAAAAAAAGATAAATAACTGGGACCTAATTAAACTAAAGAGCTTTTGCACAGCAAAAGGAACAATCAGCAGAGTAAACAGACAACCCAAAGAGTGGGAGAAAATCTTCACAAACTATACATCTGACAAAGGACTAATATCCAGAATCTACAAGGAACACAAATCAGAAAAAAACAAACAATCCCATCAAAAAGTGGGCTAAGGACATGAATAGACAATTCTCAAAAGAAGATATACAAATGGCCAACAAACATATGAAAAAGTGCTTAACATCACTAATGATAAGGGAAATGCAAATCAAAACCACAATGTGATACAACCTTACTCCTGCAAGAATGGCCGTAATCAAAAAATCAAAAAATCATTGATGTTGGCGTGGATGCAGTGAACAGGGAACACTTCTACACTGCTGGTGGGAATGTAAACTAGTACAGCCACTATGGAAAACAGTGTGGAGATTCCTTAAAGAAGTAAAAGTAGAACTACCCTTTGATCCAGCAATTCCACTACTGGGTATCTACGCAGAGGAAAAGAAGTCATTATTCGAAAAAGATACTTGCACATGCATGTTTATAGCAGCACAATTCACAATTGCAAAATTATGGAACCAACCCAAATGCCCATCAATCAATGAGTGGATAAAGAAACTGTGGTATATATACACACGATAGAATACTACTCAGCCATAAAACGGAATGAATTAGCATTTGCAGCGACCTGGATGAGATTGGAGACTATTATTCTAAGTGAAGTAACTCAGGAATGGAAAAACAAACATCGTATGTTCTGACTGATATGTGGGAGCTAAGCTATGATGACACAAAGGCATAAGAATGATACAATGGACTTTGGAGACTTGTGGGGAAGAGTAGGAGGGGGTGAGGGATAAAAGACTACAAATATGGTGCAATGTATACTGCTCGGGTGATGGGTGCACCAAAATCTCAAAATCAACACTGAAGAACTTACTCATGTAACCAAACACCACCTGTACCCCAATAACTTATGTGAAAAAAATTTCAACATGAGTTTTTGGGGGAACATTCAAACTGTAGCAGTGTGCCAGGCATAGGACTCAATTCTTTCTGTGGAGTAACTCATTCAATCCTTACCCTAGGCCTATAAAGAGATATTACTATCCCTTCTTTGCAGAAGGAAATAAAGGTTCAGAGAGTTTCAGCAACTTGCTGAAGATCACATAGTATATAAGACATAGAGCCAGTCTTGAAACCTAGGGCTCTCTGGCTCTAGAGCCCATGCTCTTAACTGTGATACTATGGACCTGCTTGTGCACAGTCCTCCTCTTCTCACACTTCCTACCTACTAGTAGCTTCTGTCCCAGACCAATAGTGCTGGCAAATGAGTGGCATCAGATAAAGAGCTTTAGCTAGCTGCTTGTAGGCTAACTTTTTACCTTGTATCTAATAGCTGGGCTTTGTTCCTAAGACAAGTACACTTGGGGCCCAGAGCTTATCTCTCCCTGTCTAGCTACCTAGTTGCCTGACTTCATAACCTGCCCTGTGCCTCAACTTCTAAGGTTAAAAACCTATCTTTCTTCCCTGTCCTTCCCTGATTCTCCAATTTCCCTCCTTCTTTGGATGGTACTGCTCATCTGCTTAGACATTCCTAGATTCCTCACTGCTGCTCTGCTCATGGGATGAATGCCTTGTTAACTTAATTGTACTTCTTTGATGCTGACAGGACTAGAGCTGGTGTGTCTTTACATTTTCTGCACACCATAGTTTTTCCTCTTGCCTGGACTTTTCATCACTTCTACCCATTATTGCCATCTCATTTTAGGACGCAGGCTTAGCTTCAAGCTCTGGCCTGTCACTTCCTAAACTCACCCCATATGATTACATTTAGCCCTTTTGTGTTTAAATAGTCTTACAATAGGCTGTGGGCAAAGCCACCATCATTTTCTGTGTATTTTTATGGCAGTAGAGTGTTCCTTACTGAAATCTGCTGACCCAGAGGATCCTGTGATATACAGATAGGTAATGTCAAAGATGGAATGGACCTTCAAGGTCATTTAGTCCCAGCCTTTTACTATAAACAGAAAAACTAAGGCACAGAATGGGCAGGTGATTTTCCCAAGGTTAAATGGTGATAAGTAGTAGAACTGAGACAAGAACCTAAGGTTTCTATCCTCTAAACCAATGTTAAATATATAGACCACACTGGTGGTCATGGTCTATGGAGCTAGAGAGAAAATGTCAGATGATGCTTCTGTCTGAAACAAAGTTCCATGGCCCATAATGAAAGGATCATCCAAAACAGGATGTCAGCATCAAAGAGCCCAGAAGATAATATGAATCAAGGTAGTAGCTGAAAAACTTTCAGACACGGAGATCCTAAAATCAAGAAGGGGTAAGGGATACATCATTTTGGTTCCTCTGGGAAGCAGACGCCAAAAGATAGGAACAAAAGAGATTTTAATGGGGGTAAGACCAGTAAATGATAAGAGGGGATAGGAAGCAGAAGTAGGCAGAGAAAGCCTTCATACCACCTACAGGCATAACCATTGTAAAACAAGAGGGAGAAGGAAGAAGAATAGGATAAGAAGAGCCTTAAACTGTGATGCAGCTCTGAGAAATCTCAGCCAGTTCAACAGTAATCTTTCCCATACAAAGACTACCCACAGAGGCATCCTGCACTGGCCAGAAATGGTAAGCTCCATTCACCCCTACCTCAGTCATTGTGTGAGGACTGCCCAGAAGCATATGGGCTCAGCTCAAAAGAAGATGCAGATCCTAAAGATGCTACAGCTCTGGAGGCTGTCAGCTAATTGAACTCCTTGTGGCAGGTGTTCTCTTAAAGGCAGATCTGAGCAGCATACCTTCATGTCTGCTACAAACGAGTGGTTAGAATGTGTTTGAAGCACCTCCAACACTTTAATTGAGCTGAAACGAAACAATTAACACTATTACTCCTTGAGCTACTGTCGCTAGGGCTCAGGTCACCCTTTCAAGGGGAGGCGAAGTTTGGGTTTTCTGAGATTTGCTTAGGGGAAGGTCCTGGAAGAGAAAGATAGCAGAGGCTGGTATGCATAAAGAGTAAAAACATAGAATGAAGTGGGCCATTTCCTCAATAGTGTCTATCTTCACTAAGATGGTGCTGTGGCTGGGAGAAGGAGAAGCTATTTTTAGATGAACATTCTTAGCATATTGTTGGAAGCCTACTATATTTTAGGATCCATATAAATCCTGGAGTATGACAATAAATGATCATAATGATGAGGCACATGGTGATGTCATCTTCATGAATGCAAAAGTTAGGAATTCAGGATACCTTGTCTTGGCCTTAACCTAGACAGAAGTGTTTCAGAGAATGGCAGATATTAGCAAATGTGGACCTCCCAGATGTTCCTTCAAAGTATATTTGGGACTGGGCACTGTGGCTCATGCCTGTAATCTCAGCACTTTGTGAGGCTGAGACAGGTGGATCACCTGAAGTCAGGAGTTCGAGACCAGCCTGACCAACATGGTGAAACCCTGTCTCTACCAAAAATACAAAAAGTAGCCAGGCATGGTGGTATGCGTCTGTAATCTCAGCTACTTGGGGGGCTGAGGCAGGAAAATCACTTGAACCCGGGAGGTGGAGGTTGCAGTGAGCCGAGATCGTGCCATTGCACTCCAGCCTGGGCAACAAGAGTGAAACTCCGTCTCAAAAAAAAAAAAAAAAGTATATTTGAAGTCAACTATTTACTATAATAGAACAGGTCTCCTCTATACTCCATACCCATAAAACCTGTCCTAGACAGCTCAGGATATCAGTCTGCTGGTAATAGCACTGGACATCTGTCTGATACCTGTGTCAGATCACCTTGATATTTTAATTAGGGCTGGATGCATACATTCATTTAACAAACATGTATTGAGGGCCTATTCTCTGTCAGGTACTGTTATAAACACACACCAATGAACAAGAAAGAAAATGGCCCACTTCATTCTATGTTTTTACTCTTACAGACAGAAATCTTCTCCCTTAGAGCTTACTTTAGAGATGGTGGAGACCACAGCAAACAATCAAAATGACAAGGTTATCCCATAACGTATTAAGTGCTACAAAGAAGTAAAACAGGATAAAGTGATCAAAGTAATTGAGTAAGTATGAGTGGTGATGGGAGACTACATTAGGTAAGGTAAGTGTCTCTAAGATGGCATTTGAACAGAGACTATAAGCCAAACATTCAACAATCTCAAAGAAGAGCATTCCAGGCAGAGAACATCAAGGGAAAAGTCTTTATGGCTAGAACAAGTTTGTCTTGCAACAAGAACAACAAAAAAGGCTTAGGAGACTTCTGATCCGGACAAGATTGAGAAAACCCATTTCCCCCTTTTAAGACAACTATAAACTCTGAAAATGGCACAAGAGACAACCAAGCAGAATTCTGAATGGTGGTAAGGGGAAGGCAAACCAGTTTGTGACTCGTGGAGAAACAGTACAAAAGCAGAGCATCTTGCATCTCTCCACCCAACCAAGAAAGGCCATTCAAACCTGACATTTCCTTAACCCTGTTTGAGCACCAGAAGGCAGCCTAGTTAAGCCCGTTAGTTATTCTCCTCAGATGGAATGGGAGTCCCTCCAACAACAGTCAGTGAGTCAGACACCAGTGGCAAGAGAGATCAATCAGAAACCCCGACAAAAACAAACAGCTGGAGAAGTGCTCCCCTTCCCTGCTGGGTAGATCTTAGACTGTCCTCTTTTGCTGCGAGATGCTGAAGTAGGCAGATAGAAGAGAAAAAAGGAATGTAGCCACAGTAAGTGGCCTATTCCAGGAAGTCTCTTTGTCTCTGTAGGCCTGACACTCTTCTGCCCTTCCCAAAGATGCTAGATAGCTACAGACACTAACAGGGTGCCCCACCACATCCCCTCCCCCACCAAAAGGCACCTTGCTGTCAACCTAGAGAAACACTTCCTCCCCTTCAGGAAGCAACATCAGGGACCAGAAAGAGCCCCGGTGGCACCAGATAAATCAAGCAGACCAATATGACACTTCATAGATTCTGAAAATAAAACTACCATTGGAATCACAGCCCATAAAAACTAGGACTTGTGTGCTAAACCTAAATAGTATGACTGCCTGATAAATTAAAAGTTACATAGAACCCAGAGTCTCCTAACATAATAGACATGATGTTCAGAATACAATGAAAAGTCACCTATCATACCAAGAACCAAGAAATGAAAAATTTGCTGGGTAGGTTCAATAGTAGAGTGGAGATGACAGAATCAGTGAACTCGAAGAACAGATCAATAGGATTTACCTAATTTGACTAACAGAGAGAACATAGCCCACAAAAAAGCAGAGACTATTGTGGGACAATTGCAAAAGATCTAATATTTATATTATCAGAGTATCACAAGGAGACAAGAAAGAGAATAGGGCTGAAAGAGCATTTGAAAAATTAATGACTGAAAAACTTCCCAAATTCTGTGAAAGACACAAACCTATAGATTCGAGAAGTTGAGCAATCCCCAAAGAGGGTAAATTCAAATCCATTCCAAGACACATCATAATTAATCTTTTAAAACTAAAGGCAGCCAGGTACAGTGGCTCATACCTGTAATCCCAGCACTTTGGGAAGCCGAGGCAAGAGGATTACTTGAGGCCAGAAGTTTGAGACAAGCCTGGGCAACATCTCTAAAAAGACAGACCCCCATCTCTAAAAAGAAATTAGCTGAGCATGGTGGTACACACCTGTAGTTCCAGCTACTTGGGAGGCTGAGTAGGGAGGATCACTTGAGCCCAGGAGTTTGAAGCTATAGTGAGCTATGATTGTACCACTGCATCCCAGCCTGGGCAATAGAGTGAGACTCCATCTCAATAAAGAAATAAATAGGGGGTGGAGCCAAGATGGCCAAATAGGAACAGCTCCAGTCTACAGCTCCCAGCATGAGCGATGCAGAAGACGGGTGATTTCTGCATTTCCAACTGAGGTACCGGGTTCATCTCACTGGGGAGTGTCAGAAAGTGGGTGCAGGACAGTGGGTGCAGCACACCCAGCGTGAGCTGAAGCAGGGCGAGGCATCGCCTCACCTGGGAAGGACAAGGGGTCAGGGAATTCCCTTTCGTAGTCAAAGAAAGGGGTGACAGATGGCACCTGGAAAATTGGGTCACTCCCACCCTAATACTGCACTTTTCCAATGGTCTTAGCAAATGGCACACCAGGAGATTATATCCCATGCCTGGCTCGGAGGGTACTACGCCCACAGAGCCTCGCACATTGCTAGCACAGCAGTCTGAGATCAAACTGCAAGGCGGCAGCAAGGCTGGGGGAGGGGTGCCCGCCATTGCCAAGGCTTGAGTAGGTAAACAAAGCAACCTGGAAGCTTGAACTGGGTGGAGCCCACCACAGCTCAAGGAGGCCTGCCTGCCTCTGTAGACTCCACCTCTGGGGGCAGGGCACAGCCAAATAAAAGGCAGCAGAATCCTCTGCAGACTTATATGTCCCTGTCTGACAGCCTTGAAGAGAGTAGTGGTTCTCCCAGCACGCAGCAGGACATCTGAGAACCGACAGACTGCCTCCTCAAGTGGGTCCCTGACCCCCAAGTAGCCTAACTGGGAGGCACCCCCCAGTAGGGGCAGATTGACACCTCACATGGCTGGCTACTCCTCTGAGACAAAACTTCCAGAGGAACGATCAGGCAGCAACATCTGCTGTTCACCAATATCCGCTGTTCTGCAGCCTCTGCTGCTGATACCCAGGCAAACAGGGTCTGGAGTGGACCTCCAGCAAACTCCAACAGACCTGCAGCTGAGGGTCCTGACTGTTAGAAGGAAAACTAACAAACAGAAAGGACATCCACACCAAAACCCCATCTGTACGTCACCATCATCAAAGACCAAAGGTAGATAAAACCACAAAGATGGGGAAAAAACAGAGCAGAAAAACTGGAAACTCTAAAAATCAGAGCACCTCTCCTCCTCCAAAGCAACACAGCTCCTCGTCAGCAAGAGAACAAAGCTGGACAGAGAATGACTTTGACGAGTTGAGAGAAGAAGGCTTCAGATGATCAAACTACTCTGAGCTAAAGGAGAAAGTTCGAACCCATGGCAAAGAAGTTAAAAACCTTGAAAAAAAATTAGACAAATGGCTAACTAGAATAACCAATGCAGAGAAGTCCTTAAAGGACCTGATGGAGCTGAAAACCAAGGCACGAGAACTATGTGACAAATGCACAAGCCTCAGTAGCCGATTCTATCAACTGGAAGAAAGAGTATCAGTGATGGAAGATGGAAGATAAAATGAATGAAATTAAGTGAGAAGAGAAGCTTAGAGAAAAAAGAATAAAAAGAAACGAACAAAGCCTCCAAGAAATATGGGACTATGTGAAAAGACCAAATCTACGTCTGATTGGTGTACCTGAAAGTGACGGGGAGAATGGAACCAAGTTGGAAAACACTCTGCAGGATACTATCCAGGAGAACTTCCCCAATCTAGCAAGGCAGGCCAACATTCAAATTCAGGAAATACAGAGAATGCCACAAAGATACTCCTCAAGAAGAGCAAATCCAAGACACATAATTGTCAGATTCACCAAAGTTGAAATGAAGGAAAAAATGTTAAGGACAGCCAGAGAGAAAGGTCGGGTTACCCTCAAAGGGAAGCCCATCAGACTAACAGCGGATCTCTCAGCAGAAACTCTACAAGCCAGAACAGAGTGGGGGCCAATATTCAACACTCTTAAAGAAAAGAATTTTCAATCCAGAATTTCATATCCAGCCAAACTAAGCTTCATAAGTGAAGGATAAATAAAATCCTTTACAGACAAGCAAATGCTAAGAGATTTTGTCACCACCAGGCCTGCACTAAAGGAGCTCCTGAAGGAAACACTAAACATGGAAAGGAACAACCGGTACCAGCTGCTGCAAAAACATGCCAAACTGTAAAGACCATTGAGGCTAGGAAGAAACTGCATCAACTAACGAGCAAAATAACCAGCTAACATCATAATGACAGGATCAAATTCACACATAACAATATTAACCTTAAATGTAAATGGGCTAAATGCTCCAATTAAAAGACACAGACTGGCAAATTGGATAAAGAGTCAAGACCCATCAGTGTGCTGTATTCAGGAGACCCATCTCACGTGCAGAGACACACACAGGATCAAAATAAAGGGATGGAGGGAGATCTACCAAGCAAATGGAAAACAAAAAAAGGCAGGGGTTGCAATCCTAGTCTCTGATAAAACGGACTTTAAACCAACAAAGATCAAAAGAGACAAAGAAGGCCATTACATGATGGTAAAGGGATCAATTCAACAAGAAGAGCTAACTACCCTAAATATATATGCACCCAATACAGGAGCACCCAGATTCATAAAGCAAGTCCTTAGAGACCTACAAAGAGACTTAGACTCCCACACATTAATAATGGGAGACTTTAACACCCCACTGTCAACATTAGACAGATCAACGAGACAGAAAGTTAACAAGGATATCCAGGATTTGAACTCAGCTCTGCACCAAGTGGACCTAATAGACATCTACAGAACTCTCCACCCCAAATCAACAGAATATACATTCTTCTCAGCACTACACCACATTTATTCCAAAATTGACCACATAGTTGGAAGTAAAGCACTCCTCAGCAAATATAAAACAACAGAAATTATAACAAACTGTCTCTCAGACCACAGTGCAATCAAACTCGAACTCAGGATTAAGAAACTCACTCAAAACCGCTCAACTACATGGAAACTGAACAACCTGCTCCTGAATGACTACTGGGTACATAACAAAATGAAGGCAGAAATAAATACATTATTTGAAACCAACGAGAACAAAGACACAACATACCAGAATCTCTGGGACACATTCAAAGCAGTGTGTAGAGGGAAATTCATAGCACTAAATGCCCACAAGAGAAAGCAGGAAAGATCTAAAATTGACACCCTAACATCACAATTAAAAGAACTAGAGAAGCAAGAACAAACACATTCAAAAGCTAGCAGAAGGCAAGAAATAACTAAGATCAGAGCAAAACTGAAGGAAATAGAGACACAAAAAATCCTTCAAAAAATCAATGAATCCAGGAGCTGGTTTTTTGAAAAGATCAACAAAATTGATAGACCACTAGCAAGACCAATAAAGAAGAAAAGAGAGAAGAATCAAATAGATGCAATAAAAAATGATAAAGGGGATATCACCACTGATCCCACAGAAATACAAACTACCATCAGAGAATACTATAAACACCTCTATGCAAATAAACTAGAAAATCTAGAAGAAATGGATAAATTCCTCAACACATACACCCTCCCAAGACTAAACCAGGAAGAAGTTGAATCTCTGAATAAACCAATAACAGGCTCTGAAATTGAGGCAATAATTAATAGCTTACCAATCAAAAAAAGTCCAGGACCAGATGGATTCATAGCCAAATTCCACCAGAGGTACAAGGAGGAGCTGGTACCATTCCTTCTGAAACTATTCCAATCAATAGAAAAAGAGGGAATCCTCCCTAACTCATTTTAGGAGGCCAGCATCATCCTGATACCAAAGCCTGGCAGAGACACAACCAAAAAAGAGAATTTTAGACCAATACCCCTGATGAATATTGATGCAAAAATCCTCAATAAAATACTGGCAAACCGAATCCAGCAGCACATCAAGAAGCTTATCCACCATGATCAAGTGGGCTTCATCCCTGGGATGCAAGGCTCGTTCAACATATGCAAATCAATAAACGTAATCCAGGATATAAACAGAACGAATGACAAAAACCATATGATTATCTCAATAGATGCAGAAAAGGCCTTTGACAAAATTCAACAACCCTTCATTCTAAAAACTCTCAATAAATTAGGTATTGATGGGACGTATCTCAAAATAATAAGAGCTATCTATGACAAACCCACAGCCAATATCATACTGAATGGGCAAAAACTGGAAGCATTCCCTTTGAAAACTGGCACAAGACAGGGGTGCCCTCTCTCACCACTCCTATTCAACATAGTGTTGGAAGTTCTGGCCAGGGCAATCAGGCAGGAGAAGGAAATAAAGGGCATTCAATTAGGACAAGAGGAAGTCAAATTGTCCCTGTTTGCAGATGACATGATTGTATATCGAGAAAACCCCATCGTCTCAACCCAAAATCTCCATAAGCTGATAAGCAACTTCAGCAAAGTCTCAGGATACAAAATCAATGTGCAAAAATCACAAGCATTTTTATACACCAATAACAGACAAACAGAGAGCCAAATCATGAGTGAACTCCCATTCACAATTGCTTCAAAGAGAATAAAATACCTAGGAATCCAACTTACAAGGGATGTGAAGGATCTCTTCAAGGAGAACTACAAACCACTGCTCAAGGAAATAAAAGAGGATACAAACAAATGGAAGAACATTCCATGCTCATGGGTAGGAAGAATCAATATCGTGAAAATGGCCATACTGCCCAAGGTAATTTATAGATTTAATGCCATCCCCATCAAGCTACCAATGACTTTCTTCACAGAATTGGAAAAAACTACTTTAAAGTTCATATGGAACCAAAAAAGAGCCCGCATTGCCAAGTCAATCCTAAGCCAAAGGAACAAAGCTGGAGGCATCACACTACCTGACTTCAAACTATACTACAAGGCTACAGTAACCAAAACAGCATGGTACTGGTACCAAAACAGAGATATAGACCAATGGAACAGAACGGAGCCCTCAGAAATAATGCCACATATCTACAACCATCTGATCTTTGACAAACCTGACAAAAACAAGAAATGGGGAAATGATTCCCTATTTAATAAATGGTGCTGGGAAAACTGGCTAGCCATATGTAGGAGAAAGCTGAAACTGGATCCCTTCCTTACACCTTATACAAAAATTAATTCAAGATGGATTAAAGACTTAAATGTTAGACCTAAAACCATAAAAACCCTAGAAGAAAACCTAGGCAATACCATTCAGGACATAGGCATGGGCAAGGACTTCATGTCTACAACACCAAAAGCAATGGCAACAAAAGCCAAAATTGACAAATGGGATCTAATTAAACTAAAGAGCTTCTGCACAGCAAAAGAAACTACCATCACAGTGAACAGGCAACCTACAGAATGGGAGAAAATTTTTACAATCTACCCATCTGACAAAGGGCTAATATCCAGAATCTACAAAGAACTCAAACAAATTTACAAGAAAAGAACAAACAACCCCATCAACAAGTGGGTGAAGGATATGAACAGACACTTCTCAAAAGAAGACATTTATACAGCCAAAAGGCACATGAAAAAATGCTCATCATCACTGGCCATCAGAGAAATGCAAATCAAAACCACATTGAGATACCATCTCATACCAGTTAGAATGGCGATCATTAAAAAGTCAGGAAACAACAGGTGCTGGAGAGGATGTGGAGAAATAGGAACACTTTTACACTGTTGGTGGGACTGTAAACTAGTTCAACCATTGTGGAAGTCAGTGTGGTGATTCCTCAGGGATCTAGAACTAGAAATACCATTTGACCCAGCCATCCCATTACTGGGTATATACCCAAAGGATTATAAAACATGCTGCTATAAAGACACATGCACACGTATGTTTATCGCGGCATTATTCACAATAGCAAAGACTTGGAACCAAGCCAAATGACCAACAATGATAGACTGGATCAAGAAAATGTGGCACATATACACCATGGAATATAAGCAGCCATAAAAAAATGATGAGTTCATGTCCTTTGTAGGGACATGGATGAAGCTGGAAACCATCATTCTCAGCAAACTATTGCAAGGACAAAAAACCAAATACCACATGTTCTCACTCACACGTGGGAATTGAACAATGAGAACACATGGACACAGGAAGGGGAACATCACACACCGAGGCCTGTTGTGGGGTGGGGGGAGGGGGGAGGGATAGCTTTAGGAGATATACCTAATGTTAAATGACGAGGATTAATGGGTGCAGCACACCAACATGGCACATGTATACATATGTAACTAACATGCACGTTGTGCACATGTACCCTAAAACTTAAAGTATAATAAAAAATAAATAAATAAATAAACATTAACAATTTTTATAAATGGGTCAAAAATGTGATTATTTTCTATTCAAATTAATAATGCAAACACTAATACAATGTTACTTCAAATAATTAAGAAATTTTATCCAGTCGTTAGCTAAGTAATGAGGTCAAGTCATCCCCAGTAACTTCCTGTGATACCAAAGGGAATGTATTTTATCTCTAATGAAGCACACCTGGGTCTGTCATGCACTAGCAATGTGAATGTGAGCCTTTGGCTTCTGGGGGATTTTATTTCCTCTGCTATAGAATTGAAGGACTTTGTTTAAGGTGTCTTACAAAGACTTCTTGCTTTGCAAAAACATGTTGGGTAGTAAGAAGTAAATTTTTAAAGACATTTGGACTTTTTTTCTATCTGTAGAATAGCATAATTCAGAACTATTCCACACTGTTGTTCTGGAAAAATTTTCCTCATGCAATGTAAATGTAATGACTGACTTAAAAAGTCTGAAAATGAAGCATCAAAGAATAAAAATGTGGTTTAAAATCTTTAAAAAAAAAGAAATAGTAAAAATAAATAAATAAATAAATAAGGAAAGAAAGCAGGAAAAATAAAACTAAAAACAAACAAGAAATCTTGAAAGTAGCCAGAGAAAAACAATGAATTACCTATGGGGAAACACCAATTCAAATTACAGCAGATTTCTCATCTGATACCATGGAGGCAAGAACGAAGTGACACAACTTGAAAGTATGGAGACAGGAGAATTGTCAACTGCAAATTCTATATCTGGCAAAAATATTCTTAAGGAATGAGAGTGAAATAAAGCATTCTTAAATGAAGGAAAAACTAAAAGAATTTGTCACTAGCAGAACTCTTAAATAATAGCTAGGAGAAGCTCTTTAAACAGAAAAAAACGATAAAAGAAGGAATCCTGGCACATCAGGAAAAAAGTATATAAAACAAATATACTAGTACACAGAAGACATTATCAGTTTCCTCATGAGTTTTATAAGTCATGTTTGATTGCTGAAACAAAAATTATAACACCCTGTGATACTGAGGACAATGATAATTAAGACCATGGAAGATGAAGAAACATAAATAGAAGTGAGGTTTTCACACTTCACTTGAAGTAGTAAAATGCGATATCATCTAACCCCAGTTAAAATACCTTTTATCCAAAAAGCAGGCAATAACAAATGCTGGTGAGGATGCAGAGAAAAGGCAACCCTCGTAAACTGTTGGTGGGAAGGTAAATTAGTACAATCACTATGGAGAGCAGTTTGGCGATTTCTCTAAAAAACTAAAAGCAGAGCCACTGTATGATCCAGCCATCCCACTGCTGGGTATATACCCAAAGGCAAGGAAATCAGTATATCCAAGAAATATTTGCACTCCCATGTTTGTTGCAGCCCTGCTCACAAAAGCTAAGATTTGGAAGCAACCTGCGTCCATCAACAGATGAATGGATAAAGAAAAAGTGGTACATATACTCAAGGGAGTACTATTCAGCCATAAAAAATGAGATCCTGTCATTTGCAACAACATGGATGGAAGTGGAGATCATTATGTTAAGTGAAATAGCCAGTCACAGAAAGACAAACCTCATGTTTTCACTTATTTGTGGGAGCTAAAAAAAAAATTGAACTCATGGAGATAGAGAGTAGAAGGATGGTTACCAGAGGCTGGGAAGGATAGTGGGGGGTCAGGGGAAGTTGGGGATGGTTAACGGGTACAAAAAATAGTTAGAAAGAATGAATCAGACCTAGTGTTTCAGGATGCATACCACGTTCTCCATGATGTGTTTATTTCACATTGCATGCCTGTATCAAAACATCTCATGTACCCCATAAATATATTCACCTACTATATACCCACAAGCACTAAAAATAAAAAGTTTTTAAAACTAAGTCAGGATTGATCACAGACATAAACATAAAATGAAAAACTATAAAACTTTTAGAAAAAAATAGGAGGAAATCTCTGGGATCTAGAGTTCAGCAGAGTTTTTAGAGTCAGCCCTAAAAGCAGGGTTTATAGAAGGAAAAATAGTTCATCGAAAATTTTAAAACTTTTGCTCTGTGAAAGTACATATGAAGAGAATGAAAAGGCAAGCTACAGACTGGGAAAAAACATGTACGAATCACGTATCTGAGAAAGTACTCATGTCTACAACACACAAAGGACTCTCAAAACTCAATATTTGATAAATCCAGTTAGAAAATGGGCAAGATATATACAGACATTTTGCGAAGAGAATATACACATGAAGAATAAACATGTGAAAAGCTATTCAACATTGTTAACCATTAGAGAAATGCAAATTACAGCTACAATGAGATAGTACTACATACATATCAGAATGTCCAAAATAAAAAATAGTGGCAACACCACTATTAGTGAAGGTGTAGAGAAACTGAGTCACTCATACATTGCTTGTGGGAATGTAAAATGGTATGGCTACTCTGGAAAACAGTCTAGCAGTTGCTTTAAAAATTAAACACGTAGCTGGGCGTGGTGGCTCACACCTGTAATCCCAGCACTTTGGGAGGCCGAGGTGTCGGGGTCACTTGAGCCCAGGAGTTTGAGACCAGCCTAGGCAACGTAGGAGGATCCCCATCTCTACAAAAAAAAAAAAAAAATTAGCCAGAAGCACACCTGTGGTCCAGCTACTTGGGTGGGCTGAGGTTGGAGGATCGCTTGAGGCCAGGAGATGAAGGCTGCAGGGAGCCATGCTCATGCCACTGCACTCAGCCTGGATGACAGAGTGAGCAAAGTGAGACCCTGTTTCGAAAAAAACAAAAAAAAGTTAAACACGTGCTTACAATGTGACTTAGCAACTGCAATCTTGGGGATTTATCCCAGGGAAATGAAAACTTATATTTATGTAAGACCTGTAAATAAATATCACAAATGCCCTTCAATGGGTGAATGATTAAACTGAAGCTCATCCATACTGTGGAATACAACTCAGCAATAAAAAAAACTACATGCAACAGCCTGGATGAATCTTTAGAAAATTATGCTGAGTGAAAATAAGCCAGTCCCAGAAGTTACATATTGTACAATTCTATCTATATCATGTCTGTGAAGTGACAAAATTATAGAAATGAAGAACAGATTAATGGTTGCCTAGGTTTAAGGAGGTGGGGGGAGATGAATATGATTATAAAAGGGCAATAGGAGGGATCCTCAAGGTGATGGCACTGTTCAGTACTTTGACTATGTACTATAAGACCTACTGTTTTAGGATGCATACCCCATTTTCCATGATATGCTTATTTAACATGTGGTGGTATCCATCACATGAACTTACATGGATGATCAAATTATATAGAACTAAATACACATACACACATATGAGGATAAATATTAATAAAACCAGGGAAATCTGAATAATATAGGTGGATTGTATCAACATCACTATTCTTACTATGATATTACAGTTTTCCAAAATGTTACCATTGGGGAAAACTGGGCAAAATGTATGAGAGATCTTGCTCTTGTTTTTTTTAGCTGCATGTGAATCTGCAATTATCTCAATAAAAATGTCAATTAAAACAAATGGCCAGTGTTGCTGAGCTTAGTGGATGAGCAGGAGAGTGGTGAGCGACAGGTAGATGAGCTAAGCAGAAGACAGATTATCCACAGCCTAGTAACCCACGGAAAGACTTTGGATTTTATCCTAAACCCATTGGGAAGCCATTGGCGGGGAGTCACATGAATTTACATATATTTTAATAAATAATTCTGGTTGCTGTGTGGAGGGGCCAGAGTGGCAGCAGGGAGACCATTGTAGCAGGCCAATGTTTTTCCCTGTATTGCTACCATTGTAGCAAGAAATTTCTGCTAGCTTGGATCAGAAATGAGTGAAGATGGAGAGATGTGGATGGATTCAGGATATATTTTGGGGGTGGAGCTAACAGAAGTTCATAGCTGGATGGATGACTATGAAGTTCCCAGTCCGGGAATTTTCTGGAATGGGGCCACTTCTACACAAACACCCTGAGCTATTCTTATAGGACAAGTGAATTTTCAGAAATGGAATATACATTTGAGTACATGCCGACGGCCTGGCCTATCACATGGGATTGGTATCAGCCTTTCTGGTAGCTTTAGACATTAGAAATCTCAAGCTATGTGGAAATTTTTAAAATAGAATTACCAAAAAAAAAAATGGCTCCTCTTGGCAGACAGATTAGAAAAAAGAGGTCAACCTCCAGATGGATGCAGTCCTGTGCAGGGCACAAGGCTTGGTGAGAAGAGCATGAGCTTAATTTCATTCCCACATCCCTTTAGCCAGGCGCCATTGTGTGGAGCACAAAAAAAGCCCTGCAGCCCTGCTGCCCATACCTAGAAGCTTGAGTCCTGCCTGCTGTTATTGCTGCCTGTGGACACTAGGGGGCAGGGCAACTATGTAAATTAGGCCTTCCCTTGCGTTCTTGGGAGGGTCTGATGTGGTGGCCCACGGACGTGGGCTGGACTTCACCTTCAGGTAAAATCCGTTAGCTCCCAGAAGTTCCCAGGCTTAGCTGGTCTGGGAAATTAATTGCTCATTAATCTCTTTGAGACAGAAGAATTGGGCTGCCAACTCATTTGACTGGTAAAACTAACCCAGTTTCCTACAAGTTTGTTTATATCTTGCCAAGTGGAGCTATGGAATGTTTCTTAAAGCAGTTTAGAAATCTGAAAAAATCCAGTATAGTCCACATCACTCCAGTATAATTCCAACATATTCTGGCTTGCAAAAGGGATCCCACCGTATTGCCAGTCAGCCAGCTAGGGAAGAGTGTGATTTATGCAGTGTTTCCTTAGAACCCAATGTTTCCAGTTATAATTGTATCTGAGCAATCTGAGTCTAGTGGCCTCCCTTGTTAATCTCTTAGGTGGCAGCACCAATGGGGTTGAGAAGACAGGTCCGGATGATTGTGAGAATAGTTCCACAGCCTCCTTGCCTGTCACTGAGTGCACAGGGCACAGAGTACAAGCATTGCTTCCTAGTGGCTACTAGGTGGCCTCTAGCATCCCCAGCCTCGGGGACCATGTCAGCTCTGTCCAAGAGGATGGGCAGATTGTGTGAAGGTGTCAGGAGACTAGCAGAATGACATTTGGGAAAGATTTCTGAGTGCCAGATGGAAGGACATGGCTACAATAGGGCATGGCAGCAGAAGGAGACAGAGGGGAGCGTAGAGAGCCAGTGTGCTGTGTCAACCGGGGCTCAGAGAACCAAGGTGAATGGAATTAAGACAACTGAAGTGAAGCAGAAGGAGGCAAATCCAGAACAGAGGGACCCAATGCCCCCGTGGGGTTGTGTCATGTTGGTATTTCTCTGGAAAGACTGTGTCTAGTTAGTGCATGGGGCCAGGATGAGGAAAATAACAGTAAAGCATTCTGTACTTTTCTAGGCTGTCTCAGTCCTATGTAAAGGTGGTGGGGGATTTGCCCTGAAAGGTGTTCTGCAAGCCCCCCTCTCAGGATAACTATATTTGCGTGGTCAGCCTGGTACCCTGAATTATTATTGTTATTTTTAATTACAAACATGTGCTTTGAATCATTAACACAAGAGAGGTCTTGTGGAAGCCAAGACTGGCTGTGCAGCCGCGGATGAAGCCTGCTTTGCAGCAGAGGGCAGCATCCACTGGTTATAGTTCATTCCTGACCTGAACAAGCCTAGTGAAAACTTTAGGGAGATTGAACAGGGGAGGAGGATGTGGTCTGGAAAATGGGAAGGGGGTGGATTTCCTCATGTTTCATCTTCTCTTGCAATGTCATGGTGTATCTGGGGACTCGGTTGTTACTGAGCACTTCTCTCCATTGAGTACAGTAAAAAGTCATAGAGGAACCAAAGAAGCTGACAAGGACTTTGAGGGATTTTTGTTGTTGTTGTTTAATCCCCAAGGAACCTTGGATAAAAGAATGATTACTTTTGCAGGAAAAGTAGCTACTAGGATTGTTTGTGGTGTGGATTTCTTTTTTGTGACATGTAAAAACACTGGTTTTAATCTAGTTTTAACACCCTGAAAATGGTTTATCTCAATATGTGCTCATCTTCCTTCCCCTTTCCAAGGGGGCCCTCCTCAAGTTCCCCTATCAGTAGCTGTCTCACTTCCTCTTAAAAGTCCCCACCCAGTAGCTGCCACATTTCACTTTGGGAAGAGGAGTAACTAAGAATGGGTAAGCTGGCTCAGAGCTTCCTTGCCCTCCTTGTCAGGGGCTCAAATTGATCTGGATCCCCTCTCCCCAAGGTTATCCAGTAACATTACAGGGACCTGAGTGTCTGCAACTGAAGTGAACTCTTGGAGAAAGGCTTGTGTATGACTTGTACCCCTTTTGGCCCAAGAAAACTCAGACAAGTCTTAGCCACTTACTCATTGTAAGAAGCAGATACGGTGTTTGAACAGAGGTCTTTTGATTGCAAATTTAGCCCTCGCTTTATGACATTGGGAGGGTCTTCTGAATAATAGAAACTTGATTAATGCCCATTGAGAGGTCATGTATATGACACAGTGGTTAAAATCCCAGTGTCTGACAACTGATGTGTGTATGTGTGTGTGTGTGTGTGTGTGTGTGTGTGTGTGTGTGTTAAAGTATACATAACATAAAATGTACCATTCTAATCATTTCTGAGTATATAATTCAGTGGCATTAAGTCTATTCACAGTGCTGTACAATCACTACTATCTATTTCCAGAACATTGTCATCATCTCAAACAGAAACTCTGCACTGACAACTAGTTTTCAATTCAGGTTCTGCCACTTAGTAGCTGTGTAAACTTGTACAGAGTCCTTAATTTCTCAGGGCCTCAACTTCCTCATTTATAAGAAGAAGATAGTAATAGTACCTGCTTCATATGATTGATTGTGTGTATATAGTAATATTTATTCATATTAATGACTAATATCAATTGATTTGTTAATTGATGAATATTTATTCCGTATTTACTGAGTTTTTACTCTGTGTCAAGCACTATGCTTTAACTAGTGAGTGACAGGGTGAAGACTTAAACTCAGATTGGCTTGACCTTAGGGCTTGCATCTGTACTGCTTTTACTGTGAGGATTCAGTGAGATAAGGATGCTCAGTGCCTGCCACACAGCATTCCCTCAACCAATGCTAGCTAGTTATTTTAGTTATTTCTTTTTTTTAGAGATGCAGGTCTTCCCTCTGTTACCCAGGCTGACCTAGAACCCCTGGCCTCAAGTGATTCTCCCACCTCAGCCTCCCGAGCAACTGGGACTACAGGTGCAAGCCACTACTACACCCAGCTTAAATGCTATTTTATGGTTATCATTACTGCTGTCAAATTGAGTTTGAAACTCGTGCCTTAACTTCTCTGGTGACAGTAAGTTGCTCTCTCCTCCTGCACAGGGAATGTCACAAATAGCAATAAATTTTCCCTCCGTTTACGTAGGAAAAAGAGGTAGGCAGCCTCTCTGATGGATGTCTGACTAACCACATCTATTTGCCACCCAAGAACTGCCACCCTGGTCGGGTGTGGTGGCTCATGTTTGTAATCCCAGAACTTTGGGAAGCCAAGGCGGGCGGATCACTTGAGGTGAGGAGTTCGAGACCAGCCTGGTCAGTATGGTGAAACCCCATCTCTGCTAAAAATACAAAAAAATTAGCTGGGTGTGGTGGCGCATGCCTGTAGTCCCAGCTACCTGGGAGGCTGAGGAAGGAGAATGGTTTGAACCCGGGAGGTGAAGGTTGCAGTGAGCCGAGATCGTGCCACTGCACTCCAACCCGGGCAACAGAGCAAGACTCTGTCTCAAAAAAACAAACAAACAACAAAAAAAAAAGAAAAGAAAAGAAAAGAAAGAAAAGAAAAAAAAAAAAAAAAAGAAGAACTGACACCCTAGCTGCATGGCTGGAGGATATCCATCTCTTTCTCCATTTTTCGCCCCTTGTAGGCCAGGCGCCTGGCAGGGCAAGCAGTGACAAAGGCTATCTTCGAAGGGTGAAGAAGAATGAAGGAAAAATCCCTTTTAGCCCCTGATTTCCATAGCTACTCTCACCTCCCCTCCTCTACCCACTACCAAGACCCCTGCCTCCCCTGCAGGCAGTAGATAACAGTGTCAAGGGAGAGAAAAAGGGAGAGAATCCTATCCTTCTCAGCCAGTCATGCTACCCCTGAAGTTTTCCCACCTCACCCTCTTGTTCTTTCAGTGCCAGTCTCTTGCTTGGGCTGGCCACAAATGAGAGAGAAGAGAATAGAGAAGTGGGACAGAATGGGGAAAATTGGGGGACTCTGTTCCCTATCTCCTGCTCACTTCCCAGCCCTCACCAGGGCTTCTCTTCCAAATTCACAAACCTATTCTAGATCCCAGCATCCTTTCCCCAGCAACTCACAGTCTTCAATCCGCTGGACTATCCATCTTTACCCCCTCACCCAGAACCACCTGAATGAGGGGAGTCATTGTCCAGCTCCAAGCAGTTCCAACAAGTTGTCCCTATTCCTGCTGTCAAGGATAGCCTGGGACCTTCCGGTTAGTTACATATCTGGATTCTCCCCTCATACTCTGTCTCAATAGGAGGGATTATTTGCCATTTCTAGACCACAACCCATGTTTTCCTACTTCCATGCTTTTGCTTCCATAATTACTTCTCCTTGAAACAAACTACCCCCTTTACTGTCATTGTTCATCTCAACTTCAACTGCTTTCAAAAAGCTTTCCCCTGTTTCTCCTTCCCAGAAGGGATATCTTCCTCTTTTTGATCTTCATTGTTTCCCATATGTATCTCTCTGAATGTACCGCTCTTCCCTGCATATACTACAAGAGGCCACTTCAGATAGCTTCTTATAGTCTCTCATGCTAATGTTTTATTTCTCCTAACAAGATAAATAACTGTCTTAGAGGCAAAGACTCTTCTTGAATTACATTTTTACCCCTTGCAATACCTTGCACATAGGAAACACTTGGTGAATACTTAATCCAAATAGCATTTTCCCTAGAAACATGGGTAGGTTTTGATTACTTTATTGATTTGGGAGGTGACCCTGGGGGCTCAGCCACTGTGAGAAACAGTGATTCCATTTATGGGAAAATGCAGGTAAGCTTTAAACAGTGAATTTCAGCATGCACAGCCTGTTTATAAATTGGGGTTGGACTAGATTGACAGCAGCAAAAGAACGCAACTGGTCATCTGCAAGTTGAGCGTTCCACCAGCAGAGGGCAACATTGGTAGCATCCAAACCAAAACAACCTTGAGCCCATGTTCCCTTCCCCCCAATTTATTTTTCTTTTTTTTCCATCACTGGGAGGAGAAAGGGGATTGATTCTCTGGCAGACAATAGAACCCCCCATCAGTTTTGTGGAAATTTGGGGTTCGGCTAGGAGGTGGCTGAAGAAAAAAAGGGGGAAGTTTGCCCCAATATACATTAAATTCCCTCTCATTGGATCCAAGTCAATACAATTCTTTAAATTTTGATATGATAGCATACATTAAAATGACATAAAATGAAAAATGACATATTGTAACTTGTAGTGCTTATGTTTTTTAAATCACTTTGCCCAAAGATTCTTTTTGATTGGATTTTCATAGGCCTTTACAGGCGAAAGGGAATTTAAAGGAGTGGGTACTCTAACACTTGGGGCTGTTGGGATTCAGAAAACAATACCCCAAAATGAAGGCCTCAGCAGCATCCACAGGAGCAGAAGTTTTTCTCTGACCTTCTCCTGCCCTCCTGTCTCTCAGTCCCTTTCTCACCCAAGGCTAGCCAAGGAAACTAGAATCGCTCTTCCCCAAAACAGGTCATGGAAACCAGAACCCCTCTCCCCCAAAGCCAGACACAAAACGTAAAAATACTGCTCTAATTTTCCTTCCACTTTTCTGTGTCAAAACCAGCCATAAAGAAATGATGTGACCTACCTTGTTTGACTGTAGGTCATAAGACCTCCCATTCCAGAGAGGGTCCTGCCCCACACCCAGAAGGAAGGAATGCGTGCTCAGAGAGGCCTAAAAGAATCTAGAGAGGACTTGCTGGGTTTCCTCCACTCAAGTCTATTCATTAGATCATACTCTTTTTGTCCAACCACATTTCCACACGGCTGTCCATACTTTGTTGAACCTAAGCATAAAAATGGACAACTTCTGTATCCTTGAGTCTTCAGAATGAAGACTCCCATACATGTTAAATAAATTTGTATGCCTTTTCTCCTGCTCATTTGCCTCTTGTCAGTGATTTTTAGTGAAACTTCAGAGGGTGAATGGGAAGTTTTCCCTTGGCCCTACAGGGACCTTGTGGAGTTTTGTTTTGTTTTGTTTTTTTCCCTTTAAATATTTCAGGCATGGCTGGGTGCAGTGGCTAACACCTGTAATCCCACCACTTTGGGAGGCCAAAGGGGGCGGATCACCTGAGGTTAGAAAGATGAGACCAGCCTGGCCAACATAGTGAAACCCTGTCTCTACTAAAAACACAAAAATTAGCCAGGCGTGGTGGCACACACCTGTAGTCCCAGCTACTCAGGAGGCTGAGGCAGAAGAATTGCTTGAACCCGGGAAGTGGAGGTTGCAGCGAGCTGAGATGGAGCCACTGCACTACAACCTGGGCAACAGAGCAAGACTTCATCTCAAAGAAAAACAAAAAATAATAATAATAAAATAATAAAGGAATCAAATCAAAACTTCACAGATACAGCACTGATTACATGGGTACACCTTCAATTTATTATATATATATATATATATATATATATATATATATATTACATTTCAGTAACATTTACCAAAAGGTGACTGATACAAATGAGGTCTCCGTGTATTATCCTGCTCTCATCCTCCTACTATCTACAAAGACCCTGAATGTGAACATTGTCCTTCTTGTGCACATTTTTGTACTTTTACGTCATATAAGTGCATCCATAAACAATATGTAGTGTTCTTCTGCGTCTTTTTAAACTGCATGTAAATGGTGACCTGAGTATATTCCTCTTCACCTTGTTAGTTTTACTCCACACTGCTTTGTATATTATTATAGACACCAGGCATGCATTAGCAAATAAATGGTTGTAAGAAATGTATCTACGTTTATAAACATTTACACTGTGATTACTTTTCTTTTGCACTTTGAGCTATTCTACTTAAAACTTCCTTTTAAGAAGTGATTACATTTGGGAGAATTTCCAACTTGGGGAAAGCTCTAGAAAACGGTCTCTACTCCTCCTGCCAGGCCTCTACTCTCTATCCAAGACTATACCCAACACATGCTTGTTTAAAGCTTTAATATATTCAACCAGAAATTTCAAACAACGAACACTTCCTGAAAGGTATCCTTGACATGCAAAGTTATGAGGGAAGGTATTAGGATGCATACAAAAATGTTATACAGGCAACTCTGATTTCTCCTGAAATGTTAATGAGTTATCACACGATTCAATTCTGCATCTAGAATTTTTTTAAGCCTCCACTCTCAAACAGGGGCATATGAAGGCAAATTGAAGCAAACCAGTTAGGAAAACATTTTCCATACAAATTTTGATATCATTTCCTATTAAGAAGAGAAAAAGGGCCGGGCGCTGTGGCTCACGCCTATAATCCCAGCACTTTGGGAGGCTGAGGCAGGCGGATCATGAGGTCAGGAGATCGACACCATCCTGGCTAACACGGTGAAACCCCGTGTCTACTAAAAATACAAAAAAAAAAAAAATTAGCCGGGCATGGTGGCGGGCGCCTGTAGTCCCAGCTACTCGGGAAGCTGAGGCAGGAGAATGGTGTGAACCCGGAAGGCATAGGTTGCAATGAGAGGAGATCGCGCCACTGTATTCCAGCCTGGGTGACAGATCGAGACTCCGTCTCAAAAAAAGAAAAAAAAAAAGAAGAGAAAAAGGCTGGGCGCTGTGTCTCACTCCTCTAATCCCAACACTTTGGGAGGCTGAGGTGGGCAGATCGGTTGATCTTATGAGTTCAAGACCAGCCTGGCCAATGTGGCAAAACCCCATCTCTACTAAAAAATAAAAAATAAAAATAGCCAGACGTGGTGGCACATGCCTGTAGTCCCAGCTACTTGGGAGGCTGAGTTGGGAGGATCACTGAGTCTGAGGAGGTTGAAGCAGCAGTGAACCGTGATAACAATACTCCAGCCTGGGTGACTGAGTGAGACTGTGTGTGACCCTGTCTCAAAAAAAAAAAAGAAGAAGAAGAAGAGAAAAAAATCCTCAGATAACCCTCCTCCCATTACCCTCAACACTTGCACCATTTGTTTTACGCAAATGACTGTTTTTCAGGGTCAAAACCAAGTTATCACACAACTTTTCTGTCATTACCTGATAAAGCTATAACAAACTAGTACTGTTCTTCTTAGAAATATTTCCAGGTTAGATATATGAGTATTGCCAGGGAAAAATGCGTTTAAATTTATATCTAAAGATCGGGACCGGGCTTGGTGGCTCATGCCTGTAATCCCAGCACTTTGGGAGGCCGAGGCGGGTGGATCACGAGGTCAAGAGTTTGAGACCTGCCTGACCAACATGGTGAAACCCTGTCTCTACTGAAAATACAAAAATTAGGTGGGCGTGGTGGCGCGTGCCTGTAATCCCAGCTACTCAAGAGGCTGAGGCAGGAGAATCGCTTGAACCCGGGAGGCGGAGGTTGCAGTGAGCCGAGATCCTGCTACTGCACTCTAGCTTGGGCGACAGAGTGAGGCTCTGTCTCAAAAAAAAAAAAAAAAAAAAAAAAGGAATTCTAGGCATTTTGAAGAGTGCCTCATTTTTCAAAGGAGAAACCCTCAATTTACAACTCTGCAACATGGGGCATCTCACAACTCATTTTACTCACTGGAGTTTTCTTTCCTTTAATACCCTCATCTAATTTTTTTTTTTTTTTTTTGAGACAGGGTCTTGCTCTGTCACCCAGGCTGAAATGCAGTGTCATGATCATAGCTCACTGTAACCTCTGCTTCCTGGGTTCAAGTGGTCCTCCCACCTCAGCCTCCCAGGTAGCTGGGACCAGAGTTGCATGCCACCACACCCAGCTAATTTTTGTATTTTTTGTAAAGACGGGGTTTCACCCTGTTCCCCAGGCTGATCTCAAACTCCTGGACTCAAGCAATCTGCCCACCTTGGTCTCCCCGATCCCTCTCAATCTTAGGGATCAGCCGCTAAAGGAATACTGTTTTGGTTGAATTTTGCAATCCCTGGGGTGGAGATGAAAGGGTTGGATGGGAAGGGCAAATCTAAGTCAAATAATCGACACAGTCTTTGCTATAGCTATTTCTTCCTATAATTGAAATGAGTGAGTTTTTACTTTTCCCAAAGAACAATTAAAGGAATAGAAAAGCACTAAAATAGTCATTAGTAGATTTGTAAATACTCCCTGTGGTAGGAAAAAAGAACATTTCTGCCATAGATTAATTCCTGTAGTCAGCAAATAGTTATTGAATATTCTCTGTGTGCTGCTCATTGTCCGTAGGTACTGAGGGCACAGCAGTGAGCAAGATTGACAACATTCTGTCCTTGTAGAGTTGATGTTCTAGTAGGGAGAGACTGAAACAATAAACAAGATTATTTTAGATAGTGGAAAGTGCTACGTAGAAAACAAAATAGGGTAATGTGATGGTGGGGATGGGTAATTAGTTTAGATGGAGTGGTCAGGGAAGGCCTCTCAGAGGAGGTACCCTTTGAGCAGAGTCCTGAATAAAAGTGTGTCAGTCAACAAATATTAGTATAGTTATTATATGACTCAGTCATGTAACTCTTACATATATACCCAAGAGAAATGAAAACCTATGCTCATACAAAAACTTGTACACAAATGTTCATAGCAATATTATTCATAATTGTCAAAAAGTGGAAACAACCTAAATGTTCATCAACCAATTAGTGGATAAACAAAATGTGGTATAACCGTACAATGGAATATTATTCCACTACAAAATGGAATGAAGTTGTGCTATAACATGACCTTTGAAACCATTATGCCAGTTGAAATAAACCAGTCACAAAAGGCCATGTATTGTATGATTCCATTTATATGAAATTTCCGGAATAGACAAATTTATGGAGACAGGTAACACATTCATGGTTGGTGAGGAGAAGAGGAATAAGGGGTAATAGCTAAAAGATCTGGGGGTTCTTTTTGGGGTGAAGAAAAGTGTGAAATTAGATAGTGATGATGATTTCACAACTTTGAATATATTAGAAACCATGGGTTTATATACTTTCAAATTGGTGAATTTTATTGTATGTGAATTATATTTCAATAAAGAAATATAAAAATTGGATCATGGGCTGGGCACGGTGGCTCACGCCTGTAATCCCAGCACTTTGTGAGGCCGAGATGGGTGGATCACCTGAGGTCAGGAGTTCAAGACCAGCCTGGCCAACATGGTGAAACCCTGTCTCTACTAAAAATACAAAAATTAGCTGGGCTTGGTGGCTGGCACCTGTAATCCCAGCAACTCAGGAGGCTGAGGCAAGAGAATTGCTTGAACCCAGGAGGCAGAGGTTGCAGTGAGCCAAGATCATGTCACTGCACTCCAACCTGAGCAACACAGCAAGACTCCGTCAAAAAAAAAAAAAAGGATCAGATCATGAATGCCTGAGAAACAGTACTTTGCTACTCATTTCACAGTGACAGAAAAAACATTAAAAAAAAAAAGAGTGAGTCAGTCATATGGTGATGTGAGGGAAAGGGGTTTTAGGCAGAGAGAACAACAAGTGCAAAGGCCCTGACGGTGGGGAGAGCTTGGTTTATTTGAGGAACAGAAAGCAGCTGGGTATGGCTGCTGTTGAGCAAGTGAGGGAGAGGGTGATGAAAGATAAGGTGGGAGAAGTAGGTAAAGACCAGAAAGTATAGGGTTTTTTACACCATTTTAATGAGTTTGGATTTTTTTCTCAACATAGTGAGAAAGCATTGGAGAGTTTCAAGCAAGGGAATTACATGATCTGGTTTAAAAATGTTTAAGATTCCTCTGACTGCCAGGTGGAGAATAGTTTGTGAAGTGGGATAAAAGTAGAGGTGGGTAGAGAAGCTACTGCAGTAGAGAAGCAGGTGGTGTCGGTAGCCTGGACGAAGGAGGTAACAGAGGAGATGGGGAGAAGCAGGTGGATTCAGGACATACTTGGGAGGCAGAATCATCAGGACACACTGACATAGAGTGTGAGGTGGGAGGGAGGGAAAAAGAGAAATTGGGTATAACTTCTAGATTTTTGGTATGAATTACAAATAAATAATTGTTCTTGTTTCAGATATCTTTAGAGCTCTTTTTGGCTATGTGAAAACTTAAGACTGTATCTAGTTATAACTCAGGAATGCAATATGTAGGTCTGTCCTTGTTTCTTTAGTTACTCATTCAGTACTATATTGCAGTTTCACCCTTTGCTCTCTCAAATAATCCAACCTCCATCAATAGCTGTGTGATCATAATAATGAACGGTCTTTTAATCTTAATTTTACACTTCATTGTTATTATGTTATTATTTCCTCCTGCTATTTTCTCTTGCTGCCTACTTATAAACGTGGACTTTCCAGAACATTCTTCACAGAACTTTCTGTGAAGGCCACTGCCTGACCACTTGTGTCTGCCAGTGAGTTCAGCAACGCAGGGTTCCAAGGAGCTACATCAGGCCATTTTTCCTGGGAGTTGCCCATGGCTTTCATCTGTGGTTTTCAATTACTTTTGCTATTCCTCTTTCCATCAGCATAGCTAATTAAGTTGGCTCCAAGTCTCTGGTAAAAAGGTTTTATAATGAAGAAGGAAAATCTGGTCAACTTATTTCATACAATTCAGCTAAAAGGCTGTACACCAGTCACTTAATAAGGTCACGATAATGTATTTTTTCTCTTGTATGCATTTCAGTTTTATAAAGCGTCGGTTTCTAAATTGCTTTTTAAATTAATGAATATTTCTAAATACAACAGACTTCTTGTGAAGAAATCAAGTCAGTAGCATTAACTTAATCTTTGATTTTATTAGTTGTACAGAATCATGCAGTTTCTCATTAAGCTACTTAGAAGGTGCTCACCTTTCTTTCGGGCACTGTTTATCTAAGTCTTGAAAGAGACCCTTTTGCACTCAATGTGTCTGAAATGTGTTTCATTACTTTTCCCTCAAGCCTGATTTCCCCTGTGCCTTCTGTTCTAATAAACAGCACTCCCATCCAACCAATCAACTGAGTCAGAAACCTCCCCCTCATCTCGCACATTTGATCAGTTGCTAAGTCTTTTCACCTACCTCCTAAATGTCCCACTCGTGTGCCCAGCTGTCCATTTCCATTCATCTCCAATGCCACTGCTCTGGCTCAGGCCTCTCTTTTACCTGGAATATTGCAATAGTGTCCTGACAAGCCCCCTCTTCTATTAGTCATCTTCCTCCCCAAGCCATTCTTCCTGCTGCTGTCACAGTGACTTTTCTAAATGCAAATCTGATTTTTAATCTCCTGCCTAAAAGCTTTCAATGGCTCCCTATAGCTTGTTGGATAACATCCAAACCCTTAGCACAGCACACACAGCCTTCCAATATTTGTACTTTGCTCACTTTTCCAACATCACCTTCAACATAGGGAACATAGATATTTCTTATGCTCTAGGTAACTGAGTTACTTACAGCGCCCCTAAATATGTTATGAGTTTTATGTCCCATTGACTTGGTAGATGTTGTTTCTCTGCCCAGAAAAACGCTTTCCTTTTCCTCCTAACCTTATCCCCCAGCAAACTCCTATTCTCTTTCAAGACCAAGCTCCAATGTCTTCTCTGTGAAACTTTCTGAGATCCAATCCTTGGCTCTCATAGAGACTAGGTGCTTAATGAATGCTGATGAACAGGTAAGTGCATAAATTAAAGGTAGCTCATGGGATCAAGGGTGGGCAATATGGCATAAAGGGTTATGAATGAGGACTTCAGGGCATTGAAGGATGTGAGAAGTTCAGCCAGAGAGGTTGGATTAGCGATAGGAAGAGGAGGAAACTTGCAGAGAACAGAGGAATGGACAAAGACAGGTTTATGGTTTCCCTGGTTCAGGGTGACTTTCTTATACTTATTTCTTTCACAAAGTGAAACATGGTTACTACTGAGCTGAAGTTGCTGAAAGAGGAAAGTCACTGAGATAGGCCTTTTATAAAGAGGAAGGAAGATAAAGTCATATTGAGATAGGCATCATTTTTTGTTACAAATTCAGTCAAATGTTTCCACATAGCCCCCAAAAAAGTTCACCCTACAAGCAACTCTAGACGTGTTTATTGTTTTAGTATCTCCTCTTCCTGCTCACATAATGTGGAAAGGTTACTTTTCAACCAAGAAACTTTGGAAAGAAAGTTAAAGTCCCTGAGAGCCTATAGAGTTCCCACTATGACTTTTAACCACATTCAATGTAGGGAAGAGATGTGCAGTAATAGCTCAGCCCTCAGATATTCTATGATGCTAAAATAACAAATACCTCTAGAATGTTAGAGCTAGAAGTGCTCTTGAAGGTCATTTGATTTAAATATTTAAATAGATGAGAAACCAAGGCACAGAGAGCTCGGGTTAGTAGCAGGTTGTAATGGGGAAGACAGAAAAATAGACAATTTACAGCACCATGGAGCACGAATGAGAGTAGTATGCTAAGGTACTATGGGAGGACAGAGGAGAGGCATGCAGCAGAGCTTAGGGATGGAATGGAGAGGTGTCAAGGAAGGAAGTCTTCCTAGAAACCTTAAGTGTCTTAAAGAAGAGCAAAAGTTAGCTTGGAGAAATTTTCTCCTCTCCTGGCCTCTTTTGTATCCTATATTGTTTGTTTTACTAACTTGACACAGGTTTTGTGATGGATTGATGAAATATGTCTTGCCTTTCCCATCACATTTTAAGTTTTAGAAGGAAGGAGACTGTCCTTTACTCTTGTATTGCCTCTTAGTGCCTAGCTTCTTGTATACATACATGGTAGATAATAAACAAATACTAGTTAAGTGAATGGATAAATGAGTAGAGGAATAATTATATTTACTGAGTGCTTATATGTTTTAACTCATTGAAATCTCACATAAATTCTATGACAGAGGAACTATCATCTCATTTAACAGATGAGAAAAGTAAGGTAAAGGGAGATTACTTACTATACAAGTGGAAAGAACAGGGAATCAAGAATTTTGAGTTCTGGACCTCAATAGAAGTAGACTAGCAACCATTTGTGGTAAGTGGGTTAAGCTGTTTAAGCCTCTATTTCTCCCTGATTATGTATTATAATCGGACTGCACTAACGCAAATAGAACTTCACTGGTAATGGTGGGAAATGACTGATCAGAGACATAGTTTGGCTTTGGAACTGAAGGACAGCAAGATAATTTGAATATAACTTTGCATTGTTTCTGTCAAATTTTCATGTTCCAACCAGTTAGGGAGTCAGCTTGCCCTCTTCTTTCTCACCTTTAGTCAGTGATTTTTCAACTGCTACCAAAAATCTAAGAACCTAAGCATTGCCCAAATCTTGGCCAGGGGTGGTGGCTCACGCCTGTAATCTCAGCACTTTCGGAGGCCGAGATGGGCAGATCACGAGGTCAGGAGATCAAGACCATCCTGGCCAACATGGTGAAACCCCGTCTCTACTAAAAATACTAAAATTAGCTGGGCATGGTGGCACGTGCCTGTAATCCCAGCTACTTGGGAGGCTGAGGCAGGAGAATCGCTTGAACCCTGGAGTCGGAGGTTGCAGTGAGCCAAGATCACGCCACTGCACTCCAGCCTGGCGACAGAGTGAGACAACGTCTCAAACAAAGAGAAAAAGCATTGCCCAAATCTCACCTTTCATCACCCCAAGCTGGCTGGAGCCCACCCCATAGCCTGTCCAGGTGGGCAGATCTGCCTTTTGAGCAGTTGGCCCAAGGTTTATTTCAGGCCAATATAACAGCTGCATTTCTTTTAGGTTAAATATGTTATACCACAATGAAGCAAAAAGCTGAAATCTTACAAACATTTCATGGAGATATTCTTCCAATGAAAAGATACTGAACTCTGAGGTTTGTTTGTTTATTTATTTATTTATTTTTGAGACAGGCTCTCACTCTGTCACTCAGACTGGAGTGCTGTGGTGCAGTCATGCCTCACTGCAGCCTCGACCTCTCAACCTCAATTGATCTGCCCACCTCCAGGCTTGTGCTACTGAAAGGAGACAACCTGCTGGCAGCCCTGGCAGCCCTAGCTTGCTCTCGGCGCCTCCTCAGCCTTGGCGCCCACTCTGGCCACGCTTGAGGAGCCATCCAGCCTGCCGCTGCACTGTGGGATCCCCTTTCTGGGCTGCGCAAGGCCGGAGCCGGCTCCCTCAGCTTGCAGGGAGGTGTGGAGGGAGAGGCGCGGGCGGGAACCCAGGCTGCGCGTGGGGCTTGCTGGGCTTGTGGGCCAGCGCGAGTTCCAGGTGGGCGTGGGCTCAGCGGGCCCGCACTCAGAGCGGCCAGTCGGCCCGCAAGCCCCCAGCAGTGAGGGGCTTAGCACCTGGGCCAGCAGCTGCTGTGCTCAATTTCCCGCCAGGCCTTAGCTGCCTCCCGGCGGGGCAGGGCTCGCAACCTGCCGCCCGCCATGCCTGAGCCTCCCCGCCCTCCGTGGGCTCCTGGGCTGCCCGAGCCTCCCGGAGGAGCGCCACCCCCTGCTTCAAGGCGCCCAGTCCCATCGACCACCCAAGGGCTGAGGAGTGAGGGCGCACGGCGCGGGACTGGCAGGCAGCTCCACCAGCGGCTCCTGTGCGGGATCCACTGGGTGAAGCCAGCTGGGCTCCTGAGTCTGGTGGGGACTTGGAGAACCTTTATGTCTAGCTAAGGGATTGTAAATACACCAATCGGCACTCTGTATCTAGCTCAAGGTTTGTAAACACACCAATCAGCACCCTGTGTCTAGCTCAGGGTTTGTGAATGTACCAATCTACTCTCTGTATCTAGCTACTCTGGTGGGGACTTGGAGAACCTTTGTGTGGACACTCTGTATCTAGCTAATCTAGTGGGGAGGTGGAGAACTTTTGTGTCTAGCTCAGGGATTGTAAACACACCAATCAGCACCCTGTCAAAACAGACCAATCAGCTCTCTGTAAAACAGACCAATCGGCTCTCTGTAAAATGGACCAATCAGGAGGATGTGGGGGGGGGGCCATATAAGAGAATAAAAGAAGGCTGCCCGAGCCAGCAGCGGTAACGCGCTTGGGTCCCATTCTACAGTGTTGAAGGTTTGTTCTTTCGGTCTTTACGATGAATCTTGCTGCTGCTCACTCTTTGGGTTCACACTCCATTTATGAGCGGTAACACTCACCACGAAGGTCTGCAGTTTCACTCCTGATCCAGTGAGACTACGAACCCACCAGAAGGAAGAAAGAAGAAACTCTGAACACATCCAAACGTCAGAAGGAACAAACTCTGGACACGCCGCCTTTAAGAACTGTAACACTCACCGCGAGGGTCTGCGGCTTCGTTCTTGAAGTCAGTGAGACCAAGAACCCACCAATTCTGGACACACTACCATGATCATATATATTTATATTTATATTTATATTTATATTTATATTTATATATTTTTTAGATGGAGTCTCACTATTTTGCCCAGACTGGCCTAGGGTTTAATAGGACTTTCATTTACATTTCTAACTATTTTATCACAAGTTGGCCTGGTGGTTTGTTTATTTGTGTGTTTGTTTGTTTGGAGTTTGTATAAAAATGTAAATTCCTCTGCTAAACACATCTGGCACTCCACAATCTGCCCTCTCTTAATCTCATGGCCTTTCCCAGCATGGATTGTTGGCTCTAGTTATACTGATCTTTCCATAGATCTCCTGCAGGGTATGTTCAGCCCTGCTTTTCCTGAGTCATTCTGCTGGTCCTTAGGGCCCACTCACACATCATCTAGCAATCCCTAATCCACAGCTGCTTTTAAGAGTTTTAGTTGTAAAAAAGAACAAGATTCTTTTGTGGGAACATGGTTGGAGATAGAGGCGATTATCCTTAGCAAACTAATGCAGGAACAGGAAACCAAATACCACGTTTTCACTTACAAGTGGGAGCTAAACGTTGACAACTCATGGACGCATAGAGGGGAACAATACACACTGGGGACTACTTGAGGGTGGAGGGTGGGAGGAAGGAGAAGATCAGAAAAAGTAATTATTGGGTACTAGGCTTAGTACCTGGGTGTAGAAATGATTTGTATACCAAACCCCCGTGACACGAGTTTACCTATGTAACAAACCTTCATGTGTATCCCTGAACCTAAAAGTTTTTTGAAAAAGGGTTTTAGTTGTTAATTCTCTTTGTACTTCTATGGAGCACTTGACTTGCTCCCTACAATGTTGTTCTTGTTTGCATATGCCAGGGTGTGCCACTGATTCAAGAAATGCTGGAATCTTGGGCAAGTATTTGCAAAGTTCCCAAGTATCCAAATGCCGAAGCAGTGCGGCCAGAAGAGCAAACACGTACAGACAGAGACACGGGAATGCCATTAGCTTTAATATATGAACAAGAGATTGCTAAAGTCATCTAAGCCAGGTAGCAATCAGCGCTGGCATTGATTTGCTGCCAAATCTTCCATTGAGAACATATAGAGCAGCAATGACTTCTAACATCATGATCCTATTTTTTATTGTTGTTTGTTTTCACCCTAAAATGGAAACTGGTAACTGTTTTATCAGATGGAAAGGAAAAAAAGCTAGGAACGACAACCAGAGACTGTAAATGGAGAGTAGAAAGCAAAAACAAAAACAAAAAAAGTAGAGAAGGTAAAAAGAACTACTGGATGGCTCTTTCACTACTTGGCTCTGTGATCTTGGGCAAGGCATGTCACATTTTTCTGCCTCCAGTTCCTCATTTCAAAAGTCTCTTCTGGGGCAGAACTTGTCAATCAGGAAAAATTGAAATTGGACTAAGTATTAACTAACTTTAGAAAATCATTGCTGATTTTGTTAGAATGGTATTGTGATTCTGTTTTGAAAAACAATCTGTTAGAGATACATACTGATCTATTTATGAATGAAATGACATAATGTCTGGGATTTGCTTTAAAATGCTCATTCCCTCCAAAAAACTTTATTTTAACTAGGGAGAGGGTTGGATAGATGAAACAAGAATGGCAAAATATTGATGATTGTTAAAACTAGGCAATGAATGCATGGGAGTTCATTATATAAGTCTCTCTAACTTTGTATATGTTTGAAATAATTGTCACTAATGAAATGTTAAATTAAAAAAATAGGTTTTTTATTTCAAAGGAAGAAGAGACAGAACATGAAAATTGTATGAAAGGCCTGGGGAATAAAGTCAGTTAACCTAAGAACTAGGTTATAGAACATGAACTTACCTAGAACATGTATTCTATCTATGTTCATTTTTAGCCATCAAATTACCCTTATAAATAATATATGACAACAACTATTGCATGGAATATGTATATGTATATTTAGATGAAGTCTCACTCTGTCACCCAGGCTGGAGTGCAGTGGTGGGACCTTGGCTCACTGCAGCTTCTGCCTCCTGAGTTCAAGCGATTCTTGTGCTTCAGCCTCCTGAGTAGCTGGGATTATAGGCATGCCTGGCTTTTATATATATATATATGATTTATATATAAATATATATGTATATAGATATTATTTATATATATATGTATAGATATTATTTATATATATGTGTATATATAATATTTATATATAAATATATATGTATATATAAATATATATATTTTAGTAGAGATGAGGCGCTCGCTCTCTATATATATATATTTATATTTATTTTAGTAGAGATGTGGCTTCTCCATGTTGGCCAGGCTCAAACTCTTGACTTCAGATCATCCGCCCGCCTCTGCCTCCCAAAGCGCTGGGATTACAGGCATGAGCCACCATGCCTGGCCAATATATATATATATATATATTTTTTTTTTACATGCTATTTTATTTAGAGACCATGGCTCAAAAGTACTAATACTATTTACATGCCACCTAGGCATAACTTCCTTTTACCAGATACCAGCACTACTTTATCTCCTGGCCAGGCCTGAGCCTGGAAACAGCTGTTTTCCCCTTATTGAATGACAGTATCCATTTTGGCAGTGTGAGCCCATTGGAATGAAAACTGCGAAACCCCAAAGTTGATTGAAAGTCACCACAGAGATCAAAATATGGGGCCGTTATTGACTCAAGGATAGAAATTAAGCAATGAAAGGATAAAATCTGTCCATGAAATTATTGATTACAAAATAAACTCATGACTCAATCTCCCACTCAGGTTTATTCAAAATGTTGCAAGCTTGAAAGATCAATCCTTGCAATGTAAACTTGCAGACTTTGTGGTGAGCAAATATTACATCTTTCTATGGGCACATCTGGGAATTGCCTTTGCCAGAGAGAGCTGTGTTGTTTTCTTGGCCCTGCACTCACTCTGGCTAAAGGTTAGTTGTTACCACCTGCTGCCTCTGGCCAGGCTTACTTGAGACTGGGCTTCACTAAAGTTGAGGGTTGGGGGTGGGAGAGGGAGGAGGAGGCAGGGGAAAATGGGCCAACGAGCTGACTCAGTCACACGTTATTTTTCTTGCCATCATGTCCTGCAGCTATTCCAGTAAACCTCTTAATGGTTGCCATTTGTAAAGACATGGAACCCTTTAGCTTTATCTGGCATCCTAATTCTCTTAATCACTGTTGCCTCTTTTGGCTTATGGCACATAAATGTCCCGAATTGTGGAATTTCCTATGGCTTAGCACAAGACAGGAAGGATAGGGCTCTTACATATGTGAAAGAATGAGGGGAAACAATCATAATTAATAACATTTATAAACTACTGACTGCCAAGAATTGATTCATATTATCCTCACAACAACCCTACGAAGTAGAAATTATTATTATCCCCATTCTGCAGATGAGCATATCGAGGCTAATGTAACACAGTCCATAAGCTATAGACGTGGGATTTGAATCCAGGTATACGTTATGCCTGAGCCCATGCTTTTAATCACCCAGCTATATACTGCCTTCTGAAAGAGTGTCCATTGAAGTCTCATTTGTTGAACTATGCTAGAGTTGCTCCAGGTAAAGAAGTCCCACCAGCATGAATGCAAACATCAGAAACTCTAGCTTTTTTTTTTTTGTATGCTGCCACCATAATATATTGCATAGTTTCTTGTGCAATACATGTGTTAGTTCATTAGAAGGAGTTGGGAGGAACAGATTTTCCTCTAAGAAACAGTTGGTTAACTCCTCTTTTCACAGGAACTAAACATTTCTGGTGTTTAGGAGCAATGTAGAAGCAAAAGATTTACTTCACTGTGTGGGATCTTAAGTCATGAATCAGGATTAGAAGCTACTCCTAATTTGGGGGGAAATGTTTATAAATTGGAAAGACCAATGTTGGTGAAAGCTGAAATAGACTAGAGATGGAATTCCTCTCCTAAAGACTCACCATTTGCATGGGAGGGGGGTTTTGGAATGGAATACTTTCCAAGGGAGCTGGTAGACAGAACTATTTTAGTGGGTACTGCTGTAGAAGCTACAACTACATGGTTGCTGAGGGGAACTTAAGCTAAAAGAGCAAAATTGGGTGATACTCACGGGGAAAGCCTTCCTTGAAGAGGTGACTTGAGATGGATATTGAAGAAAGCAAACAAAAATAAAGGAAATAAATGGGAAATCAGGATAAGGGGAATGGTATATGTGAAGACTTAGAGCTGTGTGTTTGAGATTAGTTTGGCATATTTGACTGGATTGTGTCAGGCCTCTGAGCCCAGGCCAGGCCATCGCATCCCCTGTGACTTGCACGTATACATCCAGATGGCCTGAAGTAACTGAAGATCCACAAAAGAAGTAAAAACAGCCTTAACTGATGACATTCCACCATTGTGATTGGTTCCTGCCCCACCCTAACTGATCAATGTACTTTGTAGTCTCCCCCACCCTTAAGAAGGTTCTTTGTAATTCTCCCCACCCTTGAGAATGTACTTTGTGAGATCCACCCCTGCCCACCAGAGAACAACCCCCTTTGACTGTAATTTTCCATTACCTTCCCAAATCCTATAAAATGGCCCCACCCCTATCTCCCTTCGCTGACTCTCTTTTCGGACTCAGCCCACCTGCACCCAGGTGAAATAAACAGCCATGTTGCTCACACAAAGCTTGTTTGGTGGTCTCTTCACACGGACACGCATGAAATTTGGTGCCGTGACTCGGATCGGGGGACCTCCCTTGGGAGATCAATCCCCTGTCCTCCTGCTCTTTGCTCCGTGAGAAAGATCCACCTACGACCTCAGGTCCTCAGACCGACCAGCCCAAGAAACATCTCACCAATTTCAAATCCGGTAAGCGGCCTCTTTTTACTCTCTTCTCCAACCTCCCTCACTATCCCTCAACCTCTTTCTCCTTTCAATCTTGGCGCCACACTTCAATCTCTCCCTTCTCTTAATTTCAATTCCTTTCATTTTCTGGTAGAGACAAAAGAGACATGTTTTATCCGTGAACCCAAAACTCCGGCACCGGTCACGGACTGGGAAGGCAGCCTTCCCTTGGTGTTTAATCATTGCAGGGACACCTCTCTGATTATACACTCACGTTTCAAGGGTGTCAGACCACGCAGGGACGCCTGCCTTGGTCCTTCACCCTTAGCGGCAAGTCCCGCTTTCCTGGGGCAGGGGCAAGTACCCCAACCCCTTCTCCTTCACCCTTAGCGGCAAGTCCCACTTTCCTAGGGGGCAAGAAACCCCCAATTGCTTATTTCCACACCCCAACCTCTTATCTCTGCGCCCCAATCCCTTATTTCTGCACCCTGACCTCTTATCTCTGTGCCCCAATCCCTTATTTCCGTGACCCAACCCCTTCTCTGCTTTTCTGAAGGGCAAGAACCCCCCACCCCTTCTCCGTGTCTCTACTCTTTTTTCTGGGCTTGCCTCCTTCACTATGGGTAAGCTTCCACCTTCCATTCCTCCTTCTTCTCCCTTAGCCTATGTTCTCAAAAACTTAAAACCTCTTCAACTCACACCTGACCTAAAACCTAAATGCCTTATTTTCTTCTGCAATGCCGCTTGACTCCAATACAAGCTCGACAGTAGTTCCAAATAGCCAGAAAACGGCACTTTCAATTTTTCCATCCTACAAGATCTAAATAATTCTTGTCGTAAAATGGGCAAATGGTCTGAGGTGCCTGAAGTCCAGGCATTCCTTTACACATCAGTCCCTTCCTAGTCTCTGTGCCCAGTGCAACTCATCCCAAATCTTCCTTCTTTCCCTCCCACCTGTCCCCTCAGTCCCAACCCCAAGCGTTGCTGAGTCTTTCTAATCTTCCTTTTCTACAGACCCATCTGACCTCTCCCCTCCTCGCCAGCCCAAGCTAGGTCCCAATTCTTCCTCAGCCTCTGCTCCTCCACCCTGTAATCTTTTTATCGCCTCCCCTCCTCACACCTGGTCGGGCTTACAGTTTCGTTCCGTGACTAGCCCTCCCCCACCTGCCCAGCAATTTACTCTTAAAAAGGTGGCTGGAGCCAAAGGCATAGTCAAGGTTAATGCTCCTTTTTCTTTATCCCAAATCAGATAGCGTTTAGGCTCTTTTTTATCAAATATAAAAACGCAGCCCAGTTCATGACTTGTTCGGCAGCAACCCTGAGACGCTTTACAGCCCTAGACCCTAAAAGGTCAAAAGGCCATCTTATTCTCAATATACATTTTATTACCCAATCTGCTCCCGACATTAAATAAAACTCCAAAAATTAAATTCCGGCCCTCAAACCCCACAACAGGATTTAATTAACCTCGCCTTCAAGGTGTACAATAATAGAAAAAAGTTGCAATTCCTTGCCTCCACTGTGAGACAAACCCCAGCCACATCTCCAGCACACAAGAACTTCCAAACGCCTGAACCGCAGCGGCCAGGCGTTCCTCCAGAACCTCCTTCCCCAGGAGCTTGCTACAAGTGCCAGAAATCTGACCACCAGGCCAAGGAATGCCTGCAGCCCAGGATTCCTCCTAAGCCGTGTCCCATCTGTGCGGGACCCCACTGGAAATTGGACTGTTCAGCTCACCTGGCAGCCACTCTCAGAGCCCCTGGAACTCTGGCCCAAGGCTCTCTGACTGACTCCTTCTCGGCTTAGTGGCTGAAGACTGATGCTGCCTGATCGCCTCGGAAGCCCCGTAGACCATCACAGACGCCGAGCTTCCGGTAACTCACAGTGGAAGGTAAGCCCGTCCCCTTCTTAATCAATACGGAGGCTACCCACTCCACATTACCTTTTTTCAAGGGCCTGTTTCCCTTGCCTCCATAACTGTTGTGGGTATTGACAGCCAGGCTTCTAAACCTCTTAAAACTCCCCAACTCTGGTGCCAACTTAGACAATACTCTTTTATGCACTCTTTTTTAGTTATCCCCACCTGCCCAGTTCCCTTATTAGGCCGAGATATTTTAACCAAATTATTTGCTTCCCTGACTATTCCTGGACTACAGCCGCATCTCATTGCTGCCCTTCTTCCCAATCCAAAGCCTCCTTTGCGTCCTCCTCTTGTATTCCCCCACCTTAACCCACAAGTATAAGAGACCTCTACTCCCTCCTTGGCGACTGATCACGCACCCCTTACCATCTCATTAAAACCTAATCACCCTTACCCCCCTCAATGCCAATATCCTATCCCACAGCACGCTTTAAAAGGATTAAAGCCTGTGATCACTCGCCTGCTACAGCACGGGCTTCTAAAACCTATAAACTCTCCTTACCATTCCCCCATTTTACCTGTCCTAAAACCAGACAAGGCTTACAAGTTCAGAATCTGTGCCTTATCAGCCAAATTGTTTTGCCTATCCACCCCGTGGTGCCAAACCCATATACTCTCCTATCCTCAATACCTCCCTCTACTACCCATTATTCTGTTCTGGATCTCAAACATGCTTTCTTTACTATTCCTTTGCACCCTTCATCCCAGCCTCTTTGCCTTCACTTAGACTGACCCTGACACCCATTAGGCTCAGCAAATTACCGGGGCTGTACTGCTGCAAGGCTTCACAGACAGCCCCATTACTTCAGTCAAGCCCAAATTTCATCCTCATCTGTTACCTATCTCGGCATAATTCTTATAAAAACACACATGCTCTCCTGGCTGATCGTGTCTGATTAATCTCCCAAACCTCAATCCCTTACAAAAGAACAACTCCTTTCCTTCCTAGCATGGTTAGTGCGGTCAGAATTCTTACACAAGAGCCAGGACCACACCGTGTAGCCTTTCTGTCCAAACAACTTGACCTTACTGTTTTAGCCTAGCCCTCATGTCTGCGTGCAGCGGCTGCCACTGCTTTAATACTGTTAGAGGCCCTAAAAATCACAAACTATGCTCAACTCACTCTCTACAGCTCTCATAATTTCCAAAATCTATTTTCTTCCTCACACCTGACACATATACTTTCTGCTCCCTGGCTCCTTCAGCTGTACTCACTCTTTGTTGAGTCTCCCACAATTACCATTGTTCCTGGCCCGGACTTTAATCCGGCCTCCCACATTATTCCGGATACCACACCTGACCCTCATGACTGTATCTCTCTGATCCACCTGATATTCACCCCATTTCCCCATATTTTCTTCTTTCCTGTTCCTCACCCTGATCACGCTTGCCTCGTGCTATCCCCAAACTGCCATTCTTAACTCTTGAAGTAAATAAATAATCTTTGCTGGCAGGGCTATGCTGAATCTCCTTAGGCACTCTCTAATCAGATGTCCTGAGTCGTCCCAATTCTTAGACCTTTTATACCTGTTTTTCTCCTTCTCTTATTCCATTTAGTTTTTCAATTCATACAAAACTGTATCCAGGCCATCACCAATAATTCTACACAACAAATGTTTCTTCTAACAACCCCACAATATCACCCCTTACCACGAAATCTTCCTTCAGCTTAATCTCTCCCACTCTATGTTCCCACGCCGCCCCTAATCCCGCTTGAAGCAGCCCTGAGAAACATCGTCCATTCTCTCTCCATACCACCCCCCAAAAATTTTTGCCACTCCAACACTTCAACACTATTTTGTTTTATTTGTCTTATTAATATAAGAAGGCAGGAATGTCAGGCCTCTGAGCCCAGGCCAGGCCATCGCATCCCCTGTGACTTGCATGTATACATCCAGATGGCCTGAAGTAACTGAAGATCCACAAAAGAAGTAAAAACAGCCTTAACTGATGACATTCCACCATTGTGGTTTGTTCCTGCCCCACCCTAACTGATCAATGTACTTTGTAATCTCCCCCACCCTTAAGAAGGTACTTTGTAGTCTCCCCCACCCTTAAGAAGGTTCTTTGTAATTCTCCCCACCCTTGAGAATGTACCTTGTGAGATCCACCCCTGCCCACCAGGGAACAACCCCCTTTGACTGTAATTTTCCATTACCTTCCCAAATCCTATAAAATGGCCCCACCCCTATCTCCCTTCGCTGACTCTTTTCGGACTCAGCCCGCCTGCACCCAGGTGAAATAAACAGCCATGTTGCTCACACAAAGGCTGTTTGGTGGTCTCTTCACACGGACACACATGAAAGATTGTAGAATAAGAAGGGATTAAACAACAAACATTTATCAAGCACCTACTGTATATCAAGCATTGCACTAAACTTTGAGAATGCAAAGGAGAACCCAACGTGGTCCCAGGCAACCTTTGGGGTCCTCCCCATGCAGTAGGAGGGACCGAGGCACACATAAGCCCTCATGGTCCAATGGGTGCTGTGGTAGAGGAACATACCTGGAGAAGTTGGAGAAGGCTTAATGGATGAAGGAGGCTTGAGAGGCATCTTGGGTGATGGCAGGTTTCGTCACAAGGAATAGTGGAGGGAGGGGAAGGATATTCCAGGCAGAGGGAGCAATATTTGTGTGACAGGGCCTACTGCATGTTCCAGAGGGTGGGACAATCATGGCTGGGCGCACCACAGGCAGCAGCAGAAGGCAAGTGGACGAGTGTTCGGAGTCAGCTATTCACAGCCCTATTGGCCAAGCTGAGGGTTTTGTTCTGTGAGCAAGAGGGAGCCACTGGAGCTTTTTATTAAGGCAGATGTGGGACAGACCAGGAAGACAGTACTTACCGCACCAGGGTGTGGAAGGATTGGAGGGAAGAGAGGCCAGCTGCATGCGGACCAATTGGGAGACCATCTCCAGGGTCTGGGCAAGAAGTGGAACAGGCTCTGAACCACGACCGTGGCAGTGAGAGCCGAGAGGAGGGGATGACTCAGGGCACATGTCAATAGGTAGAAACCTCAGGGCTGGCTCTCATGGGGTCAAGGAGAGGGAAAAGATGACAAGGACCCTGAGGTTCCAGCTTGGGTCCGTGGTGATACTGTCAACTGAGGCAGGGAACACAAGACTGTTAGTAGAGAGGGGGAGTGAGGGGAGACAGGTGACAAGGTCTGTTTGGACTTGTTGGGTTTGGGGTGCTAGATAGAGGACATGTCCAGCAAGAAACTGGGAATCTTGGCTTTGAGCCCAGGCGAGACATGGGGGCTGGAAAGCCACCACAGTCAAGGGATATTAGTTGACCTCATGGGACTGGATGGGGTTTCTCTTGTCCCATTTTACTCCTCCAGGGCAAAGGCTGGGGACAGAGTCAGGCGAGCCCCAGTATTTGAAGAGTGAGGTGGTAGCAGATGCCAGCCTGGAGTGAGAAGACACCCTTCTTCTGGCCCTTCCCAGAAACATCCCCTTCCCCTCAGGATCATGGTCCTTGTTCCAGGGCTGCACTCAGGCCTGTGACAGAAGGAAGGGAGGGAGGGAGGGAGGAAGGGAGGGAGGAAGGAAGTAAGGCAGGAAGGAGGGAGAGAGGGAGGGAAGGAAGGAGGAAGGAGCTCTGTGCACAGAACTCATGCCCACAGAGGGGCCATGAAGCAAGGCAAGAACAGTCACTTCAGTTCTTGAGTTCTTTAGTGTGGGAATGTCTTCTAACAAAACCCAATAAATTAACGATTGGGGATTTGGGGCAGCAAGGACAAAGACCACAACTCTACACTGACACCTGGAGCACTCAGTTCCAGCAACTGCATCTCCACTGCTGCAGAGCTGGGAACACATTCACGGCAGCATGTTTTCAAGCTCCTGTCTGTGCAAACCACAACTGGTCTCCTAGGAGTCCTAACACTTTAATTAGACCTAGCAGGTCCCGGAACAAAATCCCATAATCCCATAAATCTAATGCAACAAGTTAGGCATGATAGTTTTAGTCACATTCTGAATGCAAGCAGCACTTATCCAGGATGGTAGGAAATGGCTTATATCCATAATCATAGGTGTTACTTTAACTGAGATTTGTTATAAACAGTCACCATTATCTGAGTTGGAGACATAGAAACTAAGAAAGTCTACACACACACACCCAACCTAGGCCATTTTAATGTCTTCTATATTTTGCTATATTTTTCTTGGACTGAGAGTGAGTGCTGGGACTGGACTACCTAGGGTTTAGCACAGGATACAGCTACTCTGAGGCCTCTTCCTTACCACCTCTTTTTTTGTCCCTTTAGGAGTAAGTCACTTGACACCCTCTTCTTAGATGCAATCTGAAGACAGCTCAGAAATTCTGGCAATGCTTGGGAAAACTGCCCTGGGAGCAGTAGCTGTTTAACCTCCAGGGACCCAGTTATTCCCCAAGTTCCCACAGACACAAACCTAGGTTGTTTCTTCAGAAATGCTGCCCCTGAGGCATTTCTGTCTTACTTTAGGCCATGAATAACTAGGCATCAAGTGTGAGGAATGGGAGGAAACTCAGGAGCAGCTACTAAAATTTTGCTCTCAGGCCCAAGAGTGTTAAAAGTTGGCCTTTCTTGCTGCTTAAGGTAATCATCAGAAAGTGAGCTGTATCTTCTCTGAGGTTCCCAAAAGCTTGCAAGGAACCTCCAGGAAACTCTAGCTTAGCCTTAGCCCTTGATGTTTAACACTGACGTGTGAACCTTGACCTAACTTTGTTTTCAGAACACTAACCAAGATGGCTTTGGTCTCCCAGTGATTTATTTGTTAAGTCCTTGGAGTTCCAAAGCCAATTGCTTAGAACTTCTTCAGGGAAGTAGGACAGATCCCAGTTAACTCCAAGTTTCAAGAACCTCTTGCCTTGCATGGGCTTTTATGATATAGTCAGCCAGTCTCCCTGACCCATAGGATTTATTTCTGTTTTCTCTTCTGAATCCACCAAGTGAGTGGTTATGAGTAGGTGCAGTCTCAGCTAATCCCCAGGCCGGGCAAATCTGACCCATTGGATCACATAAGTCTGAGAAGCCTCTCTTCCAGTCCCTGCTAAAATGATCTTCAATGCCCCCTAGTTGCCAGAGGCTAGGAAATGAGTTATTGTGGACACTCTTGCTCCACAATTACTGGGACCCGAGAACTCCTAGAATCTTCTCTTATGGGCTGTTGTTTCCTCTGGTTCACAGAAGCAGCTTTTCCAAGAGGCCCTTGAGTGCTGGCTCAGAAGGGGAGGGTTCTCTCAGCTAGGGAGCACAGCACCAGCTTTGGGGCTCTCACCAGCAGAGAAGGCCCTTGGGCCAGGTCAGAGCCAAGGTAGGATCCCCAAGCCCAGTGGAGTGATTCCTACTCCAGCTATACATAAGGAAACTCAGGAGAGGGACACCAGAGTCAGGGTCTGTCCCTGAGAGAGAGAAGTTACTTGCCCACTGACACTGTTGAGTACATTTCTCCTCCTTGCCCTTTATGTCTCCTATGCAATGGCCAGCCATAGCCCCTATGTTGCTTTCAAAGCTAATTATGAGTGTCAGTTTGACACCAGAACAAAGAGTTAACAAGACAGTTAGTTTCTGATTATACTAGAGCCAGCGGCCACTCTATCTGTATGGCCTGGGGTCTCAGGAATGCCAGTGTCTCAGGCAACAGGTCTGGTGATGGATACCCTTGCAACTGCCTAGGAGAGCTTAAAGGATTACTCTGGAGCCTTTCATCCTGTCCCCATAACTAGTCCAGGAGCCAGAATTTATAAGAACAGTTCTTATCTGGAGGATCTTCAGAGCTTACAGCCAGGGCTGGCAGCCAGCTGAGATCAACTCGACACCCAACCTGGGAAGCCCTGAAGCTAAAATAAAAGAAACAGTTCCAGTTGTGGCCATTGTTAGGCTAAGTGGTGAACAAACTAGCCAAAGGAAACAAGTGGTATCATCTTACAAATAAAAGAATTTATGCTTATGGTCCCAGCCTCTGGAGTCAAATAGACTTGGGTTTGAGTTCAAGCTCTGCCACTTTCTAGCTTTGTAACTCATGGCAAGCCACACAACCTCTCTGAGCCTTAGTTTCTTCATGAATAAAATGGAGACTACTGATGTACTTCCTTCACAAGGTTAATGTATTAAATGAGTCCTTGCATGCTAAGCCTTTAACACAGAACTTGACTGTAACAAGACTCCTGAAATAAGGCATAGTGTTGTTATCACGAATCTCGTTAGCCTGCTCACTGGGATATAGTGGAAAAAGAAAAGGTCGGGGGCCAACTACTAAACAGGTCAAACTGCTTGACAGTCATGCCTCATCGTGCCACCGTGGAGATTTCCAGATACTGTTAGTGATGGAGTCCTTGTTTTCTCTTATAGTCCATGTGACCTGAGTTGCAGGTGCCTCCAGAAGTGTAGAATATGTAGAATACTCATTTATGTGCTTTATTCCTACCCTGATATCACTGAATGTTGTCACTTGTAGTCCAAGGGCCTTTCCCCCAAACCCAGGCTCCTGTTTTCTCTCTTAGCCCATGTGACCTGAGGTGTGGGTGGCTGCCTCTAGGACTGATAAGATATAAGATAGTATAAGCATTATTTTCCAAGTTTAAGGACAGAATAGGTGGGTGGCACAAGCCAAGAATGATTCAGTGACATTTCCTGACCAGGCCTGGCTTGTCATTAAGGAATTTCTTCAGAAGTAACTAGGCAGCCTTAAAAATACAGATTCCTTGGCTTATCCTCAAAGATTCTGCTGCAACAAGTCTGGAGTAGAATTCAGGATTGAATAAACTCCCAAGAGGAATCTGATGCACAGCCATGCTTGAGAACAGTTAAATTGTATAAATGCCTCTCTGAAAAAAAATAAGTCTCACACTTCAATGAGCATTGGATTTGCTTGGTGGGGTGGGATTTGTTAAGATACAGATTTCTGGACTCATCCACTAGATCTTCTGATCTTGTAGTTCCAGGGTAGGCTTCAGACATCTGAATTTTTAACCAGTGCCTTCAGGTAACTCAGGTCTAGGGGAAATAATTGCTTCCTTTGTGATCATTCCTGGCTAGTACAACCCAAAGATTTTCCAGAGATTTTCTCATTCTTGCCATAATAAAAAATAAATGGTAAACAAAAGTATTTTATTTTAGATCATTATATTATTGAAGATTGCATTAGCTATCTATTACTTCAAAGCAAATTACCCCAAAATCAGTAGCTTAAGACAACATTTATTATCTCATGGTATCTGTGGGTCAGCAACTTGAGCATGGTGTAGTTGGATGTCTCTGGCTTAGGGTCTCTCAGAAGGCTGCAATCAAGGTGCAGTGCATGGTCTGTGGTCTCATCTGAAGGCTCAGCTTGGGGAAGGATCTGCTTCCAAACTCACTTCTGTGGTAGCTAGAAGGATTCAGTCCTCTCTGGCTGTTGGCCAGAGACATCAGTTCCTTACCATGTGGACCTCTCCATAGGGCAGCTCACAGCTCATAAAATGGCAGTTGACTTCCTTCAGAATGAGCAAAGGAGAGAGAAAAAGAAAGCAAGGGAGAAATCATAACTTAGTCTCAAAAGTGTAGTCCCATTACTTTTGCCATATTCTCTTAGGAGCAAGTAACTAGATTCAGCCCACATGCATGGGGTTGGGATTACACAAGGGCCTAAATACCAGGAGGTGGGAATCACTGGGGCAATCTCAGAGGCTTCCTACCACAATGCTAACATTTTAAAAATACATTTTAATGCAATTTTTAATATTATTTAAAATATAGGAAAAATTGATTTATCTTATTTGAGTGATGCAAACTGTTTAAAGTATGCAAAATGAACATAATTTTTGACAACTATAAACATAATATTACAGTATGTTTTATTTGGAGACTGAATGTATATTAAAATGTCAAAAGCAGTTACGTATTATGGCATCAAAACTAGACAAAAACTGCTTTCATGTCATGCTGTTTGAAATTGTTGCATTTTGTATTGTAAAGATAAGTTCACATATTTACATAATTTTAGTATTTTGTTTCTAAATGAAGACATTAGAAGAAAATACTATTTCTCCAGACTTTCTTCACCAATAACATAGCAAATGTGTTTATTCTTTTTTCCCCAAGAAATGTAGAGCCAAATTAGATATAATTGTTACTATACCTTTAGTTTTGCCATTGATGTTTAAAGTGTGAGAGATAGCTTAATGTACTATATAATTTTTAAAATCAGATTGTTATCACTTAGGAATCTGATAAACAGCAGTTTCAGACAATATATTGGTTTACTAGGGCTTCCATAACAAAGTACCACAGACTGAGTGGCTTAAACAACAGACATTTATTTTCTCACAATTCTGGAGACTAGGTGCCAAGATCAAGGAGTTGGCAGGATTGGTTTCTTCTGTGGCCTCTTTCCTTGGCTTGGAGATAGTTGTCTTCTCCCTGTGTCTTCATGGTCTCCTCTCTGTGTGTGTCTGTGTTCAAATTTCCTCCTCTTATAAGGACAGCAGTCATAGTGGATTAGGGCCTGCCCTAATGACCTCATTTTAACTTAATTACCTCTTAAAAGACCTTATCTCTAAACACAGACACATTCGGAAGTACTTGAAGTTAGGACTTCAACATATGCATTTGTTGTGGGGTAGGGAACACAATTCAGCTCATACAAAAACGAATTTTCAGAATCACTATCATTCTTATCATCCTTATTCACTTGCATTTCAACAGCAGTCCTGTGTTTCTTGTCTTTAGCCAACAATCCACTGTGGGCATAAATGAAAGAATACATGACTATAAATTTAAAAAATGCGTAACTGTATGATTATCAAATCGCCAGGCTAGCCTGCAATAACTAAGTGATAAAACAAGCCGAATAATAGGAGTTTGAACATGGTAGTCCAAGATCCACTAATTGCCAGATGGTCAACTCTTGAGCACCATGAACCTCACTCTGAAATAGGAGAGGAAGATTAGCAGTAAAGCAGAATAAGGCACCGGAGCCAGCGAGTGCATAGCTCCTCAAGAAACCCAAAAGCCTCCCAATTTAAATTGCTACAAAAGTCTCCACCTACTTCCACCTTCTTCTACAATTAAACTTGTTTTGCTCCAAGCATTAGCATTAGAGAAAAAAATAATTATTCAATTTATTTCTGCTTCATTTAATTATTGGTTTTGCTACAACCATTTTCTGCTATTTTCTTTGGCCAAGATTCAGTATTTCATCAACATTAAAGGTTAGAGAAACTCTTCCAGGTTGGACTTGGAACCTAGTCAACATTTACACTATTGATCCTTGGGGAAATGGAATCTGAGTTCAAAAAACTGACTTACAAACACATTTTTAGAACTGACTCTATTTGTAAGCTTGGAACTACTTATGTCCTGTATGAGAATTCTCAATTTAAAAAAGAATAGGAAGACAGTAAAACACATTTAACACTAAAATTCTACTAAGCGTGGCTGATTCTTTCTTCAAGGGCTCCAAAAGCCCTTGAGGGTCTTGCTCTGTAATGAGCAGAAATTAAAGTGGTGCAGAAGTCATAGGAAACTGGGCTAATCTCAGCACTTTCCTCGAAGTGGGTAACCCCTCTGCCTGAAATGGGCCGAACTTGGTCCCAGAATTTCACAACCATTTCAGTAATTGCACTTTTCCCTAACCAAGAGAGAGACAATCAAGTTCATGTCAACGCTCACTTGAGTTCATTGAGAGCACTTTTCTGGCTTCGGGAGAAGATACAAAAAATTCAGTCAAGACATAGTTTCTGCTCAATATGACAACTTTTATAAGTAGGGTTAGATTTTACAAGCAAGGTTTATACCTTTGTGTCTTCTAGCTTTTATTCAGTTGTATTTTGGGAGACCTAGGATCTATTTCTTTGTTGATTTTTCTTTTTTTTATTGTTTGTTATCATTATGATCCATAGTAGGCAAAGTAAAGTCACATTTTGGTAGTTTGGGGAGGCTCATATCCCAAATGGCAAAACCAGCTTCCCAGCTCATTAGCTGAAGATTTTCTCAGATGATTCCCACTGCTAGAACGTTTTCTCTGTGCTCCATTAATTCTCCAGCGCATTCTGTGTTCTGCACTGGATGGGTACAGGACACTATTTGCTGGGTACAATACGTTATTTTATTCAATTACCAAATATGCAGAGATAGAACAAGGTTACAATAATTGAGGTCTTAGGCAATGTGGGAGGTGTAGCGAATATGGTGCAGGCTGCATTGTCCAACAGACAAAGAGAAAGCAAAATTGGGCATGTTGGGGAGCATATTTCAGAGCAGAGCCAAGAAAAGCAACTCCCTTCCTAGAAGCTCTGAAACCGTGGCAACTTTGGTTATTTAGTCATATTTTCTGGAATACACTATTTAATGATGATGTAAATTCAATGGTTCTGTGGAGGTGGTGTCTCAGGAAACTTGAAATCTGATTCCTAACCCTGTAAGATAAAGCAGAATTGATTTGAGAGAGGTGTAGGGAAAAGGAATGGCAATAGATAGGGTAAAGAACACAAAGAAGGAAAAAATAGAGAAAATCATGAAGCAACATGAGGCATGACAACAAAGAATTTAGTCATTCTTTTTGATTAAATAAACATTTAATAGAACTTTTACGTCAGAAATTTCTCAAGCCACTGGAATCGGAAATGGCCTTTCCTTTTTCCCCAGGCCGGATGTTGCATGGTGATCCAAATTAGAAGGTTTTATGATTGTCTTTTAATTGAAAATGTAGTTGTCTTGATCTCTTTTAAATCTTTCTCAAGCAACCAATGACAAAGAGACAATCTAAGTAATGTAGATTTAAAGTAAAATATGAAAATAATTTGCTGAATAATTAACAGAACTTCAAATGACTTTTCCCAGAAGTTCCTCAGTGCAGGCTATGAAAGATTATTTTCTTCATCAAAGTTATCCATGTAAACTACCAGTGCCAATCCGTAGTTGGAGTTTTTCAGCTCTTGTGTGGTTCCTATAGATCTGGCCTGGTAATCTCCAAGGTTGTAACTACTGGTGCGTTGTTAGTTCTTCATTAGGTCATCTTGTATTTTCATCCCAGTCTAAGTAGAGAATCCAAGTCTAAAACAAGAACTATTTTCTTTCAAAAGTTTGACCTGAATTTGACCCAGGAAATGTGTGTGCACGTGTGCGTGCTTTCAGCAGCCAGAGTTGTAAGGGTAAACACAGATAAAATATGTAACATCTTGATTTGAGTCAAAAAAACAAACATCACAGCTGCAGTTTAAAGAATTATCTCTCAGTTCCAGTTTAGAGCTTAAATATTGGGCCGTATTTTCAAAATGCACCCAGAAACTGGGAGAAAATTCATGTATTTTACCACTAGTGGGCGCCAGAGACACGATGAGAAACCACAGTTGAATTTTTAAAAATAGCTTTCCTTTTACCATGAAGAAATGAAAAGTATTAATTTTGATAATTTGGGCTACCTCCAACTTTTATACTTTTCCAGTTTGGATGATATATCTAAGGCTCAATTGGGTAACTTTTTTTGTAATTTAAACATTTATTTTAGATTTCGAGAGTACACGTTTGTTGTGGGTTTATTGTATGATGATGAGGTTTGGGGTTTGAATGATCTTGTCACCCAGGTAGTGAGCATAGTACCCAACAGGCAGTTTTTTAGCTCCTGCCCCCATCCTCTCTCTCTGCCTTCTCTAGCAGATCCCAGTGTCTAATGTTGCCATCTTTATATCCATGTGTACCCAATGTTTAGCTCCCACTTGTAAGTGAAACATGACAGTATTTGGTTTTCTGTTCCTGCCTTAATTTGCTAAGGATAATGGCCTCCAGCTGCATCCATATTGCTGCAAAGGACATGGTTTCATTCTTTTTTATGGTTGTATAATATTCCATGGTGTATACATACCACATTTTCTTTATCCAATGATTGGGTACCTTTTGATTGCCATACCTCAAATAGAAAGGATTGGTTTCATTTCCTAGAGAGATAAGAGGAATAAGGAAAACTGCTTTCAATTTTCTGGTGCTTACTATGGACCAAGCACTGTGAGAAGTGATTATCATGCCATATCTCATTTAATCTTTACAAGAATTTTAGAGAGTGGATGCTATGACTGTCTCCATTTACCAGATGTGAAAATTGAGGCATAGAAGTTAAGTAACTTGCTTACGGTGACAGGAAGTGGTAGAATTGAGACTCAAACCCAGGACAATTTGACACCACAGTCCAGAGTTGTATTGGAAACGACACCACCTATATGCCCTCTTTATTCTACAAATTTTCGACTCTTTTGGAGAATAGGAAATGTTATCCAAATTGTGTGTGACTAGGCCTTTAATCAAAATCAAACTGTCTCAATGCATAGTTCTAGTTTGCAATTAAATAGAAGGAAAGAAAAAACTCAAACAAATAAACAAAGCAGAATTTAAGATTTTTGGATGTGGGAAGTCTTGGGAAAAAAAAACTCCCCAGGTACACTTCTAGATGTGGAGAAGATCATAGGAGATCCTTAAGCTGTTTTTTCAGATTTCATTTCCCTAACCTGAGAGTTCAAAGTTTTGGTTGCTTAGCTATCAGGGAAAGTCAGTGTCTTCAGCCTTGCAAATAGAAGTATCAGCACCTTTGCAAAGTTGGAGAAAACTCTATCCAGTCTGAGACATCAAGGTTTCATGTGCTTTACAAAACAAAACCAGGTCATTTATTTGTGTTGTAGCCCATTTCACTTCTGGGCTAAATGTCAGAAGGACAAAGGCACAATTGTCTTTCTTGACTTACAAGAATAAAGGAAGTGATAGTAAAGCTCTCAATTTTTGTGTGTGAATAGAAGATAGGAAGTAGCCCTAATGATCTAAAATGGCTGAAAGCCAAAGACTTACATGATTTCCAACACTATAGAGCCGGTTGACCTTCCTGATTAAATAAACATAGTTTTCTATAGCTAATATTATAACTACTTTCCACTTTATGTTTTTTTAGTACATACTATATAACAGGGAGTTTAAATAGTGACGTTTGGCTGGGCAAGGTGGCTCATGCCTGTAATTCCAGCACTTTGGGAAGCCAAGGCAGGAGGTTTGCTCGAGCCCAAGAGTTCAAGACCAGCCTGGGCAACATGGTGAGACCCCATTTCTACAAAAAATTGGAAAAAAAAAAAAGCTAGGCATGATGTTGTACACCTGTATTCTCAGGTACTCGGAAGACTGAAGTGGGAGGATCACTTGAGCCCAGGAGATTGAGGCTGCAGTGAGTGGTGTTCATGCCACTGACTCCACCCTGGGCAACAGAGTAAGACTCTGTCTAAATAAATAAATGACACTTATATGCTTCAAGTAGTGTGCTAAGAATTTTATTTGAATTATATAAACTCCACAAGACACTATTCAACAGTTACTACTCTTACTAAAGTAATAAATGCATATAGTTGAACAGATAGTACCCCAAAGTCCTATGTTGAAAAAAAAAAAACAACAGCTACCTCCATCCTCCCAATCCCTGTTTCCCACTTCTAAGAGACAACCATTCTTATCTCTCTTGGTTGGTTTATGGTTTTGCTTTGGTATGCAACTCTAAATTCTGGAATTATAGCTTATATTGCTATTTTATGATATATAAATTTTAAGTGGTTTTTAAAAATTCACTTCTTGTATGGGATATGATGATTTAGCTTCCTTCTAATCCTTTCCCTTCCTTACATACACACAGTTCTGTAGTTTTTCTTAGAATTAATGATGATTTTCTTTTTCACTAGCTTAGTTTTGTGTGCCTATTAGTACTAACCCAACCCCATACTTTCCAAAAGGACTCTAAAATGCTTCTCAATATGGCCAACATATCAGGTAATTTGTTGGTTCTATCTTTTTTCCTGGATACATCTTTCCAGACCCTTCCATTTACCTATCCCTAACCTACAGCACAGCTTTCTTCCTGGGCTTTCCTTTCACCTTCATCCTGGGAATTTTCTTTATCATTCTCTTGTGTTCAACCTTCTACTTCCTGGACCCCATATATTCCTTTGACCACTCCCTTGTCTTGGTAGAGCACATGTTCTTGTGGCTTCCTGAGAAATGGTTAGTGAGAGGTACATTTTTGGAGACCTTATCCCCAGCATTCTGAAATTTCACAACAATGTCTCTATGTGTCATATAGTCATTGTGCTAAATACATAGTTGGCCCTTTAGTCTGTAAACTCATTTCCTTCTGTTTGGAGGGAAATTTCTTTTATTATGTCTTTGATTATTTCTTCCCCTCTATTTTTCTGTTGTCTCTCTGGGCATTCCTAATGGATATTTGTTCTCTAATTCTCCTATTCTTTTTCTCTTTTCCCCAACTCTTTGCACTTTTGTTTTACATTCTTAGAGATTAATTAAAAATATATCCATAGATACATAATAAGTAAACTTTTAATTGTAAGAAATTTCTATTCAAGTAGTTTGAGTTTTTAGGAGCTCATTTTTTTTTTCTTTTCTTCTCTTTTTTTTTTTTTTTGTGGGGCCACCCTGAAAGGCAGACAGGTTTATTGGGCTACAGCCAGGAAATCAGCAGTTGGACTTGGCCATGAGCTCCAGGTTGTTCTTCTCAATGGCATAGTAGTTGGAAGAGTTCTTGGCAATGCTGATGAGCTTATCGGCCAGGTATTCAGTGATGGTCTTGATATTCTGGAAGGCAGCCTCACTGGTACCTGTGTACAGCAGCCAGATGGCTTGATTCACATGGTACAGTGGGGACATGTCCACATCCTGCTGTCTCACAGTCTCAGCTTGCTCGATATATGTGGAGTCCTCCCAGGGCCACATTTGATGCTGGCATTCACCAGAACCTGCAGAGGGTTCTTGCCTGTAAGCAGGTGGATGATCTTGAAGGCATGCTTGACAAGGCAGAGTCATGAGCTACTTGCTGTTGTGGCCATGCATCATCATTGAGTTAGTGAAATGCTCCATGATGGGACATCACACTTTGTGGATGTAATTGGCGGCATACAGCCCTATGCTGTGAGGCAGGTACTTGGTATACTTCTCCTTCACTGCAATGTAATCCTGAAGGGAAATGTCACTGATCTGTGCATCATCAGTGCTCCACTTCCCAAAGAACTTGATGTCAGGGGTTTCTGCCACCACTGGTGCTTCTGTCTCCCACTTGGTCATCTTGAGGGCACAGCCTGAGCATCTCTGTTTCTCAATGTGGACCATGCACCACCCTGACACAGACAGAATTCATTCTTATTCTTAGAATGTTTCTTTTTATTTCTAGCATCCATGTTTCATGGACATGATGTATCTATGCATCTCTCTGAAAATGTTAATTATAGGGATTTTATGGCTTCTTCTCCTCCCTACATTATTTCTGTTTCTTCCAAGTTCCTTTTTTCAATGTGTGTTTCATATTCTTTTATTCTATTAAAGACTTTTCGCCAATGCTTCACTATTCTTAATTATTCATTTGTATTTAGGAGTGTGGAAACTGAAAATCTGTGTGTGGGGAGATGCGGGGGGGCAATTATTGATTGATTAGCCTTATGTCCTTAGGTGGACCTGGCCACTTCATTGGGAGACCCTACAATTATTGGTATCTGTGGGCCTTTTCTCTTAAGCCAATCAAATTTCCCAGAGAGGAAGCTTCCAATTTCCTGCCTGGGGGATATAATTCTGACTGCCAGAATTAAGGATGTTGATGAGAAAGGTAAGTGGAAAGGTATGATAAGTATCATCCATGTCCTCAACTGAGCCTGGAAACTTTACTTAAAAATCCTCCTCTTTATTATCATAATTGTAATAATAACCAACATTTATTGATGGCTTATTTCATCAAACACAAGATTTCTGTACAAGTATGTTCTCTTTTTTTTTTTTTTTTTTTTTGGTACTCTTTACAACCAACCCCCAGTTTAAGTATGGTCTTTTTTTTTTTTTTTTAGAGACGGAGTCTTGCTCTGTCACCCAGGCTGGAGTGCGTGGCCTGATCTCAGCTCACTGCAAGCTCCACCTCCTGGGTTCACGCCATTCTCCTGCCTCAGCCTCCAGAGTAGCTGGGACTACAGGCACCCACCACCACGCCTGGCTAATTTTTGTATTTTTAGTAGAGACAGGGTTTCATCATGTTAGCCAGGATGGTCTCGATCTCCTGACCACGTGATTTGCCCACCTCGGCCTCCCAAAGTGCTGGGATTACAGGCAGGAGCCACCGCACCCGGCCCCAGTAAGTATGTTCTTTACATCATTCTTTAACATAGTAAAAGACTGGAAATAATCTAATGTCCAAAATGAGAGATTGATTCCAAAAGTCATGGTGCATTGATACAATGAAATGGTAGGCAGCCATTAAAAGCAATCTAATAGCCCCAGTTATCAGGGCCAGCCACTTCCCATAGCTATTTAAAAAGGTCCCATTTCAGCTGAACTGACCCTATCATCACCTCCACCCCAGCTACCCATCAAGAGTTGGCCTGAAAAGAGAATAGAGGTTGCCTTTTGAAAACTGCAATGATGGTGAAGAGAAACCTATTCCTATCCCTACTACTCCTCTTCTTGGTGAAAGAGAGGCAATGGTGTGCTGGTAAATGTTTAACAACTCATTGGAGGTATCTATGTTGTGTAAACACTCCCACCATGGCCAATTTCAAGCTACCAATGTGACATCCATCAACTGGCTAACACATTTTCAGAAAATTTAACAATTGACTTTCATGAGCTGGGATGAGCTGGTTCCAGTGCACCACTAGAGAGAGGCCTCAGAGAACAGCAGTGGTTAGACTTGTGCTTAATCACCAATCCTGCTTTGCAGACTAGGCCTAGAGCCACTGGAAATGGGTCAAGAACTCTAGAATAGGGTGATGGAGTTGCCAGGTAAATAGGAAGCAAAAAATATTTTCCTTGAATTTCTGGTGTCCAAGAGGTATGGAAACAAGGGCCCTGGAGGAGATTGGGAGCTATGGGTTTTCCAGCCCTACCCTACTCCCAAGAAAAATACACACAGCAGGGAGTCAAGAGGCACAAGCTTCAGAGAAATGCAGAGACAGGCCAGCAGCTAGAAGATGCAAGGGACAGCCCAATTGCAGATTTGATGAGAGGAGGTGGCAAATGATAGCCTTCGCAGTGGTGAATTGTTTTCTTTCTTTCTCTGACCCCAACACTAGAAGTACACATGTACCACAAAGGGAGTGGGACAAAAAGCACAGAGAGGGAGTGAGGAGGAGGAGAACTTTGAATCAAATAAGAGATTAAAGTTGCAAAACAAAAGGAACAAAGTCTTCAGAACCAGAATGGGCCAGTTTTAATAACCAGAAGTTACTGCACTATTATGAATCAGATTGAGATGGCTCTGGGGAGCTTGCCACCCCAAGGGGGAAGAAAGCATGAAAAGGCATAGGTGGAATTTTGGAAAAATTAAAACCATTAAGTGGTACATGGAGATAATCTTGTAGTGGTTGAATGTATAGTTACTTAACATTTTCCTCTTTGTGCTTTTTTTGTGTTTGCTTATTTTTGCACAACTAACATGTACAAAGTAGTAATTTTTTTTAGCTTAAGGATCCATGTTGCTAATGGGGACAAAGATGGCATCAGGGACAGACAAGAAGACCTAAAGTTAATAAAAATCCATTTTCTAGTGAATATAAAGTTCCTGGTAACACAAGGTGCTGGGAAGGAGGCTGACTTCAAAAGTCCCAGGGGGCAGGCCAGGCTTGGCGGCTCATGCCTGTAAATCCCAGCACTTTGGGTGGCTGAGGCAGGCGGATCACCTGAGGTCAGGAGTTCGAGACCAGCCTGACCAACATGGTGAAACCCCATCTCTACTAAAAATATAAAAATTAGCCGGGCATGGTGGTGGGCACCTGTAATCCTAACTACTAAAGAGGTTGAGGCAGGAGAATCATTTGAACTCAGGAGGTGAAGGTTGCAGTAAGCAGAGATCGTGCCATTGCACTCCAGCCTGAGCAAAAAGAGCAAGACCATGTCTTAAAAAAAACAGTCCCAGGGGGCATTTATGAAGAGCAAGGACCCCCTCCTGGAAGGAGAAAGTACCTGGATCACAAGAAGGCAGCTCTTTAATAGCTCTAATTCAAGGATGGAGGTCCCCTCCTCCTAGTCATTCCTTAAGGGCTTCAGAGAGGGTGTTTCTGATAAATAGAGCATTACATCGTTAAACGGACAATTAGGTCTTCAAAGCAGCTTGAAGTAAGACGCAAAGGCCTCGTGGCCTGTTGAATTTATTACATCACTGGAGAGGCAACATTTGATCTGAAAAGTATAAAAAATTTTTCTATGATTTATACATTACCCAGAAACCTTTTGACTTCCTGGAATTCTTAATATAAATTCTATTTTTTCAGCAACAATGTTCTGGCATTGCTGCTAGCAGCTTGCCTGGCCACAATTACTGAAGCTGACTGATTTTGCCCCTAGCAAAAGTAATGTCATTACCCTTGGCAATGAATCTGAAGAGCAAAGTAAAGTCATGCTTTCAACAGGTCCTTTGCCAGTTCCTTAAAATCACCCAAAACGATCCATCCATTTTTAATGTCTCCCTTGGCAGCAACTTCAAGTGATTAAAAAATGTCCTATCCATTCTAAAGCAGTCCCTAGGGAAATTTTTAAATTATTCTGTTACATCTAAAATTTGTTGTAGTGCAGTCAACCCCAAAAGAGCCTCATAAACATCTTGCCTCTGTGTGGGGCCATTCTGAATTTGGATGCCATCCGGTGATTCTTGACTGGCTGACATGTTTCTGGGATTACCTGTGACAAGGTAGAATTCAGCTTCAGTGAATATCTGCTCTGATCACTCTCACAGGCTAGGCATTGCCTGTGTGTGTGTGTGTGTGTGTGTGTGTGTGTGGTTTGTTACAAGGTGAGACTAAGTCCCTCTTTCTGTCTTTCCATTTGCTACTTACCGCCTTGGTGCTTCTAAAAGTGACCCTTATGAAAGCAGCTCATCTTCCGAGTCAGCCTTGCTCTCAATTGTCGTGGAGTTTCCCAAAGTACCCTGTAATTGCCTCAATACTTCCCTTCACTTTAGCAAAATTGAAGTGTGTCGTAGGTTTCCACTTTTATTCTGATCCTTAGGTCTAATTACATTTACAACCTGGGCTAGGATATTTGTGTAACTGTTGTTTATGCCTCCAAATTCAAAATTATTTATAACATGGTAGATTGTAGAAATCTGATTTGCAAAATCTTTAGAAGACATCTAGAAAATATCATTTTTAGTAGGTTGATTCTTCTCTAGGGGGAACATGTAGAGATCAATGGTATTGGAAATGAGAGCAGCTCTTCCCTACATTGCCCAAAAACCTAAAAATGGAAAAAGCTGGATCAGCCCCCTTCTTCAGCTCAGGAGTCTATCTTTCACAGGGCCTCCAAGGGATGAATTGGCCTCTTGAATGTCAGCTACCATTCCTTTAATACTCCATTGTGGGTTTATTAATAGTACTTTTTTTGTGCTTTTTTGGGAATGTGACTTATATTGCCAGCTTGTGCTGTTTCTCATGGTAATGGATTCTCTCCACTGCATAAAATCAGACTTCCCTTGATTTGGCTTAAAATCACCTCATAAACTTAAAAGGCATTCTTTCTTTTTTCTCTTTTGAAATTCATTGTTCACTCCACGAGGCTCTTTGTGATTCTCTAGGTTTCTAACGTGTCCCCTGCCCCACACACAAGTCTCTCTGATTGAACAGCAGCTAATCTTTTTAATCATGCTTCCTTTATGCCATATGGCAACCCCTCCCCTTCCTGTGTCCTTAATCTCTTTCTATGCCTTTCTCTAGCTCTTCCTCCAACCCCTCCCCTTCTGTTAGGCAAATCTTTCTGAAAGGGCAGTGACCCAGACTGTCCCCAGGGTATGGCTAATGGGGTGATTGCCCTGACCCTGCACTCTGAGAGTTCCCACCCAGCAGCGGAGACCAGAGACCAGGTGGTTGGTGGATGGAGGGGGTGGAGGGGAGCAGGGAAGGACAAAGAAGCTGGAGCCTTTACTCAGAGGAGTTTAAAAAGATCGATGTACTCATGAATACATTAAAATGAGTGGCTAAGTTGAGGCGGGCTGCTTAGATATGGCACCATCTCCTTCCTTTAAATCCTCCCTATTCTTGCTCTATGAGACTCCATGAGAGCCCCTCACCTTCTTTGGTCTCCAAGTCTCTCCTCCATGCTTATTTACCACATTCAATTTAAATAAACATACTTCTTTTTGCGGGGATGCACGTGGGGCCCACAGTTCACTGGGGGTGGTATACCAATGAAGAATATCCTGGCACAGACGCTAGTTGTTTCAGATAGAGAGGAGGCTAGTTTCTGGACCCTGATGGATAAAGAAGATGAACAATCCCTTGACTACCTTTGTGCCCAGACAGTCCCATGGGCCTGAGCTTCTGTCTCTGGGCCTTGAGTATTATTATCCGCTCAAGAGCTAAACTGAAAGATGTGAGTCAAAAAACCTAGCAAAGTGTTCTGAATCAGCCATGTTTCCAGGGATAACGGACTAATTGGTCTGAGCCACAGATTGCATTAAAGATTCCCTTAAAGGACTGCTTTCCAAGTGACTCAGGGTTGGATTTTCTAAATGATTGTCTGGGTTAGGCTTAGAGGTGAAGATGGGGGTAAGTAAAAGTGGAGAAAGTAAGGAGGAAAGTGAGGTGCTCCATACATACACACAGAATACACCTTTCAAGGACATCTCTTTCTCTCTGCTCCTCTGTCCTCACACCAAGGAGTGTCTCTCTCTCTCTCTCTCTCTCTCACAGACAAACACACACACACACACACACACACAAACACATTCACACAGTCAGAGCAAAAGTGATCGTACAGGATTCCCTGCAGTAGCATCTAGTCCACACTGTTTCATGACTCATTTTTTTCTCTGAATCTGAAGTCTAGGCTTACATGTTAAAGGAATTCCTTTCACTAAAGGCATCTTTCCTTCCTGGAATTTGGGCTGGGTACACTAAGTAGAACTCCCCCGACACACACTTAGTAAGGCCCCATGACATTTCTCCAACAGCCACCTCTCCTGAATTATGCAATTGCACAATGAGCTTACGAAAGCAAAGAATGAACTCCTACAGGAACCTTACCCAGATGTCATTTGAACTTTTCCCTAGTTTTCCAAGGAGATCCTTGTCTTGGCAAAATAGTAGGATTAGGTAAGCTGGGCAACTTCCTATCTTACTATGTTCTACTTAAAAGACACTCTGGTCTCTGGCATATCCAGAATCCCTGATTTCCTCACTTTCAACTCTAAGTTCTGTTTGCCAACTGAGTAAATGATGTGAATTGAAACTTTAAGGTTCATATTTTCTAGTGAAACATCTCCCGGGTCTTTGGTAAATACATATCAATGTTAGATTCATATTTAAGAGTTGTTACATACACTTAACATTTAGATATGCAATTATCTGAGGAAAAAATTCACTATTCTGGCATTTGATGGGTGAAAGATAATGTTATTAGAGCCATAGATAAAAGTACTCTCATATACATATCTGGGTTTGGAAAATCTTGGCTTTTCAAGAGAAAAATGCTTTTTTCACTTACTGTACGATTCAGCTAAAAAGCTTCCTGTAAACTAGACCAAGTACCACCTCTTCCACGAGGCCTGGGTAAGTTCCATTGAATGTTCTCGGAGTCACATGCTGAGCAGAAAGTTGAGCTGGGTTTTCCCTGCACATCCTGGATATTATCCCATTTATCTATTCTAGCCTGATCATGAGAAATAGCAGTAAAGGAAGACAGACTACCAAAAAATGTGAGAACAAATATGTTTGCAGACCTTTATTCAGCAGACAATGTCTTGTACCTAGAAGACACATAATGAGTGTGTATGGAGTTGAAGAATGATGTTTAGACAATGAACTTGGTTCTATTTACCTGCCATTCAAATCTTCAGGAGGCTGCCAGGATGAAATGCAATACTCCAGTTACTACTAAGTCAAGTCCCTCAGAGATGCTGAAGAAATCTCCAGAAGATTCAAGGTATCATATCTTAATCCCACCCCCACCACATCCCCTACTGTCTCTGCAGTAAACATAGCTCTGGAGAAGTATAGACTGACCTTGGGTTTCATCTTTCCTTAAAGTTGTTCAAACACCTTTTTTTTATTATTATTATTTTTAAAAGATGTTTATTTAGCTCAAGGTTCTGCAGGCTGGAAAGTACAAGAAGCATGGTGCCGGCATTTGCTCAGCTTCTGATGAGGGCCGCGTGGTAGGTCAAACCATCTCAGGGAAAGTCAAAGGGGAAGTGGACTCATGCAAAGAGATAAAACTAAAGGAATGTCCTGGCATTATTACAACCCATGCTCCTGGGAACTAATTCATTTCCATGAGAACTAATGAAGTCTTATTGGAGTGAAAACTCACTCACTATCAAGAGAACACCACCAAGTTATTCATAAAAGATATTCCCTGGTGACCAAAACACCTCCCACTAGGCCCCACCTCCTGACACGGGCACATTGGAGGTCACAGTTCGCATGAGTTTTGGAAACACTTAATTTTAAAAGCAAGGGCCTGGTCAAATGATATGCATATGGATTTGTCAACCAGCTACTTTGAGCAATGATCATAACCATGAGGGCTGAGGTAGAGAAGGTTGGAATTTGTAATCACCGGAAAAGCAAAAGCCCTGACCACATCCAAAGTGTGACTTTCTGGTACAATAGGCTTCTGGAAGTAGATGAATCTGGGTTTTTCAAGGTTGTCATCTTAGCAAGGGATGAACTTGGATTGTTCAGGTTTCCAAGGAAGCCCGAAGTATACCCAACGGTTCTGTGAATATAGTGATGATTCTGAGAAATCTTAGAGTCTAAAAGTTTATGGTAGAGTAGGTAGGGTATTCTTATGGTGATGTAATGAAATTGTAACTGGCCAAAACTCCAGAAAGTACCAATGATGTCCTCAGCCCAGGAAATGTCTAACCCCTGCCTCTTTCGTTCCATGTGATTTAGAACTCTCCTGAGGCCCAAGGTTATTCTTCTGGAGCTAAAGGGTCCTAGGCAGACTATCTGTAGGTCTTGTTCAACAACTCCCACCATTTTCATTTCATATTAAGAAGTGAAAAAGCAAGAGTTATTTTCTCATTCTCCCGAAATTTTGTTTGGATAACTGAAGCAGAAGACTCCAGGGAACTGCACAAACAGAGAACTAGCACTGGGCAGATTAGGAGTGCCATTGTATGTATGGGACAGAAGAGCATCGGTGCTCCCACTCTTACCATGGGTACGGTAGAAGTGTGGATGTGGGTGTGGCCATGTGACTCCGACCCTAAGAGTATGTGATGTCATGTCAGGTCTTTCATCATTAGCCTCTAGAAGTTGGGGGCTAAGACTTCTGTCTGATCTCTGAAGCAACATACATTTCACATATTCTCAGGGAAAGCCTGAAGCATTTGCCCTTGTTTTCTTTCCATGAACAATCTTGGAGCATCATGCTACTCATTACAGCTTTGATCTCAAGGCCTATAACCTTTAATAGATGTAGTGTGAGTAGGAATGACTTAGACCAAAAGCAGCCCTAATTTAAGAAACTAACATTAAACACTGACTAAGGTTTCTACGGGGCAGCTAAAGGGGAGAGAATGATCAATTACAAACCAGTAATAGGTAGCCAAAAGTCAGACTTCTCAGTCACAACCTGGGGGTAGGCCAAAATGTGAAGTCGAACAATAATGTCACAAATAGCTGACTTTTTTTTTGCATTTGTTCTGTTAGGAAAGTCTGTCTTGGAAGATTCAGTAAGGCAGCTGGCTGGTTGGAGGAGCCATTTGTCACTTTAGCCAGAGAAGCCTGTAATCTAATAGTTTCAGTTCCCCTGGAAACAAGTGCATAGAGGCATGTCTGCTCTGGAAAAGGCAATCTGAGCAGTGCCAGGGTGCTTGGAAGAGCCTCAAATACAGGCTGTGAGTGCTGGCTCCTCAGAAGGTCTTACCCAGAGAACAGAAGCCTGGGGCAGCCCAAGGTACTTCCCACCACCTTGTTACTTGTGACTTTGCGTCACCTATTTTGCTTCCCCAGGCCTCAGTCTTTTTACTTGTAAAATGGAGTTAAGGATAGTAACTCATGCTTTGAGTCAGGCAAGGCCAAAGTTCAAAACTCCATTCTAACATTTCCTGTTTGAACTTTGGCAATTAATTACTCTCACTCTGAACCTCTCTGAATGTTCATTTCTTCATCCATAAAATGTGGGAAATAATACTGATTGTTTGGATCTTAGAAAACATAATAATGTATGTAAACATAGTAGACATTCAATAAACACTTGTTGAATTAATAGATGAATGATAGTGCCCAGCACATAGTAGGTGATTTTTAGGTGTAGGTTCATCTTCTTTCTTCCCTAACTAGATATGATATGGAATCATACAGTGAGACAAATTATTCTTACTGAGCCACAGGATCCAGGTATCAGCCTAATATTCTAGAGAGTGTTAAGTTTACATCTTCTATGTTTTTTTTCAATTGTTTTTATAGGCACTATTCTGGCCAGAAACATATATCTTAATTGCACTGACGGAAAATATGTTATAGCTAAAGGCAAAAATAAGAAGTAGTATCATGATAACCCAGCTAATATCAAAAAGGTGAACAATTTCTCTCTATAGAAAAATGTGCACACATTCATCAACACAAAGAAACCCCCACAGAGTTCTGCATGTAACCTCAAGGATCCGCCAAAGCCCCAGGTTAAGAACCTCTGGTGCACAAGACTGGACAGGTAGGGCAGCTGACCAGGTAGTTGGCATAACAACCTTGTAAAACTTTTTGCCAAAAATTTTAGGCAGATGCAGATTTTAAAGAATAACATTAGCTTTTCCCTTCAAACTTTCATTCTAGTAGAACCCTGCTTCACCATTCTTAGCTCCTATCTTTTCTTCTTACCTCCTTCCATTCCTTTTAAAGCTGGTCACAAGACTTTCTTTAAAAAATGAAAATTAGCCAGGCATGGTGGCTCACGCCTGTAATCCCAGCACTTTGGGGGGCTGAGGCGGGCAGATCACGAGGTCAGGAGATCGAGACCATCCTGGCTAACATGGTGAAACTCCGTCTCCACTAAAAATAAAAATAAAAAAAGATGAGCTAGGCGTGGTGTCAAGTGCCTGTAGTCCCAGCTACTCAGGAGGCTGAGGCAGGAGAATCGCTTGAACCCAGGAGGCGGAGGCTGCAGTGAGCCGCCAAGACTGTGCCACTGCACTCCAGCCTGGGTTACAGAGCAAGACTCCGTCTAAAAAAAAAAAGAAAAAGAAAGGAAAATTATAGCTGGTTTATAACATTTCCATCTGTCTCTGCTATGTTGAAGTTAGGAAGATCTATAGTTGGTGGTCATCAGCATTTCAATTTAATTGTATTGCTCTATGTGTTAAATGTTAATATTCTTTATGGTAATTGCTGATTGGTCTTGAGTTGCAACATATATCTGTATATAACTATATATGTAGATCTCTGCCCATGACCATTAATATCACCCATTCTCCATATATAAAGGTTGTCCTTTGATCTACAGGTTCAGCTGAAAGCTCTTTGAGAGTATCCAGGCCTTTTAATGCTCTTTCTTAGAATGAGCAGCCCTAGTCCTTGTATTCTTTCTGTCCGTTGTATGGCACACCTTGTATTCTTTCTGTCTGTTGCAATTTTCCCCAGCAACTGCAGTCTGTGTTTTGAAGTCATGACTCAACACATATATAGAATTTTTCTGGCCAGTGCAGTGGGTCACGTCTGTAATCTCAGAACTTTGGGAGGCCCAGGCAGGCGGATCAAGTGGTCAGGAGTTCAAGACCGGCCTGGCCAACATAGTGAAACCCCATCTCCACTAAAAATACAAAAATTAGCCGGGCATGGTGGCACGTGCCTGTAGTCCCAGCTACTCCGGAGGCTGAGGCATGAGAATTGCTTGAACCCGGGAGTTGGAGGTTGTAGTGAGCCGAGATCGTGCCGCTGCACTCCAGCTTGTGCAACAGAGTGATACTAAAAAAAAAAAAAAATTTCTGTTCACCCAGCTTGTGGTTAGCCCACTTTAATCTATCATATTACAGCTGTTTGAATATGGGACAGTTATCCATTTTCCATCCTTGAGAGGCTGTGTTTGAATGATTATTGTTTCACTGCAAGTAGACTGGCTATGTTCCAGGAACTGTCCTGTCACTGCATATTGAGTACAGTTCCTGTATTATGCTGGTAAAGCAAAGGTCCTTCATTATAGCCTAAATCTACAGTGTGATTCTGGGCACACATGGCTGCAATTTTGTCCAGTAGCCAATACCAGAAAATTTCTGTTGGTGAACTTTGTTTCAGTGGAAAGCATGATAGCTAGCCCAGGCAGCTTTTGATTTTGAAGATGGGGATGATAGCAGACTCTTTCCATACCATATCATTGGTCAAATGCATCAGACAGAATGTTCTGACTGGTTGAAAATTTCCATTTGTGAGTCACTGCTTCCTTCACTGTCTCTTACCAAAAACTTTTCTTTAAGTTCAAAATTTGTATACTGTCCCTTAAGAGTATGAATAGTCCTATAATACCCTACTAAGTGAGAAAGAATGGTGGGAGGCAAGGAGCCTGTGAGCAGCAAATCCCTGATACAGACACAAAGGATCACAGAGGGCTTGAAGCTTTCACTCAAAGACCTTTTTTTCATTTTTATTCTTTAAAATCCAAGCCACAGATAGCATTTTTTTTCCAAGGAGCTTTTGAAAGCTGTAGTACCAGCCTCCAAGAATTTTGGCAGACTGAACTCTGCCAATCCCAGCCAATGCTAAGTACAAGCCTAAATGTAAGCAACAGGGCAAGGGACAGGTGGAAATGAACAACATCTCATATTTTTACTTCCTTCTATCTTTCCCCACTTCCACTGAGAGCTACATGTCAGAATGTCTGCTGTGGAAGGAAAAGATTGATCGAACGATTCTCTCACATCTAAAGTCATAACGGCCACTAATGTTTAAGCACTAATTCTTTGTCTGAGTGGCGGTATAGTGACTAAGGGCATGGGCTCCAGTGCCACATTCCTAGACTCAAATTCTGACTCTCTGTCTTAGTAACCTAGAGACTTTGGGGCAATTGCTTTACCTGAGAGCTCTTGGTTTTCTCATCTTGGATGTGGCATTAATATCACTACCTACCTCATTGTATTGTTGTGAGGTTTATATTAAACACCTTATATATGTGTGTGTATACATGCATGTGTCTCAAAACAGTGTTTTAATAATAATTTACTAATATTATTATTATTACCAGGGTTAAGGGCTCTTCCACTCTGCCCTATTCTGTTACTGTCATGAATTCCCTATATTGTCCTTGGATCTCAATGCTATGTTTATTGTTCCAACAGTGTCTTCAACTTTGTAGGACTAGACTACACCTATGTCCATGAGAATGTTCACCAGGCTCCTGCCCTAAATCCCCTTTGTGATGGCTCTGGGGGTCCCCTTGGGGCCCTAACACCATAGCCAAAAATAAACTCCTTAATCTACAAGGGAACAAATAGAACATAAAGAGCAAGGGAGACAAAAGTCAGTAGCAAATGGAAGGCTGCCTAACACATCAAAAGCCGCTCCATGCCAGTAGGAAGTAGAAGACCAGAGCTATCCCTTTGGTTTGTGGTTTGCTCACTTTGTTCCGTTCCCCACTTCTTCTCTCCCTCCTATTTCCCCATCCATTTAAAAAAAAAAAAACAGCATGTTGAGGCTGCTGACGCAGTAATCTGGCTTGTGGTAGCTCTTACTGTGTAGTGACTCACACTGAGGAGCAGGAATAATTTGCCTGATGGGGGAGGGAAAGAGAGTTTTGTCTGTGTGGGGGTGTACAAGGCAATTGCTGGGGAGGTAAGCAGACAGCTAAAAGAGCACACCAGTCAGCTCTCCTGGGAAAAACCCTCACAGGCCCAGGGCATGGCATCCCCTTGGCGGAGGAAAAGAGTTTGGAGAGGGCGGAAATCCCAATCATCCAGTTTTCAGTTTAGGGCAGTCACAGAGGACTTCGAAGCCATGGGACTTGATAGATCTTGGCAACTGCAAACCTAAATCTGGAGGACTTGTACAAAGGAGAACAAAGAGCAGAATAGTGAATTAAGTTCTACTTTCCCCTTCCCCCGTCCTCCAGGGACACAGGGCTTTCATGATGCTCGGTGCTTCTCCAAACAACTTTCAATTCAGCACCCCCTCTCAGGTGGGCAGCTTCCCAGCCCAAGTATTGCCAAGCATTTCCAAAGTTCATCACAGTGGAAACCATGAACGGGAAGCCTGACCCACTCCATAGCGGGGCCTTAGGCCTCTACTGGGCTGTCTTCTCTGTAACTCCCAGGCAATTTCAGCGTCAGCCCGTAGGAGGAGATATGGGCAGGAAGCCGCTCGTTTCTTTTCCCCTGGAGGCAGACCTCCTCCCACCCGCTGTTCTTCATACTGTTCATTCACCAGGTTCCTCATAAATACCACAGTCCCCTTTCCCTAGCCTCTCCTCATGACTTCAAAGTGTAGGACAACTTAAATGTGGCTCTTCTCCCCAGAGGTGGTCAGGGATACTTGCTTAAGGCATGCCTTTCTCTCTTTCTCTTATAAAATTTCTCTTGATCTATACTATTTTTCTCAATCCTCTTTTGAATGACTAAAACAGGTCAAATAATCAAATCCAGGTTTGAGTGATGATGGCAGATAGATAATATCTCGCTTTGCTACTTTTCTCAGGCAATTTATGCATTTTCAAAGGATCCTACAATATGTTAGCCCATGTATTGGCACACTTTTTCTGTAAAAGGCCAAATAGTAAATATTTTAGGCTTTGCAGGCCATACTGTCTTTGTTGCAACTATTTAACTCAGCTGTTGCAGTCTGACATCAGCAATAGACAATTCATAAACAAATTGGAGTAGCTCTGTTCCAATAAAGAAATAAACCGAATATCATGTTTTCATGTCACAAAATATTATTCATCTCTTGTTTTTTTTTCAACCATGTAAAAATGTAAAAAAATTCTTAGCTTGGACATACAAACAAAACAAAACAAAACAACACAAAAAAACAGGAGGCGGTCTAGATTTGGTCCGTGGGCTGTAGTTTCCCAACTGATGCCTTATGAAAGGATTGATTCAAATGAGAGTTTCACATAGTGCTGTAAGTTGAATGGGATGTGGAGAGAGAGCTTTTTAGAATGGGATTAGGGACAACCTCGCCATCCTCTTCAAATCACACCAACTAGGTACACTGTTGCATGCTTGCTATTTCATTCAATACATATTTCTAAGGAACTATATATGCCAAGCACTGTGCTAGGTACTATGTAATGCAATTATCATTAATAGAATAAAATAGATGTTGTCTATGCCCCTATAGAGTTTAAAGTACAATGGGGGAGACAGATAATCAACAAGAAAATAGCCAATAAACATATCTTTTCAAGTTATGATAGATGTATGAAGAAAACACAGGAGAGAAGTTGCATAGGATGACAGGGGAGCATACTTAAAAATTGCAGTCAGGGAAGGAAGTTTTGCATATGGAGAGGTTTTTGCTAAAAAATTAGTCTGGTGAAGAGAAGCAAGGAGTAGGGGAAATAAAGTAAATTCCAGGCAGCATGCAGAAAAATCAGCATGTGTAAGGAGCCTGAGACAGGAAAGAGCTTACCTTGCTCACAGACCTGAAAGTAGACATATAACTAGTAGTATTGGAGGAAAGTGGCTACAGAGGAGATGGAAGAAGTAGACAAAGTCCAGGTTATTTACAGCTTTGTAGTCCATAGAAAGGAGCATGGGCTTCATTTAAAATGCAAGGGAAACTCTTTTAAAAGCTTAATCTGGCTAATGTGTGCAGAATAGACTGCAGGGAAGGGGAGAGCATAAACTGGGTAATCAGTTAAGCATTCATTACAGTAGTATAGGCAAGAAGTGATGGTGGCTTACAGTAGGGTATTGGCAATGAAAATTTAAAAAGAGTGGACATGTATGAGATTTTTGGCAGAGGAGCTAGAAACTATGGAACTTGCTGATTAGATGTTGGAGATGAGAGAGATAGCAGAATCCAAAACAATTTGCTGTTTCTGGCTTCAATAGCCTGGTAGATGGTTGTTCCTTTTGATGAGATAGGAAAGACTGGGAAAGGAAATTATATTTGGGGAATGGGAGGTAGGGAAGATGGTACGAATAAAGAGTTCTATTTTGGGGCAGGTTAAGTCTAAGATGCCTTTGAGATATCCAAGTAGATGTCTAGCTAGTTGGTTATGTGAGCCTACCATATAAAGGAGAGTTTGGAGTTGGGGATATAAATATGGATGAAGTCAACATATAGATGATATTTAATCCCATGGGAGTAGAGGAGATCACTCAGTGAGAGTGCAGATAGGGAAGAGAGGAAGCCCTAGAAACTAGTGCTGGGCCACTCAAAAATTTAGATATTGGATACAGGAGGAGTCCATTGGATAGAGAAGCATCTTCAAAATGGACTGAAGAGGAGTAGTCAAAGATACTGGAGAATTAAGAAAAATATGTATTGTCACAGAAGCTGAGAGAAGAGACTGTTGGAGGAGAGAGTAGTCAACTGTGTTGAATACTGGTGGAATATCAATTTAGATGAGGACAAAAGGAACACTATTGGTTTTGGTAACATGGAGGTCTTAAGTGACCTTGGCAAGAAGTTTGGGTGGGGTGGTAGCAATGGCTGAGGTGAACAGAGATGTAAGACCTGATAGGATTAGCCTTGTAAGGTCAGTTCCAGAGCTGTGATCCAGAATGCATACTTGGTGGTTTGGCAGTTTCCAAGGCAGCTACTCCCTCGGGCAGCATTAAGTGGTATGGCCCTGATGGCGTAGCATGGCTTTCTATTCTTTCACGGTGTTTTTTTTTTTTTTTTTTTTTTGAGACAGAGTCTCGCTCTGTCACCGAGGCTGGAGTGTAGTGGAACGATCTTGGCTCACTGCAACCTCCGCCTCCCAGGTTCAAGCGATTCTTGTGCCTCAGCCTCCCGAGTGGCGGGTATTACAGGCGTGAGCCACTATGCCCGGCTAATTTTTGTATTTTTAGTAGAGACTGGGTTTCACATTGGCCAGGTTGGTCTCGAACTCCCAACCTCAAATGATCTGCCCACCTTGGCCTCCCAAAGTGCTGGGATTACAGGCGTGAGCCACCACGCCTGGACTCATGGTGGGTTTTAAAAGGAAATAAATGCTCATGCATTTATTTGTTCAGTAAATATTAATTGAGCCATTAATAAGTGCCAGGTACTCTAGATGCTGGAGGTGAAGTAGGGAACAAACCCCTAAAACTTCCTGCCCTGGTGGAGCCTATATTCAACTGACTAGTAAAGCCAAATAAACAGGCAAATATAGTCAATCTCATTAAGTACTATGACATAGGAAGATACATTAGTCAAGGTAGTTCATTCTGACTTCTGTAACAAACAACCCTCACATCTCACTAGTTCAACACAATAGAAGTTTATCATTCATGTCACATGCCAATGCAGGTCAAGCAGCTCTCCTGGGATGCTCTCTTCCAAGCAGTGACTCAGGAACAAGGCCATTTTTGTCTCATGGCTCCACCATCATAGACCTCCTCAGAGTCCTCAAATGGAGCCTCTGTATTCTGTAGGTCAACAAGGAAAGATAGCTCACAGAGTATCATGCAGCATGATTTATGGCCAGACTTGAAATTGAAAGTGACCAGAAGCCAATCTAATGGCAAGGGATGCTGGGAAATATAATCTTCCTCTTTGTCCAGGAAAGAAATGGGATCGGTGAGAAACTAGTCTCCACAAGTGAAGTGTAGGTCAGAAGAAGAGCTTTTTTCTTTTCTTTCTTTCCTTCTTTCCATCTTTCTTTTTCTTTTTCTTTTTCTTTTCCTTTTTTTTTTTTTAACGGAATCTTGCTCTGTCACCAGGCTGGAGTGCAGTGGTGTGATCTTGGCTCACTGCAACCTCCTACTCCCGGGTTCAAGCGATTCTCCTTCCTCAGCCTCCCAAGTAGCTGGGACTACAGGGGTGCGCCACCACACCCAGCTAATTTTTGTATTTTTAGTAGAGACGGGGTTTCACTATGTTGGTCAGGATGGTCTTGATCTCTTGACTTCGTGATCCGCCCATCTCAGCCTCCCAAAGTGCTGAGATTAGAGGGGTGAGCCACTGCACCCGGCCAGTAGAGCTTTTAATATTTATTTAAAGTATCAGGAAAAGGTTCCTAGATGAAGTGACATCTAAGTCACCTGAAAGATGATGAAGAATTAGCCTAGTGAAGTGAGGTTAAGAATATTTCAACCCGAGGGAACAGCAGGTGCTAATGACAGAAGGTAAGAGAGAACATGGTTTATTTGAAGGACTGAATGAAGTCTGGCAAGGCCAAAGCATACAGCATGAGCTCAGAAATGGCAAGAGATGAGAATGAAAAGGAAGGGTCAATGCAAAGGTGAGTGCAGGCCTTTGGAGTGATGATTTCAAATAGAAGAGTCAAGCGATCCTACAGGGTAGCTGGTCCCTGATGAAGGCTCTGGGTAGAGGTACTAGGGCAGAGGTCTCAAACATAAAGGCCTTCAGGGGCTAAGCGGAAAAGCTGAGCACTGAAAACAGAAGAGAGCAATGGTGCCTACAGTAGGTGGAGTGTGTATTCCATGCCTAAATATATTAAATTCAAAAACAAAAACCAACCAAAAATCCACTGCACAGAACAAACTGCATCTGCTATGGATACCGTTCCTGGTCTTAAGTTTGTGGGGCCTGGTAGAAGGTTTCAAGAGAGTCTTTATAGTCACCAAGGAGTTCAGGTCAAAAATAGGAGATGGGGATACACCAGACATGTCAGGAACAAGTCTATAGTTGTCAATGTGCTGATTTGCAAAAGCTTTCATATTTCTTCCTGCTATTTTCAGTTAACTGGCTGGTAAGATTGCACATTTTTGGACAGTAATGGGATTGTATTATTTCATTCCAATAATAATAACAACAACTAAAAGGCCAGGCACTTCTTTAAGGGCTTTATTAACCCACTAAGTCCTCAAAACAACCCATGTGGTAGTTAACAATGATTATATCCATTTTTAGATGAGAAAGTTGAAAGAGTAACCTCACAGCAACTTGCCTAAGCTCACACAGTTAGAAAGTGACAAAGTAGAGATTTGAACCAAAAGCAAACTGCTTCTAGAGTCCATGCTCTTGCTAAAGTCTGGCTCTTTACAAACATTATTCTACACTGTCTTTCAGGAAATATTTACTGGATGCCAACTATGGGCACTGGGGCTAAATCCTGAAGAAAGTGACGAATAAGACAAACCTCTACCTTCAAGGAATTATCAGTCGATAGCAGGGGCCCACTGACCATGCTGCTTGTTTCTCTATGGCCCGTGAGTTAAAAATGGTTATTACATTTTTAAATGGTTGAAAAGATAATTAAAATAACAATATATATGTATATGCAGAGACATATGAAATATATATGTATATAACATGACACATGAAAATTATATGAAATTCAAATTCACTATCCCTAAATAAAGGTTTATTGGAACACTGCCACATTCATTTATGGATTGTCTATGGCTGTTTTCATGTTACCACCAGCAGAGTGGAATAGTTGGAGCACAGATCCTACCGTCCACAAAGAATCAAATATTTACATCTGGCCCTTTACCAAAAATATATGCTGACTTCTGATCTATTGAGTCAGATGAATTTTGTCAAAGGCCTTTTCTGCATCTATTGAGATAATCATGTGGTTTTTGTCTTTGGTTCTGTTTATATGCTGGATTACATTTATTGATTTGCGTATGTTGAACCAGCCTTGCATCCCAGGGATGAAGCCCACTTGATCATGGTGGATAAGCTTTTTGATGTGCTGCTGGATTCGGTTTGCCAGTATTTTATTGAGGATTTTTGCATCAATGTTCATCAAGGATATTGGTCTAAAATTCTCTTTTTTGGTTGTGTCTCTGCCAGGCTTTGGTATCAGGATGATGCTGGCCTCATAAAATGAGTTAGGGAGGATTCCCTCTTTTTCTATTGATTGGAATAGTCTCAGAAGGAATGGTACCAGCTCCTCTTTGTACCTCTGGTAGAATTCGGCTGTGAATCCATCTGGTCCTGGACTTTTTTTGGTTGGTAAGCTATTGATTATTGCCTCAATTTCAGAGCCTGTTATTGGTCTGTTCAGAGATTCAACTTCTTCCTGGTTTAGTCTTGGGAGGATGTATGTGTCAAGGAATTTCTCCATTTCTTCTAGATTTTCTAGTTTATTTGCATACAGGTGTTTATAGTATTCTCTGATGGTAGTTTGTATTTCTGTAGGATCAGTGGTGATATCCCCTTTATCATTTTTTATTGCATCTATTTGATTCTTCTCTCTTTTCTTCTTTATTAGTCTTGCTAGAGGTCTATCAATTTTGTTGATCTTTTCAAAAAACCAGCTCCTGGATTCATTAATTTTTTGAAGGGTTTTTTGTGTCTCTATTTCCTTCAGTTCTGCTCTGATCTTAGTTATTTCTTGCCTTCTGCTAGCTTTTGAATGTGTTTGCTCTTGCTTTTCTAGTTCTTTTAATTGTGATGTTAGGGTGTCAACTTTAGATCTTTCCTGCTTTCTCTTGTGGGCATTTAGTGCTGTAAATTTCCCTCTACACACTGCTTTGAATGTGTCCCAGAGATTCTGGTATGTTGTGTCTTTGTTCTCGTTGATTTGAAAGAACATCTTTATTTCTGCCTTCATTTTGTTATGTACCCAGTAGTCATTCAGGAGCAGGTTGTTCAGTTTCCATGTAGTTGAGCGGTTTTGAGTGAGTTTCTTAATCCTGAGTTCGAGTTTGATTGCACTGTGGTCTGAGAGACAGTTTGTTATAATTTCTGTTCTTTTACATTTGCTGAGGAGTGCTTTACTTCCAACTATGTGGTCAGTTTTGGAGTAGGTGTGGTGTGGTGCTGAAAAGAATGTGTATTCTGTTGATTTGGGGTGGAGAGTTCTGTAGATGCCTATTAGGTCCGCTTGGATACATAAACATAATTTCAATACAAAATGAAGGAAGACAGTGTTTGGTGTGAAACGTATGAGCTTTGATTCGATGGAGACTGACAGACTCATATTTGAATCCCAGCACAATCTCTACTAGCGGTGTCATTTTGGGTAAGTTATTTAACTTCTCTGAACCTGTTTCCCAGATAACAAGGCTAATAATGTGTTTTTGCATACTTTTGTGAGGACTAGAGCTAATATATATATAGTGTTTGCACGAACACTCAAATAATGACAATACTAGTAGCAATAATACAAGGGGACTTCAAAAATTTCATGGAAAATGTGTATTATGAAAAAACCACACATGGATTTCATTTGTTTTGCATCAAAATAAATTTGTGCTAACTTGTTATAATGTGTCTGAATGGGATCTAGTGTGAGGCACTAAGAAGAATAAGACATCGGTTTGAAAAGAGCCCCTATCAGAGCAACGGGATGGGTATTCTGCTAAAAGTGAAGCAAGAACAAACATGAAATTTATGGTGAAGTTTGGGTGGACGAATGGTGAAATCATTGATGTTTCATGAAAAGTTTATGGGGACAATGTTCCAAAGAAATCAATAGTTTCCAAATGGACAACTCATTTTAAGAAGGGATAAGAAGATGTTGAAGATGAAGTCCACAGTGGCAAACCATCCACATCAACTTGAAAAGGAAAAATTCAGCTTGTTCATGTCCTAATTGAAGAGAACTGACAATTAACAGCAGAAACAATCCCCACACCATAGACATCTCAGTTGGTTCAGCTAACACAATTCTGACTGTAAAATTAAAGTTGAGCAAACTTTCCACTCCATAGGTCCCAAAACCATTGCATGCAAATCAGCTGCAGACATGAGTAGAACTTTCAACAGAAATTTTAAACGAGTGGGATCAAGATCCTGATGCATGTCTTCAAAGAATTGTAACCAGAAATGGAACATGCATGATCCTGAAGACAAAGCACAATCAAAGCAATAGTTACCAAGAAGTGGTCAAGTCAAGAGCAAAGGTTATGGCAACAGGTTTTGGAGGATGCTCAAGGCATTTGCTTGTTGACTTTCTGGAGGGCCAAAGGATGATAACATCTTCATATTATGAAAGTGTTTTGAGAAAGTTAGCCAAAGCTTTAGCAGAAAAATACCAGGGAAAGCTTCACCAAAGTCCTTCTCTATCACAACAATGCTCCTCCCCATTCCTCTTATAAAACAAGGGCAATTTTGTGAGAGTTTTGATGAGAAATCATTAGGCATCCTTCTTAAAGTCCTTATTTGGCTCCTTCTGACTTTTCTTTGGGTCCTAATATTAAAAAATCTTTAGAGGGCACCAATTTTCTTCAGTTAATAATGTGAAAAATATTGCATAACATAGTTAAATTCCCAGGACCGTCAATTATTTAGGGATGGATGAAGTGACTGGTATTATAGCTTACAAAAATGTCTTCACCTTGATGGAACTCATGTTGAGAAATAAAGTTTATATTTTTTTTACTTTTATCTTTAATTCCATTTTTCACGTTTTGAAATCCCCTTGTAATGTTAATAACATGTTTGATAGAGGAGGCAAGGTGCAATGTGAACCTTGTGCATGGACACCTAAAACAGTTTAGAGGGTTTACAGAAAGCTTCCTGGAGTAGGTAACCCTTTGAGTTGGCCTCTGGTGTCAGATGGAGCTATTTTGAATTGCAGTTCTTTCATTTACCACCTGTGTGTCCCTGGGCAGATTACTTTACCTTTTGGAGTCTCATTTTCCTCATATGCAAAATAGGGCTAATAATACTAATAGTGATGAACTCATAGAGTCATTATAAGGATGAAATGAGACGATGCATACACAACACTATGCGTTTGTTTGGCACACATTGAGCATCTAATAAAAGTCAGTTGTCATTGTCGTGGTTGTTGTTATTATAGTTTAGGACACAGGTTTTGAAAGCAGAGAGACCTGGCTTGAACTCTGACCCCGAGCAAGTTACTTAATGTCTCCAACTCCCGTTTCCTTATCTGTAAAATGAAGGTAGTAATTCTATCCAAGTATGAAGGTTATCAGGATTAAATGATATAATTTACTTAACCCAGTGTCTGGCAGATGATAAGTTCTCCATAAATAGTCGCTGTTGTTATTAGGCACAGTGAGGGCAACAGTGAGTGCCCAGTAAATGTTGTTGAATGACCAACTAACTAGTGGGTACCAAGTATTCATATTCAGTAGTTGAGAGAGGAAACTCCATCAACTTCAGCTTTACTATTACAAATTGGACATGAAGCCATCTCTACCTGAAAAGCCTTGATACCTTACAGTTACTAAAACATTTTCGGAATTTCCTGTTATTTAGTAACTGCTAGTCCTCAGCTGATATGTAAATAAGACTTCCGAGTATGTGTAAAGTTACTAAACAGTATGGGGAAACGGTCCTCCTGGTTAGTTTTTTCCATCAATAAATAACCCATCATTTGATGAAGCAACAAGCTCATTTCCCTAAAAAAAAAAAAATAGCAGAAACAACATGACTCAGAGCTTTAAAAAGCCCTGTTTGGTTTTTGTTAAATATATATTTAGATAATGATAAACCAAGACCTTAGGCCAGATTCACAATCTCCTCCTCTGCTTCTGTGGCTATGGTTATGCAAGGAAATGGAAAAAAATGTTCAAAGAGACCAGGGGCCCTAGTCCAACATTTGGACTGATTGAATTTCCTAACCCCACTTCCTTCTGTGGTTCTTTCCCAGCCAGGCTAATAACCTCTATACAAGATTGACCCTCAGAAAAGTTATATGCAGGCCAACTTTGTCTTTGCTTCCTCCTTGTCTACCTTTCCACTCCTCTATGCTCTGTGTCTCCAGTATCTTCATGCTCTTCTCCAGCCCCCCAAATCCCTTTCTGATATGTCTTTTATGAAGTAGCTTTCCAGGGCATAGATAGCCCTTGCCCTCCCTCCCATCGAATTGACCTGTCCTGTAGGTCACTCACCCAGGGTTCTGGCTATTGGTTCCTAAGGTGACAGGTGATCGAATTGTAATAGTATAGCTGCTTCCACTGCCCCAACTCTGGCATATTAACATGCTCAGTTCCTTGCTCCAAAGAAGAGGTTCAGGAGCTCCTCTATGAAACACTGCCAGGAGTCCCAGGTTTCCTAGTGTCAGGGTGGGGTTGCTGCATGAAATTCATGTTAGCCACCAACTGTGCATTCTGCCCACAGTGGTGAGTTGGCTTGTGGCATGCTTTGTCAGAGCTCCTGCTTGGTAAAGTCAACTGGGGTAAGCATAGGGTGCCAGTGAGATGAAGTTACATGGAGATAAGGGTAATATCAACCCCTGCCCCCCCACCCCCGCCCAGGGATATTGTGATGATTAAATTAAGTAATATATGTAAAACTTTCAGAAGAATACCTGGCACTATGTAAGTGTCCAATAAATGTTAGTTGTTGTTGTTACTCTCACCCACTGAAGACTGGGTGGCTAGCCAGCAAGGATTCTGATCCAACACGGCTCATGACTACAAATGCTGCTTCTCTCAGCGTGCCTCTTTTGGAGCCCACTCCCACTCACCAAGCCCCTCCTGAGCAGGGATGACTCCCACTCAAGGACCACATTTGGGGCTCTGGCTCCCAGCTTTTCCCCACCTCCTAGTCTGTCCTGCCTGTCTGCCTGCTGCTAACCTCATTTACCATCGGCACTAAAAGCCCTAGTGTCTTCTTTTCCCTCATAACAATCCAGAAATCATACACCAGCAGCAAATAGGTGCTGAGGAAATTTTGTTTGACTGACATGGTTTTTTTTAAAATTTCAGTTGGTTGACAACATTTAAAGATCAGGAGGTTTCCTATTAAAAAAAAAGCTGGGATTTTGACTTCTTTCTTTTTCCTTTTTTTTTTTTTTTTTTTTTTTTTGAGACAGTCGGCTGGAGTGTGCTGGCGAAATCTTGGCTCACTGCAACCTCCGTCTCCTGGCTTCAAGCGATTCTCCTGCCTCAGCCTCCTGAGTGGCTGGGACTACAGGCACGTGCCACTTTCATGCGCGTCGGTGTGAAGAGACCACCAAACAGGCTTTGTGTGAGCAACATGGCTGTTTATTTCACCTGGGTGCAGGCGGGCTGAGTCCGAAAAGAGAGTCAGCAAAGGGTGGTGGATTATCATTAGTTCTTATAGGTTTTGGGATAGGCGGTGAAGGTAAGAGCAATGTTTTGCGGGCAGGGGTGGATCTCACAAAGTACATTCTCAAGGGTGGGGAGAATTACAAAGAACCTTCTTAAGGGTGGGGGAGATTACAAAGTACCTTCTTAAGGGTGGGGGAGATTACAAAGTACATTGATCAGTTAGGGTGGGGAAGAAACAAATCACAATGGTGGAATGTCATCAGTTAAGGCTCTTTTTACTTCTTTTGTGGATCTTCAGTTACTTCAGGCCATCTGGATGTATACATGCAAGTCACAGGGGATGCGATGGCTTGGCTTGGGCTCAGAGGCCTGACAGCCACCACACCTGGCTAATTTTTTGTATTTTTAGTAGAGACGGGGTTTCACCGTGTTAGCCAGGATGGTCCTGATCTCCTGATCTCGTGATACACCCACTTTGGCCTCCCAAAGTGCTGGGATTACAGGCGTGAGCCACCATGCCTGGCCTCTTTTCTTTTCTTTTTTAGATTTTAAGGTCTAACAACAGGGGCTCAAATCTCAGTTGGCAAATATCCATTGCCTCTGAGTGGTGCTTGCCCCCTTTAAACCAGCCTTGTACTCTCTGGTTTGCCACTGTCCCCATTGGCCCACTTCTCTCTTTCACTAGTACTAGCAATAGCCCTTAGGGCTCACCAGGAAGAGCCTTAATGGCTTATTAAAGCTGGAGCCCTTTGTCTCTCCCCTTCCCTTTCCTGCTCCTTCCCCTCTCCTCAAAAAACAAAACAAAACAAAACAAAAAACAAAAAAAACAAAAAACAAAAAAACTGGAGCCTAAATCAGTAGGAACAGAAAACAAGTTTCTCTTACCTGGAGGTCAGGGAAGCTGCCTGGCATTGGCAAAACTCAATTGCCTATCTCTGCTTCCTGGAGGGAAGAAGAGATATTCCTTTTATCCGCAGAAGGTTGCCCTTTACTGGAGATGAGCCAAATGACCTTCCTAAATGCAGAAAAGAAAAAATACAAAACAAGCTGAAGCTCACGCCTGTAATCCTAGCACTTTGGGAGGCCAAGGTGGGTGGATCATGAGGTCAGGAGATACAGACCATCCTGGCCAACATGGTGAAAACCCGTCTCTAGTAAAAATACAAAAATTAGCTGGGCGTGGTGGCGCATGCCTGTAATCCCAGCTACTTGGGACACTGAGGCAGGAGAATTGCTTGAACCAGGGAGTTGGAGTTTGCAGTGAGCTGAGATAGTGCCACTACACTCCAGCCAGGTGACGGAGCGAGACTTTATCAAAAGAAACAAACAAACAACAACAACAACAACAACAACAACAACAAGCTGAAGATGAGCATGGTGGCACGTGCCTGTAGTCTCAGTTACTCAGAAGGCTGAGGCAGGAGGATTACTTGAGACCAGGAGTTCAAGGCTGTAGTGCTCCATGATCGTGCCTGGGAATAGCCACTAAACTCTGGCCTGGGCAACATAGCAAGACCCTGTCTCTAAAAAAAGTAGTAATTATAATAAAACAAGCTGAATGTGTGAGTGTATAATACTGTATGTTTGCATCCTGCTACAAACTCATCTCTCCTCAGACATGTGTCTATTTCAACTAAAAAGTCCACATGTGTCTATTTCAACTAAGCTCTTTCTTCTCCAACAACTAAGCTTTATCTATGGTGTTTAGAGGGCCATGTGTTATTCAAATACTTTGGGCTGCTTTGTGTATACACTGATGTGCATTCTCCTGGAAAACCTTCTGGAAGCTCTCTAAGAGCCTGCAGGGTAGGATAGAGAGGATACTGAATGTTGACTCATCCAAACTTCTCCAGAGGGCAAGTCAGCCTCTAGGGGAATGCAGGGCAGCTGCAACCTCTGCCCAGTAGTCAGGCATTACAGGAATGCTTGTAGGAGTGCATCTGCCCTGAATGTTTACAGCTTGCTCTAAGTCTAAAGAAGGAAAATAGCAGATCAAGTCTCCTGAGCATGAGGGTAATAATAATAAACATGCAGCTTACTATGGTCTAGGCACGGTTTCATTGCCTCACAACAATCTTAGGAGAGAGGTTCCATTACTACCTCCACTTTTATCAATGGGGAAACTGAAGCCCAAGAGGGCAAGTAACTAGCTTAAGACTGTGAAGCTGATTAGTACCAGAGAAAGGATTCTAACCCAGGCAGAGTGACTACAGAGTTTGTGTTCCTAACCTCTACACAATGGGTCACACTATGGTCACAGGACCAGCAGCAGCAGCAGCACCACCTGTGAATCATTAGAAATGCACATTCCTGGGCCCCACCACATACCACATGAATGAAAGCTCTGGGGGTGGAGTGAAGCAACCTGTGTTTTTAGCCACCCCTCCAAGTGAAGCTGATGTTAGCTTAAGTTTGAGAACTGATGTCCTAGGGGATAAGGACCCCCAATAACTGTAATAGAGCACTGCAGATTGTCTGCTAGAAAGAATTGGGATGGCAGAACATACATTCAATTCGATGAGAAGTGAGAGGGGTATGGCAGTGGGGAGAAAGGTGGGATTGACCCATTAATCCAGAAATAGCTTTCCTGCCAACTTGTCCCAGTGTCTGGGAATCCCACAATTAGGCATTCATTCCTTTAAACTGTGAAGACTTCATGATTTTTTTTTTTTAACAGAGTCTCACTCTGTCACCAGGCTGGAGTGCAGTGGCACGATCTTGGCTCACTGCAACCTCCGTCTCCCAGATTCAAGCAATTCTCCTGCCTCAGGCTCCGAGTAGCTGGGATTACAGGCATGCACCACCACGCCCAACGAATTTTTTTTTGTGTTTTTAGTAGAGACGGGTTTTCACCATGTTGGCCAGGATGGTCTTGATCTCCTGACCTCGCGATCCACCCGCCTCGGTCTCCCAAAGTGCTGGGATTACAGGCATGAGCCACCGCACCTGGCTGACTTCATGATTCAGAAAGCATCTTTATTAATAAGTAAATGCCTCTGGCAGAAGGAATGCCATAAGTCACTTATCAGCCATGGAATCTTATGGAGAGTGACCAACCATTTCTGTCTGTTGGGGCTGAAAGATTTCTGGGGATGCAAGAATTTCTGCAATTAAAGCAGGACAGTCCCGTCATCATTCAAATCTACCCAGGATTAAGGTGGTTCCTTGGAGACAGGACTTTTGGTGTTAAAACCAGGGAAGTCCTACACAAACTGGGATGAGCTGGTCATCTTATACCATGGAGGACAGAGCTGCATGTTAGAAGCATGGAATGGACTACAGTAGGCATTGTCGTGTAGGTGGCTTTAGAAGCCATGCAGCTAAAGGTGCCCCAACTTTAAACCTGAGGTTGAGAGGCCAGGTGCGGTGGCTCATGCCTGTAATCCCAGCACTTTGGGAGGCTGAGGTGGGCAGATCACTTGAGGTCCGGAGTTTGACACCAGCCTGGCCAACATGGTGAAACCCCGTCTCTACTAAAAATACAAACATTAGCCAGGCGTGGTGGCATGCGCCTGTAATCCCAGCTACTTGGGAGGCTGAGGCAAGAGGATCACTTGAACCCAGGAGGCAGAGGTTACAGTGAGCTGAGATCGTGCCACTGCGCTCCAGCCTGGGCGACAGACTGAGAGACCATCTCAATTAAAATAAATAAATAAATAAACATGGGGTTGACAGGAAATTTTTTTAGAGCCAGGTTATGCCAACTTCAGCAAATGAATGAAGGTAACCTTTTGCATACAACGAAGACCCAGGGGTTATTAGGACATGTAATACCACAGTACAAGACTCTTCCATGAAATTTAGTGCAGAATGATAAAAGATTAAGAATTACTATCCAAAAAAAGTTATACAAATGTCAGTGCATGCATAAGACGGAATATGATGTCTCCATTTAAATTATGATAACAAAGACTCCTAAAGGCATGGAAAATGCTTGTGGATAAAATGCTTAAGGAGAAAAACAACAGGCAATAAAATGGTAGCTACAATTTTCAGGTAGTAAGATCTCAACCATGTCAAGAAAACTTGGAACAATAAAGGCCAGGAAAGACACCTTACTATGTTAATATGGGTTACTACTGGGCAATGGGATTATACATGGCTGATGGGTTTTTCTGCTTCTTGACCCTTTTTTCGTGGAACTTTGTCTAAATTTCTACATGACCACATATCACTTTCTTATCAGCAAAGAATCTAAAATAAATTATGAGGGAACCAAGAAGAAGAAGACTTCTCCATGGTGGACTTATTGGAGGACAGTCACCCAACGTTGGAGGCGTAGAGGGGATGGGGCCTTTCTGGGTGAAGACTACCCCCGGCCCAGCAGCAGCTGCTGCATATGAGGTCCAGACACCTTTGGCTGGGTCCAAACAGCATACAGACAACTATGCTGGAAAGGAGGGGAGGGACTTCCAGTTTTCACAAACAACCTGTGGGAACAAATGAGGGGAGATGGCTTTTATTGTGCTAGAAACAACCATTGCCTGATTCTGCAGGGACGGCGCTGCTCTGGCTATTGTTGCTGCCATCTGTGAGGTTTGTTGAAAGCTTATCTGGGAAGCTTGGCTGGACAAGGTAGTTGGGCATAGTTTGAGACTAAGAAGTACATTTTTTTCTTCAGTATGTTATATTTAATTTTCACAATAACTCTCTGAGTTTGAATGGATTTTCTTATCCATACTAATAAAGGGGTTTTTTTGACTAAGAATTATATTTGTCTTTTGGCCTTTTGTATATCCTGGCTTGGAGGTCAGTTCAGTTAAAGTGAAGCCATGATGGCAACATTGAAGGGGTAGATAGATAGTCATGGAAGGCTCCGAGGGGCTCAAGTGCCCCATTTACATGTCCCAGATGTTCTAGCAGGGGCTTTGGGAGATTTTGGAGAAGTACCTACTTAAAGGTGCAGGCAGGACTTTTCTGATGCCCATTCATCTTCCTGTCCTGAGGGGTTCTGCCACCTTTGATCTCCCTCAAAGGGGACAGTAATAATCTTAGTTGGCCACATGCCTTGCTGTTAAAACCAGGGCCTTAACCAGAACAGGGACTGGGCATATGTGGGAATTGGAGAGTGGCCATATAGCCTCACTAAACCCCACTCTAAACTCAGTGAGGGGCACTCTGATATGCATCAAGCTTAGAATATGGGGAATGAAAGACTTCCAGTGGAGTGGGGCTTTGTAGGGACAGGAATAATGAATGGAGTCCATGCTTTCTTTTTTCCTGGTGAGTTCTCTCCTCCTCTATCTCCCACATTCATTGTAAACCTGATGCAAGAGAGCTAAGCAGAGCAAGGAGAGGGTCCAGGGAAAGGAGACAAAAACACACTCTTTCTTCCTGTTTCAAATCTAACCCTTTTCTTGTTTAGAAAAAAAAAAGTGCAGCTCACTGCCAGCACTCATTTAATTTTACATAAACACGCTCTTTGAGGCTGAAGCAAATCAGACTGATTTTCAATGAGAAAATAAAATATAAAAATTGTTATTGGAGTTATTTCTAAACAGAACTAATACCAGAATCATCTGAATCATCAGAATCGTCTATTTCAGAAAATTCGGTTCATGAAGTGAATCTTCGGCCAACAACTGTTCGAGAATGATGTTAACATCACACGTAGGAATGCTATGTTTTCTGGGATTTGACATTTTCGGTGATTTAGAATTATTATACTTTGTAAATGGAAATACCACTACTAAAAACAGAATGCTATTAATAGAATGATGCCTTTTGTTTCCAAAGTTGATATACTAGAGCAATGTGAAAATAATAATAAAAGTGATAGATTTCCTGGCAAAGTTTTCTTAGGGAAAACGCTGCAGCCACAAGCACCGAGGCAAATAGGAAAAGGGCTAAATCCTTCTGTCTGCCTTTCTCCCCCAAGAATATTTTAAATTTCCAAACCTGTCTACAATTTCTCCCCAAGAGAAACCATTTGCTTCCACCAACCTGCTTACCTTAGTGTCCCCCAAATATGTCATGAAGATCCCCAATTTCAGGGCTGTTCGCACATTCTCCCCTATGCCTAGCCTTTCTCTTTTGATCTATTCTCCCATTCCTGAATGCAAAGTCCCACCAGGCCTTCCCTTTAGCCCAGTGATGTATTTTCATTGCTTTATCTGGGTCTTTCTTTTTCACCTGAACCAAAGCTGTTTATTTCTTCAGGGGTTCAGTGAAATTTTGTGACAGGAAGTATTCCTGCAGGATATATATTGTTCTAAAACTGAGTCAGCTACTTGGGCGGGGGGGCCACTTCCTGTACACACGAAGTGGGTTGGGAGCCCAAGGGACTGTGCTTTAATCTCACAGCTAGGTAAAGAAATTGCTGAACATCATTTATTTCCTACGGTAAAATAAACAGGCCCTCTGCAGTGGTGGTGGTGTGGGGCTTTGAAATACAATGGCTCTTTCATGGGACCTGCCTTAAATAACAATCCTGCAGTACCCAGAGTTTACATAGTCCTCAGCTTCTCAGAAGTTCACGTGTCCCTTCATATCAAAACATGCTGTCCTTAGTGTATGATCATGACATCAATGACCCATTAGCAATAGGAATTAGAGTAGGCAGTAGGCTTGGAGTTGTTTTGCCAACAGCAGGGATGAGGCAGCTCTCAATCTTTCAGGTTCCTTGCGACCAAGGACAGCCATTTTCCAGCAAGGGTTAGGCCATGAAAAGGAGCAAAGCTAATTGATCCTTACAAAGTTCACTCATCTGGCCCTGTGCTCTAACCACCTCAACTAATCACCTCAACTAACCAGCCATACATGCTGTGCTGTCTAAAGGCTTTTATGTTCTTTAATTCATCACGTGACTCCAGGAGTGCAGACAGACTCTGGAGTCTATCTGAATTCAAAACCTGACTTTTTTTCTTAATTACTTAACCTTTTTATGCCTCAGTTTCTTCATCTATAAAATGAAAATAATAGCATCTATCTCTTAAGATTAGTTTGAGGATTAAAAGAGATAGTATGTGTCAAGTGCCTAGAGCAGTGCCTGGCAGGTATTTACTCACTTAATGTTGGTTCTTACTATTATTCATTCTTCCCCAATGAGAATGCCAAGAGTGGAAATATCTTGCCCTGTGGACTTTGGTTTGCCAACCAAGTGAGTGCCAACTTCTTCCCCATCTATATTTATCAAGCTAGATTCCTTGACAACCATGTAAGGCCTACCCATAGCCCTCACCCCCTGCCCATCTTGACAACATTGCTCAAGTGCATTGTATGGGTGTGTGGAGCAGACACTGCCATTGGTACTGTGAAGAAACACCAAAGAAATTTTATCTGTCCTCAATAAGCTTAACAATCATCTGGGGAGATTGGCCAAAAGGAAGGCAACTTCAACAGCATACAAACCTATCACAGTACACACAGCCCAAACCCACTGGGCCTACAAAGATGCAGGCCCAGCCCCAGAATGTGCTTTTAACCCAAAGCTGGGAAAGTTACCACAAAATGTCCAGGAGATATCTTATAAGACATTCCTGGTTTGTAAAAGAAATTTTTTTGGTTGGTTTCCTGACAACGTAAGAAAAATTTACATCCATTAATCACCCAGAATTGTGCTGGGTACTGTGGGAATAGATTATATATCTATCTACTATCTATCTATCTTATTTAAGATGGGTACTGAGCCCTCAAAGGGTTTCCAATCTAGCAGAATCTTTGAAATATTTTTTAGAATAGTGCAATAAAAGGACAAACATTATATGATTCCACTTATATAAGGTACCTACAATAGTTAAATTCACAGAGACAGAAAGTAGAATAGGTTACCAGCAATTGGGGGAGGAGGCCTGGGGAGTTATTCTTTTTTTTTTTTCTTTTTTTTTAGATGGAGTTTCGCTCTCTCACCCAGGCTGGAGTGAAGTGGCGTGATCTCTGCTCACTGCAACCTCCGCCCCCTAGGTTCAAGCAATTCTCCTTCTCCAGCCTCCTGAGTAGCTGAGATTACAGGCGCCTGCCACCACGCCCGGCTAATTTTTGTGTTTATAGTAGAGACAGGGTTTCACCATGTTGACCAGGCTGGTCCTGAACTCTTGACCTCAGGTGATCCACCCACCTCGGCCTCCCAAAGTGCTAGCATTACAGGTGTGAGCCACCGCGCCCGGCCGGGAGTTATTCTTTAATAGGTACAGAGTTTCTGTTTGAGATGATGAAAAAGTTCTGGAGATAGACAGTGGCGATGGTTGTAAAACATGAATGTGTTTAATGCCATTGAATTGTACACCTAAAAATGGTTAAGTTGGTAAATTTTATGCTATGCATATTTTACTACAATCTAAAAAAAATAATGCACAACAGTTTTTAAAAATCTTCATGTGCTAAATTATGCAGCCCATGCTGAAAGTGACTTGTAGCTATAATGAACTCACAATTTAAAAAAAGCTCAAGGAGGGCTGGAGTAACTAAGGAACGTTTTATAGAGAAGGCAAGTTATGGCCAGTGCTGTAATTCCAGCACTTTGGGAAGCTGAGATAGGAATTCTAGCTGCTTGGGTGGGGTGGGGCCTTATTACAGATGGACCTGAGCAGCAGGCAGACACTTGAGTTGGAAACCTTGGGCACTAGGGGTTCATTGTAGTGTTTTTTTGTTTGTTTTTTGTTTTTTTTTTTCAGACAGAGTTTCACTCTTGTTGCCCAGGCTAGAGTGCAATGGCACGATCTTGGCTCACTGCACCCTCCGCCTCCCAGGTTCAAGCGATTCTCCTGCCTCAGCCTCCCAAGTAGCTAGGACTACAGGCGCCTGCCACCACACCCAGATGATTTTTGTATTTTTAGTAGAGGCGAGGTTTCACCATGTTGGCCAAGCTGGTCTTGAACTCCTGACCTCAGGTGATCCACCCTCCTCGGCCTCCCAAAGTGCTGGGATTACAGGCGTGAGCCACCGCGCCTGGCCCATTGCAGTGTTTTAAAATTTAGTTTTTTTTACTGCTGATATCTGAGCAACGTCTGTGTACTTAATTCTAATAAGCCAATGAGTCTGGTTTTGATAATATACAATAATTATGTAAGATGCCACCACTGGGGAAATCTGGGCAATGGGTACAAGGGACATCTCTGCATTATTTTTGCAACTTCTTACGAGTCTAGAATTATTTCAAAATTTAAAAAGTATAAAATTAATTGTTGAAAGATTAATCTGCTATCTGTGTGCATGATAGTTTGAAATAAGAAGAAATTGAGAGAAAGTCATTCCAAGTATGTATTTCCTTGCTTAAACACTTAACCACGGTTCATTCAGAAAAGAGAACAGTCCCGGGTAAACAAAACTCTCATTCCCACCGTTTAGCTAAGGAAAAGATCTTTAGTTTATTCATTTTTTGAGCCAAATGCTGTGTTGCTGGATGAGAATGTTTGGTCTTGGGAGTTTGGAATTGAGAGTGACTTTATAGGCAGTCATCTAGAGGTAGTCAGGCTCTGACCTGTTTATAAAGAGACGGAGCAATTCCATCTGCTCAGCCATTGGACCAGCTAAAATAGAGCTTATTCTCTAGGAAAACACAACGGAAGTACCTCTCAAGGTCTGTAGCCTACAAAGAGGGTATTGGGTTTGGTACAATCTTCTCCAGCTAGTGAGTGGGCATCTGGCTGAACGATATGCCCATCCTGAGTGATGGAGACTCAGAAGTCGCTCATCCAAACATCATCTGCTTGCCCAGCCAAGCCTATTCAGCATCCACAATCCACAAAGGAAAAAGCTGAACACCAATAAGTAAATGTTCTCCTGTTTCCCTTCCTTGGGCTGTTGTTTTGTTTTGTTTTGTTTTGTTTTGTTTTCAGAGAACCGATATTGGTTGGGGTAAACAGTGAGCGAAGGCACAGGAGTTAGAAGTCATCCTTCCAAGTCATCTCTCTTATCAGGTAGCTAGTCCATCTTCCCTGTGCTCCCTCAGGATGATTGGGACCCGTTAATGAGCCACTTGGAGTAAATTCTACAAGCTTGCTGCAGCTGGGTGCCAGGATATAGGCCAAAAGAGGAGGTGGCAGGGTGTCCAGAAGGAATTGGAAACACTTTTCCCTGTTTTTGTCTTTCACTAGCTCTTCTTAAAGTTTATACCCTTCATCCCATTCTGTCCCTTTCTTCAGCATTTCTTTCTCGGGGGACAGGGCTCCTGCTGCCCGGTGAGTTTGTTTTCTGCTTTGGATAGCAGCTGGCTCCCCTAATGCTTCTGAGACAGCTCAATTATCTTGATTGTTGCAGTTTGGGCTGCAGAATTAAACCAGCCGGTCATGAATACACAGAGGATTTATCACTTAATAGCTGAATTGCTTGGGTCATTAAGGAGTAGGAGAGAAACAGCCAAGTGATTGTTCATCCTGCAGAAATGTAACAAGAAGACGGCTGTTAGCTTCTTGTTGCATCCTTTAAGGGTCCCCTCTGTGAAAGGATGTCTTGTATTTTGCTTTTGTGATCTTTGGGGTGGGAAGCACAGTTTGGCTAGAGGTAAGGGGCATGGCAAGGTGACGGGAAAGCAGTTTTGGACTTCTGCAAGCAAGCTGTGTACTTTGGGTTTTTGCATATCCTGTCACACTAGTGTCCTCCTAAAGTTTATTCCAAAGGTATTTGCATGCCCTCCTTATAATGGTATTTGCATTCAGCTGGGCAGGTAGCTGGGTTCCAATCTTTCCCACTGCTCCTGTGTGGACTCAGTGGGAGGACAGAGTGAGTTTGCCAAGAGGACTCAAAACTTTAATGCTTGCCTTAAAAATTCAGTTCCCATCCAGCTGGTGGCTGATGAGAGACCTTGACCCTGAACTATATCAGTGTTCCTACAAAGCAGAACATTTACTCCAGAGATAAGCCATACACCAGGCAAAAAAAAAAAAAAAAGAAAGAAAGAAAGAAAGAAAGAAAGAAAATCACCTACTCTCAAACTTTGTGCTGGAGGGCAGGGATGGAACAAAGCAGCTTTTGAAAAAGGGGAGGCCGGGCGCGGTTGCTCACGCCTGTAATCCCAGCACTTTGGGAGGCTGAGGCTGGCGGATCACGAGGTCAGGAGATCGAGATCATTCTGGCTAACACGGTGAAACACCGTCTCTACAAAAAATACAAAAAATTAGCCGGGCGTGGTGGCGGGCGCCTGTAGTCCCAGCTACTCCGGAGGCCGAGGCAGGAGAATGGTGTGAACCCGGGAGGCGGAGCTTGCAGTGAGGGGAGATGGTGCCACTGCACTCCAGCCTGGGCGACAGAGCAAGACTCTGTCTCGAAAAAAAAAAAAAAAGAAAAGAAAAAAAAAGAAAAAGGGGAATTCCCTGAGCACCTCCTAGCAGCGTGACTGTGCCCTCTTCTCAGCCTGTGCCCTTTCTTCTGTGTGAGCCAGGTTTGAAAGCATACCCTTGGAGCAGGAGATGAGTGGGCATCAGAAAAGTCCTGTCTGTACCTTTATGTAGGTGCTTCTTGAAATTTCGCCAAAGGAACATATAAAAGGGGTGCTTGGGCCCTCACCCCCTGACACACACACAGAGAGCCTCCCATGAATATCTACACTTTTAATGTTGCCATCATAGCTTCATTTTAACTAAAATGACCCCAAAGCCAGGCTCTACACAAGGTGGATACAAAAATGTACTTCTTAATCTCAAACTATGCCCAACTACGTTGTCCAGCCAAGCTTCCCAGATAAGCTTACAACAAACCTCACAGATGGCAGCAACAATAGCCAGAGCAGAGCCAGCCTTGCAGAATCAGGCAATGGTTGTTTCTAGCACAAGAAAAGCCATCTCCCGTCGTTTGCCCCGCAAATTGTTTGCGAAAACTGGAAGTCCCTCCTCTCCTTCCCAGCATAGTAACTGTCTGTGTGCTATTTGGCCCCAGTCAAAGGTGCTTGGATCTCTTTTTCAGACTACCCCTAGGCTAGGGGGTAGTCTTCACCCAGAAAGGCCTTGTCCCCTCTGCACCTCCAACGTTGGGTGACTGTCCTCCAATAAGTCCACCTTGGAGAAGTCTTCTTCTTCTTCTTGGTTCCCTCATTAATTTATCTTAGATTATTTGCTGATTAGAAAGTGGTATGTGGTCATGTAGAAATTTGGACCAGTTACACAAAAGGGTCAAGAAGTAGAAAAACCTAGCAGCTATGCACGATATCCCCGTCCAGCGGTAACCAATATTAACATAATAAGGTATGTCTCTCCTGGCCTTTATTGTTCCATGTTTTCTTGACATAGTTGAGACCCTACTACCTGGAAAAGGTAGCAACCATTTTATTGCCTGCTTTTCTTCTCCTTAAGTATTTCATCCACAAGCATTTTCCGTGCCTTTAGGAATCTTTGTTACCATAATTTAAATGGAGGCATCATATTCCGTCTTATGCATGCAGTGACATTTGTTTTTTAGAACATATGATACCACAGTGCCATACCTTTCATGAACTGTAATGCTGAAAGGTCAAATAACAATAAGTGATATTGTTAGAGAGCTTCCATGCAAAGTACTCTTCTAAGTGCCTCACATGTCTTAACTCATTTAATCCTCACACAACTCTTTGAGGCAGGTTCTATTAGTATCCCCATGTGAGAGAGGGGGAACCTAAGAAGAGATGAGTGACTTACTTAGAGAAACACGGGTAGTAAGCAGCAAAGCTGGGCTTTGAACTCAGGCATTGTGGCTCTAGAGTCTGTGCTCTTAACAACTGCAAGCTGGCCAGTATCACAACTAAATGCAATCATTAAGGCAGCTTACAATCTAATATACAATATACAATAACATTTTCCAGTCAAGAGAAGGGTTTTCAGGATTCAATACACATTCTTTCTTTGGTTTATAATCCAGACTCATAATACTGTTTATCATCCATAAACAACAGACCTTTCCCAATGCTGTTAGAGAACAAATGGGAAAGAGGATACACAGAGAAAAAAGGTGATTTTGCTTTTCTGAAGTATTACCCTGTATCTGCCAATCAACTTAAAACTTAATTACAAAGAGAAATCATCCCTCAAGAGAGTAAGAGTGATAATTCTGTATAATAGGGAGAAATTTACCATTTATGTAGTGAGCTTCCCTTTCCTCAGGGTAGCATTTCAAACACCTCTCTCCCCACCAAATGTAGACAATTGCACTGAATGCTCCTTAATTCCCTTTCTTTTCTCTTCTGTACCTTAAAAACCTTCCCATGTCCCCATCCAGACATTCAACCATTTCCTTCTCTCTTCCCTGCATTTCCATCACTGAAGTACTGATGTGGGTATGGGCATTTACCAAAGTCAAAGCCTCCATCCTCTCTTGTGTGCAGAGCTCCCCACAACAACAGTCGACTTGCCTAACAAAATTCATCACAGTACATTTCCACAAGTTTTGATCCTCTGGGTATCTCTCTGAATTTCTCCGACCCTGATAGAATTTCAGGGTCTGCTCTATGCTGTTCTGCATTTGTTTCTCATCTCCCCTCTTAGGCACCCTTGTGAATTTGTTCAGCTTGGAATATATGTCTCCCAGAAATGGAGCCCCCTCAAATGAAGTCTGCAAAGGAGCTGTTGCTGAGAAAGGGGCACCAACCTGTGCCCTCACATACCAAGGAAGAACAGCCTTTGTTTCTTCCTCACTGTTCTCCAGGTGAATTCTCCAAATTTTCTGCCCCACATTCACCCTTGAACTTTCAGCAGGAGACTCTCTCTGAAAAAAAGTCTGGACTGGATCTGCTACTGTGAGTGATGCCCAAACTTGTACTGTCAGAGGCCAGGGATGAGCCAGAACACTTTTGTTCTTTCTATTCCTCCTTTTATGTCTTCTTTTCTTCCCTATCTTTTCCTCACTGTTAGCAGCAGGGGACGTCCCCTCCAGAGCTGCAGCTGAGCATGGGACACCATCCTGTGCACTCTGACACAAAGTGGGAGTTGAGATTTTATCCATCTCATCCTTGCTTTTGTGCCCCACACTGACCCCATCATTAGCAACTGGAGAAGCCTGTGCAAAAATGGTCTGTACCTGAGCTGGGACTGTGAAAGATGTCCAAGCCTGTACTCTCAGAGGCCAGGGACTAGCCACAATCTTTTTGTTCTTTTTATGTCTCCCTTTATAGCGGCTTTTCTGCCCTCTTTTAATCTCCCCATTGGCTGCCAGAGAGGCCCCCTCAAGAGAGGACTGAACTGGACTTGCTGCTGGCAGCAGGGTGCCAGCCGGTGTCTTCCAAGGCTGCAAGAGAACTGTCTTCTCCTCCTTATTATTTCCTCTTTGCTCCCTGCTTTCTTGCCCTACATTGACATTGATATTGGCAACTGGCAAAGCCCCCATAACATAAGTCTGACTCAGAACCGGGGCTGCAGAAGACGCCCGAGGCTGTAGCATCAGAGGCCAAGAAAGATACACAACCTTAATTCCTTTCTATTCCTCCTTTTATGGCTATTTTTTTTCTTTACATTTCCCCCATCATTAGCAGCAGAGGATGCCCCCTCCAATACTGGGTGAACCGGAGCCACATTTGGGCCTGAAGAACCAGCCACTGTACTTGGACGCAAAGTAGAATGAGATATTTCTTCCATCTCATCATTCTCTTTTTGACCCATGCTTTTCTGCCCATCTACCCCTTGACTGGCGATGGGCGGAGCATCTTCAAGTGGAATCTGAACTGGAGGTGCCACCCCGAGGGTACTGCTGCTGTGGCTGGATCTGTGTCACTTGCCTTAGTGGTCAGAGCCTCCATATGAGCTAAAATGTCTTTTTTCATGTTTCTCTTCCTTCTAACTTTGCTTTGTTTTTGTTTCTGGATCAGGTGGAGTGTTTACCTGGAGTGGAGAGAGCAGAAAGTAATCCAAGAGATAAATATGAGTTGTAGTCAACACAAGCAAAATGTCCTTTCTGGAAGAACAGTTATAATTAAGTATTAGATCTGAGGGCTGAAATCAGGATTAGTCTCTAAGGATACCTGAAATGAGTTAGTAAAAGTAGGAACTCAGTGCAGGTTGAGGAGGCCATAAACAAGATGAGGATGTCAGAAGCCTGTCCTCACTGGCTGCTGATTCTTTGATGTGGTGCTAAACCCTCCATAACTTTCCACAAAATTTTCCTTTCCCAGTACAGCGTATCAACTGTGGACCCTGGATGCCCTCAATATACCAATGCATGGCGCAGTTTCAATCTTCATCAGCTTTTGAAATCCGCAGTGTCTTCTTTGAAAGCAGAGGACAACAATGAAACAAACAAACAACAAAAATCCCACAAAGATATTTGGATAAATATACCCATTTTCACCTAAGGGGGATAGACCCATCACTTAATGGTCAGGTAAAGGCTTTGGCACTGTTGTTACCTTTTCATACTTCAGACTTCAGCCTCAGGAGACCAAATCACACATGAGAAAGCTATGGGTGAGCCTGTAAAATCAGAGAAAGAAAGCATCATCAAAATGAGCCTGAGAAGGTGTCTGGGATGCTACTCTGAGCAGAATCTTACCTGGCTATCCTAGAAATCTCGTGTCCACGTTTCTTCTCAAGCTCTCTCTCTTTTTGGTCCCATGTGGAGGAATTGGTATACATACAGATGACCCAGACACTACATAATTCTGTACCACAATAGCTTTAGCAATTGATGAAGAGATTCCATTTGGTTCAGTATGTTATTAACATTTAGGTCGCCTTCACTGATTTCTGATTCTTTGCAAGTTGAGAATCCTGGTGTGGGCTTGTGGGGGAGGGCTCATTCCATTAACCAGCCCAATTCTTCCTCCATGCATTCAGATAAGCAGACCTATAGACAGTTTCTATTTCCCAAATTCATAAACTGTCTGGCCCCCCCTGTGAATTCCAGTCCTTTTTTAAACTTTCCATTGTACTATATATATGCAACATAATCTTGGAATGGGCTAATTATTTACATAATCTCCTTTCTCTCTGAGCAAACATTTTTTTGTTGTTGTTGACCTTTTGACCAAAAAAAAAAAAAAAAGAGAGAGAGAGAGAATAAATCAAGATAGAATCAAACTTTCTTTCTGTAATTATGACTGACACAGAGAGCTTGATGAGGCCCCTGTGTTTTCCTTTGATAAGAAAGTGTAACCACACATCAGAACAGTGCAAGGCCTGGCATTGACCTGGCAAGTTTAGAAATGGAAAACTTGTTTTCATTTTTTAATCTGGAAAATGTTTGTATCTAGAGCAAAAATTGCATCAGTGCCTATGTGAATATGGTGTCCTCCTCAATGGATATTGGGGAGGGCTCTCTAGACCCTCTCTTGGTGTCATAAAGAGCCTAGGGCTATTTTTGCACAGGCAGTATTCTCACTCAATCCTTATTCAAGTGCTCCCAATATATGATTGTAGAAAGAGGAATCACACAGCAAAAATTACATACACTTATTATCTAGCACGATTTCTACTTTTTTCTTTTTTTTTGGAGACAGAGTCTTTCTTGGTTGCCAGGCTGGAGTGCAATGGCGCGATCTGGGCTCACTGCAACCTCCGCCTCCTGGGTTCAAGCGATTCTCCTGCTTCAGCCTCCCAAGTAGCTGAGATTACAGGCGCCCGCCACTATGCCCGGCTAATTTTTGTATTTTAGTAGAGATGGGGTTTCACCATGTTGGTTAGGCTGGTCTGGAACTCCTGACCTCAGGCGATCTATCCACCTCAGCCTCCCAAAGTGCTGAGATTACAGGCGTAAGCCACCGTGCCCAGAACACAATTTCTACTTTTTAAAAAATTTAAAATTTTTTTAATTCTACTTTAAGTTCTGGTATACATGTGCAGAATTTGCGGGTTTGTTACACACGTATACATGTGCCATGGTGGTTTGCTGCACCTATCAACCTGTCATCTAGATTTTAAGCCCTGCATGCATGAGGTATTTGTCCTAATGCTCTCCCTCCCCTTACCCCGATGTCTACTTTTTCAATGTCCTTCCTGATGCTAAGGTTGTTTTTTCATTGCTCCATGTGTAGGTTAAGGTACTTGCGGTGCTAAGGCTAGCTTAGCTCATGACAAATGCAGAGGTTATCACTAGAAGAAATCCAGCTGGCTGGCTGCCAAGAGGCCACAGAAAGTGAAATTTACCTGGTTCAGTGCAATAGGGTCCAAGGTCTGACTCCCTCACTGAGAGTGGGCGTCTGGTGGTAGATGTGTATTAACCAATCACACAGAGCCAGGTCTGTCTCTACCGTCTATCCATATCCACATCCATGTTTGTAACTATGTCTATATCTATGTGAGACACGCTGTCCCCTGGATTACACGTGGAGGATGCCTGCTTCAAGCTCCTTAGATTTTCCCTGCTGTGTTGACCCTTTTATTCATGCAGATTCATTCATTCACTCATTCAACAAATATTTACTGACACAGCTTTGTACCAAACATGCGGCTAGGTGCAAGAGAACATATAATTAGCTTTCAGGTTACTTAATTACAGTTGCATTCCATTTGGGTTTCTTGGAGATGAATACTTTAATTGGAGCTTTAAATGTTTCCAAACCTCAAGTCACACATTTAGAGGCACTCTCTTCATTGGCTGTCATAGATGGCTATGACCATTCATTGTGTAGGGTTTCTACTAGTTTAATTCTCAGAGGCCAGCTGAAGTTACCCTTTATCGAGGTTATTGTGGCCTTCATGCACTTTTTCTCCCTGGTACTGGCAATCAACCTCTCTGGCTTTTGTGTAAGAAGAGAATAACTCCTGATTCTGGTATCATTCTCTTGCTTTGTGCCATCACCAATTCCTTTCCAACTTTTCAGTAAAGGGGTAGCAACTGTTTAATGTTCATTTATGTGTGTGTTACATGAGAGTCTAATTTACATGTGCTGTAGTATAGGGATTATTTGATGTCCCTCCTTTGATAGGCAGGAACCACTGAGTATAGGCCTGATAGGCAGGGTCCTACAGGGGGCAGAGATTTGAAATCATGTCCTAAAGAGGGTTGCGCACCAGGAAAAGTAGTCTCATCATTTAGGATTCTTTCATTGCAAGTAACCAAAAAATAATAAAAACAAACTACCCAAACTGGCTTAAGCAAAACAGGCCATTTATGGTTTACTATAAGCATAAATGACTGGGGCAGATCCAACTTCCTGTGTGGCTTAATTCAGTGTGCAAATTATTTCACCAGGAACCGTCAGAAATACTTGTCTTGTGTTGGTTTTCATTTTCAGGCTCTTACTAGAGACCCCTGGTGCCTTCAATGTCACAATGCTTCATCCAGCAGTAGAAGTTGCTTCCCTGGTGGAGCAACTGGAAGTGCCTAAATTGAGTATTGTTAGTACTAATTGGTCTTCCATGGGTCACATGTCCATCACTAGATCAATTATTGTGGTCAAATAGATGGAATGTTCATACACTGAGTCTCTTCAAATTCAAGAGGGAATACCGGCAACTTGAGAGGCTGAGGTGGGAGGATCACTTGAGACCAGGGGTTTGTAACCAGTCTGGGCAACATAGCAAGACCTCCTCTCATTTAAAAAAAAAAGAAGCTAGATATGGTGGTGGACACCTGTAGTCCCAGCTACTCAGGAGGCTGAGGTGGGAGGATCGCTTGAGCCCAGGAGTTTGAGGCTGCAGTGAGCCATGATCACACCATGGACAGCAGAGCAAGACTTTGTCTCTAAAAAAAATTATTTTAATTTAAAAAATTTAAAAATTTAAGAGGGAAGCTGGAAAATGAGAATGAAAATACATAGAGATGTTTGAGAAGACAGAGAAGGTGAGAAAAGTGTCACATAGAAGTGAAGAAAGCCTAGAGCAATTCCTGAATAGTAATGTAGGCACCCACACTGATTCATCTTTTTTTTTTGAGATGGAGTCTCGCACTGTCACCCAGGCTGGAGTGCAGTGGCACGATCTCGGCTCACTGCAACCTCCACCTCCTGGGTTCAAGTGATTTTCCTGCCTCAGCCTCCTGAGTAGCTGGGACTACAGGCACACGCCACCATGCCCAGCTAATTTTTGTATTTTTAGTAGAGACGGGGTTTCACCATGTTGGCCAGGATGGTCTTGATCTCCTGACCTCATGATCCACCCGCCTCGACCTCCCAAAGTGTTGGGATTACAGGCGTAAGCCGCCACGCCCGACTGACTCATCTTTTACAATAAAGAGATAGGATTCACGTACGTGAAGTTCACTCTTTAAAAGTTGTTTTTAGTATATTCACAGAGTTGTGCATCAATCACCACTACCCAATTCCAGAGCATTTTCATCATCCCAAATAGAAACTCCTCATTTGCTCTCCTCCTCCCAGCTTCTCGTAACCACTAATTTACTTTCTGTCTATATAGATTTGCCTATTCTGGATATTTCATATTGGAACCATATAATCACATATAATTCTACAATATGTGACATTTTGTATCTGGCTTCCTTCACTTTAGCATACTGTTTGCAAAGTTTATCCATATTATAACATGTGTCAGTACTTCATTTCTTTTTATGGCCAATAAGTATTCCATTGTATGGATATATCACATTGTGCTTATCATTCATCAGGTGATAGACATTTGCATTTTTCTGTCTTTTGACTATTTTGAATGATGGGGCTATAAACATTTGTGTACAGGTTTTTGGGTGGGTATGTTTTCAATTCTCCTGAATACGTACCTAGGAGTAGAGTTGCTGGATTATATGGTAACTTAATGTTTCACCATTTGAGTAATTGCTAGGGTCTTCTGCAGGGAATACATCATTTTACATTTTACATTCCCACCAGTAAGGTGTAATTTCTCTACATCCTTGCCAACATTGTTGCTGTCTTTTTTTTATTAATGCCATCTTAGTGGGTGTGAAGTGGTACCTTACTGTAGTTTTGATGTGCATTTCCCTAATGACTAATGATGTTGAGTATTTTTTCACGTGTTATTGGTCTCTTCTGTGTCTTTTTTCTTTTTTTTTTTTGAGATGGAGTTTCGCTTTTGTTGCCCAGGCTGGAGTGCAATGGCGCCATCTCGGCTCACTGCAACCTTTGCCTCCTGGGTTCAAGCGATTCTCCTGCCTCAGCCTCCTGAGTAGCTGGGATTCCAGGCATGCGCAACCACGCCCAGCTAATTTTCTAGTAGAGATGGGGTTTCTCCATGTTGGTCAGGCTGGTCTCGAATTCCTGACCTCAGGTGACCTGACTGCCTTGGCCTCCCAAAGTGCTGGGATTACAGGCATAAGCCACTGCGCCTGGCCTCTGTGTCTTCTTATAAGAAATGTCTATTCAAATTATTTGCTCATTTAAAAAAATTGGGCATTTTGAAATTTTTTAAATTATATTTTTATTATTTAGTTGTAAGAGTTTATTATATGCTTTGGATCTAAGTCATTTATGATATATGTGAATTGCAAATATTTTCTCCCATTTTGTTGGTTGGCTTTTCACCTTCTTGATAGTGTCTTTTGAAGCACAAATATTTTTGATTTTGATGATGTTCCATTTATCTGTTTTTCTTTTGTTGTTTGTATTTTCTACGGACATAGAAAGTTGTCATATTTAAAGTTGTGCTTTCTAAGGGTATAGAAAATTGCCATAACTAAGGAATGCTGGCCTTAAAAAAAAGCAAGATTTAAGCCTATGTTTTCTTCTAAGAATTTTATAGTTTGAGCTTTTACATTTAGGTCGTTGATCCATTTCGAGTTAATTGTTGTATATGGTATGAGGTAGGATGTCCCACTTCATTTTTTTTTTGCACATGGCTATTCCATTATATCAGCACCACATTATTGAAAAGACTATTATTTCCCCATTGATTATTTTTACCACACATTGGCTTTTTTTTTGAGATGGAGTTTTGCTGTTGTTGTGCAGGCTGGAGTGCAATGGTGCGATCTTGGCTCACTGCAACCTCTGCATCCCAGGTTCAAGTGATTCTCCTGCTGCAGCCTCCCAAGTAGCTGGGACTACAGGCATGCACTACCATGCTGGGTAGTTTTGTATTTTTAGAAGAGACGGGGTTTCTCCATGTTGTTCAGACTGGTCTCGAACTTCCGACCTCATGTGATCTGCCCACCTCAGCCTCCCAAAGTGTTGGGATTATAGGCATGAGCCACCGTACCTGGCCCACACATTGGCTTTAAAAGTAATTATTGTGCTTGGCCAGGCATGGTGGCTCACCCCTATAATCTCAGCACTTTGGGAGACTGAGGTGGGTGAATCACTTGAGGCCAGGAGTTTGAGACCAGCCTGGGCAACATGATGAAACCCTGTTTCTACTAAAAATACAAAAATTAACCAGGCGTGGTGGTGCAAACCTGTAGTCCCAGCTACTCGGGAGGCTGAGGCAGGAGAATCGCTTGAACCCAGGAGGTGGAGGTTGCAGTGAGCAGAGATTGTGCCACTTCACTCCAGCTTGGGCCACGGAGTGAGACTCCAACTCAAAACTAATAATAATAGTAGTAAATAAAAATTGAAATAGAAAATTAAAAGTTAAAGCAATTATTGTAATTAATGTGTTCAAAAGGGCTGAAGGAGATTAAACAAAGACGCCTGTACAGTCATGGGACAGCTTTTAAAACAGACATAGCATACTTCATGCATTCCCTTCAAAATCATCATTTTGGGAATATCCCTGAGATATGAGGAATAAAAAAATCAGGGCGAACTTGAGTATGTGAGTAGCAAACTGATCTTAGATGGTATTTCCATAGATAGAACTTGAGGCAGCAAGAGCATCAATTGATTATGCATATATCCCTTCAAGATAAGTACTTTTAAAGAAAGCACTGATTTAGATGCATACATCCTGTTCTTAAAAAAAAATTATACTAATTTGAGGCAATATGCCCTAATAATTGAGAGGATGGACTTTGAGATCAGACAACCTGGGTTTGTATCCAAACTCAACCACTTATTAATTGTGTAAATTACTTAGCTTTCTGATCCTTACTCTCCTGATATATAGTATAGGATAATAATGGCTATTTCATTTTTGTAAATTTTGTTTTGATATAATTTCAAACTTGCAATTGTTTATATTTTGCCCCATTTACTTAATTTACTTTATCATTCTCTCTCTGTATGTATGTGTGGGGGTATATATATATATATATATATATATATATATAGGGGTGTGTGTGTGTATGTATATATATACACATCTCATACATTTATGTATGCGTCGATATATTTATGTATGTGTGGGTGTATCTATATATGTCTGTGTGTGTGTGTGTGTGTGTGTGTGTATATACACATACCCACAAATACATATACATTTATATATATGTATGACACATACACATATATTTATATATTTGTAAAAGTATATTTATATATTTGTTTCCTGAATCATTTGGAAGCAAATTGGAGACATCACGCACCTTTATTCCAAAATACTTCAGTGTATATTTTCTAAGAACAAGAACATTATCTTATATAACTACAGTACATTTATCTAAATCAGGAAATTTAAAATCTATACAATACTGTTATCTAATCTGTAGCATACATTCAAATTTTTCATTTTTCTGAATATTATCCTTTATAGTTATTTTTCCCAGTTTAGAGTCCAGAACAGGATAATGCATTGAATTCAGTTGTCATCACTCTTTAATCTCCTCTAATCGATAATGATTCCTGAGTCTTTATGTTTCATGACTTTGACATGTTTGAAAAGTACAGGTCAGTTATTTTCCAGAATGTCTCTGAATTTGGATTTCTCTGATGTTTTATCATGATTAAATTGAGATTATTTATTTTTGGCAAAAATACCACAGGCGCTATGTCGTGTCTTTCCCAGTGCATCATATTAGGAGAGAAATCATGTCAGATTGTTCCGATATTGTTAGTATTAACTTTATCACTTGATTAGAGTGATGTATTTCAGGTTTCTCCACTGTAAATTACTGTTTTTCTTTTGTAATTAATAAGTAATTTATAGGGAGCTATCAGTTGGTTCCCTAGGATCAAATAAGATGACATACATGAAATATTGAGCACAAAAGTCCAGGTGCAGTGGGTCACGCCTGTAATCCCAGCACTTTGGGAGGCCGAGGCAGGCAGGTCACCTGAGCTCGGGAGTTCGAGACCAGCCTGACCAAAATGGAGAAACCCTGTCTCTACTAAAAATACAAAATTAGCCAGGCGTGGTGATGCATGCCTGTAATCCCAGCTACTCGGGAAGCTGAGGCAGGAAAATCACTTGAACCCGGGAGGCGGATGTTGTGGTGAGCTGAGATTGTGCCGTTGCTCTCCAACCTGTGCAACAAGAGCAAAACTCCATCTCAAAAAAAAAAAAAACAAAAGAAAAGAAAGAAATATTGAGCACAATGTCTGGTACATGATAAGTGTGCAAAAAATGTTAGGCATCATCTTCATATTATCTTACTACCATCATTATTATTGTTAAGTTAAAATATTTTAGGACTTAAACCTAGTATTCTACACCTTGGGTGATATGAAAATAAGTCAGGAACACGGAACAATTAAGAAAATACTGAGTTCAAGTACTTGGTGGCATGTTGCACAAGAATACCTCTGTGACCTTCCAGACTCGGGATCCTAGCGTGTTTCATGAACTAGGCTTTGGCTGATCACAAGACCCTTAAGAAGACTGTTGATACAATTTAATTTATTTTACATGGTCACTTCAGGTTATCTTTACTTCTCACTATGTTGTATTCCTAGAAATCACATCAAAGAAGGATCATTATAAAGTAGGTTAATGAATTTCTATAATAGCAACATTATAATTAGATGATATATTTCTGATTAAGCTTTGACTTAATCATAGGTATGGTGGGCAAAGCAAGCATGAAATAACCATAAATTCGATTATAATCGTTTTTATGTAAAAACATTTAAAAATCAAAGTAATGAACATGTAGTAACATGCCAACAGTACAAGAGATCTTATGATGAGAAGCAACCCCTTCCCTCTGTACCCCAGGAATAGAGGTAATACTAGCAGGTGCCCTTGTCTTGTTTTTTATTTTAATGAGAAGGCCTCTAAGGTTTCACCATAAAGTATGATATTTCCTTTAAGTTTTGAATTGATACCCTATATCATGTTAAGTAAAGGTTCATTTCTATTCCTGGTTTGCTAAAGATTGTTCTTTTTAAAATCATGAGTAAGTGTTGAATTTTATTAAATAATTTTTCTGCATGTATTGAATGGTCATATTTTTCTCTAATCTGTTAATGTGGTGATTATGTTGGTAGACTTTTTATGTTGCAACATCTTTACATTCTTGGAATGAACTATACTTGCTCATGATGTACTTTTTAAAAATACTGAAATAGACTTGCTAAAATTTTATTTTGGATTTTTCCATTTATATTTGGGTGTTTGGTCTGTAATTTTTCTTGTACTGATCTTATCTGGTTTTAGTTGTAATGTATTCGTAGATTAGATTACAATATATTCATAAAAAATGAATATTGGAGGCTTTTCATCTTAAAGAGTTGAGGTAAAATCTACTGCTAAAACAATTGGGGCCTGCAGTATAAGTGGTGGGAAGCCTTTTAAATGTAATTCAAATTATTTCTGGTTATTAGGTTATTTAACTGTCATTATTTATTCTCAGGCCAATTTTGGTAACTTATGCTTTTTAGTACAAGATGCCATTCATCTGCCTTCATATGTATTTGCACAAAGTTGTTTACATTATTTCTTCGTGCTTTTAAATTTGTGACAATTTATGCATATATACCTATGTCCTTTTTTTCATACAAAGAACAGGAATGAAAGCAGCATTGAATTTTACAGCACCAATATTAGAAGCCTAGAGAAAGTGCAGCAACACTTTCAAATTATTTTCATTGTATAATTCTATATTGAGCCAAGTTAGGCTAAAGTCATTTTCAGTCATGCAAGAATATCAAAGGACTTAAAATTTTTACGTCCCATTTATCCTCTGATTTGAGGACACTAGAGGATTTTCTCCTGCAAAATGAGGTTGTAAACTGAGAAAGAAGACATGAGGTCTAGTAAACAAAGGCATCAATACTGTAACAGTGGAGGGAAGCTCCAGGATGACAATAGTGCTGCAAGCCTATGGAACAATTAGTCCAGTTTACAGCAGGCAAATAAAAAGACAGGCAGCTCTAAGAAGGAAGTTTCCAATAAGTAAAATGGAATTTTTACATTACCTGATACACATAGGGGTCAGAAAAATTTTGGTGGACATTTGACTGATCTGACAAAGCATTTTGATAGGTACATATTGCCTAAGGAAATACAATGCTTTTAAGAACTTTTAAAAACAAAAGGATATACAAAAAAGAATCATTGAATCTCCTTGGTTCAAAAATGAAAGATATTTAGAGATTTTGACCACTGATTTAGCAGAATGAGTTGGGAGGGTGGAAGAAATTCTCATGTATCAAAACAGGAAGTCACTAGATAATGGAAAAAACTGATAAAAACAGCAATATAAGCTTAGAAATTACATATAGAAATATACAGATAAATAAAAGAAGAACCCAACTGAAAGTGTTGAAAGTAGTTGTCCCTGAGAAGTGTACTGGGAGGTGAGGAGGAAAAATTACTGCTACTTTTCATTATGAACCTTTGAGTACTATTTTATATTTTTAGGTTTATTTATTTATTTATATCAGTACAGACTTATGTATTTCCATTTTGCTCATGGATTATAATCTCTTAACATAATTATTTATTTTTAATAAATCTTTTAATTTTGACACACTTGTAGATTTACATGTAGTCTTAAGAAATCATACAGGCAGGCCGGGAGCGGTGGCTCACGCCTGTAATCTCAGCACTTTGGAAGGCGGAGGCAGGCGGATCACGAGGTCAGGAGATGGAGACCATCCTGGCTAACACGGTGAAACCCTGTTTCTACTAAAAATGCAAAAAATTAGCCGGGCGTGGTGGCGGGCGCCTGTAGTCCCAGCTACTTGGGAGGCTAAGGCAGGAGAATCACTTGAACCCGGGAGGCAAATGTTGCAGTGAGTCGAGATCACACCATTGCGCTCCAGCCTGGGCGACAGAGTTAGACTCTATCTAAAAAAAAAAAAAAGAAAAAAGAAAGAAAGAAGGAAAGGAAGAATGGAGATTCCTTGCACACTTAACCCAGTTCCCACCAACAGTAACATCTTGCAAAACCCTAGAACACTAGTTTCATTAGAAAATCGACATTGATACAGTCAAGATACAAAGCATTTCCATCACCACCAGGATCCCTCATGTCGCCCTTTTATAGCCATACCCACTTTCTCCTCCCACATCCAGCCCTTTTCTTAACCATTGGGAACCATTAAACTTCATACATACTGTATGGAATCATACAGTATGCAACCTTTTGAGATTAGCTTTTCACATTTAGCATGATTCTCTGGAGATTCATCCAGTTTGTTGTGTGTATAAGTAGTTCATTCCAGTTCATTTTTTTTGTATTCCTGAGTGGTATTCCATGGAATAAATGCACCACAGATTGTTTAAACATTCACCCATTGAATGTTGTTTTCAGTATGGAGCTATTGTGAACAAAGCTGCTATAAACATTTATCTACATGTTTTTGTGTGAACGTAGGTCTTCATTTATCTGGGATAACTGCCCAGGAGTAAAATTGCTGGGTCATATGGTAGTTGCAATTTAGTTTATAAGACAGTGTTTCCCAGTGGTTGTACCATTTTACATTCCCACTAGCAATACATGCATGATCCAGTCTCTCTATGTCTTCACCAGCATTTGGTGGTGTCACTATTTTTTGTTGTAACCATTCTGATAGGTATATAATGATATCTCATTGTGATTTTAATTTGCATTTCCCTAATGGCTAATGATGTTAAACATCTTTTCATGTGCGTATTTACCATCTGTATAACCTACTTGGTGAAGTATCTGCTCATGTCTTTTGCTCATTTTTGAATGTTTTGATTTTTTGCTGTTGAGATTTGAGAGTTCTTTATATATTCTAGATGGTAGGTCTTTGCCAGGTATGTGGTTTGCAAATATTTTCTCCTACTCTGTAGTTTGGTTTTGCATCCTTTTCACAGAGTCTTTTACAGAATAAAAATTTTTAGTTTTGATGAAGCCCAGTTTAACAATTTTTCATTGTATGGATCATGCTTTTGGCGTGAAGTCTAACAGCTCTTTTCCTAGGCCTAGATCCCAAAGGTTTTCTCCTATGTTTTTCTCCCTAAAAGCTTTTTTTTTCCTCCTTTAATCCTTCCCTGTCTATAATTGTCTTATATATTTTATCTACATACATTTAGAACCACATCAGAGAGTGCAAGATTTTTTGTTTCAACTGTCAAATATAATTCAGAAAACTCAACAGAAGAAAGATTTTTTTCCTATATTAAACATACATATTATTATTATTATTGAGACAGTGTCTTGCTCTGTCACCCAGGCTAGAGTGCAATTACGTGATCCTGGCTCACTGCAAACTCTGCCTCCTGGGTTCAAGCGATTCTCCTGTCTCAGCCTCCCAAGTAACTAGGATTACAGGGGTGCATCACCACACCGGGCTAATTTTTGTATTTTTAGTAGAGATGGGGTTTCACCATGTTGACCAGGCTGGTCTCGAAATCCTGACCTCAGGTGATCCGCCTGCCTTGGCCTCCCAGAGTCCTGGGATTACAGACATGAGCCACCACACTCGGCTAATTTTTTGTATTTTTAGTAGAGAGGGGGTTTCACCGTGTTAGCCAGGATGGTCTCGATCTCCTGATCTTGTGATCTGCCCGCCTCGGCCTCCCAAAGTGTTGGTATTACAGGCGTGAGCCACCGTGCCCGGCCACAAGGCAATTTTTAAAAAATCAAGTTTGCCATGCCATAGCCCTCCAGGATCTTTAACTGAGCTCTTACATGGAAACTCAACTGAAAAATGTATTAAAGCAAGTTCAGTTGTATACTTGCAAATACTCTTTTGTCATATGGTTCTCAAACCAGTAAAAGTTTTCTTTTTAATTTACTAAGGATTCCTCATAGGAGATGATCAAAGATCAGCATTACTAAAGGTCAGTCTGAACAGTCTGAATTAATTTTTTGTTGTTGTTCAGAGCATTGAAATAAGTAAGCCTTAAGGATGCTGGTTCAGGTTTGTTTGTTTGTTTGTTTGTTTGCTTGTTTTAAAGGCCCATCCTTCTGTCATGAGATTTGTGTGCTGAATTTTGTCTCTTTCTTTCTTACTGGCTTTGAGAGCTAGATTCTTGAGTGTGGCATGTGGTCACATTTCTATATGGAATTCCATTTAGTTTGGATTACATTTGTGCATCTTTCAGCTCTAGGAACCCAAGAAGGGCCTCATGTATTTCTTTTTTAAAAGTTTTAGTTTAGAGTCAGGGGGTACATGTGCATGTTTGTTACATGGGTATACTACGTACTGGTGGGGATTGGGCTTCCAGTGTTCCCATTACCCAAATAGTGACCATTGTGCCTGATAGGTAATTTTTCAACCCACATCCCCCCATCACCCTCCTTACTGTCTATTATTTCCATCTTTATGTTCATGTGTACCCATCGTTTAGCTCTCACTTATAACTGAGAACTGAGGTATTTGATTTTCTGTTTCTGAGTTAGTTCACCTAGGACAATGGCCTCCAGCTCCATCCATGTTGCTGCAAAAGACATGATTTCATTCATTTTTATGGCTGCAAAGAAGAAATTTTGTGTTTTCGTGTATTATTTTTGCTTACTGTATTCTTTCTTCCTTCCTGATACTTCATGCTTCTTTTTTTTTGTCATTTCCTTTCTGTTTAGAGAACATCTACTAGCCATTCTTTTAGGGCACGTCTGCTAGCAACAAATTCTCTTATAGTTTCCCCACATCTGAAAATGTCTTTAAAAAATTTTTTTAGAGATGGGGTCTCACTCTGTATTTTTAAGTTCTAATATTTCCATATGGTTCTACTCTACGTTTTCTATTTTTTCTGAGATTTTCTATTTTTTCATTTGTTTCAAGCATGTTTATAATTGCATGTCACCCAGGCTGGAGTGCAGTGGCACAGTCATAGCTCCCTGCAGCCTTGAAATTCTGGCCTCAAGCAATCCTCCCACCTCAGCCTGCAGAGTGGCAGGGACTACAGGTGTGCACTACCATGCCCAGCTAATTAAAAAAAAAATTAAAGATGGAGTCTTGCTATGTTTCCCAGGCTGTTCTCAAACTCCTGGCCTTGAGCATTCCTCTTGCCTCAACCTCCCAAGTAGCTGAGATTACAGGTGCAAGCCACCATGTCCAGTTGAAAACTTGATTCCCCTTCATTCCTAAAGGATTTTTTTTTTTTTTTTTTTTTTGCTGAGTGTAGGATTCAGGGTTGACAATTCTTTTCTTTCAAAACGTGAAAAATATTGTTCCACTCTCTTCTGGTCTTTATAGTTTCTGATGAGAAACTGTCAGCTGTCATTTGAATTTTTTTTTTTTTTTTTTTTTTTTTTTGAGACGGAGTCTCGCTCTCTCGCCCAGGCTGGAGTGCAGTGGTGCGATCTTGGTTCACCGCAAACTCCACCTCCTGGGTTCACGCCATTCTCCTGCCTCAGCCTCCTGAGTAGCTGGGACTACAGGTGCCCGCCACCACGCTCGGCTAATTTTTTTGTATTTTTGGTAGAGACGGGGTTTCACCGTGTTGGCCAGGATGGTCTCGATCTCCAGACCTCGTGATCCGCCCACCTCGGCCTCCCAAAGTGTTGGGATTACAGGCGTGAGCCACCGCACCCGGCCCGTCATTTGAATTGTTTTTGCCCATCCGGGTATTGTTTCTCCCTGGCTGCTTTCAAGATTTTTCATTTGTTTTTAGTTTTTGGAAGTCAATTATGATATGTCTTTGTGTGGATTTCATTTCAGTTTATCTTATTTGAGATTTGTTCATCTTGTTGATTTGATATGTAGGTTTATGTCTCTTGCCAAATTTGGAGGATTTTCATCTTTCTTTGAGTATATTTTTAGCCTTGCTCACTTTCTTTGTTCTTTCTGACACTCTGATGACATAAATGTTACTCTTTTGTTATGGGTCCATGAATGCTTGAGTCTCTTTTTTTTCTTTTCAGTCTATTTTCTTTTTGTTGTTTTGATTGGATAATTTCTCTTGTTCTATCTTTCAGTTAACAGATTATTTTCTCTGTCCCCTCCATTCTGCTGTTGAACCCATCCCTTTTTATTTCAATTATCGTATTTTTAAGATCTAATATTTCCATATGGTTCTACTCTGTTTTCTATTATTTTCTGAGATTTTCTGTTTTGCCATTTGTTTCAAGTGTGTTTATAATTGCATAAAGAAACAGTTGTATTATAGCTACTTTAAAATCTATGTCAGATAAATTCTTACATCCTTTTCAGCTCAGTGTTGATGTTTTTGCTCATTCCGTTTGAGATTATCCTGGTTCTTGATCTGATGCATGATTTTTTTTTTATCAAAACCTGGAAATTTTCACATATTATGAGACACTGTATCCCATTTAAGCTTATTTCAGCTGGCTTTCTCTGATACCCCTCTAGAAGGGGAAGGAGTAGGGCTCCCTCATTACTGTTAGGTAGAAGTAAAAGTCCAGGTTCCCCATTTGGCCTAGGTGACACCTGACATTGGAGGCTACTTGTTACTCTGGGAAGTTCTGGCTCCCCACGATGGTATCCACTGACACCACGGGAGTAGGAGGAGGGATCATTACTGGTTAATTTAGATGAAAGTCTGGATTTCCTACTTGGCCTTCTCTGACACCTTCTAGGTGGAGATGTTGAGATATCTTATTACAGCCTGGTGAAAAGGTAAGTATAAACTTGCCTGTTGAACTTTACTGACATGGGCAGGGTGGGTTAGCGGGGGGGTGTCATCATTTTTTCTGTAGTGTTTGGCTAATGTGGAGCAGTTATTGTCTAAAAGTTTTCTGTTTGGCAAGGCTGCCTCTTTCCTGGTCCTTTGGCTAAAAAGAGCAGGCTTAAATGTTTAGACTGTTTCTTTATGTACCTCTTGGTGTTTCTGGATTGCCAGCTTCTTCAGCTCCAAGTCTGGGATATGTGAGGCAAAAGGAAAATCTAGGTAAACCACCAGCTGTCATTCTTTGGTCCCAAAGTCCCTAGCTGGTCTGCTTTCTTCTGTTCACCTTTCCGAGTCTTCTTATATTTGTTTTATATGTAATATCCAGGTGTTTTACTTGTACTTGGTGGGAGGAATAGATAAAAATACATCTACTACATCTTCCAAGAATCAGAAGTCTCCTACTTTATTTTTAACGGTGTTCATGCTTATTTTTATCTATCTATCTATCTATCTATCTATCTATCTATCTATCTATCTATTGAATGCCATCTAAGGAAGCTACACCTAAAATATTTTTTCCCCTTTTGGAAGTGGAGATATTAGCAATCATTGCATTTACTTTAAAACTGTGCTCAACACTAAAGCAGGTATTTTGATGATAATGATGTGCTTATCACTAAATTTAATTACTAAGGTACAAACTGACTAGTATTTTTGCTCTATATTCTCTCATGCTGTAAGATGTGGTTGGAGAAACAATAGTCCAGCTCATGTTGCTAAATGGTATCTGCAAAATACTAGACACATTGGATACGTACCTGAAGCTCTAATTTTGAAAAGAGATAGTATAAAAAGTGCACTGAAAACAATTTCTAGCTTTCATCAGATTGCACTGCTTATGTGTATACTAGTTTTGCTATAAGAAAATGATACCATTTATTTAATTGGAAAAAAAGGGACAGTCATATGTCTGGTATTTTTTACTGGGCAGCAAGTTCAAATGTTAGACTGTCTTTGTCAAAACCAGACAGCTGGCAACCCTGGAACCTCACCAGGGAGAGCCAGACCCACTGGAGCAGCGCAGGCAATCTGGGAAGGTTCCAGGAAGTTAAATTCAATACACATTTATTGTGCAAAGATAAGACATCTGGACCAGTAGATAGCACATTGGTAAAGTCTAACAACAGGCAATAGGTAAATAAATAATTGGCATTAGCAACATCTAACTAGAAATTGTAGGTGGGTCCTCAGTAGCCTGGAAGAGCTCATTGATAGAGGCATTTGGCTATATCCAAAGCACTGGAATAGATAATGAGTATTAGGGAATAAGTAGAGGAGATTGAAGTTCAAGCAGAGACAACATTAGGACAGGTATGGCAGGGCCCCAGGCCCAGATGAATCAGGATTCTGACATTACCAAGTCTGGTATGCAAGAATAAGGGAGCAAAGGGAGCACCAAGTTAAAAGAAACAAGGCAAGGGTCCAGTAATCAAAATATGAGTACAAACAAAACAAAACAAGAAAAAAACAGACTCTTCCCTCTACTCAAGCTGTTTTATATGATTTTTGTATACAAACCCACTTAAACCTGTGCTGTGGCTGGGTTAAGAAAAAATGTGGAAGGCTTCTGCACTCACTTTATCTCTGGAATTTCTTCATGTTTCATTCCATTCACCCAATTGTCCTTTGTTTATTACTTTCTGGCTGTTCTTTGTTTGTATTTACTTTGTTTTGTTTTACCCAATTCTGATTCCAGACTTTAGCTCTTGCACTCATATAATTTATTAGAATGTTGCCCCTGTAACTGTACATACTGTCCTTTTGTTCATGGGATCCTCTAGGACACCTCAAAAGCCTGGATATGCTCTCTGGCTTTTCGCACTATAGCCACAGAGAAATTGTACTCTGTTATGGTTCCATTAGAGTCATCCACTTGGTCCTACACTTTGTCCAGTCCCCGTCTGATAGGGGAGAGGGATCCAGTACACACTAACACCACAGCTGGCTTAATGTTGAGACTCTAGGAGCTACTAGCCTAGGATTCCTTGTCTCCTTGACAAGGAATACCTTTGGTCACTGGGACTGAGATGGGGTTGTCTGCAGGTAGGGTCTAAATGACCCAGTCAGGCAGGTCATTTCACTTACCGCCTATATTTAAAGCTCAATATCAAATTTAAATAAACATCTGTGGAAATAATAATTATTGTTGAATCACTCTTAAACATTTCTGACAGGATTCTATACTTCATAGAAAAACTATATATGACGATTACCAGATGATGGTGATGATGATGATGATGATGACGACGACGACTAGAGATGGAGTTTTGCTCTTGTCGCCCAGGCTGGAGTGAAATGGCACAATCTCGGCTCACTGCAACCTCTGCTGCTCAGGTTCAAATGATTCTCCTGCCTCAGCCTCCCTAGTATCTGGGATTACAGGCACCCACCACTAGGCCCAGCTAATTTTTGTATTTTTAGTAGAGGTGGGGTTTTGCCATGTTGGCCAGGCTGGTCTCGAACTCCTGACCTCAGGTGCTCCACCGGCCTTGGCCTCTCAAAGTGCTGGGATTACAGGCATGAGCCAACATGCCCGGTCAATTATCAGATTATTAATGCAGTGTTACAAAACGTTTCTCATAGAATGCCCAAGACAGACATAAGACTGCATATGGTCTTTCATCTTGGTATGTCCAAATGCTGGTAGTAAATGTTGGATGAATGAAGAAGGATAACAAAAATTGAGGGATGAGTGTTTATTAGGAACACCAAATGAACAAAGCTAAAGTCTAAGAATCAGTGAATCAGTGAAAGGTAAATAATTAAAAGCCTGTGCTTTTAAATTCGCCTTCCTTGTCATGTTCCCTCAGCACCAAAGTGCCAGCCAGAATCTTGATTCAAGAAGCTATGCTTTATCTTGCCCACACACCCATATCTCAACTAGGGAGTCCCAAACAGCAACTCTCACCTACGGGACCTCAGTGAAATTTTCTGAGATTGATTCATGCCTTAAAAGGAATGTTAAGCTCCAAATCGCAGACAAACTGGATCAGCATCAAGCTGTCATTTGTACCTTTTACCTGTTGCCAGGACCTCTTGCCTCTGTTCTAATCTTTGATCCCATGACTTCTAATCTGGTTTCTAATTCTCGTAACACACTCTTTGTCATAGTTCCAAGTTCATTCTGTCTGGTGGTGTTCCAGAACTGCTCTCTGTTCTAACCTTATACATTCCTAAACCTTCACTCTTGTCTGAATATCTTATTCTGGCCACCATCTTGCTCTGCCAACCTTGGTTATCTTGTCCTGATTCCAGACTTCCAATTTTGTCATAGCCATCTATTTCTGTGATCTTCATCGTATGTGAACCTCCTTGTGTATCCAGCTGTCCTGGACTTTGTAGCCTTGGCTTTTGTTTTCCAGTCCCAGACACTCATCCTGGTCCTTGATATTGTCAGCATTTATGTTCTTAGTTTTGACACAGGGCCAACCTGGATTTGGTTGTGCCATAGGTACATTGCATGTTTGGTACACTACTAAGCCCTTTCAGGATTCATATTGAAGACCTTTCCTCCCGTTCCAGGGAGTCTCACCTCACTCATACCTCGCTGGTCCTCCTGTGTCTCTACTCTTAGGGTATCCCTTGTTTCCAACTTTTCTAGATTGTTTCCTTCAAAAAAATATTGTGTAGCTTCATGTCCTAATTTCTCACCTATACATTTTTATTCAATTAGTTCATATTAATAGTTACCTGACTATCCCTTTTCTCCCTGCAAATCTGTATGTAGTCTATATGGGGACCTGATGTGGAAAATGCTTTTACTTGAAAGAGGAACTTTAATTGGATGTAGGGGGATTGTTAGGTACTAAAGTAGGTAGTTGTGGAGAGGCTGAGATGAGGCTCAGCAGATGGCTGAGGCTTTGGGGCCCCTATTTAATCATACTAGCATATCTACTTTCTAAAAAATTAATTTAAACATTTTTAGGCTGAGCGTGGTGGCTCACGCCTGTAATCCCAGCACTTTGGGAGGCTGAGGTGGGAGAATCACTTGAGGTCAGGAGTTCGAGACCAGCCTGGCCAACATGGTGAAAGCCTGTCTCTACTAAAATACAAAAATTAGCTGGGTGTGGTGGTGCACACTTGTAATCCCAGCTACTCGGGAGGCTGAGGCAGGAGAATCGCTTGAAACCGGGAGGCAGAGGTTGCAGTGAGCTGAGATCACGCCACTGCACTGTAGCCTGGACAAGAGTGAAACTCCATCTTAAAAAAAAAAATGTATTGTGGTAAAAGAATACATAACAAATTTTAGCACCTTAACCATTTTAAGGGTACAGTTCAGTAGTGTTATGTATATTCACGTTGTTGTACCACAGATCTCCAGAACTTTTTCATCTTGCAAAACTGAAACTCTGGCCACATGTGGTGGCTCACGCCTATAATCCTAGCACTTTGGGAGGCCGAGTCAGGTGGATCACCTGAGGTTGGGAGTTCGCGACCAGCCTGACCAACATGGAGAAACCCCGTCTCTACTAAAAATACAAAATTAGCTGGGCGTCGTGGCACATGCCTGTAATCCCGGCTACTTGGGAGGCTGAGGCAGGAGAGTCGCTTGAACCCGGAGGCAGAGGTTGTGGTGAGCCAAGAGTGCGCCATTGCACTCCAGCCTGGGCAACAAGAGTGAAACTCCGTCTCAAAAAAAAAAAAAAAAAAAAAACAAACAAAACTGAAACCCTATACCCGTTAAACTGTAACTCCCCTTTTCCCCTTCCCCCAGCCCTGGGCAACCACCATTAGGAGTATACCTACTTTTGAATTGAGTTGGCCCCTGCTCACAAAAGGCTCAGTTGGGATATTAAAGGAAGACCACACTGTTTTTGTTGTACTTGTTGTTGTTGTTGTTTTTCAACCCAAAATGATTGATAGGGTTTATGGTAGAGATCAGGGACCTGCTCTACCAATTCTATTCTAAGCGGCAGGAATGACCTAAGTAACCATGCCAGTTGATAATAAATGAAATTTGATGAACTCTAGAGGCAAACATGAGTGCTGTGGAAGACCACTTAAAAAAAAAAGGTTCCTTTGGATCTTGCAAGTTCTATGATCTTCCTCTAAATTGTAATAATTCATGTAATCATCAAACCTGGTCTTCCTCTATTTATGTAGTTGGCATTTTCAGGATATAAATACAATAATAGGCTTGATGGTGCTGAGTACATTTCAATAAGAGAAAATAACACTATTAAGTCTATTCAGTGATAGGCGTTAACTTGATATAGCCTTTCTATAGGTATTTTTCAGTTGAATTAAAAAGAAGATAAATATCTCTTAATTAGTACATGAAACGCCTTCAGCATCAAGTAAAGAAGAAAATCCAAGAAGACCAAGGGAAAGTTTGCTTGCCCAGAGGGTTTGGCTTTTGAAGCATTAATCTCCTGAAGGAAGCTCTGAATCACCTTCCTGTGTGTTTTACCATCCCAGAGGAATGTGAGCACACCTCTAGAACCAAGAAAAGGCTTTAGGTCCGTAGGTTTCACTTGCTTATACTTGCCCTGTGGTAGTCTGAAAAAAAGTCCTCTCTCAGGTGTGTTTGTTTTGTATCATTTAAAATAATATAGCTATGACTTGCCTATCATCCCAAGACAATTTTCAGCAATAAACTTCCATATATGATTATTGTCCATATTAATTTTTCTACCAGCCCACACATTCTTCAAGAGGCTCATTCTGACTTCATCCAAAGCAAAGGCACAAGTGCACTCCAATGTCTATTGTGTTTTCACCATGGAGTGTTCAGAGACATGAAGACTGCCTCTCATGGCGCACACTTTGGGGCATAGGTGGCATCAGGGCAGGGGTCATGCAGCAGAGCAGCAAGGTGAGGGATAAGATATTAAAAGTCAACAGAGAGAATGGGTTAGAAGACCAAGAGGTTAGACAAGGTCTGAGGGCTTCAGCCATTCTTGGGGGAGAAAGTGGGGAAGGGTCCTAAATCCAGAAAGATGGAATTTAAAGAGCAGTGACTGTGGGAACTTCATGACCTTCTTGTGTCTCATTTTATTATCAGCAAAGTAAAAGAATCAATCAATGTTATAGGTTAAGTTGTGTCCCCTCCCAAAATAATATGTTGAAGTCCTAACTACTAGCACTTCAGAATGTGACCTTATATGGAAATAAAGTCATTGCAGATGTAATTAGTTAAGATAAGGTCATACTGGAGTAGAGTGGGCCCTTAATTCAGTGTAACTGGTGTCTTTATTAGAAGAAAAGAGAAACACACAAAAAGAACTCCATGTAAAGCTAGACATAGAGATTGGAGTTACGCAGCTGCAAGCCAAGGAATGCCTGGTGTTACCAAGAGCTGGAAGAGGTAAGAAAAGATCTACCCCTAGAAGCTTCAAAAGGACTGTAGCCCGGCTGGCACCTTGATTTTGGACTTCTAGCCTCCAGAACTACGAGAGAATAAATTTCTGTTGTTTCAAGCCATCACAGTTTGTGGTATTTTGTCATGATAGCTCTAAGAAACTAATACAGTCAACATCTAAGTTTTCTTTCTGCACTAACACTTTCTGGCCCTGATTTAGAAAAGAATTTCTGATGGATATTGCAGTTTAATTGTGCCAGGCATATTTAATATTCAGTGAAATATAGATGACTATTCCAGGTAGCCTGATGAAATGTATGTTGATCGTAAGTTTTCTTTTCTTTTCTTTTCTTTTTTTTTTTTTTTTTTTTGAGACAGAGTCTCGCTCTGTCACCCAGGCTGGAGTGCAGTGGTGTGATCTCAGCTCACTGCAACCTCCACATCCCGGGTTCAAGCAATTCTCCTGCATCAGCCTCCTGAGCAGCTGGGACTACAGGCGCGCACCACCATGCCTGGCTAATTTTTGTATTTTTAGTAGAGACAGGGTTTCACCATGTTGGCCAGGCTCATCTCAAATTCCTGACCTCAAGTGATCTGCCCGCCTCAGCCTCCCAAAGTGCTGGGATTACAGATGATCATAAGTTTTCAAAGCTCATTCTGGAGAAAGCCACACCTTGCCTAAAAGGTGACATTTTATTTGGCTCCCTGTGGAAAAAGCAATGCTTCCAGTTGGAGATGTCATGCTGGAAGATAGCATGCTTGTTCTGGCTCCAAAAAATTAATGAGTTTTCAAAATGCCTATTGTAGTGGGGAAAAAAAAAGAGTAAAACTCTGTATGATGTCTCAGGCTGAAGTAAAATAGGAAGGAAGAGTGAGAGACACCTCAGTCTGCAGTCAGGAAAAGGAAATCAGAAGAGGTAAGGGAAGAATAGTCTTTTTATTTGAGTCATTAGGTAATTCCTCAAAAGATCAATTCAGGGTCCAGAGAAAGAAGGTACAGCATGTAATGTGTGCAGATAGAAACAGGGACAAAAGATAAGTCATGTTTTACTCTGGTTCATAGTAGTAGGTGATAATAATAATAACAGTTGTGAGAGGCAATCTGCCATGGTCCCTGAACATCCCTGCATGCTTTTGTTGAGTATGCAAAGCCTTGCCTACTCTTTACTTGGGCCATTTCTTCTCTTTCCCTCTCTCAACCTGCTTCTCAAGTTTCCAAGGAAAGGCCATTTCTAAGACATTTGTTTCCAGTGTGCATCAGAGAGGAGACAAGATCTTCAGGGACAAAGAGCAAGCTTGCTTACTGCCCATTGTAAAAGCTATAAATTCTCCAAGCTCAGTGTTCTTCCACTCTGATGCAAACCCACTGTGTACTCAGCATCTACCTGGGTTCCCAAATGTCAAGCCTGTGGAACTTGAGGGCAACGGGGAACCAATGCAAATATGCTGATGCTCATGTTACTTGCTGTGCTGTGAGTAAAATCCTTTACTCCTGAACTCTCATGTCTTCTGCCATCATCCATTAAACTGTGGAAAGCTAATTTGTTAGCTTGCCAGTGGCATAAAATCCCAGATCCTGACAATAATAAGTTGTCTTCATGTACTCTGATTAATAATAGTAACAGGTAATAATAATTTCAAAAACAGTAATTATTCCATTTATTGAGGGCTTCCTATGTGTCAGGCACTGATTTATGCACATTACATAAATTACTCATGTCATACACAGGATAATTTTACTAAGAAGTTAGATGACTTTCCCAAGGTCACATACTCTCTCTCTTATTTATTTATTTATTTATTTATTTATTTATTTATTTAGAGACGGAGTTACACTCTGTCACCCAGGCTGGAGTGCAGCGGCATGATCTCGGCTCACTGCAACCTCCACCTCCTGGGTTCAAGCGATTCTCCTGCCTCAGCCTCCTGGGTAGCTGGGACTACAGGTGTGCACAACCACGCACGGCTAATTTTTGCATTTTTAGTAGAGACAGGGTTTCGCCATGTTGGCCAGGCTGGCCTTGAACTCCCAACCTCAGGTGATCCACCCACCTCAGTCTCCCAAAGGGTTGGGATTACAGGCGTGAGCCACCGCGCCCAAAGGTCACGTACTCTCAAGGCTCCTGACCATTATCATTATTCTTTTTTCCTTGCCAACATCCTTTTTAATCCCCGAATTCTACCTTCTTCCTGTAATTCCTTGTTCACATAATCAAAATGATCATCATGTAAACGTAATGTAAAAATCACTGCCCCAGAGAACTCTTTTGTGTATTTCCTTTCTTCTTCTCAGCACAGTTGTTAATAGCCCAGACCCTGGAGCCAGCCTTCACTCACTAGCTGGGTGACCTTGGGGCAAGTTATTTATTCTCTCTGTGTCTCAATTTCCTTATTTGTAAAATGAAGGATAATAACAGTACCTACCTTATAGGGTTCTTGTGAGGCTCAAGTGGGCCAATATATGTAAAGGTTTACAACAGTGTCAAACACATAGTAATAATTGAATAAGAATTAGCTATTCTTCTTGTCACTTTTTTGAAGGTAGAATAGTCCTGAATCATCTTTTCTACCATATAAATGCCTGATTGATGGTGATGGTACCAATCATCTTGAACTTCATCATCATCATCTTCAATTGAGTGTATACTATTTACAAGGTAGGTGTTGTGTTTACAACAGAATAATCTATTTCAATCAGGTGTGGTGACTCATCCCTGTAATCCTAGCACTTTGGGAGGTCAAGGAGGGTGGATTGCTTGAGCTCAGGAGTTCGAGACCAGCCTGGGCAACATGGCGAAACCCCATCTCTATAAAAAATGCAAAAAAAAAAAAGTTGCCAAGTATGGTGGCACATGCCTGTAGTTCCAGCTACTCAGGTGGCTGAGGCAGGAGGATTGCTTGAGCTGAGGCAGGAGGATCGCTTGAGCTCAGGAGGTTGAGGCTGCAGTGAGCCTTGGTGGTGGCGCCACTGCACTCCAGCCTGGGTAACAGAGTAAGACATTGTCTCAAAAAGAAAAAGAAAAAAGAATAATGTTCTATTTCAATCAAATAGTCCCTCTTACCAGGGACCTAACATTGCCAGATATACAAGGAATGCATGTGGTGACTCACACCTGTAATCCCAGCACCTTGGGAGGCTGCAGCTGGTGGATCATCTGAGGTCACGAATTCGAGACCAGCCTGGCCAACATAGCGAAACCCTGTCTCTACTAAAAATACAAAAATTAGCTGGGTGTGGTGGCAGGTGCCTGTAATCCCAGCTAATCAGGAGGCTGAGGCAGGAGAATTGCTTGAACCTGGGAAGAGGAGTTTGCAGTGAGCCGAGATTGCACCACTGCACTCCAGCCTGGGTGACAAGAGCAAAACTCTGTCTCAAACAAAACAAAACAAAAAAACAAATAACAAAGAATGCAAGGCAAGTTTAAGGCACTGCCCTAGCTCTAAACAAGCTTATAATATACCTGAAGAGATGAAATTAACACACATGAAATCATAAATAATGATTGGTAGATATTGCTCATATAAACTTATATAAGTACAATATAAGTTCAGAGAAAGGTGACAGGAGTGTGGCTAAAGCAGGCAAATACACTTTCATATGGCAGAAGTTAAGAATCACACTGTCTTAAAGTGTGGGCAACATTTACTTCAGTAGAGGGGGAAGAGTTGAAGAGTCCACATTTGTTTAACACTTTCCAGTTTGTAGAATTCTTTTTTTTTCTTTTTTTTTTTTTTGAGATGGAGTTTCGCTCTTGTTGCCCAGGCTGGAATGGAGTGCAATGGCACAATCTCGGCTCACTGCAACCTCTGCCTCCTGGGTTCAAGCAATTTTCCTGCCTCAGCCTCCCAAGTAGCTGGGATTACAGGCATGCGCCACCATGCCCAGCTAATTTTGTATTTTTAGTAGAGACGAGGTTTCTCCATGTTGGTCAGGCTGGTCTCGAACTCCCAACCAGAGGTGATCCGCGTGTCTCTGCCTACTAAAGTGCTGGGATTACAGGCATGAGCCACCACGCCCGGCAGCTTATAGAATTCTTTTCCATATATTTATCTTATGTCAAGCCCTTAGGGTAGACAGAGAGGGCATTATTATTCTAGCCCATAGGTGGACTCTGACATACAGAATGGTTAAGTAACTTGCCCAAGGTCTACCACTCTGGCTCTGGCAAAACCTCTGCCTGGAAGGAGCCTGCACCTGTTAATCATGACTCTGATACAGATATAATATAAACGTGTTAAATATTTTATTAACTTATTATTAATGAGAGAGCTTGTAAGATGTTATAACCAGTTCAAAGGAGTAGTCAAAGGTACACATATTTATATGAGGTAATGTTGAAGTGAATTTACAAATGGATGGGAAACTGGCTTTTTCCATGGTGGGGGAGAGGAAAGTCAGTTAACTGAACCCACACCAGACAGAGTTTATATGCATGTATATGGACAATAATTATTTTGCATTACTATCAGTTAACTATAACTTACAGAGTTTTAAAATAACTCAAAGAAAATAAAAGACTGGAATTGGATAACCCAGAAGAATCTGTTCTAAATAATGCATAGTTTCCACTGGGGACACTCAGTAATCTTTTTTGCTTTTTCCAAATTTCCCTATACACTTCAGTTAGACATAAACAGAATACAAATAAGGTAACAGCAAGTAGTACATAATCTCAGGGCTGAGGTGGGGGTTAGGAATACGTGACACCAAACTTTGTACTCCCAAGCTGGTCTGGAGCTTGTGAGGAACCTAATTAAGCACAAGGAAAGCAGTTTAATTTGACAAAGAGTCATTCAGAGAGAACTCCTCTAAGCCAGGCCAGTTTTGAGTTCAAGGAAGGTTCAAAGAAAGGTGAGGTTTCCAAGTTGCTAAGTGGTAGATGGTGGTGGGTGCATTTTAGGCTGGCCAATTATATACCACCCAGATTCAGATCATCATTTAATTAAATTTATATCTAGCACAGCATTTTTTTTAAAAGAAAGAAAAGGAAGAAAGTAGGCCAGGCGTGGTGGCTCTCACCTGTCATCCCAGCACTTTGGGAGGCCAAGGCAGGCAGATCACCTGAGGTCAGGAGTTCGAGACCAGCCTGACCAACATAGAGAAACCCCGTCTCTACTAAAAATACAAAATTAGCTGGACGTGGTGGTGCATACCTGTAATCCCAGCTACTCAAGAGGCTGAGGCAGGAGAATCGCTTGAACCTGGGAGGTGGAGGTTGTGGTGAGCTGAGATCGTGCCATTGTACTCCAGCCTGGGCAACCAAAGTGAAACTCCATCTCAAAAAAAGAGAAAAAAAGAACATAGTAATTAATTTTATGAGATTAACATGGATACATTTTCCTTACTGCCAGAAACTGTAAGTACTAGGTAAGCAGAGAAGATGTTTTACTGAGGTCCTAATTAATGGTTTGTACAAACATATACTTATGAAAATTGCATTCATGTCCATATATATGAATAGGTAGCTCATCTTTTTAAATATAATTATGTACTTATATACAGTGATACAAATATTAATATATAGACTTGGCTTTCCATATAGGCAGCCACCTACATGGTGTGATCATTAGGGTGATCAAAAGCCTCCCTACTTTCAGATGTCCCTTAGTGATCTGTTGTCATTTATGACATTCCCACCATTAATGTTACTTATTTGGGTTAAGAGTTAACTCCAGAAGGCATTTGTTAAAATGCAACAAGATTTTTTTTAAAGAAGATAACAAAAAAGTCGGGGGAAAATGTCTACAATGGGAGCAGAAAGGGTAGGCCTAAGAACGATGCTATGTGGGCAGCTCTGGAAAGCCCTGGAGGTGCCATGGGAGCCTCTAGGCACCTGGAAGGACTATCAGTGACAAGGAAGGCAGGAAATGAATACTGGAAGCATAAGAAGAAAAACTTGAATGTACCACAAAGTTGTGATGTCCCTACAACAGTATCCAATAATACAAATACATTAAGAATTACTCCAGCCAGGCACCGTTGCTCACACCTATAATCCCAGCACCTTGGGTGGCTGAGGCAGGAGGATTGCTTGAACCCAGGAGTTCAAGACCAGCCTGGGCAAAATGACAAAACCCTGTCTCTACAAAAAATATGAAAATTAGCCAGGCCTGGTGACACATGCCTGTAGTCCTAGCTACTTGGGAGGCTGAGGTGGGAGGATCTCTTGAGCCCAGGAGGTTGAGGCTGCAGTCAGGTGAGATTGCACTACTACACTGCAGCCTGGGTAACAGAGCGAGACCATATCAAAAAAGAAAAAAAATTACTTCATAGAATAACTGAGTTTCACAAAGCCAAGTCACGTATTGTATAAGAGACATTTAATTTTCCTAATATTAGTATGTTGTTGAAAGGCATTTGGCTGAGAACTGATGCTCTGGAATCAAAGTTGCAAATCAGGTATTACCAGAAAACAAGAGTGAAAGTGGGAAACCTGGTTTATCATCCAGGGTTAAGGGCTAAATGCAAATAGCCAAGAGAGATGTTTTTACTGCCATTTGCATCTTCATCATCCTTGGGATTAAAGCAGTCATTAAATACCTATTGGTGCACTGAGCTGTAGCAAATGAGTAAACACGTGCATGGTCTCCTGCCAACATGGGATTTATAATGGTGTAGACAATTCCGTGGTAGAAGTATAGTAAACACATGTAGAATGTGAAAAATTAATAACTTACATTAATTTAGTAAATTACATATTTTCATTGAGTGCAAATAGGAGGGAAAGTGCATTTACCAGAGTTGAGCAAAGGAGCTAGAACAAGGAATTACTGCCACTTTTTCAAGGCTTGTCTTGTGGTGATGGATTTCAAGAGCTGTTTAAATGATGGGAGAAAAAGCTAGTGGAATTGGGTTGGGTGTGCTTTTGTAGAATATTCAGAGGTGGGAATTAAATAAATGGTTAAATGACAACTTAGGGGAACCAACATTCCCTTAGCCTTGCATGTCCTTGAGGGAATACACTAGAGGGACATAGTCTCTCTCCGTGCCCCTCCATTACATCCTACCGAGTGAAGAAAGACTTATCTGAGTAATGAGTTTTTGAGAATAAATTGAGAATGCTCTGCCATTTTCAAGTAGTCTTTCTAAGGATTTTATTGTGGTCCGCTGTTAGCTTGTGAGGCAGGCCTTAGCTTGTCTCTCTGTTTCCTAATTTTCTCAGAATCTTGTCCCAAATTTCTGAGAGATTAAATTTGGTGAATAGGTGTATGAGGCTCCCTAATTCAGAGGTGAGGGAGGTATTAGAAAGACTGCTGAGGTTGCACATTCTCAGCTACGTCCGCCAGTTCAGTTTTATAACTGACATTTTGAGCTGCTATCTGATTCTGGTGTTCGTGTCTCAGTTGCTTTTAAATTAGAAAGAGGAAAGGGGATGTTACTGATCTCTTAAAACCCAACAGAGAAATGAGTAGATTTATCAGAAAGAAGTGGAGATGGCTGATAAGAAAGACAGAAAACCCCCATGAACCTCATGAAGAAGGTCAAACTTCACTATCTTCCATTTTCCTTTCTCCAATGGTCATCACTAAGATATATTATTTAGTCCAGTGCTTCCCAAACTATTTATAGTGAAGGAACAGTTTTCCTTTCTTTCAAATAAAATTCCAATCTGTCATAGACTGATACTTTCTTTTAAAAATAATACAAATAAATTATTATAAAATGATATTTAATAAAAATCAAAGTTGTAAAAATACAAGCTCAATTTTTTTAAATAATTAGGTTCAACAGACAAGAATATTCTGTTACATTGCTATACATTTTTAAAAACTCTAACTCTCAGTCTCTGACTAATCTCGTCACAGACCAGCACTGGTCTGTAGCACACACTTTTAGTATGATAGATCTAGTTAATTTAAGTTCACAGAATCTTCATCATTGTCCTCTAAAAATGGGACACAGTGGTTAAGCGTACAGGTTCTACTAACAGACTTTCAATTCCCAGTGAATGAGTGGTGAAGTCAATACTTGCCTCATAGGGTCGGTATAAGGATTAAATAGGAATTTGTCTAAAGCACTTGTCTATGTTGAGCCTCTTGAAAGTGTCAACAACTGTTATTATTATTCTGGACCAATATACATGTTGGGAGGTACACTTCTGCTTAATGTTTGTACCTCAATGGGTACAAATAAATATTTCCATACCGTGTTCTTTAAATGAGTCAGATTGTATTATCTTCTAATAATTTGGGCAATTGGTCTTTGTGTTTTCTTTCACCCAGAAGCTGACCAAATCTGTACAAGTAAAGCAAGGGGCTTGAAGACTTTTGCTTTCAAGGCTCTATTGGTTCATCCTTGAGATACAAACATGACTTTTCCAGATAAGTTCTAGATCCCACATAAGCTAAATAGTCATAGTCAAAGGTCTAGCCTCAGTAAGATCACTGTCTATGTCTCTGTGAACATTTGCAAAGCTAGTGTTGCTAAATACTGCCTCCTAAAATCTCGGTTATGTTTCCTATAAAAGAAGAAGGCCTGGAAGGCATTCAAAGTACTGGAAAAACTTGGAGTTGGGAGGGTTCGGTTGGGGGTGCCCTGGAGCCTGGAATGTACCTGCTGAGTTGGATCAGGAAGCAAAGTGTGCCAAATGGCCTTGTAACAGGGTTAAGCAAAGATTTATACTTGTCAGAGACGTGGCTAACTGTTCTAACCTCCACCCCTATCTTGGCGTTTCCTATTATGCAATTTTCCAGTTCCAGCTAAATCCACTTCTTTTGATTATAAAAAAAGTAATAATAAACCTACACCTGAATGGCATAGAACATTAACCGATTGTTTCCCCATATCAAGCAAATCTACTTTTCATTAAGGCAGAGCTCATAAAAATCCAATTCACTCTCACCGCTCTGGTCTGTTCAGGCTGTAGGGCCAAAACTGAGGCAGTTTGGGTCACGGGGGCTGTTTAGAGCATTGCCTCCGGCCTCACTAGGGTACTGAGTTTCATTCTCTGTGGTGAACCGAACTGACTTCATTTTTTCCAGTTTAGTCTGGTAAAGCTACAAGTTTCATGTTCTAAATTTACTTCAAGTTGCTGCAAAGTCTATTCCTGTGTAGTTGTAAAGGGAATACTGTCTATTGAGAAAGGCAAACCAAATTTCTCAGAGGTTCAATTTGGTTTTTAACAGAAGGAGTAGGCTCAACTACATTTGCAGGGGAGAGGGTGGTTGTGAATTCAGAGCATCAACTGGTGATATATTATGTTCATCTCTGAATTTAACAATTATGAGGCCCCATGATTTCTCACCAATGGTGGGTGTGTGCGGGGCAGGGAAGAGGCCATAAAGGCTACTAGAACGGATGGAGGTTTGTTAGATTGTTATATTAAAAAGTAAGCTGAGTGATGAGTAAGACATCCTTCCACCTCCAGAAACATGGCCATCTGGCAGGTCCTTGGCAGAATTGAAAATGAAACAAAGAATGTTAATTCTCAAGTCCTTGTTCAAAGTTAAAAGCTATTTTGTTCCTCATCTAATGAGTAAAAATGATGCATATTTACCTGGAATATAAACTGCAAATGCCTGTCTCACTGTCCTTGGATTTTTTTGAAATGGGTAGGGAGGATTGCTATTTTAACAATTGAAATTCAATGACTCTGCTGCTGCTCTCGCCCTCTTGCTGTGTGGTTTATCATTCATTCACGTCGAAATGATCCACTTGTTGGTGGGAAGCCTCACCTGGGAAATTGTGCTCTCTGTAGTCACATAATCAAATGTAGTTACAGAGACAATGAGAAATGTTAGAAGATTCGCTTGAGGAGGAAGTCAGTCTACTGATAAGGCAGAACCAAAGAATGTTCCCCAGGAGGCATCACATTTCCTTGTGTCATTTTCTAAAACGGCACAGCGTAGCAAGCCACTAGCGAATGAGAAAATCTTGGTTCTCATTCTTGGATTCAGCAGTGTCCTTGGATGGCTTAGGCCGCAGTGAGAAAATACTTGGCTAAAATACCTTTGAAACCTAGAGCTGCTGAGTGCACTGTCAAAATCACTAATGCTCCCATGGCATTTAGTCCCCATCTACACCCCAAATTCCATATGCCACAGTGATGCACCTGGCTTTGTTTCTCCCACAACTTAGGTTTTTTGCGGGGGAGATGGGGTTCATTTATTTATGCTTTGTAGTAAGTGGCATTTATTTGTGTAGGAATCCTTTTGGTTAACATGTGACAATCCCCTGAAGTCTTTCTAGTCTTATTTATTTTTGGTTGTTTGAACCTTCTTAGTAAGGAAGAGTCAATGGTTTTAATACTCTTCTCTCTCTCTCCCTCCATCCCCCCCGCCGCCCCCACCCTGCCCCCAGCCTGCCACTTCTCTTTTGGGTCTGGATATTCTGAAGTTCTCTGAGAATTAATCCAAACCAAACTGCCTAGGTGCAGGGTGAGCCCTCCAGATAGGGTAACTATGGTAGAAAGTGTTCCTAAATCTAACTTGACTTCCAGAGGAAATTTAATGATTTTTTAAGCTATTCTTGGGCCCAAGGATTTGGGATGAGTATATTTAGTGATCTAAAAATGATTGCTGGAAAACAGAGGCTAACCACCATACTACTTGGATGTAGAGAGAAAATATTTATTGTATGCAACACTCATATAATGATTTATAGTTTTCATTGTGTTTAAATATTGTATTATTAAATCCCCTCAACCTGTGTGGTGAGGGAGTTGATGATATTCTCACAAGGAAACTAAAGTCAGAAGATTAAATAAGTTCCTCAAATGTAGTATGCCAAACTCTTTCAACTAGAAGGGTGACTTTAGTACAAAAGGGAATTTTTTCACATGACTACATGGTACCTGGCAGAACTGAATGGAGAAAGTGTTGCCAGAAACCTGGGGTTCAGAGATTTTAATAAGGATTCAAAATTGCCAGAACATTCTCTCTACTCATCTTTATTTTTTCTTGTCTCTGCTTGGATTCACTCTGTAGACAGTCTCCCTATATATGGTGAGAAAGATGGTGGGTGGTAGCCTACTCATGTACCCTTACGATTCATGATCAAAGTGAGGGCTACCTTTACTTCAGACACTTTTGGGTAAGACTCAAATTCACTTAGCTTAGATCATGAAATCTCTCTCTTGGACCAATCACTGTTTCCCAAGAGGTGCAGTGCTACTGTCACCAGTGGAGGGTGTCCAGGTTCTTGGTGTCTTGAACAAAAAATTGGACAAAACACACAAAAAAACAAGGAAGGAATGAAGGGATTTATTGAAAATGAAAGTACACTCCACAGTGCGGGAGCTAGCCTAAGCATAGGGGCTCAAGGGCCCTGTTGCAGAATTTGTAAGAGTTTAAATACCCTCTCCAGGATTCCATTGGTTACTTGGGGTATGTCCTATGTAAATGAAGAGGATGAAGTAAAGTTACAAAGTTAACTTGGCCTACACCCTATGGAGAGGATATTTCCTGTCATAGCTGAAGTGTGAATTGGCCTTATGTTCCCTGCCTCCAGACCCTATTTTCCTGCCTCACTATGGTTGGAACAGGCCTGAATCATGTGCCCACCCTTGTAGTCGGGTAAGGGCGAGTGCACCATGATTGCCAGCTTCACCTGGAAGACAACGAATGGGGAAAGAGTTCTTCAAAGGGAAAGGGATGATGTTACTGGACAAAGAAGAATGTGTGTGAGGTAGACAAAAACACCAAGTATTGCAGCCCACTACACCCAAATTCTGGAAAGTCTGGGTGGCTCTTTCTAAAACACCATGCTAAGAGAGCATGAGGTGAAACAAACTGGTCGAACACAAAGGATAGCATTTAAGGAGTTTTAGAAGTTTGTTTTAGAGGTCTTAGTCACTATTTTTGAGAAGTCATGAAGAATAGCTAGACCTAGTGAAGTGAAAAGTCTGCATACAACCCATAATTGAAAAGAGTGATGTTTGGAAAACTAAGAGAGCAGTAGTTCTCAAACATTTTGGTCTAAGGAGTCCTTAGTACCCTTAAACATTATTAGGGACCCAAAAGATATTTTGTTTATGTGCTATAACTATCTATACTTATCAAGTTAGAAATTAAAACTAAGACATTTAAAAATATTTGGTAGATTATTTAAAAATAAAAAACAACCCATTGTGTGTTAAATAGCATTTTAATGAATAATAATTATAACTTCTTCTGCTTAATCAAGGACATTCTTAAGTGAGATGGCATTTCTTTTTCTGCCAATATGTGGTAATAAAGCACACAATAACCAGTAGTATAGTTTGGTACCCCTGCCTTAATCCATGCTACAGCACCAGCAGTTTTACCCACCATTGCTTTTTCACCATCATTACAATTACCAACACTCTGGAAAAGGCAAATAATATTTTAGCATTATTTTGAAAATAAGTTCGATCTCTTCAGCTCCCTAAAAGGGTCATAGGAACCCCCAGGCATTTGTGGACAACATGTCGAGAACCAGAACTGCCGCAGTGGAGATCATCATGTAATTCATTTACCCATAGAGACTAGCATCAAGTACTGGATAGCAATCAGCCCAGGTTCACATAAAGCAAATCATCCTATGGCCTTTTTTTTTTTTTTTTTAGATGGAGTTTCACTTTTGTTGCCTAGGCTGGAGTTCAATGGCACGATCTCGGCTCACTGCAACCTCCGCCTCCCAGATTCGAGCGACTGTCTCGCCTCAACCTCCCGAGTAGCTGGGATTACAGGCGCCTGCCACCACGCCCAGCTAATTTTTGTATTTTTAGTAGAGACGGGGTTTCACCATGTTGGCCAGGCTTGTTTCAAACTCCTGACCTCAGGCGATCCGCCTGCCTTGGCCTACCAAAGTGCTGGGATTACAGGCGTGAGCCACTGCACCCGGCCCATCCTATGACATTTTAATTTTCTTCTTTGAAAGAAAAAATAGACCATGGAGTTAAGAGTGAAATAGTATCATTGTAATGAAATCACTTTGAAACTGTTTAAAAGTCTTGTTAGATTTTCATAATCAACATGGAAAAGCATTTGTTAATCTTGCAATTCCCCAGAAGAGTTTTCTGCCCCTTTTAAGAGTTTATAATATAAGCTAGACTATATCTACACACTTCACCACAGGAATAAATATGTTTAAAAAGCAGATAGCAAAATAAAAGAAAACACCTCAGATTTAAACAATTGAATTAGTATGTCAGATACTCAGATCTGGTTTATTGTCACAGTCCTGTCCATGATACCATCCTCAATAGCAAGTTATAAAGACTTGTCACTATGGACAGCATGAAAGGCCACATCTGTCTGGAAGCCCGCATCCCAAAAAAGAAACTATCAGTGCTCATTATTAATCTGGAGTTGTGTTGAACGTGGTGGCCCACACCTGTAATCCCAGCACTTTGGGAAGCCAAGGCAGCAGCATTGTTTGAGCCTAGGAGTTCGAGACCAGCCTGGGCAACAAAGTGAGACACTGTCTCTACCAAAAATAGAAAAAAATTAGCCAGGCATGGTGGCACATACCTGTAGTCCCAGCTACTTGTGAGACTGAGGTGGGAGAATCACTTGATCCCTCAAGTGAGGTTCACTGAGGCTGCAATGAGCTGTGATTGTGCCATTGCCCTCCGGCCTGGGTGACACAGCAACATCCAGTCTCAATAATAATAATAATAATAATAATTTGGCATGGTGTTTCACAGGCTGAGTACTGGGGATCTTATATCAAATCCACTCATGATTGCCAAAATGATATTGATAGAGTAATACATTTGAATGTAGTTTTGTTGTTGTTGTTTTGTTTTTGTTTGTTTGTTTGTTTTTGAGACAGAGTTTCACTGTTGTCGCCCAGGTTGGAGTGGAAGGGTGTGATCTCAGCTCACTGCAACCTCCACCTCCCGGGTTCAAGTGATTCTTCTGCCTCAGCACCCCCAGTAGCTGGGATTACAGGTGTGCGCCACCACACCTGGATAATTTTTGTATTATTAATAGAGATGGGGTTTCACCATGTTGGCCAGGCTGGTATCGAACTCCTGACCTCAAGTGATCCACCCGCCTCGGCCTCCCAAAGTGCTGGGATTACAGGCATGAGCCACTGTGCCTGGCCTGAATGTGGTTCTAACGTGGGCACCTTGTTAAATTGGGACTGCATTGTGGAAACAGGCCAGGTAATTTTTTAAAAAACAAATCAAGCCACTGGACAGAGTTTTGGGACATAAAACTTTTTTTTTTTTTTTTTAATGGAGTCTTGCTCTGTCACCCGGCTGGTGTGCAGTGGTGCGATCTCGGCTCACTGCAACCTCTGCCTCCCGGGTTCAAGTGATTCTCCTGCCTCAGACTCCCGAGTAGCTGGGACTACAGGCGCCTGCCACCACACCTGGCTAATTTTTTGTATTTTTAATAGAGACATGGTTTCACCTTGTTAGCAAGGATGGTCTCGATCTCCTGACCTCGTGATCTGCCTGCCTCAGCCTCCCAAAGTGTTGGGATTACAGGCATGAGCCACTGCGCCCAGCCAGGACATAGAACTTCTAAAGGCAGAACTTCGTAATTAAAGATTTGAGTGTTTATTTGTTTAATGTCTGCTTTTCTCATTCACCACAGTATCCACAGAGCCTGATGTAGAGTAGTGTTCAGTAAATATTTGCTGAATAAATAAAGCATTGATTGCTGCCATGGTCCTTTATAGTCTGACCTGTGCCTATCTTTCCAGCTCCATCTCACCATGCTCTGTCTGGATCTCTGGACTCCAATCATAGTGATCTTATTTTCATCCCTTGCATGCACCATCCTTTCTATTCTAAAAGAACGTATGCTGTTCCCTTTGCTCCGAATAGTTATTCTATTGCCTAATAAAGCAACTCACTTGTCAGATCTCAGGTCAAGTTTTAGGTTCACGTTTCTCAGGGAAGACAACCATGAGCTCCATAACTAGAGCCATCCTCCTCTTATAAGCTTTCGTAGGATCTAGCATAGGTACAGGTTTAAGTTTGTTCGTGTGATTATTTGGCTGATGTTTATCCGTATCCCTATCTGATTAGATTGTAAGTTACGTGAAGGCAGGGACTAGATCTGTTTTCACTCTGCATCATAGATCACAGCACAATGCCTGGGGCATAAGTGCTTCACAATTATGTGTTAAATGAAGGAGAGAATAAACGAAGTTCACCGTTCCCTTGTCATCTAAGGCATCTACTACTATTTGGGATAGGAGAGGAAAGGTATTAAATGACCCATTGTTTATTCTTACATTTATTGAATTGTCCTCATTCCTTATATTCTCCTCCCTAATGTATTTGCTTTCTGTGGTTACTCAGCGTAAGTGGCCTTTAGAACCCTGATAGACTAGGATCATTATTTGGAGCAGAGGTGGGCAAATAATGACCCACGGGCCAGCCCACTGCCTGTTTTTGTAAATAAAGTTTTATTAGCTATGCCCATTCATTTACACATTGCTGATGAGTGTTTTCGCCCCATGGCAGCAGAGTTGAGTAGTCACAACAGACATTGTCTGGTCTGTAAAGTCTAAAATATCTCCCATAGGGTCTTTTATAGAAAAAGTTTGCCAACTCCTGATTTACGAAAATGTATGGGTTTTTTGAAAGCCTTGTATCTGTGTTTCCAGTATGTTTCTGGACTTCCTAGTTATAAACTTAAAATGATCACTGTGTATGAGGGCTTGACACAAATGATATTGAGTAACTGTTAGTCTTTCCACCTTTTTCACATAAGAAGATGTTCTTTGATTTGCAGCCAGAGTTGCCTTTTTTAGACTCTGCAAACTTTGAGTCCCTTGTGCAATAATAGCTAATACTTATTGAGCATTTTCAATTTACCAGGTTCAGTTCTAAGCACCTTACATGAATTACCTCGTTTATTCCTCAAAACTCCTCTGTGGTATACATTTATTATTATTGCTTTACACATGAAGACAGTAAGGAACAGAGAGGTTGTACAGCATGCCAGTGTCACACAGCTTGTGGAAGTTCCTGAGCAGGAATTTGATTTGAGCGCTCTGACCTCTGACTCCAGACAAGACCTATGCTCTTAACCATTCCACTATCCTGTTTGCATGAAGCCTTTACTTCAAAAGTGCCATCTTATTTCTGATTTCTAAATACAAAGACAGTTTATGTGCCATTGTTTCCAAGTGAGACCACTTAAAGTTTTGCGGTTGGGGGTAAGATATAGAAAGGTTATTAAAATCTCAATGCTTGCCAGAGTGCCAGATACACACACAAAAAATCAATCAACAAATGTCTTTTTTGTTGTTAAAAGTGTGATGATGTCAAGGAGGAAGAGGATGAAGACAAAGACATCTCTACTAGGAGTTTTGTCTCATCCTAGGTCATTGCCAATGAATGAGGACATAGTTCCAGGTATTGGTTATAGTACTTAGGGATCTGGCTCCCTCTGAGCCTGGAAGAAGTAGTAGAAATATCTGAATATTTTAACTATTTATTCCTTGTAAACAAAAGAAGATAGAAGCAGGCAGTAATTAATTAACTATAAAAATAAATCAATAAGTTATACTCCATAGAGTTTAAAAAGAATAATACATTTCATGAAATGAAATGTGACTGCAAAATCTGACCTATTTTATTCAGTTTTCTGATGTGATTTAACAGACTTCATCAGAACAGTTCTATCACAACTACACCCACAACAATTGCTTAGCTCTATTTTTTTCTTTCTATTTTTTTTCATTTTTCTTATGAGCTCTGGCTAGTTCAGTAGTATACTTATGTTCCTTTGTTCTTTTATTCAACAGCTATTTATCATATGCCTACTATGTGCCAGCCTATATTATAAGTGCTAAGTATACAGCAGAGGAACAAACCAAACAAAAATATCCTGTTCTTATAAAACTTACACTCTTATTGGGAGGAAAACTGAAAAACAAATATTGGGTGTCAAGTGGTGATTAGTGCTATGCAAAATAATAAAGCAAACCTAAGAGGAGGGAAACAGACACATGGGTGGCAAGTGATAGGGGTATGTGCTACTTTAGATAGGAGTATTTAGGGTAGTTAAATAGGGTAGTTAGAGAAGGCCTCTGCATCATATCTTAGGCCGTTGAGACTCAAATGAAATGAAGGATGTCAGGAGGGATTGATCGCATTCTGAGTGAATAGCAGCAATACAAAGGCCTTTGTATAAGACAGTGCTTGGGTTATTCAAGGAACAGCGAGAAGTCCAAAAAGGCTAAAGCAGAGTGAGGGAAAGTCAAGGATGAGGTCAAAAACATAGTTGGGAACTAGATAACGTAGGGCCCAGTGGGCTAAGTCAAGACCTTTGAATTCACATTATGATAAAAAGTAATCTAGGTTTTTACATTTTTTGTTGCAGAGTTTCCATTTGTAAACTGGAACATTGATTAATACAACTGCTTATTTAGACATTTTGATACTAACTTTGTAGTGGTAGAAGCAGCTAGCTAGAAAAATAGAACAGGAATTAATACATCAATTGTGTAACAAAGTTATATCAAGACAGACCAGCTCTTGGTGGACGGCTTCCTTTTTGGTATGATAATGTCTGACATTTAAAAAATGCTTTCAGATCTGTGATCTCATCACACTCTCATAACAACCCCAAGAGATAGGGGGGACAGTTGGTATTACTGATATTGAAACGGAGGGAGTTTGCATGGCTTACCCGAAGGTCACTCAGCATATGAATCATTATCAGAGGCACAGACTCCTGACTCTGAATGCATTACCCCCTCATCGCCTGCTAAAAGGACTATTGGGTAATTTTTTGACTCAGAGGTCAGAAGGTTGAATCAACCAAATTATTAGCTCATTCCTCCCTTCCACTTCCCAAGGGCATAAAAGTATGCACTACAGAATGAAGCGAACAAAGGTGGAGGGGAAGCCCTTGCTTTTTTCTTTTCCTTTCTCGCTCTTTCTTCCAGAACAGCCTTTATACTTAGAAAGCATAGCTGTATTCTTAGAGAATAGCTAAGCATGTAGGACCACAACCATCTTGAAGACCATAATAGTCGAGGGGCCATCCCTCTTCCCACCACTCTAGAAGGGTACAGCAGTCACGGTGAGTCCTACTTGTTTTGCTCAATATTCTAACAAGTTAAACCTTTGTTGCCGTATGCTCAATTTACAGTGTATTTATGATCATCTTCCTAATGATATTTGGTAAAAAGCTAAAGTACTCCTCAAAAATGACACAGTTCCCTTCCACAACTGGAATGCTGATTTAAACAGAGGAGAGTTGTTTTTGGGGATGGTGCCAAATAATTGAGTGGCCAAGCCAAAAAACAAAAGAAAAATTCAGGGTTTCTGAATTCCAGAAGTAGAGAAATAACCCATGTATTGTTGCAACTTCTTTCCCATGACAAATGGTGGCTTTTCCTAAGGCCCAGTCCTCAGTTCTCTCCCATCTCACTCTATACTGTCTCCCTGGCAAGCTCACCCATAACCACAGCATAACTACCACTGACATACAGATGAGCCCAATCTATATTTCCATCTCGGACTGCTCCTCTGACCTTTAGGACTGTATATCCAACCGCCTACTTGATCTCTCCTGTAGGATGTCTTAAAGCCCCCTCAAACTGATCTCACTCCCCAAACCTGGTACTCTTCCAGCCTTCCTTATCTTAGTGGCTTACCCTACCATTCTATCTCGTTGCGCTTAGGAGTCTTTTGATACCTCCTGTCCCTCCCCTCAACTTGACACTTGTGTTTTGCCAAATTCTGCTTATTCTACTTTCTAACAAAATTCAGAATCTATCCACTTCTTTCTGTCTCCATTATCACTATTGTACCATCACCTCTCACCTGGAGTACTGCAGCATTTCCTAATATCTACACATATCTACTCTGGCTCCCCTCCAATCTATTCTGATTATAGTTAGAATGGTCTTTTTGTAAGGAATGTTTTATCATCCTCATACTTAAAACCTTTATGGCTTCCCACCACCCTTACAGTAAAACACAAAACTCCTTAATGTGGCCTACAAGGCCCTGTGTGATCTGGCACATGTTTAGTTTCCAACGTCACCCGAAACCCCATTACTGTCCACACCACAGCTACATTTATCTCTAAGTTATTCATGTCACCATGCTTCCTCCTGATATGGGGACTTTGCATATTTTGAGTTTTCTTTATTTTCAGATGGAACCCTTTCTCCTTTTTTTCTCACCTAACATTTATTCATGCTTCAGATCACATTTTGAGCAATCTCTTCAGGGTAGCCTTCTTTGGTCCCCCTCACTAGGTCAATCCAGCTGTTATAAAGTATCATAGCACTGTGTGCTATGCCCTTGGAGCACTTGTCACAGTTGCTTTTTACATTTTTGAGTGTGATTACTTGATTATGTTTTTTCATGAAAAAAATATTTATTGATCAACACCAGGGAGTGGCAGCCTGCATGGAAAGTGCCCTAGCCCTCTTCCTTGTCAGGGGCCACAACACTGATTCCTTAGCAACCACCTCCCACCCCCACCCCTACCTCCTATTTTATATAGTCAGGGTCTTGCTCTGTTGCTCACACTGGAATGCAGTGGTGCAAGCATGGCTCACTGAGACATGGCTCACTGCAGCCTCTTACTCCTGGGCTCAAGTGATCCTCCTACCTCAGCCTCCTGAGTAGCTGGAACCATAGGTGCACACCACCACACCCCGCCCTTTTTTTTTTTTTTTGTAGAGGTCTCCTTATGTTGCTCAGGCAGGTCTCAAACTCCGGGCCTCAAATGATCCTCCCGCCTTAGCCTCCCAAATCACTGGAATTACAGGCATGAACCACAATGCTCAGCTTGAAGCCGTTCTTTCTACGTAGCTTTGGGCTTACTCTCTGGAAACATCTAAAGAACAGAGCAATGGGGTTCCTCTGTTATGAGGACTCCTTGCTGCCCCTCCAGCCTGCCTACCACTGAGGGCTTCTTGACTTCGGACAGTCCACCTTCCTTCAGAAGGGCTGACCTTCCAAGGGTATGCCAAGGAGCAGCTGACCTCAGAGACTAGCATCCCAGTTCCTGATTATTTGATTATCATCTGTCACTAAATTGCGAGTTCCTTGAGAGCAAGAACTCACCATGGTATTCCTAGTGCTTACCACAGTGCTCAGCACATAGTACACTCTTTTTTTTTGAGATGGAGTCTCACTCTGTCGCCCAGTCTTGAGTGCAGTGGCACAATCTTGGCTCACTGCAACCTCCACCTCCTGGGTTTAAGCAATTCTCCTGCCTCAGCCTCCCGAGTAGCTGGGATTACAGGCACCTGCCACCTTACCTGGCTAATGTTTGTATTTTTAGTAGAGACGGGGTTTTGCCATGTTGGCCAGGCTGGTCTCAAACTCCTGAGCTCAGGTTACCTACCCACCTTGGCCTCCCAAACTGCTGGAATTACAGGTGTGAGCCACCTCGCCCAGCCTGCACATAGTACACTCTTTAACAGATATGCGTTGCATGAATGACTGAATATGTTTAAGGACATTAGGTCAGTAATTTTTTTCTCTGGGAGCAAAGTAGTAAACATTTTCAGTTTTCTCAACTTCTTTTTCTTTCCTTCCTTCTTTCCTTTCTTCCTTCCTTCCCTCCTTCCTTCCTTCCTTCCTTTTTTTTTTTTTGACAGAGTCTCACTCTGTCATGCAGGCTGGAGAGCAGTGGTGTGATCTCGGCTCACTGCAACTCCACCTCCTGGGTTCAAGTGATTCTCCTGCCTCAGCCTCCCAAGTTGCTGGGATTACAGGTGCCCGCCACCACAACTAGCTAATTTTTTGTATTTTTAGTAGAGATGGGTTTTTGCCATGTTGGCCAAGCTGGTCTCGAACTCCTGACCTCAAGTGATCCTCCCACCTGGGCCTCCCAAAGTGCTGGGATTACAGGCGTGAGCCATCGCACCCAGCTATTTTCTCACCTTCTTTAAACCACTGACTGGATTCCATATCCATGCCCAAGTTCAAATAGTTGCGTACATTTTATAACAGTATGTTCTACGATGATAGAAAAATAGATGTAGTCATGGCTCCCATAAATTTAAATACCAGTTTAAAGAGAAGAATAAATAGAGTTTTGCAACTGGAATTTCTGATGTGAATCTCTGAAACGAATGTCACCTTATAGTGCCACTAGAATAATATAAATTTTAACATTTTTCCATTGTGTTTTGTTTTTCCATTTTGGTTTTTTTCTTTTTGGGAGTTTTGTTCTGTCTCCCAGGCTGGAGTGCAGTGGCTCAATCATGGCTCAATGCAGCCTGGACCTCCCAGGCTCGAGCAATCCTCCCATCTCAGCCTCCCGAGTATCTGGGACCACAGGCGCATGCCACCACACCTGGCTAATATTTTTTTGTGGAGATGGGGTCTCATTATGTTGTCTGGGCTAGGCTTAAACTCCTGGGCTCAAGCAATTCTCCTACTTCAGCCTCCCAAAGTGCAGAGATTACAGGCATGAGCCACCACATCTGGCATTATTTTTTTCTATTTTAAATAGATTTTATTGTTTAGGGCAATTTTAGGTTCTCAGAAAAATTAAGCAGGAAAGTACAGAGAGTTTCCATATACCCCCTGACCACCCCCAACCCCAGCCTCCCACTATCAACATCATGAGCCAGAGTGGTACATTCGTTACAATTGATAAAGCTATGCTGACACATCATTATCACCCAAGGTCCGTAGTTTACATTAAGGTTCACTGTTGGTTTTGTACATTCTGTGAGTTTGGACAAAGGTATAATGACATGTACCCACCATTAGCATAGCATACAGAATAGCCTCACTGCCTAAAAATTCTCTCTGCTCTGCCTATTCTTTCCTTCCTCCTCACTATCCCCTGGCAACTATTGGTCTTTTTACCATGTCCATATATATTTTTTTGTTTTCCAAAATGTCATATAGTTGAAATCACACAGAATGTAACCTTTTCAGATTGGCTTCTTTCACTTAGCAATATGCATTTAAGTTTCCTCCATGCCTTTTCATGGCTTGATAGCTCATTAGTTTTTAGAGTCAAATAACATTTCATTGTCTAGATTTGCCACAATTCATTTATCCATTCACCTACTGAAGGACATCTTGGTTGCTTTCAAGTTTTAGCAATTGTGAATAAAGCTGCTATAAACATCCATGTGCAGGTTTTATGTGGAGAGAAGTTTTCGATCATTTGGGTAAAAGTCAAAGAGCACAAGTGCTGGATTTTATGGTAAGAATATGTTTAGTTTTGTAAGAAATCACCAGATTGTCTTCCAAAATGGCTGTACAAATTTGCATTTCCATCAGCAATGATTGAGAGTTCCTGTTGCTCCACATCCTCACCAGCATTTAATGTTGTCAGTGTTCTGGATTCTGGGGATTCCAATAGGAGTGTAGTGGTATCTCATTATTGTTTTAATTTGTATTTCCCTAATGATATAAGATGTGGAACATCTTTTCACACGCTTATTTGCCATCTGTATATCTTCTTTGACTAGGTGTCTGTTCAGGTCTTTTGCCCATTTTTCAATTGAATTGTTTGTTTTCTTATTGTTCTGTTTTGACAGTTATTTGCAAATTTTGGATAACAATTTTTAAATCAGATATGTTTTTTCCAAATATTTTCTCCTAGCCTGTGTTGTGTCTTGTCATTCTCTTAACAGTATCTTTTGAGGAGCGTGTGTTTTTTATTTTAATGAAATCCCATCTATCAATTATTTCTTTTGTGGACTGTGCCTTTGGTGTTATATCTAAAAAGTCATCACCATACCCAAGGTCATCTTGATTTTCTCCTATGTTACCTTCTAGGAGTTTTACACTTTTGCATCTAACATTTAGCTCTATGATTCATTTTGTGCTAATCTTTGTGAAAAGTGTAAGTCGTGTCTAGATTCTGTTTTTTGCATGTGGATGTTCAGTTGTTCAAGTACCATTTTTTTTCTTGTTTTTGTTTTTAAAGATGGGGTCGTGCTCTATTGCCCAGACTCATCTCAAACTCCTGGGCTCAAGCAATCCTCCCTGCCATAGTGCTGGGATTACAGATGTGAGCCACCATGCCCAGCTGCAGCACCGTTTGTTGAAAATACTTTCTTTGCTCAATTGTATTGTCCTTGCTCCTTTGTGAAAGATCAGTTGACTATGTTTATGTGAATCTATTTCTATGCTCTTTAGTCTATTCTATTCAATTAATCTATTTGTCTTTCTTTTACCAATGCCATACCATCTTTTTTTTTTTTTTTGAGATGGAGTCTCTCTCTGTCGCCCAGGCTGGAGTGCAGTGGCGTGATCTCTGCTCACTGCAACCTCCGCTTCCTGGGTTCATGCCATTCTCCTGCCTCAGCCTCCCGAGTAGTTGGGACTACAGGCACCCGCCACCACGCCTGGCTAATTTTTTGTATTTTTAGTAGAGACGGGGTTTCACCATGATAACCAGGATAGTCTCGATCTCCTGACCTCATGATCCTCCCACCTCAGCCTCCCAAAGTGCTGGGATTACAGGCCTGAGCCACCATGCCCGGCCAACCATATCATCTTAATTACCATAGCTTTATAGTAAGTCTTAAAGTTGGGTAGTGTCAGTACTCCAACTTTGCTCTTCTCCAATATTATGTTGGCTATTCTGGGACTTTTGTCTCTCTTTATAAACTTTAGAATCAATTTGCTGATATCCGCAACATAACTCTCTGGGATTTTGATTGGGATTGCATCGAATCTATTTATTAAGTTGTTGGGAAGAACTGATATCTTGACAATATTGAACATGGAATATCCCTCTTATTTAGTTCTCTGAATTTCCTCCATCAGAATTTCTTTTTTTTTTTAATGGAGTCTCGCTCTGTCGCCCAGGCTGGAGTGCAGTGGCGCAATCTCAGCTCACTACAGCCTCCGCCTCCCGAGTTCAAGCAATTCCCTGCCCCAGCCTCCTGAGTAGTTGGGATTACAAGCACCTGCCGCCACACCCAGCTAATTTTTTTGTATTTTTGGTAGAGACAGGGTTTCACCATCTTGGCCGGACTGGTCTGGAACTCCTAACCTCATGATCCACCTGCCTCGGCCTCCCAAAGTGCTGGGATTACAGGTGTGAGCCACCGCTCCCAGCTTCATCAGAGTTCAATAGCTTTCCTCATATAAATCTTGTACATATTTCACAAGATTTATACCTGCATATTTCATTTTTGAAAATGCTAATGTAAATGGTATTGTGTTTTTATTTCAAGCTCCACTTGTTTATTGCTGGTGTATGGGAAAGTGATTGACTCTTGTACATTAACCTCATATCCTACAACCTTGCTATAATTGTTTATTAGTTCCAGGACTTTGTTTTGTTTTTGTAGTTTCTTAAGGATTTTCTACATAGATGATCATGTCATCTGCAAACAAAGTTTTATTTCTTCCTTTCCAACTTATGTATCTTTTATTTCTTTTTCTTGTTTTATTGCATTAGCTAGGACTTCTGATACAATGTTAGAAATAAGTGGTGAGAAAAGATGTCTTTGTTCCATATCTTTGCAAACAAGCTTCTAGTTTCTCACCATAAACTATGATGTTAGTTGTAGATTTTTTGTAAGCTGTAGGTTTTTGTAGATGTCCTTTATCAAGCTGAGGAAGTTTTCCTCTATTCCTATTCTGCTGGGAGTTTTTTTTTTAAAATCATGAATGGGTGTTGGATTTTATTAATTGCTTTCTCTCCATTTGTTGATATAATTATGAGATTTTTCTTTTTTGCTTGTTGATGTAATGGATTACATTAATTGATTTTTCAAATGTTGAACCATCCTGTACACCCGGTATATCCCACTTGTTTGTGGTGCATGGTTTTTCAAAAATTCTTTGTTGGATTTGATTTGGTAAAATTTTGTTGAGGATTTTTGCATCTATGTTCATGAGAGTTGTTGGTTTGTAGTTTTATTTTTTTTAATGGCTTTGTCTGATTCTGGTATTAGGGAAGAGCTGGCCGAGTTAGGAACGAGTTAGGAAGTATTCCTTCTGCTTGTATATTCTGAAAGACATTGTAGATAATTTGTATAATTTCTTTCTTAAATGTTTGGTAGAATTCACCTTGATAGAATTTACCATCTGTGCTTGGTGCTTTCTGTTGTGGAAGGTTATTAATTATTGATTCAATTTATTTAATATATTAAGAAAGTCTCTATTCTTATTTAGATTATCTATTTCTTCTTGTGTGAGTTTCAGCAGATTGTATCTTTCAAGGAATTGCTCTATTTCATCAAGGTTATCAAATTTTTTTTTCATAGTATTTCTTTATTATCTTTTTTTTTTTGAGACAGCTTCTTACTCTGTCTGTCATTCAGGCCAGAGGGCAGTGGTGTGACCATAGCAGCCTTGAAATCCTGGGCTCAAGTGATCCTCCTGTCTTAGCCTCCTAGGTAGCTAGGACTACAGATGCATGCCACCACACCTGGCTTCTTTCTTTCTTTCTCTTTCTTCTTTCTTTCCTTCCTTCCTTCCTCCTTCCTCCCTTCCTTCCTTCCTCCCTTCCTTCCTTCCTTCCTTCCTTCCTTCCTTCCTTCCTCCCTCCCTCCCTTCCTTCATTCCTTCCTTCCTTCCTTTCTTTCCTTCTTTCCTTCTTTTCTTTTTCTTTTTCTTTCTTTCTCTTTCTTTCTTTCTTTCTTTCTTTCTCTTTCTTTCTTTCTTTCTCTTTCTTTCTTTCTCTTTCTTTCTCTCTCTCTCTCTCTCTCTCTTTCTTTCTTTCTTTTTTGTAGAAACAAGGTCTCTCTCTATTGCCCAGGCTGATCTCAAACTCCTGGCTTCGAGTGATTCTCCTGCCTTGGCCTCCCAAATGCTGTGATTGCAGGTATGAGCCACAATACTCAACCTCCTTTATTATCATTTTAATGTCCATGGGACCTTTAGTGATGGTTCCTCTTTCATTTCTGATCTTAGTAATTTGTGTCATGTTTTTTTCCTTAGTTTACCTGGCAGGACATTTATTAATTTTATTGGTCTTTTCAATGAGCCAGATCTTTGGTTTTGTTGGTTTTCTTTATTAATTTCCTGTTTTCAATGTTACTGATTTCTGATCTAACTTTCATTATTTATTTTATTCTACGTACTTTGGATTTGATTTCCTCTTCGTTTTCTAGTTTCCTTAGGTGCAAGCTTGGATAATTGCTTTTAGATTATTCTTCTCTTCTAATATACACATGTAATGCAATAAACTTCCCTCTAAGTACATTGCTTTTGCTGCATTGTACTCATTTTAATAGTTGTATTTTCATTTCCATTTAGTTGACAATATTATTAAGTTTCTTTTGAGATTTCTTCTTTAGCCCATGTGTTATTTAGAAGTGTGTTGTTTGATCTCCAAATATTTTGAATTTTCAGGCTATCTTTCAGTTATTGATGTTTAACTTCATTGTGGTCTGAGAGCACACGGTGAATGATTTCTATTTTTTTAAAAATGTAATGTGTGTTTTATGGCCAGAATGTGATGTATGTTTCAATTTAGCTTGAGAAGAATGTGTATTATGCTGTTGTTGGATGAAATCGTTTATAGATGTCAATTATAACCAATTGATTGATGGTGCTGTTGAGTTCAGCTATGTCCTTAATGATTTTCTGCCTGCTGTATGTGTCCATTTCTGATGGAGGGGTGTTGAAGTTTCCAACTATAATAGTGGGTTTATCTATTTCTCCTTGTAGTTCTATAAATTTTTGCCTCATTTATGTTAATACTCTGTTATTAGACAAATGCACATTAAGGATTATTAAGGATTGTTATTCTTCCTGAAGATTGACCCCTTTATCATTAGGCAATGCCCCTTTGTATCCCTGATAATTTTTCTTGCTCTGTAGTCTGCTCTGTCTGTAATTAAGATAGCTTCTCAAGACTTTTGATTAGTGTTAGCTTGGTATATCTTTCTCCATCCCTTCACTTTGAATCTATGTGTGTCTTTATATTTATAACCGACATCTTGTAGAAATAATCTAACTGGGTCCTGTTGTTTTGAGTCATTCTTACAATCTCTGTTATTCAATTGGTATACTTAGATCGTTGACATTTAAAATCACCATTGATTAATCATCTGGATTAATATCTGCCATATTTATATTATTGTTTTCTATTTGTTGCCCTTTTTATTTGTTCCTATTTTTGTCCTCTACCCTTTTCCTGCCACTTTTGGTTTTAATTGAGTATTTTATATGATCCAATTTTCTTTCTTCTCTTAGCATATCAATTATATATTTTCCGAAGCTTTTTTTTGGGGTTGCCTTAGAGTTTGCAATATACTTTTACAATTAAATTCAAGTCACATTCAAATAACATTTCACTAATTCACATGTAGCGCAAGTATTTTATAACAAATTATCCCTAATTCTTCCCTCCTGTCCCTTGCATTATTACTATCATTTATTTCACTAATACACAAGTGTACGTAACTATATATCTATATACACATAAATGTGCATATGTAATCTAACCCTTGTTGCTCTTATTATTTTGAGCAACTATTACCTGTTAAATCAATTAAAAATCAGTAAATAAAAGTTTTCCTTTCCTTTTTTTTATTTCATCTCTAATGCTTTCTCTTTCCTTATATAGATCCAAGTTTCTGATCTATATAATTTTCCTTCCCTCTGAAGAACCTTTAAAACTTCATTTATTTATTTATTTTCTTTGAGACAGTATTGTGCTGTCACCCAGGCTGGAGTGTGGTGGTGCGAGCTTGGCTCACTGCAACCTCCGCTTCCTGGGTTCAAGCAATTCTCGTGCCTCAGCCTCCCAATTAGCTGGGATTACAGCCATGAGCCACCACTCCCAGCCTAAATCTTTTTTTTTTTTTTTTTTTTTTACAAAACAAATCACTGTCAACAAATTTTGTCAATGTTTTCTTGTCTGCAAAAGTCATTATTTTCTCCTGCACTTTTGAAGAAACTTTTTACAGGATACTTAATTCTAGCTTGGTTATTTTTTTTTTTCTCTCAACACTTTAAATATTTAACTCCACTCTTCTTGCTTGTGTAGTTTCTTAGAAAATCAGGCCGGGTGCAGTGGCTCACACCTGTAATCCAAGCACTTTGGGAGGCTGAGGCAGGAAGATCACGAGGTCAGGAGTTTGAGACCAGCCTGGCCAATATCGTGAAACCCCATCTCTACTAAAAAATACAAAAATTAGCCGCGCGTGGTGGTGTGCGCCTGTAGTCCCAGCTACTCAGGAGGCTGAGGCAGGAGAATCACTTGAACCCAGGAGGCAGAGGTTGCAGTGAGCTGAGATCGCGCCACTGCACTGCAGCCTGGGCACCAGAGTGAGACTCCATCAAAAAAAAAAAAAAGAAAGAAAGAAAGAAGAAAATCAGATGTCATTCTTATCTTCACTCCTCTATAGGTAAGATGTTTTTCCCTCTGTCTTCTTTTAAGCATTTTTCTTTATCTTTGATTTCCTGATAATATATGCCTACATGTAGTTTTTTTTTAATATTTATCCTGCCTGACGTTTCTGAGCTTCCTGGGTCTGTGGGATGGAGTTTGACATTAATTTGGGAAAATTCTTAGTCATTATTCCCTCAAATATTTTCTGTTCCTTTCTCTTTTACTTCTCCTTGTTGTACAAAGGGTCTTCTAAAAGTTCATGGAAAGTGTATATTATAAAAAGCTATACATGACTTAAAAATTATTTGCACCAAACTAAAGTCACCCTAACTTGTTCTAACATGTCTGAACAGGTTCTAGTTTGAAGAACTAAGAAGAATAAGACATCAGTTTGAAAACAGTCTCTATCAGAACAATATGAATTCTGCTAAAATTGAAGCAAGAACCAACATTACATCTGTGATGAAACTTGGGTGGAATAATGATGATATAATTGATGATTTATGAAAAGTGTACAGGGACAATGCCCCAAAGAAATCATCAGTTAACAAATGGATAACTCATTTTAAAAAGGGAGAAGATTATATTGAAGATGATCCTGCAGCAGCAGATCATACATATCGATTTGTGAGGAAAAAATTCATCTTTTTCGTGCCCTGATTGAAGAGGACCAACGATTAACAGCAGAAACAATAGCGAACACCATAGACATCTCAGTTGGTTCAACATACACAATTCTGACTGAAAAATTAAAGGTGAGCAAACTTTCCACTTGACGAGTGTTGAAACCATTGCACCCAGATCAGCTTCAGACAAGAGCAGAGCTTTCGATGGAGATTGTATTATGTTTCTTAAAAATTATTTTTAATTATTGTAGGTACATAGTAGGTGTACATATTTATAGGGTACATGAGATATTTTGATACAGGCATACAATGAGTAATAATCACATCATAGAGAATGCAGTATCCATCCTCTCAAGCTCAATTGAAATTTTTTTTGACATTTTCATCATATACTTTAATCCCTTCATTTTACAAATGAGGAGAATGCATTGCCTATGGTCTCATAGCAAAGTGAGGACTAGGTTGGGACTAGAAACAGTAAAGGTTGGGACTAGAATCAGGTGTTTCAACTAGTTTTGTATGCGTCCAAGTGCACCATACTTGGTGGTTTTGAATTCTTACTGCTGAGTCTTGTGTGGTTAGGGGGTCATGTGCAACTTTGCTAGTAGGGAGTTCACTTCTTAAAAAATTTTTTTTTCAGCTCCCCACACATCTAAATATTTTGTGAGGAGATACTTTGAAAGGGTAAGTCTGGCTGCATGAATGTCCCATCTGTATAGCTGCGAAGTATCCTGATTTAGAAGGGTCCTGGGCTCTGGTTCTGTTTACTTTTCTGTTTGTTTGTTATTTTTTTAAATTATACTTTAAGTTCTGGGGTACATGTGCAGAACATGCAGTTTTGTTACATAGGTATACACGTGTCATGGTGGTTTGCTGCACCCATCAACCCATCACCTACATTAGGTATTTCTCCTAATGCTATCCCTCCCCTAGCCCCCCAGCCCCCAACAGGCCCTGGTGTGTGATGTTCCCCTCCCTGTGTCCATGTGTTCTTATTGTTCAACTCCCACTTACGAGTGACAACATGCGTTGTTTGGTTTTCTGTTCTTGTGTTAGTTTGCTGTGAAATTTTAAATAAGTGGGATCAAGATCCTGAAGCATATCTTTGAAGAATTGTAACAGGAGATGAAACATGGCTTTACCAGTATGATCCTGAAGACAAAGCACAATCATAGCAATGTCTACCAAGAAGTGGAAGTGGTCCAGTCAAAGCAAAAGCATACTAGTCAAGAGCAAAGGTCATGGCAATGGGTTTTGGAGATGGTAAAAGCGTTTTGCTTGTTGACTTTTTGGAGGGCCAAAAGACAATAACATCTACTTATTATGAGAGTGTTTTAAGAAAGTTAGCCTAAGCTTTGGCAGAAAAACTCCTGGGAAAACTTCACCAGAAAGTTTTTCTTCACCAGAACAATGCTCCTGCTCATTCCTCTCATCAAATAAGGGCAATTTTGTGAGGGCTTTGATGGGAAATTATTAGGCATCCACCTTACAGCCCTGATTTGGCTCCTTCTGACTTCTTTTTGTTTCCTAATTTTAAAAATTCTTTAAATGGCACCTATTTTTTTCTTCTGTTAGTTATATAAAAAAGACTACATTGACATAACTAAATTCCCAGGGCCCTCAGGGATAGACTAGATAGCTGGTATTATTGCTTATATAAGTGTCTTGACATTGATGGAACTTGTATTGAGAAATAAAGTTTATGTATTTTTATTTTTATCTTAAAAATTGTTTTAGACAGGGTCTTGCTCTGTTGCCTAGGCTGGCGTGCAGTCGTGCTTTCAAAGCTCAATTAAGCTTCAAACCCTTGGGCTCAAGCAAGTTCTCTTTCCTCAGCTTCCCGAGTAATTACTACTGTAGGCATGCACCCTCACCCCTGGCTTTTTAAAAGAATTTCTTTTGTAGATATGAGTCTTGCTATGTTGCCTATTTTTATCTCTTAATTCTATTTTTTCCACAAACTTGTTGAAGTCTCCTTGTATTTCTGTTATGCATGTGTTATGTCTTTGTTTCATAGTTCTTAGACATTGTTTCTTTTTCTCAGTGTTTTTTTTCTTTGCTTTTCAGTTTTGAAAGTTTCTATTGACATATACTCAAGCTCAGAGACTCTTTTCTCAGCTGTGTGCAGTCTACGAACGTGTCCATTAAAAATATTCTTCATTTTTGTTACAGTGTTTTGATCTTTACCATTTTTTTATTCTTTCTTAGAATTTCCATATCTCTGCTTACATTACTCAGCTGTTCTTGTGTATTATCTACTTTTTAAATTAGAGCCCTTATCACATTAATCATACATAGTTTCTTTCAGTCTACCAACTGATAATTCCAACTCCCCTTCCATGTATGAGTCTGGTTCTAATGCTTGCTCTGTCTTTCAAAGTGCATTTTTTTTTTGTTTTTTAGTATGACTTACAATTTTTTGTCGAAAGCTGGTCATGATGTACAGGTACTGGGTGAAAGAAACTGTTCAATAGGCCTTTAGTGACATGGTGCTAAGGTTTTGGGAGAGGGGAAGCATTCTATAATTTTATAATTAGGTCTCACTATTTTAGTGATGCTGTGCCCCTGGGCTGTAAACTTCAAAAGCGCCTCTCTGTGTCCTCCCTTCCCCCCACCTTAGATGGGATAGAATGGCTGGAGGGGACTGGAGCTGGAGTTGGGTATTTCCCTTCCTACAGGCAGAAAGGTAGAGCAGACCGGAGTTGGCCATTTCCCTTCAGCCAGGTCAGTTAGGCTCTGATGAAACCCCAATAGGTTAGGTTCCAGTAAAATAGATTATCTTGATGGCAGGCCTTGTTAAGAACAGAATGCTCTGGCATATTTCAAAATAATTACTTTCCTTCTGCTACTTGAAACCCTAAGGAGTTCTTGTCTGATCTTTACTGTGAGAACCTGGTAGAACTCCCAGGAGGTAAAACAAAGAAGTTTTCAGCTCACAGGCTTGTCGACACTGAGCCTCCAGCAATTCATCAATTACATTCTAGGTTTTCCTACCCTGTGCTGGTTCCTGTGGATGTTTCTGCTCGGGTAAGTTGTGATTCTCTGGATTCCCCTGCCTGTCTCTCCAATTCTGGGGGCAGCAGTTTGCACTGTGACCTTACTTCCCCGACAGATGTAAGAAGAGTTGTTGATTTTTCAGTTTGTTCAGTTTTTTACTCATTGTTAGGATGGAATGGCAACTTTCAAGCTCCTTACATACTGGACAGGAAACCAGAAATGTCTGTTGGGTTTTTAATGCCACTTTTCAATGTAGATGTTATCTCTGCAACTCTTAGATAAACATTTAAAACACAAAAGACAGTAATCTGATCTGCGTTATAATGTGAATTGCTTACTGAAATATTGGCAAGGTAGAAAGGTAGGCACTTAATTGTGTACTAACTGTACGATAGATTAAATAGCTATTATTCTCCACAGGCAAAGGTTAAGTTTTTTTTGTAAGAAAAGAATTTCAACCTCAATGGGTGGAGCATGCAATAGTGGTTTGCTTTCAGAATACAGAGACTACACCCCAAAACATTACTTTTTATGTTTACCCAATTTCTTCCTCATCATCTCTTCCTTTTGTATTATTCAAAGAGACACTATTGGCAGAGACCTCCGCATGTGAAAGAGTGACTGAAGGGTCTCATTAGTGATGCAGCCCTCTCTATACCAGTGTGCGTGAGAACATCTAGTAATCATTTCTGTGGTTTTTCAGGGTTTACAGCTCTGAAGTTCTATTTCAACTTGCAGACTGTCTCTCCCAAACTTCCTTATCATTCTTCCCTGACAAGAATCCTCTGCTCCTTTTAGTCTAGTTTCTGGACTCTTCCCAATGTGCCATCTTTATTCTCAGTCTCTACCCTTGCTCATATTGTTTCTTCTTCCAAGGATGCATTCTGCCCTCCTCTGTGCCATCCAGCTCAAATCCAGACTTCTCTGTGAAACCCTCCACTATTCTGGCCTTTTTGGACTTATCTTGACTCTTCTAGTCTGCTCCACAGCATTCAGCCTTTTTGTTTTGTTGTATGGTTTCCTTTGTCTTATGTATTCAGAGCCTGTCTCCTCAATAAGAGATTATATCTTGTCTCTTTCATATGACCCACAGCATTTAGCACAGTGGAAGGCACATAGCAGCTTTTGCTTGTTGATGACTTGCTTAATTGTTGTCTGACACATTGGAGTGTTTACTGCTATGGATGTCTGAAATTCTATAGTTATGAAAAAATTGTCAAAACTTCGCTTTACTTTGACTATATGGCATTTTCTTGGGGATAGGGGCTACCTGTATATAGTTACCCAACTTGTGCTTGCTATGTGAAAACTGTTGGAATGGGTATCAAAACTATTATAATTCCACTTACCTTCATTCAAAGACTTTTCTGGTTTGTCATTTGATTTTTTTTAAATTATTTTTTATTTTTTTCGGGACATAGTAAGTGTATATACTTATGGGTTACATGAGATATTTTGATATAGGCATGCAATCCATAATGATCACATCAGGATAAATGGGGTATCCGTCACGTCAAGCATTTATCTTTTGTGTTACAAACAATCCAATTATATTCTTTTTTTTTTTTCTTTTTGAGACGGAGTTTCACTTTTTGATGCCCAGGCTGGAGTGCAGTGGGACAACCTCAGCTCACTGCAACCTCCGCCTCCGGGATTCAAGTGATTCTCCTGTCTCAGCCTCCCGAGTAGCTGGGATTACAGGTGCCCGCCACCATGCCCAGCTAATTTTTGTATTTTTAGTAGAGACCGGTTTCACCATGTTGGCCAGGGTGGTCTTGAACTCCTGACCTCAGGTGATCCGCCCACCTTGGCCTCCCAAAGTGCTGGGATTACAGCGTGAGCCACTGCACCCGGCCTATATTCTTTTACTTATTTTTAAATGTTCAATTAAATTATTATTGACTGTAGTCACCCTGTTATGCTATCAAATACTAGTTCCTATTCATTCTTTCTAACTTTTTTTGTACCCATTAGCTATCCCCACTTTGCCCGCACCCTCTAAACCCCCCACCACCTATCCCAGCCTTTGGTAACCATCCTCTTGTCTTTCCAAGCCTGGCTTATTTCACTTAACATAATGACCACCAGTTCCATCCATGTTGTTGCAAATGGCAGGATCGCATTCTTTTTTTTTTTTTTTTTTTTTTTGGCTTACTAGTACTCCATTGTGTATAGGTACCACATTTTCTTTCTTCATTCATCTATTGATGGATGCTTAGGTTGCTTCCAAATCTTGGCTATTGTGAACGGTATACCAACAAGCATGGGAGTGCAGGTATCTCTTTGATACACTAATGTCCTTTCTTTTGGGTATATATCTAGCAGTGGGATTGCTGGATCTTGAGGAACTTCCAAACTGTTCTCCATAGTGGTTGTTCTAATTTACATTCCTACCAACAGGGCATGAGGGTTCCCTTTTCTCCACATCCTCACCAAAATTTGTTATTGCCTGTCTTTTGGATTTAAGCCATTTTAACTGGGGGAGATAATATCTCATTGTAGTTCTGATTTGTATTTCTCTGATGATCAATGATATTGAGCACCTTTTCATACGCCTGTTTGCCATTTGTATGTCTTCTTTTGAGAAATGTCTACTCAAATCTTTTGCCAATTTTTAAATTGAATTATTAGATTTTTTCCTATAGAGATGTTTGAGCTCCTTATATATTCTGGTTATTAATCCCCCGTCAGATGGGTAGTTTACAAACATTTTCTACCATTCTGTGGGTTGTTTCTTTGTTGATTGTTTCTTTTACTGTGCAGAAGCTTTTTAACTTGATGTGATTCCATTTGTCCACTTTTGCTTTGGTTGCCTGTGCTTGTGGGGTACTACTCGAGAAATCTTTGCCAACTCCAAATGTCCTGGAGATTTTTCTTGTAGTAGTTTCATAATTTGAGGTCTTAGATTTAAGTCTTTAATTCATTTTGATTTGACTTTTGTATATAGTGAGAGACAAGGGTCTAGTTTTTTTCCTTTGCATGTGGATATCCAGTTTTCACAACACCATTTATTGAAGAGACTGTCTATTCCTTAATGTATGTTCTTGTCACCTTTGTTGAAAATGAGTTCACTGTAGATGTATGGATTTGTTTCTGAGTTGTCTGTCCTGTTCCGTTAGTCTATGTGTCCATTTTTATGCCAGTACCATGCTATTTTTGTTACTGTAGTTCTGTAGTATAATTTGAAGTCAGGTAATGTGATTCCTCTAGTTTTATTCTTTTTGCTCAGGATAGCTTTGGCTATTCTAGGTCTTTTGTGGTTCCATATAAATTTTAGGATTTTTTTTGTATTTCTGTTAAGAATGTAATTGGTATTTTGATCAAGATTGCATTGAATCTGTAGATTGCTTTGAGTAATATGGACATTTTAACAATATTGATTCTTCCAATCCATGAACATGGAATATTTTTCCATTTTTTGGTGTCATCTTCAAAGGACATTTTAAAATGATGAAACATTTCTTTCTTCAGTGTTTTATAGTTTTCATTGTAGAGATCTTTCACTTCTTTGATTAAGTCCTAGATAGTTTGTTTTATTTATGGCTATTCCAAATGAGATTATTTTCTTGATGTCTTTTTCCAGCTGTTCATTGTTGGCATATAGAAATGCTACTGAGTTTTGTATGCTGATTTTGCATCGTGCATCTTTCCTGAATTTATCAGTTCTAATAGATTTTTGTGTGTGTGGAGTCTTCAGTTTTTTCCAAATATAAGATCATATCACCTGCAAACAAATATAATTTGACTTATTTCTCTCTGATTTGGATGCCCTTTATTTCTTTCTCCTGTCTAATTACTATAGCTAGGACTTTCAGTACTATGTTGAATAACAGTTGTAAAAGTAGGCATCCTTGTTTTGTTCCAGATCTTAGAGAAAAGGCTTTCATTTTTTCCCCTATTCAATTTGATATGAGCAGTGGGTCTGTCATATATGGCTTTTATTGTGTTGAGGTACATTCCTTCTATACCCCATTTGTTGAGGGTTTTATCAAGAAGGAATGTTGAATTTTATCAAATGCTTTTTCACCATCAATTGAAATGATGGTATGGTTTTTGTCCTTCATTCTGTTGATATGATGTGTCACATTGATTGATTTGCATATGATGAACCATCCTTGCATCCCAGGGATAAATCCTACTTGGTCCTGATGAATGATCTTCTTTATGTATTGTTGAATCTGATTTGCTAATATTTTGTTGAGGATTTTTGCATTAACATTCATCAGCTATTGGCCTGTAGTTTTATTTTTTGAATATGCTTTTTTCTGTTTTTGGTATCAGGGTAATACCGGCTTCATAGAATGAGTTTGGAAGTATTCTCTCCTTTTCTATTTTTCAACATAGTTTGAGTAGGATTGGTGTTATTTCTTCTTTAAATGTTTGGTAGAATTCAGCAGTGAAGCCATCAGGTCTCAGGCTTTTCTTAGGTGGGAGACATTTTATTACAACTTCAATCTCTTTACTTGTTATTGGTCTACTCAGGTTTTGGATTTCTTCATGGTTCAATCTACGTAGGTTGTGTGTGTCTAGAAGTTTATCCATTTCTTCTAGGTTTTATAATTTATTGCCATATAGATGCTCATAGTAGTCTCTAATGAGCGTAGTAGTCACTAATGAATTTCTGCAGTATCAGTTGTAATGTCTCCTTTTCAATTTAGGATTATATTTATTTGGGCCTCCACTCTTTTTTTTTCTCTTTTCTTCACTTTTTTTTTTAGTATGGCTAAAGTTTTGTCAATTTTGTCCTTTCAAAAACCAACTTTTCACTTCCTTGATTTTTTGTATTTTTTGTTTTAATTTCATTTATTTATCTTCTGGTCTTTATTATTTATTTTCTTCTACTAATGGGCTTGCTTTGCTCTTGCTTTTCTACTTCTTTGAGATGCACTGTTAGGTTGTTTATTTGAAGTTTTCCTATTTTTTTTTGATGTAGGTGCTTATTGCTATAAACTTTCCTCTTAGTACTGCTTTGGCTATATCCCATATGTGTTGGTATATTGTGTCTCCATTATCATTTGTTTCAATAAATTTTTGATTTCATTATTAATTTCCTCATTGACTCACTGGTAATTCAGGAACATATTATCTAATTTCCATATGTTTGTATAGTTTCTGAAGTTCCTCTCATTATTATTGATTTCTAGTTTTATTCCATTGTGGCCAGAGAAGATGCTTGATATGCTTTCAGTTTTCTTGAAATTTTAAAGACTTGTTTTGTGGCCTAACATATGGCCTATCCTTGAGAATGTTCATGTAGTGAGGAGAAAAATGTGTATTCTGCAGCCATTGGATGAAACATTCTGTAAATATCTATTAGGTCCGTTTGGCCTACTGTACAGATTAAGTCTGATCTTTCTTTGTTGATTTTCTATCTGGATGATCTGTCCAATGCTGAAAGTGAGTTGTCGAAGTCTCCAGCTATTTATGTATTGGGGTCTGTCTTTCATTTTAGCTCTAATAATATTTGCTTTGTATATCTGGGTGCTCCAGTGTTGACTGCATATATATTTACAATTGTTATATCCTCTTGGTGAATTGACTTCTGCCATTATACAATGACCCTCCTTGTCTCTTTTTATAGTTTTTGTCTTGAAATCTATTTTATCTGATATAAATAGAGTGACTCTTGCTCTTTCTTGGTTTCCATTTGCATGGAATATCTCTGTTCATCTCTTTGTTTTCAGTTTATGTGTGTCTTTATAGGTGATGAGTGTTCCTGGTAGGCAGCAGATAGTTGGTTCTTATTTTTTTTCATCCATTCAGCCACTCTATGTGGTTTTGTCTTGTTTTGCTTTGTTTTTTTGAGACAGAGTCTCACTCTGTCGCCCAGGCTGGAGTGCAGTGGCACAATCTTGGCTCACTGCAGACTCAGCCTCCTGGGTTCAAGCAATTCTCCTGCCTCAGCCTCCCCAGTAGCTGGGATTATAGGTAACTGCCACCACACCCAGCTAATTGTTTGTATTTTTAGTAGAGATGAGGTTTCACCATGTTGGCCAAACTGATCTCGAACTCCTGACCTCAAGTGATCTGCCCACCTTGGCCTCCAAAAGTGCTAGGATTACAGGCATGAGCCACCATGCCTGGCAACTGTATGTGTTTTGACTGGAGGGTTTAGTCTATTTCTATTCAGTGTTATTATTGATAAGTAAGGACTTACTCCTGCCACTTTGTTATTTGTTTTCTGCTTGCGTTGTGGCATTATCTTCCTTCCTTCCTTTCCACCTTTCTTTTTGTGAAAGTAGTTTTCTCTGGTGGTATGTTTTAATTTATTGCTTTTTTATTTTTTGTGTATCCGTTATAGGTTTTTTGATATGAGGTTACCATGAGGCTTGAAAACAACATTTTAAAATCCATTATTTTAAACTGATGAGAACTTAACTCTGCAAAAAAAAACTAGCAAACAAAGAGAAAACTAATAAAAACTCTACACTTTAACATCATCTCCCTCTCCTACATTTTCAGTTTTGTTTCTTTTTATCTCTTGTGGTGATATTTGTTCAATTTGTTGTTCCTGTGGGAAAGAAAATTGCTGGATAATTTTTTTTTTTGAGATAGGGTCTTGGTCTGTCACCCAGGCTGTAGTGCAGTGGCATGACCATGGCTCATTGCAACCTCCGCCTCCCAGGCTCAAGTGATCCCCCCACCTCAGCCTCCCAAGTAGTTGGGACTAAGGTGCATGCCACCAAGTTCAGCTAATTTTTTTTTTTTTTTTTTTTGTAGAGATGGGGTTTCACCATGTTGCCCAGGTTGGTATCGAACTCCTGAGCTCAAGTAATCCGCCCACCGTGGCCTCCCAAAATGCTGGGATTACATGCATGAGCCATCACACCTGGCCTAATTGCTGGAGAATTCTATTGAGCCCTCTTGCTCCACTTCCCAACAAGGATTTCTTAAAGGCAATGGTTGGCCAGGTGCAGTGGCTCATGCCTGTAATCCCAGCACTTTGAGAGGCCGAGGCAGATGGATCACCTGAGGTCAGGAGATTGAGACCAGCCTGGCCAACATGGCGAAACCCTGTCTCTACTAAAAATACAAAAAGAGTAGCTGGGTGTGGTGGCACACACCTGTAATCCCAGCTACTCGAGAGGTTGAGGTGGGAGAATCACTTGAGCCCGGGAGGCGGAGGTTGTGGTGAGCCGAGATTGCACCATTGCACTCAAGCCTGGGTGACAAGAGTGAAACTCAGTCAAAAAAAAAAAAAAAAGCAATGGTCATGTAGCTATTAAAGAAACCTGATATTCAACTATGATGACCTTTGGATTCATGTTGCTTTAACACTATTTCTGCTTACCTAAATCTCCTGACACATTGAGTCTATAACTTTGGTTTCCTGCTTTGTCTAGAAAGTAAGATTTGGCAGTACTGTTCAGTTGCCTATCTACAGGAATATCTTAGGATGCTATTTTAAATTTCCATGATATAGACTGGTACATGACCTCAGTAGTAAATATATTTATTTTCTGGATCCTTTGCACATCATCTTGTGAATATTTTCCATTGCACATAGTCAATCTACAAGAGTACTTAGATCTCATATAAACTCATTTTAATTGAAAGGCAGATTGGAAGCTTAGTCCAAAGACCAATTTGTAAGTTTCTTGTTGGGTTATTAGCTTTTGTAGCCAAAGATAAAACTGAACTTACTATGCAATCTTCTTTCACTTCCTTAGTAATGGGGAAAATGTTCAAGTTGTCAACATCTATGTCCTAACTGACCATATTATTATGGAATATTAAGTGGATCTTAAATGAATCCACTTTAAATCTTTAAATTCTTAGGCAACAAGACATGTGGCTACAGTCCAAGAAATTTGTCTTTCTAAATCTTTCATTAGTTGATATATAGTCTAGATGCCTTGGTGTTCATTGAATTTTTTTCTGTACTTGCCACATGCAGAGAACATGAGTGTCTATTTTTCCGTATTAACTAAAAAGTACAAAGAAAAATAGAAAAGGAGCAAGATAATTATTGTAGTTATCTAGGACACAAAAGTCTGGATTTTCAGCAAAGAGTAATGGTCTGAAGAGGCCTATTCTTTTTTTTTTTTTTTTTTTTTTTGAGTCGGTGTCTCACTCTGTTGCTCAGGCTGGAGTGCAGTGGCACGATCTCGGCTCACTGAAAGCTCCGCCTCCCAGGTTCACTTCATTTTTTTTTTTTTTTGTATTTTTAGTAAAGACAGGGTTTCACCATGTTAGCCAGGATGGTCTCGATCTCCTGACCTTGTGATCCACCCACCTCAGCCTCCCAAAGTGCTGGGATTACCGGCATGAGCCACCGTGACCAGCCCGAAGAGGCCTATTTTCATAGAAAGAAACACTGGTTATTGAAAGGAGCATGTGGCTCCCTATGATAAGTGTTTTTAAAAGGATATTTAGAGGCTTCCAAGGGGGTTAAAGTAAAAATAAGCTACATTACTTTTCTGAAGGAGAAGTATCCTTGTTAACTTAGGTGACTGAGGAAGGCTAACTCTAGGGAACTTCCAGAGAATGAGACCTATAGCCAGTTAGCATGCTGTTAGACAAGATTGCTCAAAGGACTCTCAGTGGAAACTATAATAGTGTGTCTTTAGACTTTGGAGGTAAATGATGGCTCAGGTATGGAGTAGTATTCTTCTAAGATGGAGACAGGTTTAAGAAATATCAGATCTTATTAGAATTGAATCCTAGAAAACAAAAATTATATAACCCAAATATTCCAGATTTTTCCTGCTGGTAAAATGAGATCACATGTACACTTGTATCCAAATTTCATCACCTGCAAGCCCTCACCTGCTCACAGAGGAATTTAAACCCCTTCCAAGGACTCTCTAGTTATTTCTGGCTGTTTTCAGAAGAGTTGTTTGCCACGTGTTTGTAACAAGTTCGCTTACATTCTTATACTCTAGCCTGCTAGGCAAAGCATCTTATCACTGCCTCTGCTGCAGATACCCTTTGTGCAAACAGCATTGTCTGTGCCAAGGGTACTGGCTCCCTATTTTCACAAAGTTTCCAGTCCTTGAGGTACAGGGATCTAGGCCCCTCACCCAACTCTACAATAATTTTCTAACTTTGTACCTAAACAGCATTATTTCAGCCCAGAATCACATAAAGTCCTTCAAGAAAATGACTCCCTCAGCTTTGGCCATATACCCTTCTCCCCTACCAGGCCTCAAATCCAAAGATTCAGCCATAGCACTAGCACTCTACCTTACCTTCTTTTCTTTCCAGCTTTCATTATCTTTTTCTGTGTGCTCCAGCAAATAACAACAAATGAAAACCAACTTATCACTCCTCCTTCGGCCCAAACCCCAGTCTCCATGCATATAAACTTATGCAAATAGATAAAAGAAGCGATGGGGGAAGTGTCATCTAATTTCTCTCAGACAAGGTTCTGGCACTACCTTCAGCCCAGCCAAGACACTGCTACACATATAATAAAACATAGGCTATGTTTCTATTAGAGTTGGGTGGGAATAGGAACAGCAATTCAGAGGAAGGAAATAGTGGTATAAAAGGAACCACCACCTCAGAAAGAGGATTACACTTTGAAAACGTTAGGGGCGGCCGGGCGTGGTGGCTCATGCCTATAATCCCCGCACTTTGGGAGGCCAAGGCGGGCCGATCACAAGGTCAGGAGTTTGAGACCAGCCTGACCAACATGGCGAAACCCTGCCTCTACTAAAAATACAAAAATTAGCCAGGCGTGGTGGTGCGTGCCTGTAATCCCAGCTACTCAGGAGGCTGAGGCAGGAGAATCACTTGAACTCAGGAGGTGGAGTTGCAGTGAGCTGAGATAGTGCCATTGCACTCCAGCCTGGGCGACAGAGCGAGACTCTGTCTCAAAAAATAAAAATAAAAATAAAAATAAATTACGTTAGTGGCTCCACTTGTCTTTCTTTTTACTGGTATCTTTAATTTTTTCAGGTTTAATTTCAATATTGGGTCAAACTCTTTTGTTTCTTCATATTTAAACCCGGAATAAGGCAGAAATTCATATTCATGGCTGAACAACTACTAGGTAAAAATTTTTAAAATCACAAAATGCTATGGAGAGTGACTGACAATGTTGGATTTGGCAGACCATTTTGCCTTAAACTAATTCTATTTCATATCTGCAGCTGAAGCCTCTGTTCCATATATTGGTGGAATATCTTTTCAGGGCAAAGCAGTCTTAATATTAAGACAGTATCACTCTTGAACTGAAGTTTTTGCAACACTGATGAAGTGCAAGTAGCCCTTTTTAATGTAATCACAATGTGCAGATTTTCAAGCTGAAAAAAGTAGTTTAACTATTACCTCATGTCTTGAAGTAGAAGAATTTACAGACTTGAATTGTTAGATAGCATTACCTATGAGGGAAATGACATTGAACTCCACTTCAATTGGTATGTAGTGAATAGACAGACAAAAGTGGAGAGGAGGAAAGCTCTGGAAGCTGTGGGTGAGAACAAAGGAGATCTTAAAGTCTAAGAATTCTTGAATATTAAGAGTTGCTGACAACATAGAGGAGAGCTGGGAGTTAGTAAAAATATTGTAAAAGGTGGAAAGTGTTATAATGATAAAGCAAATGACTAGATTGACCTAGAACAGTGATTCTTAACTGAAGGAGATTTTGCTCCCTAGGGGAAGTTTGGCAATATCTGAAGACATTTAAAAAATAAACTTAAAAAGTTTTTACAGTAGTTTTAGAGTTACAAAAAAAGTTGCAAACATAGTACAAAGACTTGCATATATCTTCACTTAGTTTCCCCTATTGTTAACGTCTTACATTGGTGTGATGTATTGTTACACCAAGGAAGAGATATTGACACATTATTATTAACTAAAGTTTATACTTTATTTCTATGTCCTTATGAGAGGTGATAGAGTGCTGGCAGCCCTCGCAGCCCCCGCTCACTCTCGGCGCCTCCTCTGCCTGGGCTCCCACTTGGGCGGCACTCGAGGAGGCCTTCAGCCCACCGCTGCACTGTGGGAGCCCCTTTCTAGGCTGGCCAAGGCCTGAGCTGGCTCCCTCAGCTTGCAGGGAGGTGTGGAGGGAGAGGCGCAAGTGGGAACCAGGGTTGCGCGTGGTGCTTGCGGGCCAGCTGGAGTTCCAGGTGGGCGTGGGCTTGGTGGCCCCGCACTCGGAGTGGCCAGCCAGCCCTGCTGCACTGGGCAATGAGGGGCTTAGCACCCGGGCCAGCATCTGCGGAGGGTGTGCTGGGTCCCCCAGCAGTGCCGGGGCCTTAGCTTCTCACTAGGCCTTAGCTGCCTCCCCGCGGGGGAGGGCTCGGGACCTGCAGCCCGCCATGCCTGAGCCTCCGCCCCCTCCATGGGCTCCTGTGCAGCCCGAGCCTCGCCGACGAGTGCCACCCCCTGTTCCACGGTGCCCAGTCCCATCCTCACCCAAGGGCTGAGAAGTGTGGGCCCACAGCACGGGACTGGCAGGTAGCTCCACCTGCAGCCCCAGTGAGGGATCCACTGGGTGAAGCCAGCTGGGCTCCTGAGTCTGGTGGGGACTTGAAGAACCTTTATGTCTAGCTAGGGGATTGTAAATACACCAATCAGCACTCTGTGTCTAGCTCAGGGTTTGTGAATGCACCAGTTGACACTCTGTATCCAGCTACTCTGGTGGGGACTTGGAGAACCTTTATGTCTAGCTAAGGGATTGTAAATACACCAATCGGCACTCTGTATCTAGCTCAAGGTTTGTAAACACACCAATCGGCACCCTGTGTCTAGCTCAGGGTTTGTGAATGCACCAATCGACACTCTGTATCTAGCTACTCTGGTGGGGACTTGGAGAACCTTTATGTCTAGCTAAGGGATTGTAAATACACCAGTTGGCACTGTGTATCTAGCTCAAGGTTTGTGAACACACCAATCAGCACCCTGTGTCTAGCTCAGGGTTTGTGAATGCACCAATTGACACTCTGTATCTAGCTACTCTGGTGGGGACTTGGAGAACCTTTGTGTCTAGCTAAGGGATTGTAAATACACCAATCAACACTCTGTATCTAGCTCAAGGTTTGTAAACACACCAATCAGCACCCTGTGTCTAGCTCAGGGTTTGTGAATGCACCAATCAACACTCTGTGTCTAGCTAATCTAGTGGGGAAGTGGAGAACTTTTGTATGGACACTCTGTGTCTAGCTAATCTAGTGGGGACGTGGGGAACTTTTGTGTCTAGCTCAGGGATTGTAAATGCACCAATGAGCACCCTGTCAAAACGGACCAATCAGCTCTCTGTAAAACAGAACAATCGGTTCTCTGTAAAATGGACCAATCAGCAGGATGTGGGTGAGGCCAGATAAGGGAATAAAAGCAGGCTGCCCGAGCCAGCAGTGGCAACCTGCTCAGGTCCCCTTCCACACTGTGGAAGTTTTGTTCTTTTGCTCTTTGCAATAAATCTTGCTGCTGCTCACTCTCTGGGTCCAAACTGCCTTTATGAGCTGTAACACTCACCGCGAAGGTCTGCAGCTTCACTTCTGAAGCCAGCGAGACCACGAACCCACTGGGAGGAATGAACAACTCCAGATGCGCCGCCTTAAGAGCTGTAACACTCACTGCGAAGGTCTGCAGCTTCACTCCTGAGCCAGCGAGAACACGAACCCACCAGAAGGAAGAAACTCCAAACACATCTGAACATCAGAAGGAACAAACTCCAGACACGCCGCCTTTAAAAACTGTAACACTCACCACGAGGGTCCGTGGCTTCTTTCTTAAAGTCAGTGAGACCAAGAACCCACCAATTCCGGACACACTTAGTTGGTACTTAATGTCCTTTTTCTGTTTCAGGACCCCATCCAAGAAACCACATTGTATTTAGCTAGACTTCTCTTGGCTATAACAGTTTCTCAGACTTTCTTTGTTTTTGATGACCTTGACAGTTTTGAGGAGTACTGATTAGGTATTTTGCAGAGTATCTTTTAGTTAGGATTTGTCTAATGTTATTATTTCGCTCTGTTGCGCAGGCTGGAATGCAGTGGCATGATCTCGGTTCACTGCAAACTGTGCCTTCCGGGTTTAAGCGATTCTCCTGCCTCAGCCCCCTAGTAGCTGGGAGTACAGGCGCCCACCGCCACAGCTGGCCAATTTTTGTATTTTTAGTAGAGACGGGGTTACGCCATGTTGGCCAGGCTGGTCTGGAACTCCTGACCTCAGGTGATCCGCCCGCCTCAGCCTCACAAATTGCTGGGATTATAGGTGTGACCCACCATGCCTGGCCAATTTATCTAATGTTATTCTGATATGGGATTTGAGGGGAGGCACCATGGAGGTGAACTGCCATTCTCATTTTATCATATCTAAGACTATCAACATGACATCACTGATGATGTTAATCTTGGCCACTTATCCAAGGTAGTGTTTGTGAGATTTTTTTTTTGGCCTGGGGGACAGGGTCTTGCTCTGTCGACTAGGCCGGAGTGCAATGCTGTGATCTCGGCCCACTGCAACCTCTGTCTCCCAGGTTCAACCAATTCTCCTGTCTCAGTCTCTCCAGTAGCTGGGATTACAGATGTGCGCCAACACACCCGGCTAATTTTTGTATTTTTAGTAGAGGTGGGGTTTCACCATGTTGGACAGGCTAGTCTCGAACTCCTGAACTCAGGTGATCTGCCCACCTCGGCCTCCCAAAGTGCTGGAATTACAGGCATGAGCCACCGCACCTGGCCGAAGTTTCTTCTTTGTAAAGTTATTTTCCTGCCTTTCCATACTCTACTCTTTGAAAGCAAGTCACTAGGTGCAGCCCTCACTCAAAGAGTGAGGAATTAGGTACTACCTCCTTGAGGAAAGTGTATCTACATAAATTACTTAGAATTCTTCTCTGTGGGAAATTTGTATCTTCTCCCATATCTATTTATTTATCCATCATTTCTTTACATCAGTATGGACTCCTGGATATTCATTACAAACAGTTTTTTTTTTATTTTTGCAAAAGGAGTGGGGTGGGTGCTTCTGGCATCCTGTGGGCAGAGACCAGGGATGCTGCTCAATATCCTATAATGCACAGGACAGATCCCCACAAAAATAATTATCTGGCCCCAAATGTCAATGGTACTGAGAATGGGAAACCCTGCCCGAGAGTCTCTGACTACTCTCTGCTACTCTCACAGTCTCATACTCTGTTAGGAGGTGCTGCTTATGGAAATGCAACTCTAAGTTTATAATTGAAGTCAGTGAATAAAAGTTGTGTTTTCAGAAAACTTTGTTGGAATTTAGAAAATGAATAATTCTTTTGGTGTTCTGTAGACATCCAGTAGGAGGTTTTGTCTCTTTAAGGCTCTATATAAACAAAATGAGCTGAAAAGTTGAGGCAGTTACCCAGACTACTCAAATCCAATGGTATCCTCCACCTACCACCCTGTTGTTGAAGAAAAATTTTGGCTCAGTGTGTACAGATTGGCAGTCAGTATTGGAAGAATTTACTGAATATTTACTTAACACCAGTGTATGTGTTCCATAGGCTGGGGAATCAGGAGAGGCTTTGGAATGAGGCTGGAGGTGGGAAAGGCGAAATTAAAAAGAAAATGCCACCTCCTTCAAAGTCTACCTCCCTACATGGCATCTATTCACTTTCCTGCCTTGCATTAGAACAGTTGTACCCTACCAAGGTCAGTTTTGCTTCTATAAGACAGTTGGCAATCTCTAGACATGTTTCTGGTGGTCACAGCCTCGGAGAGGGGTGCTACTAGTATTTAGCAGGTAGATATCAGGGATGCTGTTAAACATTCTGCAATGTACAGGGCAGCTCCTCCCAAAATTATCCAGTCCAAATGTCAATAGCGCTGAGTTTGAGAAACCCTGGGCTAGAAGGAAAAGAAAACAATCTTTCAGGCTGATCAGATTAATTTCTGACAACCAAAGGGAAGTATATGTTTTGGTATATCCTCTCTTAAATGTGTATGTGTGTGTGTGTGTGTGTGTGTGTGTGTGTGTGTGTGTGTGTGTGTGTTGTTTGTGTTTCACCAATCCCTTTTATCTGCTGCTTTGACCAGATTACTCTTGGTGTTGTAAACATTTCAGAGCATAGGTGTACTTAAATAAAATCAGACTTTTTACCCTGGACTATACTACCCTGACAAACCAGTTCCTCCTCACCTCTCTGACTTCTTTCCATGTCGCCTCTGCCCTTAGTTCTCTAGTTTTCTATGATCCATCCAGTTGTACAAGGCCCAAGCCCAGATTGCCAGATTGGCTTTATGACTTTTGCTCTTGATGATCTTTTTTTTTTTTTTTTTTTTTTTTAGACAGAGTATCGATCGGTCTTGTTGCCCAGGTTGGAGTGCAATGGCATGATTTCGGCTCACTGCAACCTCTGCTTCCCGGGTTCAAGTGATTTTCCTGCCTCAGCCTCTTAAGTGGCTGCGATTACAGGCCTGAGCCACCATACCGGGCTAATTTTGTAATTTTAGTAGAGACAGGGTTTCACTATGTTGATCAGACTGATCTGGAACTACTGACCTCAGGTGATCCACCCACCTCAGCCTCCCAAAGTGTTGGGATTACAGGCGTGAGCCACCATGTCTGGCTCTTGATGATCCTTCTGACTAGACCATTCTTCCCCCTGACCTGGGCCTGACTGGGTCCCTTTTATTATTCACGTCTTAGCTCAAATGTTGACTTTGCAGCTAGGCATTTCCAAATCACCCTATTTAAAGTACACCTCAAGGCTAGGCGCAGTGGTTCATGCTTGTAATCCCAGCAGTTTGGGAGGCCGAGGCCGATGGATCACTTGAGGTCAGGAGGTTGAGACCAGCCTGGCCAACCTGGTGAAATCTCGTCTCTACTAAAAATACAAAAATTAGCCGGGCATGGTGGCACATGCCTGTAATCCCAGCTACTTGGGAGGCTGAGGTGGGAGGATTGCTTGACCTGGGAGGCGGAGGTTGCAGTGAGCCAAGATTGCACCACTGCACTCCAGCCTGGGCGACAGAGCAAGCCTGTGTCTCAAATAAATAAATACATAAATAAATAAAATAAATAAAAATAAAAAATACACCTTGAGGCTGGTCCAAAGCTAGTAATTTATCTCAATTGATTGTTCACAGTCAGTTACAGATCAAACTCCTTGTTCTACTCTTTCCCACCTTCTCACTACACTAGACTAAAAAAAAAAAAAAAAGTACAGCTTTACACAAAAATGCACCTTTAATCTCATAGTCATGTTTTATGTTGTCTATGACATCATTTTCTGAAGTTATCTCATTTGGTTGTCTTACACATCAACATATAAGCTCCCTAAGGGAGGTGACCTGTCCCTTGAGTTTGGCACCATATCTGTGTTCCCCTCTCCCAGTTGGTCACAAAGTCACAGTTAAATAAATATTTGTTGAATGACTGAATAACTGCATGAATGAGTTTGAGGTAAAGATTTAAAATCTCTTGAAATTCTAAATTTGTGGAACACATTTTTTTGTTGTTGTTTCCTTAGCCTCTTAAAAATGGAATTTGGGGGCCAGACACAGTGGCTCACGCCTGTAATCCCAGCACTTTGGGAGGCCAAGGAGGGCGGATCACGAGGTCAGGAGTTCGAGACAAGCCTGTCAAAAAAAAAAAAAAAGGAAATTTAAATTTGGGAGTAAAGTTGTAGAATATGTTTGTTTGTTGTTGTTTTGTTGTTTGTTTGTTTGTTTTTTGCCACAGAGTCTCGCTCTGTCACCCAGGCTGGAGGGCAGTGGTGTGGTCTCGGCTCACTGCAACCTCTGCCTCTCAGGTTCAAGCGATTCTCCTGCCTCAGCCTCCCGAGTAGCTGAGATTACAGGTGCCTGCCACCACGTCCAGCTAATTTTTGTATTTTTAGTAGAGATGGGGTTTCACCATGTTGGCCAGGCTGGTCTTGAATGCCTGACCTCAGGTGATCTGCCTGCCTTGGCCTCCCAAAGTGCTGGGATTACAGGCGTGAGCCACCACACCTGGCCAGAATATGGAATTTTTAAAAGAACCATTTATACTTTTAATGCCACATCATTTAGGAACACATGACATAGTATGCAAATGTGGTTAGATCACAAAATGATGTATTTGTTTATATTGCATGTAAATAAAAATTTATTCACATAATTATAAATTTAAAGCTGAATTAATAAAATAATTAAAATTTTATCCCTATATGTTGCCCATTAGAGAGAAGCAGAAAAACCCTTGAGGACAGATAAAAATATTGATGCTATAGTAAAACAAATTAAGATGTTATGTCTTAACACTTAGGGTTCTAAGCAGATATAGAAAATATTCATTCTGGCCCGGCGCGGTGGCTCACGCCTGTAATTCCAGCACTTTGGGAGGCCGAGGCAGGCGGATCACGAGGTCAGGAGATCAAGACCATGCTGGCTAACACGGTGAAACCCAGTATCTACTAAAAATATAAAAAATTAGTCGGGCGTGGTGGCGGGCACCTGTAGTCCCAGGAGGCTGAGGCAGAAGAATGGCGTGAACCTGGGAGGCAGAGCTTGCTGTGAGCCGAGATCGCGCCACTGCACTCCAGCCTGGGCGACAGAGCGAGACTCCATCTCAAAAAAAAAAAAAAAATTCATTCTTAGAAAATTAGCCAAGTTAAATGAGTGAGAAAAACACCTCATAACTCTTCAAACCTAAATTTTGCCCCAAGGGAACTTGGTCTACTCCGTTTTATTTTCTGAGATATTATTTTCTGCAGTATCTTCTCTAATGCTTCGTTACATGAACTTTTGAATATTGAAAGTTTACAATCTTTTGCTTCATTCTTTCGATGCAGTTTATTTCTTTTTAATAATAATTTGAGGTGAAATTCAAATAACAAAATTAACCATTTTCAAGTGAACGATTTACTGGTATTTAGTACAGTCACAATGTTGTGCAATCACCACCTCTATCTAGTTTCAAAACATTTCCATCTCTCCAAAATAAAACTCCTTATCCACTAAGCAATGTCTTCCCTCTCCTTAGCTCCTGGCATCCACTATTCTGCATTGTGTCTCTACGAATTTATTTTGGAGATTTCATTTAAATGGAATAGTACAATAAGTGATGTTTTGTGTTTGACTTCTTTTACATATTATTTTCTTTTTTTTTTTTTTTTGAGACAGAGTCTTGCTCTGTTGCCCAGGCTGGAGTGCAGTGGTGTGGTCTCGGCTCACTGCAACCTCTGCCTCAGCCTCCTGAGTAGCTGGGATTACAGGCACGTGCCACCACACCTGGCTATTTTTTTTTTTTTTTTTGTATTTTTAGTAGAGATGGGGTTTTGCCATGTTGGCCAGGCTGGTCTCGAACTCCTGACCTCAGGTGATCCACCTGCCTCGGCCTCCAAAAGTGCTGGGATTACAGGTGTGAGCCACTATGCCTGGCCTAATGTACTATTTTCAAGTTTCTTCCATGTTGTAGTGTGTATCAGTACTTCACTCCTTTTTGTGGATGAAAAATATTCCATTGTATAGGTGTACCAAATTTCTTTGTCTAGTTATATGCTGATGGTCATTTGGAGTGTTCCACCTTTTGGCTTTTGTAAATAGTGCTGCTATGAACATGAGTGTACATATATTTGAGTACTTGTTTTCAATTTTTTTTTTTTTTTGGACAGAGTCTTGGTCTGTCACCCAGGTTAGAGTGCAGTGGCACAATCTCAGCTCACTGCAACCTCTGCCTCCTGGGTTCAAGCAATTCCTATGCTCAGCCTTCTGAGCAGCTGGGATTACAGGCATGTGCCACCACACATAGCTTTTTTTTAAATTTTTTGTTAATTTTTAGTAGAGATGGTGTCCACCTTGTTGCCCAGGCTGGCCTCGAACTCCTGGTCTCAAGCAATCTACCTGCCTTGGCCTCTCAAAGTGCTGGGATTACAGGCATGATCCACCATGCCCAGCCTCAATTATTTTGGGTATATACTTAGGAGTAGAATTGTTGGGTTATTAGTAACTCTATGTTTAACTTTTTGAGGAACTGTTGAAGTGTTTTCCTTAACAGCTGCACCACTCTGCATTCCCACCAGCAATGTAGGAGGATTCCAATTTCTCCATATTCTTGCTAACACTTGTTATTTTCCAGTGCTTTTTAAAAAAATTATCTTTATAGCCATCTTAGTGGGTATGGAGTGATATTTAATTGTGTTTTTGATTTGCCTTTCCCTAATGACTAGTAGTGCTGAACACCTTTTCATGTGTTTCGTGGTCATTTTTAATGTAGCTTATTTCTTACATTTGGGTATTTCTAAACTTTTACAGCTTCTGTTATATAGTACAGAAGATGGAAAGATCAGAAGCAAACAAGAATGAGAAAGCTGTTTTTACAAAATTATATTTGTCAAATGCCCCAAATGGCTTCCTGGTCCTAACCCCTGAGAGTGTTACATTTTCTGCTACACTGGGAAGTTCCTTTCTGATATCAAGTCTACAGGCTTGGAATATTTGCTCATATAGTTAAATGAAATAGCAAGAATGTCATAAAAGTGGCAGACAGGGGTCGGGTGTGGTGGCTCACGCCTGTAATCCCAGCACTTTGGGAGGCTGAGGCAGGTGAATCACCTGAGGTGAGGAGTTTGAAACCAGCCTGGCCAACAGGCGAAACCCCATCTCTACTAAAAACACAAAAATTAGCCAGGCGTGGTGGCGGGCGCCTGTAATCCCAGCTACTCCAGAGGCTGAGGCAGGAGAAACGCTTGAACTCGAGAGGAGGAAGTTGCAGTGAGCCGAGATCACACCCTTGCGCTCCAGCCTGGGTGACAGAGGGAGACTCCGTCTCAAAAAACAAACAAGCAAACAAAAAGTGGCAGATAGGAAATAAGAAAAGCAAGCTATCAACACCATCAGCACGTTGGGTAAGGAGGAGTTTGCAACCTGGAGTGGACGTTTGTTGAGGGGTAGATTAAGCACATCCAGATGATAACAAATGTATTGGAAAAGTTTAGACTTTTTTCCATAACAAATTATGTAAAGGAGAAGAAATAATCTTTCTCTTCAAAAATTCCAGTTGCTTCCTCAGACATATTCCACATAAATCCAACAGATCATCTTTTTCTGTTTTCCTTAGATATTCCTGTTGATTTTTTAATCCAAGCAAATCAGGGCACTTTAGAAAGTGTGGTTATGATAACTTTGTTTATGGTTATATTGTAAAATCTCTAGGAAATAGTATGAGGTAGGCAACATGGCAAAGTGGGGTGATCACTGAACTGAGAGTCAGGAGATCTGTGTTCCAGTCCTCAGTTCTGAAATAACAAGTTTTGTAACCTTGGGTAAATTATTTAACCTCTTGGAGCCCCAGTTTCCTCATTTTTAAATAAATAAGTGACTGGACTTTTGATGATCTTTAAAGTTCTTTACAGCTCTATCATTCTATTTGAAAAGTTCATGTGTTAGGCACTTTAAATTTCACAGGCAAATGCATATCCTTTCTTTGTTTACATTTACAGAAAGTAAAACTGTTGCCTTGATCAAACCTGTATCATGAAAATGGTTCTTTTTTTTAAACAAAGAGGCCCAAGGACACAGACTTCGAAGTGCTGAAGCCATGCACCTCTTTGTGTACTGGCCAAGTGCCTGGGTACACTTGTACGTGTGATGATCTGCCCTCTGCCCTGAGGTTTCTTAATCTAGGTTTTGCAATGTGTGTCATAGATGTTTGTTTTTCAAACATGGTGCAACGGGCTCAGACAGGACATAGCACTGTCTCCTATTCAGTAGCTACAACACTTTTCATCTTCTGCATTTTTCCAGTCTTTCATGCTGTAACGTCTGTGATGATCTCAAATGAGGACACTTTAATTTTCATTTAATCTGATGATGCATTTTATTTTCTACAGGAAGGTACTGGGTTTTGAAACTCCCCCCTTTTTTTCCCATTTTGGGAAAAGTCATAATAAATGGTGAGGTCATTCTGCCCTGCCACTATAGGGGTTTTCTTCTAACATAGGCCCCAGTGAGCTCTGGGTCATCACATTGCCACAAGAGTACAACTGGCAACTTCAGTCTCTGATGAGGAGTCAGGAGTTTAAGATCTACCTGGGAAGGATTATGTTGCATTTAGGTACAGCACAGCATGAGTTTGTTCATAATCCTGGGATTAATACAAAAAGCCAATGGAAAGGGAAAGGCTAGCAATCTCAGATGAATGTCGCTGACATGGTCGATACATTAGTATTTTTTTTTTCAATTTTAGAGGTTTTCTCGTCTTGAACACTGTAGCAGATAAAGGCTCTATTAAATTTCACTATCAGATAACTTTATCAGGGAACTGATCTGATCTGGATTATCCGAAAATCTGATTTTGATATTTTTATTACCCCATGGCCATTTCTTTTTTGTTAATTTACAAATGTACTTTGCATCAGTGCTTTCCTTGTGTATCTGTATTTAGTCTTTCTTTCAGCCTTAGGTTAACTTTTTTTTTTTTTTTTAAATAGCAGCTTCTGCAATGCTGGGAAACAAGGTATGGTATGGGGTGTGGGGAAGGGAGGTATGATTGAAGCTGAAGGGTCTTTTTTTTCTTTTTTTTGAGACAGAGTCTCCCTCTATCACCCAGGCTGGAGTGCGATCTCGCTCACTGCAAGCTCCGCCTCCTGGGTTCACGCCATTCTCGTCTCAGCCTCCCCAGTAGCTGGGACTACAGGCGCCTGCCACCACACCTGGCTAATTTTGTTGTTGTTGTTGTTGTTGTTTTAAGATGGAGTCTCCCTCTGTCGCCCAGGCTGGAGTGCAGTGGCTCAGTCTCGGCTCACTGCAACCTCTGCCTCCCGGATTCACGCCATTCTCCTGCCTCAGTCTTGAACTCCTGGACTCAAGTGATCCTCCTGCCCCACCCTCCCAAGTAGCTGGGATTTCAGGCCTGGGCCACCACACCTGGTCTTAACCTCAACTTTTTACAAGCTTGTTTCAATGGTATCTATGAAATAGTTCAACAAATCTAATTTTGTTGCCAAAGGGCAAAAATTTAGGTAGGATGATCTAGAACAGCTTAGGAATTGGTCCTCCCTAAGACTATACTCTATTGAGCCATGGTGCAAATAGGCCCTAGTGAAGGTTCCCAAATTCTCTGTAGCTGTACATCACTGTACATAAGCTAAACACATTCCAGAAAGGCTATTTGTAAAGCAAATTTTCATTCAGTAAGGCTCATTTTTCCACTGATTGTCTCTTTATTCTTATTTATATTACAAAAGAAGTGCCTGTTCACTTCACCTGTTTTGCTCAATAGAAGTAAGTATATAAAGAAGTCTCTGATCCCTTTCTGTAGAGATAACAACTGTTCATTATCTGGAATAGATCTGGTACAGATCTGGTACAGATCTTTCCAGATGTTTGCTGCACACACATACTGTGACATATACTTATATTTTTTCAAAATGAGAATGAATTATGTGTATCGAACTGCAAATTGCTCTTATTTGCTTAATAATATATCACAAACATCATTTCATGTCATTATGTTTGCATATAGATATTTAAATAATTGTGCCTCATTCTTTTTTTTTTTTTTAACCTAACACAGTATTCCATAGTATGGATATGCCATAAGGTATTAACCGCATTCCTATTAATGAACACTTGGGATTTTTGATTAATTTTTCACTATTAAAATAATACTCTGGTTACTATTCCTGTGCATAGATCTTTGTGTATTTGTTCAAGTTTCTCTGTATAGTAGAGCCCTGTACATGAAAATGTCAAAGAGTATATGCATTTTAAAATTTAAAAGATACTGCCAAATTGTCTTTTAAAAAGGCCAGACTGGGTGCAGTGGTTCACGCCTGTAATCTCAGCACTTTGGGAGGCCGAGGCAGGTGGATCACCTGAGTTCTGAGTTCAAGACCAGCCTGCCCAACGTGGTGAAACCCCATCTCTACTAAAAATACAAAAGTTAGCTGGGCATGGGGGCGGGCACCTGTAATCCCAGCTACTCAGGAGGCTGAGGCATGAGAATCTCTTGAACCCGGGAGGCAGAGGTTGCAGTGAGCTGAGGTCGTGCCACTGCACTCCAGCCTGGGCAACAGTGCAAGACTCTGTCTCAAAAATAAACAAATAAAATAAAATAAAGGGGCCAAACCAATTTACGCTCCTACTTAGAATATATGAGTGCAAGTTTCTTCATATTCTTGCCAAAATTGAATATTATCAATCTAAAGATCTTACCAACTTGAAAAGAAAAATTAAAAATATTTAATAATCTTTTATATCTATTTCTAAAAGTAATAATTATTCATTCAAACATATTGTTAAAAATGTTTTATTTGAATAACAGTAATTTGGCTTGTATCAGGTGCCATGTAGGGTCCAAGTGAAGCAGACAGTTTTATTACAGAATTTTGGTTTGAAGAGGGATGCTTTGAATAAATATCCAAAGGTTTAATCAGTCCAATAGTCCCAGTGGGGACTATTCACTCAGTTTCAGAGTGAAATAGTCCCATAATTATTTAAGCATAATTATGGGGTTTGTCTATTTCATAGACGGCATTAGCAACAGGAATATTTGTAGGATTGATGGGAATGGAGATTAACTTGGAGGTCAGATAGTGACTTAGTGAATGAAGTGGCTGTAGACCACTTCTCAAGGAATTTGTCCTTAGTTGTAAAGAAAGTTACTGAATAGGAGAATCTGGAGAAAGATTGTTCTGGTTCTAGCTTCCTTTTTCTCATCTGTGAAATGAAGAGGTTGAACTTGGTGATTAATAGCCATCATTTTATACACACTTGCCATAAATCAGGAATTTTATAGGCATGATTTCATTTAATCCTCCCTCAGAAGAGTCTTATGAATGAGGTACCATTATTATCCCCAATTTACAGAAGAGGCTGAGGCTCAGGAAAATGTTATATAACTTGGTCTAGGGTGGTTGGCTTAAGTCCAAACCCATATGGTTTCCATCGTGCTACTCTGCATCTAAGTGGCTTCCCAGCACTAATAGTCGAAGATTTTGAGTAAGGGACATTTTAAAATTTTGTTATTTTACTGGTCTTTTAAGAATAGGACATATTGGAAGCTTTTTGTATGTTAAAGGGAAAGCATAATAAAAAGAGATTTAAGGCAAGTTATGAAATTGATGACCTATCTTTTTTTGTAATATTACTAGGCTAGAATCACTACAGAGAGTGGGCAAAAATATACCAAAGGCAACTTTCTTACAGATTCAATGACAACCACAATAGATTTTTCACATACTCATGGCCTTATGGATAATAAAAATATTTTGTTATTTTTGATTCTTTATGGGAAGGTCACACAAACAATTTCAAGGATAACTGTGGAGGATTTTATTTAGAGGGTGTTGTAGTTATCTTTAAAAAGGACAAATGAGTTTCATGAGAGAAACCGAAATTAAGTTCCATTAAAATCCTGCTGTGATTTTGATGTGGACCACACTGTCTTGACGGATTAATTTGGAAAAACTTGACTCCATGCAATACTGTGTCTTCCTATCTGGGTGCACTAGATGTCTATTTGTTTTGGTGTTTCCATTAATTTAAAAACCTGAAAAATGTGCCAGAATGAAAAGAAATAGTTATTTTGAAAAAACAAATCATTTCTCAAAAATAACATTTAGATGTAGCTACTATGCCTTTGATCATTTTTGAAAGGAGTGGCTTAGGTTATTATTTATGTTCACAGTGAGATGATCATCTACGTAGGTTTCTGATTTCACCGGTTGTTTAACACAAGCCACTAAAGACAATATTTGGCCTGGTTGTTGGGTCTGCAAAAAATAAGGTTTGTTAATGACAAAATCTAACACAACTTGTCAATGCAAATATTATTATGAAGCCCTGCTGCTTGTATTTAGACCACAGGAGAAAATTATTATTATTCTACAAACCCGTGAAGTTTAACACGCAAAGGCTTGTTACACAGTCAATGAAGAACAGTTGTTTTCTGCCCTTCCATAAATAACTAATGCCAAGAGCAGCCTGGCTATCTGTTTCAGCTTCTTGTTACAGAATAATAAAATAGGCAAGGCCTAAATATCAGTGCCTGTTAACAGAGCTGTCCTTTAAATTCTGTTTAGCTTCTAACAGACTAATTCTCATGCTTTTAGTACTTATTACATTGCATTTTGAATCTGTCAATTGCATTGTACATTTTCCTAACTCTTCCATTTCCATACGTTTATCTACTCCATTTCTAATTGGGTTGGTAGTTCTGGGTAGGACTCATTACAGAGGCAGCTTAATGTAGCGGCAAGCACCCTGGTCTAGGAGTCATAAGCAGTGTAGTAGGAAATTCAGGCTCTGTTACTACTTAGTTGTGTGACTGGACAAGACACTTAACCTGCATCTATTTCTTCATCTGTGAAATAGGGATAATAATACCCTATCTTCCTAACTAATAAACAACGTTGCAAATGTTCTCTTTAAAATGTCAGACAGCTGCTTGGGAAATATTTTGCTCCTGGGCAGTAATTTCTGGAAGGTTTCTGATGACAAGAAATTAAGCAAGGTTTGTTTTGACTCCGAAAAAGGAAAGCTGGAAATAGCGTGGTTATACTTGGTTTCCTTTTTGGAGGTATAGTTCTTCTTTCCTCTTCAACTTGGGTGCAGTTAAATGTGGAAGAAGGTGAGATGTGGTAGGTGATGAAGACAGCCAGAACTGTACACACTAATGAATAGCTTAAGTAATAAGAGATCTTGAAAATCCAAGTAGTTTCTTGGTCTGATAAACATATCTATATGTATATCATACACACATTTGTATACCAAAAAACGGATAGTTTCAGGCTATAGTGATTTCTTTCCTTTATATCTTGTAGAGCTGGAGGAACTTCAGTAAGCTGAAGACTCTGTTCAGAGGAAATTACCTAATTGAAAATGTCTGGGCTAAGAGACCGACAATAAAGGAAACTGGCAAAAGTACTCTTTAATTACAAGTTCTTTTTCATCTTCATCCAGCACACTGATTTATGTGCTACACTGGGTTTGTATTATATCTATATTTTAATTCCACAACTAGACACTAACTTTATTGAGAACAGCGATATTCATTTCTTCAATTTCATTTGTGTTAACCCAACTGTAGGTGATAGTGCTCTGTACATCATAGTTACCCAGTGAATTACGTACCTGACATATGATTGCTTATTTCTGGTATTAAAACAAGATTTCATAAAATAAACATGACAATTAAACTCGTTGTTTGAAGTACTGAACTTTGTAGGTCAATCTTGAAAAAGGAAGCTACATGACTGTCTTAGCAATATTTATAGGTATATTATATGTAAGTGGGTGGGTTTCTTGGAAATTGAATTGGTAATATGGCTTTAGAGTAGTAACACAAAAACTATAGCTCTGTGCTCTCAGCTAACCACTTTTAGTGTCACCTGGGCTGCTTATTAAAAATTCAAATTTCTTATCCCTACCCAGATCAGAATCAAAATACCTGGGGGTTGTAGCTCCAGGTACCTACATTTCAACAAGCACCCCAGATAATTGTGATGCACACTGAAGAACTACTCTAGCTTGTAATCTCAGGTGGTAAGGCATTTTATATATACATATATATATACACACACACAAGCACAAATGGTAATTCTATGGGAAAATGGAAATCAGCAAGTGAAGTGAAATGTCAATTACCATCAGGAACAGGAAGCTAGTTCACCATTACGCATCAGGGAACTGGAAGAATTCTTGAGATTTATTTTTTTGGGTGATATATTCTTGGCAGTTTATCAGGCCTCATTTGCAATTATGGTCTGTCCCTTTTGAAGCCCTCAGATAGTTCGCTGGCATTTTAATTTTAATAGCAATTTCTTGCATCTGTTGGAACAGCATTCGTATGACCGGCTTATAAGCAATGATCAGGGCTAGTAAGATGTCACAAAGCTGCGGTGACTTTTCCTTATCAGTTGGGGGTTTTTTTGCCATGATACCATCGTGGAAATGAAAGACAACGTGAAAATCCTGCGTCCTTGTGATATTTCATCAGTGGGAGTGAGCGGGGATCTTAACGCAGTAAGAGGCAAGATAAACGGATGAGAGGCATTAGTTCAGGCTTACAGGAGCAAGATGCTTTTAGTCAAAGTGTTCAAGATAGCTCTCTTAAAGAGGAGCAGTGAAACCCAAAAATGAGTGTCTTTTGAGGGCAGCTGGAAGATGACCCGAGGGGAACTTTTATCCTGGGGTGGAGTCCTGCGAAGCAAGCCGCAGGTGAGGGCGTGGGCCAATTCTGCGCCTCACTGCTGTTAGGCGCAAGGACATCCCGAAACACACTCAACGACACCAGCAGCGAGACTGACAGAAGCGGATCGCCAGCGGGAGCAACAACTTGAGGCGAGCCGTTAGCCGCCTCGCCTTCCTCGCAGCGCCCCTCCCGCGCCCCGGGAAGCCCGTTCGGCTCCGCCTTTTCGACTGACGTCCCGGGCGAGCGGGGGCGGGCGCGTGGGTGGGCCGAGCCGTCTGCAGCCAGCGATTCGGCTGGCTCTGCCACACCACCGCGCGCCCCCGCTCCGCCCGCCCCTCCGGGCGCGTCTTTTCCGGGCTCGCGCTGAGTCCCGCCTCCGCCGGCTGTCCGGGTGCGCGCGCGCCGCTGCGGCTTTTTCTCTGGCCTCCGCCGCGCGCTCCTCCTCGTCCCAGCGCTAGCGGGCACGCGGTTCCTTTTTGCGAGCTTTCCGAGTGCCAGGCGCCGGCCGGCTGCGAAGACGCGGTGGGCCGCCCCTCCGGTGAGTATCCCTGGATGGGGAGGTTGCGGCCCCGGCACCCCTGCCCTGTCGGTACCAGGGCCCCATTTCCAGAGGGGGACTGGCGTACCTCACCTGAGCCGGGAGGAGGTTGGGTGGGCATTCCAGCTCCTGGAGTCGGCTCGCTTTTTTCCTTGAGCCAGGGCTATCTATCCGCTCGCCTCCGCTGGGGCCGGGAAGATTCCCGAGGTCACTGTATCTGCTCCTGTGATGGACTCTGGGGTCCTCGGAACCCCAGCCTGCCTCTTCCTGCCGCTCACCGCATCCCGAGGGCCAGAAGTCATCTTCCTGATCGGGGTACTAGGCTTTGCCACGGCCCTTTCCGGAGGAGACCATGAAGTGCTTGCTAGACCTCCAAACGACCTTTAGGGTGCCCCTAAACCTCAACTCCATTTTGTCCCCTCCCAGTCGCTCTGTAACTGAGGGCTAGGGAGCCTCTCTAGCCCTAGAGGCATCCGCCCTCTCGAATTTGAGGGATGCCGTCGCTTCCGATATCTTCCTTGCTTCCGATATCTTCCTAGCTTCCGTAGGCTTAGGTTTGTTAGAAAACAGCTGGATCCTGGCGAAGCGTGCTTTCCTTCCTTCCCCCACCCCCGTTCTTTCTGTCTACATCCCTGCCTTCAGTGGGTGCTATATATTTAGTATGAGCTTTATTCACTTCCTCTTCCTCTCGTTTGAGTGCCTGAAAGAACTGTGGCTGATGTCTATAGACATAGAAAAATCTAGGAGAATATGATTCATTGTCTAACCCCATCAAGGGGTTACATATTTTAAATAAGACGTCATTTCTCCTCTTCACTCCAGCATCTCCTCCTTCAAAGGCATTTTTCACCCTCTTGAAATTAATACGCTCTATTCGCTCTTTTCACCTAAAAAAAGGTCAATCGTCGCTCTGAGAAACAACAGTGAGATGCAAAATAAGGGTAAAATGGCATTGAAATGAATCCCTTTGAAAAAGTAAGCGGTTTGCTTTATCAGTTAATGGTCTCATCAGCGCTTCAGTTTCCTCTTCTGCAAAAATCAGTCTGTTGAACTAGAGCATATCAAAGGTTCCTTCTAGTGTTTTGATTCTAGGACCTCTAAATTCATGCAGGCTGCATAATGCAAATTTAACCTGATTAAAGCCTTATTTCTCATAGTCGCTTGTCACCTTAGTTTTTCTTTTATTTTGTCTCTAACAAGAAAGACTTTTAAATGTTCTTGATACGTAAGGCAGCAGGTGGAGATTCAATGATGGTACTGCCATTGAGCATATCGGTCAAGATTTTAACAGTGTAAGGCCTCTTCCTTAAATTGTAAAATAGCTCATCTTTTGATTGAAACTGCTAAAGTGTAAGACATGTAAGACTCCTGTTAGAATTAACACTCTCTGCCATTTAGGTGGGGGATGAAACATTAAACTGTTAGTATACTTGTACCTTAGAATAAAGTACCTTATTGTCCTGCTATAAGAAATAATTTGACAACTAAAAATCCATGGAAGGTGTAATACAGCAATTGAAAGCTTGAGTAAATTCAATTTTGTGGGTTTTTTTTTTTTTTTGGAAAACCCCCTATTTAAAAACACAAGTGATTTAGATTAAGATATTTCTTTCAGTATTTTTGGTAGGGGTGAGATGGGTGAAGAAAGAAGAGTCTTGTTCAATTCAGACAAGAGAAATGAATTGGAACTCTGGAGAGGCTCAGGTTCTAGACCCAACTCTAGATATATATTTAACCTTGAACAAGTCACTTCACCTCTCTTAGTTTTTGCATCTGTAAAATAAGTGTCTTTATGGTTGTTGAAATGATCCACAAGTCCCCCAATTTGAATGATATATTCTTATAATGAATATATATGACAAATATATATATACACACGTGTATATATAGGTATACACACACACATATAATGCAATTTGCGTTAAGGCTGTTATAAATCCTGTTATACCAGTTGACTAGAATGTTTTTCTCAAAGGTTTGTGTATAGTGGTTTCAATTTAGGTATACTTAGTTCTTAATCCTGATTAAATAAATAATTATATGTGAAAATCTATAAACTCAGAAGCATTTTACAAATGTTGGGTATTATGTTAATTTCTGCTTGCAAGTGAAATGTGTGTTATACCGCACTATTTTTTAAATGTCCATGGCTTTTAGAAATTTATAAGGGAATGGCTGGGTGTGGTGGCTCACGCCTGTAATCCTAGCACTTTGGGAGGCCGAGGCCGGCGGATCATGAGGTCAGGAGATCGAGACCATCCTGGCTAATACGGTGGAACCCCGTCTCTACTAAAAATACAAAAAATTAGCCAGGCGTGGTGGTGGGTGACTGTAGTCCCAGCTACTTGGGAGGCTGAGGCAGAAGAATGGCGTGAACCCGGAAGGTGGAGCTTGCAGTGAGCCGAGATCGCGCCACCGCACTCACATACTGCCTTACAACTGTAATTGGCTAGGAACTTTAAAATAATATGTGGGCATCTCATTCATTTATTAATTCATTCAACTATCTTCTTCCTTCATCTGTCACGTATGTCAGGCCCTCAGGACATGATGGTTAAGACAAACCCTACTCTATGAGTTTATACTTTGGGCTGATGGAGATGGTTGGGGGGCATGTGGAGAGACAGATGTACATCCAGTTTATTTTTGTTAAAAACAACAACAGTCAAATCAAGGACAAACAAAATTCTGGAGAAGTTAAGTTTCCATAGGGGAGGAAGAGATGATTCTATTAATTGTAGCCTGTAGACTCTTTGACATTACCTTTTTCTCCATCCTTTCAATTGCTGAGCCTTTAGCAAAAATAAAAGCTTTGTTTTTCCACTTCTACCATTGGCTGGTCTTATATACTCTTTCTTTCCCTTTTAACTTTTTATTTTGAGATAGTTGTAGATTCACATATAGTTGTAAGAAATAATACGCTTTATCTAATTTCCCCCAATAATAGCCTCATGCATAAGTATAGTGTAACATCACAACTACAAAATTGAAATCGATGCAATCCATCAACCTTACTCAGATTTCGTCACCTTTAATGCAGTCATTTGCATGTATGTATTTAGTTCTACATAATGTTATCACGTGTAGATTTATATAAGCACTACCACAGTCAAGATACAGAACAATTGCATCACCACAAGGATCCTTTTTGTTGTCTTTTTATAGATGTAGCCATCTCCCTTCATCCCTGACTCCTGGCAACCACTGATCTGTTTTTCATGTCTATAATTTTGTCATTTCAAAAATGCTTATATAAATGAATCACACAGTATATAACCTTTGGAGACTGACTTTACTTCACTCAGCATAATTCCTTGGAGATTAGTGCAAGGAATATACCTTTTATCAATGGCTTGTTCCTTTCCATTGCTGAGTAGTATTCCATAATATGGATTTACTGCAGTTTGTTTAACCAGTCACCTCTTGAAGGGCATCTGATGTTTCCAGGGTTTTTGTTTGTTTTACTTATTTATTTATTTATTTATTGCCTATTTTGAATAAAGCTCATATGAACAGTTGTCCACAGGATTTTGTGTGAACATAAATTTCTGAAATGCCTGAGAGTGTACTTCTTGGGTGGTATAGCACTTGCATGTTTAGTTTTCTAAGGAACTGCCAAACCATTTTCCAGAGTGGCTGTACCATTTTACATTCCCACCAGGAATGTGTGAATGCTCCTCATCCTTGACAGCATTTGGTGCTGTTACTATTTTTTATTTTAGCCATTCTCATAGGTGTGTAGTAATATATCCTCCTAGTTTTAATTTGCATTTTTCTGATCGCCAATGATGTTGATCATTTTTCCATGTGTTTATTTGCCATTCTCTGTATCTTCAGTGAAATATCAGTTCATGTCTTTTGTCCATTTTCTATTTGGATTTTTTTTTTAACCTGGTGAGTTTTAAGAGTTTTTTATTATTTTTTTGAGACGGAGTCTCGCTCTGTTGCCCAGGCTGGAGTGCAGTGGTGCAATCTCACTGCAAGCTCTGCCTCCCAGATTCACGCCATTCTCCTGCCTCAGCCTCCCAAGTATCTGGGACTACAGGCACCCGCCACCACACCTGGCTAATTTTTTTTTTTTTTTGTATTTTTAGTAGAGACAGGGTTTCACCGTGTTAGCCAGGGTGGTCTCGATCTCCTGACCTCATGATCCACCCGCCTCGGCCTCCCAAAGTGCTGGGATTACAGGCGTGAGCCACCGCCCCTGGCCTTTTTATTCTTAATACTAATCATTTGTCAGGTAGTGGTATGAAAATATGTTCTCCCAGTCTGTAGCTTGTCTTTCCAACCTCTTCACAGGGAATTTCACAGAGCAAAAGGCTTTAATTTGGATGAGGTCCAGTTTATTAATTTTTCCTCTATGGACTGTGCTTTTGGTGTCAAGAAATCTTACAAACTTTTGTTATTTAATTTGATTCCTTTCTGTTCTGTATAACATCCATTATTTCTGTAAGCTATTTGAGCATTTTCTCTTTCAACAATTTTAGAGCTCAAATATATTCTGTGAACAAGTGGCCTTAATGGCTTAGAATGTTAATACATATTCACACATGCTCTCACTATATTAAAATGGCTGCCTTAAAAATATAATGTCTACCTCACCAGGCTGTCAAATGCAACATTAAAATTTGTATTTTAAAATTAAATAGACGCATGATATGCTAAAGAGGTTTTTGGTTTCACTTTCTAAATTAAAAATATTTTGGCAAAACTGTATCATTTTCCATCAAGGATTTTGGTAAGTAATCCAAAAAACAAATTTGTGTTCTTATTTAAATGTACTTTGAAAGTCTACTTCTGCATTTTGAGTAGTGAAGTTATGATTCATGACCATGTATTTAGCAGACTTTTCTACTCACTGTTGATTATGAGAATAATGAATAAAAGATCATTGTATTTGACTGTCTAGACTGCATTTTTCCTTTTATAGCAGCTACATGACACTCATTGTAACTGTCTTTTGAAATAAATATTAGGTTCAAGGTGATGTTTACAGTTTTATATTTTGAAAAATGTATGTGCTCATATGAGAAGGAATTATAGGAAAAGGTTAGTGATTAATTTTGAGAATATTCATTTCTGTAAGGCAGTACTGAAATTATTTGTCCCTTCAGTGTTACTATATTTACTCAAATATGTGTGCAGTGAGGGAAGTAGATTGTTATTTGAAAAAGATAAAACATTGGTATAAGGCAGGGGCTGGCAAAATACTGCCTGTGGCCAAATCCTGCCCACCACCGGTTTTTGTAAATAAACTTCTCTTGGAATATAGCCACATCCATTAATTTATGTGTTTTCTGGCCGCATTCACAATACAACATCAGAGCTGAAACAGAGCCCTTATGTCCCGTGAAGCCAATTTTCTCTCTGGACCTTTACAGAAAAAGTGCTGACCCCAGAGATAAGGTAACCTTATAAATTGTTGATTACACACACACACACACACACACACACACACACACACACACACACACACACACAATTTAACAAACTACCCTGACTTTTTATACCTTCTGGTTACATTTCCAGGTGATATTGTGATTCAGGAGAGTGCATTCATTTTCTTTACTAAGTCTCCAAAGCACTGTGGTCTAGGAGCAGCAATAAGGAATGCATAGAGAGTTGAGACGGTTGATTTTGTTGTTAAGTGTGGGTTATTTAAATGTGAATGTGAATTTACATGTGTGGCAATCAGTAAGCTGCAGATAGACTTCTATGCAGTCTATGATGTCTTTTGGAGACCCTGTTGTGAGCTGTAGCGGTAATAAGAGAGCCAGGCATGGTAGTGTTTTTGCTCCTGAAACTGCTATGTGATCTTTAAGTACATAGTAGTAAGAGCCTATCAAACTGAGCTTAGACTGTTGGTTTATTATTTTGTTTGTACAACTTCCTTTTTTATAACGAAGCAGTTGACACTTTAGTTCTTTTAAGTGTTCTAAGTGTAATGTTGAAAATGGAAATTGAGTAAAGACAGGTGGCTGTGTATTTAGAAAGTAATAAGTCTCCATCTCTCATCATACACAAAAATAACTTAAGAATATATTTTAAAAATCTAAGTATATATTTTAAAAAATCTTCTGGAAAGTGTAAGACATCATAACCCAGTTAAAAAGACAAGTGATGGCCGGGCACTGCAGCTCACGCCTATAATCCCAGCACTTTGGGAGGCCAAGGTGGGAAGATTGCTTGAGCCCAGGAGTTTGAGACCAGCCTGGACAACATAGTGAGACCCTGTCTCTAAAAAAAAAACAAAAAAAACAAAACAACAACAACAACAACAAAAAACAACAAAAAAAGCCAGGCATGGTGGCATGTGCCTGTAGTCTTTGCTACTCCAGAGGCTGAAGTGGGAGGATCCCTTGAGCCTGGGAGGTCGAGGCTGCAGAGAGCTATGATTGCACCACTGCACTCTGGCCTGGGTGATAGAGCGAGACCCTGTCTCAAAAAATAAATAAATAAAATAAATAAAAATGAAAAAGCTTCTACATATGCATTAGAAGCTTTAATTGACCTCCACTTAATTGACTCACCACATTGAATAATTTTTATTTCCTTTGTAAAATACAGTGTACACTGAATACTTGGTATTAGTTGGTTGATCTCCAGTACTCCAGCGTGCTTGTTTACCTACCAGTACAGTAAATTTTTTTACTACTAAACCTGTATATGTTGGTTGTATTTGTTTTTTTGTTTGTTGGTTGGTTTGTTTGTTTTTGAGATGGAGTTTTGCTCTTGTTGCCCAGGCTGGAGTGCAATGGTGCAATCTCGGCTCACTGCAACCTCTGCCTCCTGGGTTCAAGCAATTCTCCTGCCTTAGCCTCCCGAGTAGCTGGGATTATAGGTGCCCACCACCATGCCTGGCTAATTTTTTTTGTATTTTTAGTAGAGACGGGGTTTTGCCATGTTGGCCAGGCTGGTCTTGAACTCCTGACCTCAGGTGATCCACTTGCCTCAGCCTCCCAGAATGCTGGGATTACAGGCGTGAGCCACCGTGCTAAGCCTGCTTGTATTTGTTTTTAAAAGGTAATTTGTTTAATATGTTGTAACCTGACAATATATGAGTGGGGGAGATTGGAGTTCTTTTTACTGAAAATTTACAAATGAAATAATATGATGTCTGGGATTTGCTTAACATTATACAAGGGGTGAGGGATGGAGGTGGGTTGTGGGTAGTATGGAAGAAACACAATTCAGCACATATGAATAACTGTTGAAGCTGGGTGATGGTTACATTAGATTCATTATGATGAAACAAATTGTTTTGAGAAGAGTTAATGAAAACAAGTTGCAAAAAAAAATACTGTCCGCTTAAATGTGGGTAAGATGACTATACAAGATACGTGGAAAAAATATAAAAATCTAAAAGAGTTTTATTTTATTTTATTTTATTTTATTTTTTGAGATGGAGTCTCGCTCTTTTGCCCAGGCTGGAGTGCAGTGGCGTGATCTCGGCTCACTGTAAGCTCCACCTCCCGGGTTCACGCCATTCTCCTGACTACAGGCGCCCTCCACCACACCTGGCTAATTTTTTTGTATTTTTAGTAGAGACAGGGTTTCACCGTGTTAGCCAGGATGGTCTCGATCTCCTGACCTCGTGATCCGCCCGCCTTGGCCTCCCAGAGTGCTGGGGTTATAGGTGTGAGCCACCGCACCAGCCATCTAAAAGGGTTTTATACTCACATTACTTGTCAAATGTAAAATCAATGGGCCTGGAGTTAGAGAAAAAGGTCTTGGCCTCTTGGCCCCATATAGAAAGTTTGAGGCTGGCATGGTGGCTCATGCTTGTAATCCCAACATTTTAGGGGGCCAAAGCAGGAGGATTGCTTGAAGCCAGTTCAAGACCAGCCTGAGCAACATAGCAAGACCCTGTCTCAAAAAAAAAAAAAAAAAATAGCTGGGTGTGGTGGCACACACCTGTAGTCCCCAGTCACTCAGGAGGCTGAGACAGGAGGATTGCTTGAGGCCAGGAGTTCAAGGTTGCAGTGAGTCATGATCACACCACTGCATTCCAACCTGGGAGACAGAGTGAGATCCTGTCTTTAAATAAAAAAACAAAACAAAACAAAAACAAAAAAAACCCCAGGTCAGGTACAGTGCGTCATGCCTGTAATCCCAGCACTTTGGAAGGCCAAGGCAGGCAGATCTCTTGAGGCCAGGAGTTTGAGACCAGCCTGGGCAACATGGTGAAACCCCATCTCTACAGAAAATTTTTATTATTATTATTATTGAGACGGAATCTCGCTCTGTCGCCCAGGCTGGAGTGCAGTGGCATGATCTCGGCTCACTACAACCTCCGTCTCACAGATTCAAGCGATTCTTCTGCCTCAGCCACCCGAGTAGCTGGGATTACAGGTGCCCACCACCACACCCGGCTAATTTTTGTATTTTTAGTAGAGATGAGGTTTCGCCATGTTGGCCAGGCTGGTCTCAAACTCCTGACCTCAAGTGATCTGCCTGCCTCAGCTTCCCAAAGTGCTGAGACTACAGGCGTGAGCCACCACGCCTAGCCCAAAAAATACAAAAATTTAGTTGGGCATGGTGCCATGTGCCTATGGTTCCAACTACTGGGGAAGCTGAGGTGGGAGGATTGCTTGAGCCCAGTAGGTGGAGGTTGTAGTGAACTATGATCACTCACGTCATTGCATTCCACCCTGGGTGACAGAGTGAGACCTTGTCTCAAAAAAACAAAAACAAAAATTAGCCAGGCATGGTGATGCACAACTGTAGTCCCAGATACTTGGGAGGCTGTGGCAGGAGGATAGCTTGTGCCCGGGAGGCAGAGGTTGCAGCGATCCAAGGTCACTCCACTGCATTCCAGCCTGGGCATCAGAGCAAAACCCTGTCTCAGAAACAAACAAAAAAACAAAAAAGCCCCCCAAAAATAAATAAACCAAAACCACACACACACAAAGTTTGTTGAATGAGTATATATATACCACTGATGAAAGGAAGGTGAAATGTTTGCCATACATATTTTTATGATCGTTTACCTGAAATTAACCTTTTAAATTACATAACCAATTGTTCTAAATCACATTAGATAAAAGGGTTTCTACTGCATAATATCCATAATATATAAAGAGCTCCTAAAGATCAATAAGAGAAAGGTACCCACTACAAAAAGCAAAAAGTGGCAGAAGATTATACATGGGCATTTCCCAGGAAAAGAAGTACTGGTGAATAAAAAAGAAAAGATGTTCAAATTGACTCTGGTTATTAGGGAAATGTAAACCGTTTTTCACCAGACAGATTGGCAAGAACTTAATATCCACTTTTAACAAATAGGCATTTGCATACACTGTTAATGAGAGTTCACATGTATAACTCTTTGCTGAAGAATACCAAAATCATCTCATTTTTAAATGTGCATACATTTTGACCCAATAGTTTTATTAGAAAACAATTCTAGGGAAATATTACATGTGTATAAAACTATGTATAAGGTTTCGCTGCAGTGAAACTGTTTGTAACTGTGAAAATTTGGCAGTATCCTAAATATCCATCAGTAGGGAATGATTTAAATAATGGTAAGTTATACTGTGGAATACCATTGAGTTATTAAATAAAAAAAGAAGAAAAGCCTCTTGGTTAGACATATATATACACTGACATAGGAGTTCCAAAGTATGCTGTTAAGCAGGGGAAGAGAGGGGGAGGGAGTCAAAGAACAGTTGTATACCATAATTCCACTTATCTAAAAATAAACCCTTATCATGTGTATGGGTAATACAAAACAATCTGATTGATACACATCAAGAGTAATTATCCCTAGAGGAAAAGAGAGTGGTGTTAGAGGAGGGCAGTATAGTTTTACTTTTTCTCTGTACAATTCTATATTATATATTATAATTTACAATTACAATTTTGATAGTAGGTATGCAGATTACTATTATAGCAAAATACAATTACTATTTTGATAGTAGGTATGCAGATTACTAATATTAAACATTTGCACACTGGAGGATGCTTATAATAGGATTCCTTCATTCTACAACAACACTCTACTGTAAATGTAATTAATGCCTTGTACTGAACACTCAGGTTTTTAAAAAAATGATGTTTTCTGCTATCGATGAAGTATTGGTATTTTCTAAATTTTTGACACCAAAAATATAAGTATAAAAAAGAATAAAAACAGTAATTTCATACCCAGAAACATCCATTGTCAACTTTTTGGTATATATGCTTGTGCTTATATGTATGGACACTTGCATGCACATGTGCACACATATATCACCTTTCTACAAAAATGGGTTTTTACTGTACATACTGATTTGTAACTTGCTTGTTTAACTCGACACTATATTGTGAGCATCTTGCAGCATCAGTAACTCCGAGTAAGTGAAAAAGACATCTGGTGGGAAAAGGCCAACATCGTGCCATGTAAATACAGTGTTTTAGTTAAAATAACTGGTTTCTAGGACAAACCAGAATTAAAAAAAAAAAAAAGTCATGGTCACCAAAGTAAATAACCAAGGAATTTTAAAGTCTTTAATGTTGAGTCAGTTCAGTTCTGTTTTGAATTTAACTATGAACATGTTATTTACAGTGTAGTTATCAATGATGATGTAAAAGTGCAATATATTAAAATATCATTAGGAAGCTTTTTTTGGGTGGAGTTTGATTTTAGCGAAGAATTAAACACTGAACCTGAATGGTTATTTTTGTTCAAAGAAAAACCAACTGCTGTGGCTAGTTTTTGGTAGAGGTGTGTGTAGTTGTATTCTTTTGCAACTTATAAAAGTAAAGAAAATCTAGGTATCTGTGGCAACATAACCTTTTTCTATGATATCTCAGTTTGTAGTTTATCAAATTGATTATTAGGAGAACTGTGTCAGAGAATTAAGTTTGATTTGGGCAAGTATGTGTGTATGCTACTTTCTCTTGTCATCTAGAAGTATTTGTTAAACAAATTTGCTGAAGACCCATTATAATTTCCTCTGGGTTTATGCTGTAGGACTTAGAGGTGAAAATATCTTACTTTTGTTGAAGGGTTTTTGTTACTTACTATTTTCCATGAATTCAACAGTGCATTTTACAAAACAAGATTCTACCTGGTAGACAATGGTGTTAATGTGAAGGCCCAACATAGCTATACTCAGGTTTTTATTATGATGATTGAAACAGTGTCCCTATTCTCCAAAGCCATTTAGGCCTTTTTGGAATTGATTTCACAGTACAGAGGATTTTAGGTGCTATCAAGTTAGCAGATTTTAAAGGGAATCAGGATAGAGTTTCTCTATTTCTCACTTAGTTAATGAGAGGGCATGTGAGATTGAACTTTTACAGAGGCATTGAAAATGTTAATGGTGGATTCTTGTGGTAGTTATGAGGTTAATGGAGTGGGGAGGTATGGTGAAATAACTGTTTCTTCTTTTTTCTTTTCTTTTCTTTTTTGTTTTTTTTTTTGACGGAGTCTTACTCTGTCACCCAGGCTGGAGTGCAGTGGCAGGATCTCGCCTCACTGCAACCTCTGCCTCCCAGGTTCAAGCGATTCTCCTGCCTCAGCCTCCCGAGTAGCTGGAACTACAGGCATGCACTACCACGCCTGGCTAATTTTTGTATTTTTAGTAGAGATGGGGTTTCACCATGTTGGCCCGGCTGGTCTCGAACTTCTGACCTCAGGTGATCCGCCTGCCTTGGTCTCCCAGAGTGCTGGGATTATAGGCATGAGCCACCACGCCTGGCCCCTGTTTTTTCTTAGGTATTCTGTTTTATTACCTTTAATGTGGACTTTAAGTATTTTAATACTATAAATAATGATAGGGTTTTGTACGACCAACTCTCCTGGGGAATACCTGAATGATGTTTTATCAAAGAAAACCTGGAGAAATAGGCAGAGCTGCCCTGCTAAGATGGTGAAAATTCACTGTGCTTCAGGATATGTTAGTAATTTCTGCTTTCCAGATGAACTGAAAACTGAAAACTCCCTCAGTCAGGAGACAGGAACTTGGTGAATGAGCATAAAATTCAGTCATGGTTTTGAGAAGAAAAAGAAGAACTAGCACTAATACCACATGGGATGAATCCAAGTAAAAGATCTATGTTCCACATGACGACTGAAAGTTGAGAAGCAGCTTCAAAGAACAGTTGAAAAATCACAACTTTACTGAAGGGTAGAACTCGGCAGAAATAGCTGTAGCAATTGTTAGATGAATATGTTTCAGACAAACAGAGCAGAAAAGAGAAGAGAAGGCCTAGGATAATGATATTTCTTCACCTGGAACCATGGAAACTTTCCCGATTTGGTCAACAGTCAATTGCAAGGTTAGTCTAGGACGGTTTAAAGTCTTTAGTGGAATATTTCGGGTTCAGAAAGTGTCAGCAAGCAAAGCAAAGACCCATTTTGGAAGGCATTGGGGTCCCTTCTGTACCTAGACAATTCCTTATAGGAGTAGGTTAGAATTTCTGTGAAGCAAGTTGTTTTTCTATAACCTGGAAACTACAAAAGGCAGGGCTCAGGCACACTGTATTGGTGAATTATAGCAACCTGTAGATGGGAAGCTGTGTAGTTTTTTTATTTCTTCAAGTAGAAATGTGAGTATTAGCACATTCATTCAAATAGAGTTACATGTTATAAATTTTTAAGCAAAATAACTGACCTAAGTATGTTATACAGCTCAAATTTCCCCCCAGAAAATTTTGGACTGTTTTACTAAGATTTTAGTTTTTAGTGTCAAGTATTAAGGCCAGGATTTTTATGTGGAAGCAGGTTTTTAAAAATTTATATACACATTGACTTAATTTTAACATCCTCTTGATCATCAAGAGATTAAGTATTTAAATGTTTGTAGGAAAGTAGCTTTTTTTTTTTTGAGTCTCGCTCTGTTGCCTAGGCTGGAGTGCAGTGGCGTGATCTCGGCTCACTGCAATCTCTGCCTCCTGGGTTCAAGTGATTCTCCTGCCTCAGCCTCCCGAGTAGCTGGGATTACAGGCCTGTGCCACCACGCCCAGCTAATTTTTGTATTTTTAGTAGAATTACTAAAAATTACTAAAATTACATGTTGGCCAGGCTGGTCACAAACTCCTGACCTCAAGTGATCTACCTGCCTTGGCCTTCCAAAGTGCTGGGATTACAAGCCTGTGCCACCATGCCTGGCCAGGAAACTAGCTTTTTTGTTTTTGTTTGTTTGTTTGTTTTTTGTGAGATGGAGTTTTGCTCTTGTTGCCCAGGCTGGAGTGCAATGGCACGATCTCAGCTCATCTCAACCTCCGCCTCCCGGGTTCAAGCGATTCTCTTGCCTCAGCCTCCTTAGTAGCTGGGATTACAGGCATGAGCCGTCATGCCTGGCTAATTTTCTATTTTTAGTAGAGACAGGGTTTCTCCATGTTGGTCAGGCTGGTCTCGAACTCCCGAACTCCCGACCTCAGGTGATCCACCCACGTCAGCCTCCCAAAGTGCTGGGATTACAGGCGTGAGCCACCACGCCCGGCGGAAAGTAGCTTTTTAAAGGAAACATTCCCCCAAAGAATTGACTTCATTATAGGTGGTATCCCTTAAAATACAGACTGTTTCAGAAGAGGCAGCAGCAGAATGAAAACTTTCATGGTGAATTCCCCACCTTCTATTTTATTCCTGTTTTGAAATGGAGTTCCCCAACATCACCATTACAGCTCAGCCATATCTTTGCATTTCTTTGTGGACTTAGTTAGAACTGAATGATTGATGATTTTCAGCGCGAGGAGTACAAAATAGGGGAGTTGATACTTGCATCAGCCCTGCTAGCTGCCTTGAATCCTAGCTCAGTAGGGGTCACTCTTAAGCTGCCATAGGCATAACAACTTCTACATAGGTGGCACTTCTGGCACTTTGGAGAACATTCTAGTGGTGGGATAGTTCCCTAACCCCTGTCTTATCTCTGTGGTACCCTGCATCTATGCCATTTTTGTTTGGTTACATAAAATGTTTCTGTGGAGTGATTGGCCTATGATTGCATTGATAACATTTAGTAAAACAGAAGATTTGTTCCTAACACGTTTTACAGAGCTGATCTTTTTATTGAAAAATCCCTAACCCTAAAGACCACAGTTTTTTGTTTGTTTATTTTGTTTGTTAGCCTCATAGGGATAAAGTGCTTCCTTATAATCTTGTTTCCAATTGTCTTCAACTGAGGAAGAGGAAGTCTGTTGACTGTCTCCCTGCACCCCCTCTGATTGAAGGATCACCTTGCTTAGGGCACTGCCAGCTTAAAAGTGGAGGTGGATGCCATACTAGGACATTACCAAAGATGAGGAGGAGTGGCAGTGAACTTAGAGTCTATAGCCAGAGTGTACATTGAATTTTAAAAACCAATAATCTGAGATCTAGTCTGTACTTAAGAGACATATTTAAACAACAAATTGTAGACTATGGGATTTCTTTTCTTTCTTTTTTTTTTTTTTTTTTTCTTGAGACAGGGTTTCACTTCTTTCACCCAAGTGCAATGGTGTGACCTCGGCTCACTGCAACCTCCACCTTCTGGGCTCAAGCAATCCTCCCACATAAGCATCCTAAGTACTGGGACCACAAGCTCATGCCACCATGCCCAGTTAATTTTTGTATTTTTTGTAGAGACAGGGTTTTGCCATGTTGCTCAGGCAGGTCTCCAACTTGTGAGCTCAAGCAGTTTGCCTGCCTCAGTCTCCCAAAATGTTGGGATTACATGAGTAAGCCACTGCGCCTGGCTGACTATGGGATTTCTTAAGCTAAGTAGTATATTGAAAAGTCTGCAGTGTTTCATTTGATGATCAGTCTCCAGTGAAAATCTGCAAAATTGAGTCAAAACTGAATTTGTCTTTCAAAGTTGGGATTATTGTTATATAACACTTTCATGGTACTTAATGACTTCAGTGAGATGTAAGTAACACATTTTGAAGCAGCTCACTTCGGTTGAAAGAATTATTTTTCAACCTGGAGTTGATTTCTTCAATTTCGCATCATTCCTAGCAAATTGTAACATTAAGGTCATATTATTTGTCCAGTCTTTTCTAAATGCTGTAACGTTTTGTCATGAAATCATGGGAAAATGTTACTTTTGCATTGTGAGGAGTGAGTAGGAATTTGTTTAGGACAGAAAACCAAATCTTAGAATTGTGGACTTTGCTTATGACTTCTACCTCTTTAGTTAAAATCAAAGTTGCGCAGTTACCTGTTTGAGTTGCATAAAACAGTTCTGTGGGATGATCCTCTCAACCATGGTTATCCAGCCTTTTGGCTTCCCTGGACCATGTTGGAAGAAGAATTGTCTTGGGCTACACATAAAATATGCTAACACTAATGATAACTCATGAGCTTAAAAAAAAAAATTAAAGGTGTATACATAATTTTCACGATATCTACCACCAGAGATAAGCAAAAATGTCCTCGCATTCAAAGGGTTGGACACGGCTGTGAGTATAAACTATTGGAAATTGTGTTGAGTTTGATTTTTGGCCAGGGTTAGGGCCATGTCCTGCTATTGCCAGACCATTTTTTTCCCTTGCTCTTACCGGCACTGCCCCATTGCTGCAGAAAGACCAGGATGCTGTCTGGGCTTGGCACAAGGCTCTGAACCTCAATGTCATTCCCTTCTACTTTCAGGCATTAGCAGCCCTGAAAACCATAAGATGGGGCTGTTAAAAGCATTTTGAAATTAATCTTTTCTTGTTCTTTTTTTTTGTTTTGAGATGGAGTTTTGTTCTTGTCACCCAGGCTGGAGTGCAATGGCGCTATCTGGGCTCACTGCAACCTCCATCTCCTGAGTTCAAGCAATTCTCCTGCCTCAGCCTCCCTAGTAGGTGGGATTACAGGTGCCCGCCACCTTGCCCAGGTAATTTTTTGTATTTTTAGTAGAGACGGGGTTTCACCATGTTGGTCAGGTTGGTCTTGAACTACTGACCTTAGGTGATCCGTCCGCCTCGGCCTCCCAAAGTGCTGAGATTACAGGTGTGAGCCAATCTTTTCTTATTCTTAAAAAAAAATCAGGCTTGTAAGACGCGGTCACATAGCCATCAATCAGAGTTAAAGATGTATGGTAAGAGAGAACAGGTTTGTTTTCAAAACTGTCCTCTGTGTTGGCCTTAGTTTTGCCTTTGATGAAAAAGCAAACTACCCTCTTATATTTTATTGCTATTCATATTGGTTGCAGATGCTTCAAGGAGGATTGAATTACTGCCTAGTTTAAAGGTGATATATCTTAAATAATCATAGAAATAGCTGCAAAAGGATATCTTAAAGGTACATTACATTGCAGATGCAACAGAAGCTAAATGCATTAGGGATACATGGGCAATATCTACTAGTAGGAAATATCAGCACTGTTAGGATTACAGCCATTTTCTTGGCTGACCTTTGTATGGGGATACATAACTCTCCTTCCTTAAATAGTATTTCATTGAGATGGGAAAAAAGACTCCTGCTCTGCTTGGGCTTTTTTAGTGCTCTGGCCCTTCTCTTTAAATCTGTTGTTAAGAGTTCTTGTTTTGGCACTATGCAAAAGTGCCTTATACTGAGGCATTTTAAGTACTTAAACAATGAAACCTCCGTTGGCTGTGTTCCACAGTGGAACTAACCCATTCCAAACTTTACACTTGCTGGAGTATTATAACCAGACAGCAGTGTTGTTTGTAACAGCTGGCTAGTCTGTAGATGAAATTGATCAAGATGTTTTAGTTTCTCAGTTGGTGCCTTTCAACTCTGCATTTTTCTTCCTCTATTCTTTCAGAACCTCACTTTCATCCTTTGGCTTTGCATACTTTTCCTTGCCCCAATATTTGAAGGAAGTTTTTAATAACATTCATTTTCAAAGCAAGCCAGGTGATACTTAAGTAGTAACAGGTATAACTGGTTAATTCCAGAGGGTAACTATTATTTTTAACTTTTAAAAAGCATATAATTGTCAGGTTGGGCAATTATTATAGGGTTGAGGATTGCCTCATGTGTGACCTTCCTTTCCTATTCTACCTACATGTCTAGTTCTCTGTGTTAGTCTTCTGTCCACTTAAAATATCAATTGAACAGTAAGCTCCACAAAGGCAGGGCATAGTATATACTTACTGAGTATTTCTTGAACAAATGCACGCACATGTACCTGTAATTACCCAGGGTTTGGGAAACTAGATTTTAAAAAATATTTTGAAGGGAAAGGGTTGTTACTGGCTATACTTAACTTTTAATTTTCTCCCTCCTTAAATCAACATGTTATTCTTCAGCAATGATGTTTACAAAACCAAATAAAATTAGAATTAACCATTTGTTTCCCACTTCAGTGAGTCCGTACCCAGTGGGGTGATGTCACTGTCATATTTAGGAGAGGCCAGATGATATAATTGCCTTTATAACTTTCTGTTACAATTTAAAAGAGCACAGTGACTTACTACCAGAAAAGCTTTGTACCATCATATTCTTGTTTATATGTAGGGACCACTTAACCAAGTGGATACTTTTGTTTAGATTTTTAAAAGTTTTAGTTTCATGTCTTCTAAACTTTAAAAATATCATCTTATTATATGATTTATTGTTTTGATCTCTCTCTATATATATATATAATTTTATTTTTTTGAGATGCAGTCGGAGTGCAGTGGCATGATCTCAGCTCACTGCAACCTCTGCCTCCTGGGTTCAAGCGATCCTCCTGCCTCAGCCTCCCAAGTATCTGGGATTACAGGTGTACACAACCATGCCTGGCTAATTTTTGTATTTTTTTGTAGAGACAGGGTTTCGCCTTCTTGACCAGGCTGGTCTCAAACTCCTGACCTCAGGCGATCCTCCCACCTCAGCCTCCCAAAATGCTGGGATTACAAGCATGAGCCACTGTGCCTGGCCTGTTTTATGATTTTAAATTACAGAAAATTTGTTTAAGATAGTTCAGAGGTCCTGTGTAATGTGCCCCCAGCTTCCCCTAATGTTAACATTTTATATAACACTAGTGTGATACTATTAACTAAACTAAGGAATTTATTTGGATTTCCCTTGTTTTTCTACCAAAATCTTTTTCTTTGGTTTCAGAATTCAAAATTATTATACATGTTTATTTTAGAAAACGTATGTATATAAAAACATAAAACAAAATACGGTGATCTTCCTACCCAGAGACAACTACTGATATTTTTAGTATATATCCCTCATTCCTGGTCTCGAACTCCTGAGCTCAAGGGATCCCCCCTACCTCAGCCTCCCAAAGTGCTAGGATTAGAGGCATGAGCCACTGCACCTCTTGCTTTTTTTATACTTAATATTAGCATTTACTTCTTTTGTGAACCTCTTGCCATGTTTGCTGTTTTTAATACATGTAGTTACATAGTCATAGGTTGCTTAATGACAGGGACATGTTCTGAGAAATGGGTTGTTAGGCAATTTCATCATTGTGAACATTATAGAGTGTACTTACAGAAACCTAGATGGTATAGCCAACTATGCACCAAGACTGTATGGTACAGCCTATTGCTCTTAGGCTACAAACCTGTACAGCATGTGACTGTATTGAATACTGTAGGCAGTTGTAACACAGTGCTCAGTATTTATGTATCTAAATATATCTAAACATAGAAAAGGTACTGTAAAAAAAAACGGTATAAAAGATGATAAAATGGTTCAGCTATATAGGGTGCTTACCATAAATGGAGCTTGCAGGACTGGAAGTTGCTCTGGGTGAGTCAGTGAATGAGTGGTGACTGACTGTGAATGCCTAAGACATTACTGTACACCACTGTCCACTTTATAAATACTGTACACTTATGCTACACTAAATTTATGAAAATATTTTTATTCAGTAATAAATTAACCTTAGCTTACTATAACCTTTTTAGTTTACAAACTTTTAAATTTTTTTGACTTTTTGATTCTTTTATAACATTTAGCTTAAAACAAACACACTGTACAGCTGTACAAAAATATTTTTTCTTTATGTCCTTATTCTAAAAGCTTTTTTATATTTTTAAAATTGATTTTTTTCTCTTTAAACTTCTGTGTTAAAACTAAGACACAGTCTCAAAACAAAAACAAAAACAAAAAACTAAGACACAATCACAAACATTAGCCGAGGCCTACAAAGGGTCAGGATCATCAGTATCGCTGTCTTTCACCTCCACATCTTGTCCCACTGGAAGGTCTTTAAGGTCAGTAACATGCATGCAGTTGTCATCTCCTATAAGAGTGTCTTCTTCTGGAATACCTCCTAAAGGACCTGCCTGAGGTGCTTCTTGAGAAGGTGTCATTCTTTTTAGAAATATTGATATGTCCATGGTGGTTTGCTAGTATTCTTGAATAATGTGCCCTGCTGTGACTTCACTAGTCTACAGGAATTTTTCATCTCCATTATATTCTTATGGGACGACTGTATATGCAGTCCGTCATTGACTGAAATGTTATGTGGTTCATGACTGTAGTTTATTCCCTATTTTTAGATATTTTGTTGTTTCCATCTCTTTGCTCAGTTAATTCTTCATGATTTTAAGTAAAAGGCCAACTGTGTGTGTCTTCTCAATCTTTTCCCCCCTAACAAATGAGAAATATGACACTCTTATCATTACAGTGGCTCAATAAGCCAGTGATTCTAAATGTATGTATATTATGTTGAACGACTTGAAATTGCCTTTTTTTTTTGTCTGTAGCAAATTTTTTACTATTGGCAATTTTATGTGGTTCAACCTAATAGCTTGAAAAAGATTTCTAGGTTATTCTGACCACCCTGCACCCCTGTCCCATCTCTCACTTCCCTGAGAATCTGCATTTAGAATAGTGAGCTGTTTCTGAAGCCTTTGGACTAAGCAACAATGTTGACAAACTTACCTTCCAGGAGTCTCTGATAAGCACAACATCCTGAAGACATATCCTTGTGTTGATGACATATGCAGAGAACTTTAACTATAGTGACTTGCATCTGTGTGTCAGTACGGTAGAGATAGACTTCTGAGTTTTCACCTAAGCTCTGCAAGAGAGCCTGATGGTCCTCTATCCTGGTTCCATATCTGTAGTGACTAGCTAAGGACAGTGGTGCCACCCAGTGGCACGTTATAGACAAGCTGCTGATGTTGCTTTAGCACTCTTCACTGCATCAAATTCTTTCCTTTCCCATCCCTTTCCCTTCCCCTTCCCTTCTTCCCTTCTTCCCTTCATCCCTCCTTCCCTCCCTTCCTTCCTCTCTCCCTTTCTTCCCTTCTCTCTTCTCTCCTCCTTCCCTCCCTCCCTTCTTCCTTTCTTTTTGTTTTCTTTCTTTTCTCAGGGTCTCACTCTGTCGCCCAGGCTGGAGTGCAGTGGCGTAATCTCAGCTCACTGCACCCTCCACCTCCCAGGCTCAAGCGATCCTCCCACCTCAGCCTCTGGAGTAGCTGAGACTACAGTCGTGTGCCACCACGGCCTGCAAATTTTTGTACAGACAAGGTTTCCCCATGTTGCCCAGGCTGGTCTGAAACCCCTGGGCTCACATGATCCGCCCACCTCAACCTCTTTAGTAGCTGGGACTACAGGCACATGCCATGGCAGCTGGCTTTCTTTTTCTTTCTTGCATACTCTTCCACATTCATGGTCTCATTTTCCTTTTATTTTCCCCACCTATGCCACTGGCACTTACGAGCTTCATTTCGGCCAGCTGATAATATTCAGGGACACTAGCCATATAATTTTGCTGTGATACCCTTATTTTAATAAAGCTTTGGAATATAGGATGTGAAATAGTAAGTGTAAACACACTGAACACACTGTCACTTACTCTGCTTATGAAGTCGTGGTTCTTACCCAGAATTGGCATCAAGTTTGTACTTGGTCAGAATATGGCACTTCTTGGCCAGGCATGGTGGCTTACCTCTGTAATCCCAGCACTTTGGGAGGCAGAGGTGGGAGGGTCGCTTGAGCCCAGAAGTTTTGAGACCAGCCTGGGCAAGATGGTGAGACCCTGTCTCTACAAAATTTTTAAAAATGAACCAGGCATGATGGCGAGTGCCTGTAGGCCCAGCTACTCAGGAGGCTGAGGTGGGAAGCTTGCTTGATCCCAGGAATTTGAGGCTGCAGTGAGCTGCGATTGTGCCACTGTGCTACAGCCTGGGCAACAGAGCAGGACCCCATCTCTTAAAAAAATGCCACTTCTCCTGTTCAATGATGAGACTCCTAATATATGAGAGGAGGCCCTCCTATGTATTTCAAATGTGGAGAGGCATATACTTCTACTCAGATTGAAAGATTTATCTTGGAAATCCTTTTTTGGTTTCCTTTCTACATAATATGACTTCTTATTTCATTCCAACTTAATTCCAAAAATATTTATCCAGCACCTACTGTGAACCAGTACTGTGCTAGGCCCCAGGTATTACAGTAGTTATCAAGACAGACATGACCTCTGCCTCTAAGGAGCTTAGAGCCTAGCAGGGGAACAGGAACTTAGACAAATTTAAGTGCTGTCCCGTAGGGTACTTTGAGGTCAAATAGCAGAGGCACTTCACGTAACATAGGAGGTCAAGGAAGGCTTTCTACACATTTCATTTAAATGAAGACCTAAAGGGAAGCAAGAAAAGGCAGAAGAGAATGTTACTGGCAAAGGGAAAAGCATGTGCTAGAAGCAAGCAGAGATGAGAGATTAAGCTTGATGCTTTTGAGAAATTAAAAGAGGTTCAAGTTCGTAATGGCTACAGCTGTGAGATCAACTCTTTTAAGTCTCATGACAGTACCTGTAACTAATAATATTATCCCCTCCATTTTTATGGTTGTGGCAAATGAGGAAAAGATGTTAAATATTTTGCCCTAGGTCATCCATCTCTAGTAAGTGGCACAGCCAGGGATTGAACCCAGGTCATCTGGCTGTAGCATATTGGCTCCTAACTACCATACTGGATTGCCTCTCAGCTGGGGCATAGTCTTCCTTAGTAAATGGAATGGTCTGTGTCTGGTACTACCTACCATAAAAAGAGCTGGAGCTTATAGGATCTGGATTAGTTTAGAAATACAGGTTTGCTTTAGTCTTTTATTCTTGATTGGGAATGAAATGCTTCATTTGATATGCAACTCTGAGGCTATTGACACATATTTTCCAAAAAACCATAGATGGGAAATTATAACTGGTTACATGTTTATTACAAAAATAAAATTGGTGTGAAATATGTATTTCCTGCAAGGCTAGGGTTTTTGTTTGATTGTTAAAGTTAACTTGGCAATATCCTTTTCTCTGATTTTTAAAGTTAGGCTGAGTGCAGTGGCTCATGCCTGTAATCCCAACCCTTTGGGCAACCAAGGCCGGAGGATCACTTGAGCCCAGAAGTTTAATACCAGCCTGGTTAAGATAGTGAGATGCTTACTCTACAAAAATAAAAAAATAAGTTAGCTGGATGCAGTGGTGAGTTTCTAAGTCCTAGTTATAGGAGGCTAAGGCAGGAGGATCCCCTGAGCCCAGAAGTTCAAGGCAGCAGTGAGCTATGATTGTGCCACTGTACTCCAGCCTGGGTGACAAAGCAAGACCCCATCTCTCAACAAAAAAAATTAAAAATTAAAAAATAAAATTAGTTAAAGGGTGAACATAACTTATTAAATAGGACTATACTTTTTTAAAGTCACAAATCAAATACCTATACACGGAGATATTTTCTTACAATGCATCTGATTTATCCTATATCTGTTTAAGATACAAGTGTGTTTTTTGTGAGATGAGAAATTGACTTCAGTTTGAAGTCATCAGTTAAGGTGTTAATCTAGATTCTAGAAATTGGATTATAAATGTTGCACATAAACTAAGATTGTAGTAATTTGATATCATTGAAAAACACTTGGAATAAAGAGTCTTGTGTGTTTGTGTGATTAATGGTGTGCAGCTGGTGCTTTCATTTACTTGCCCGTCGTATATGACTGTGGATTCAAACAGGAGTTTTTACTTGGAAGTGTTTTTCCAGGAGTGAAGGTTGGCTTCTGCTAATATACCCATACATTCTTGCCTTGTTCTCTATGGGATGAAAGTTAGGATACAACTAGGGTCATCATTAGGATATTTTTGCAAAAGAAAGAGGGGTTTGATAATTATGCTGGGACAACCACAGGACAGTCCTCAGAAAGCTGGGAAATGTGTTCACCTACATTTTATTTTATTTTATTTTTTGAGACAGAGTTTCACTCTTGTTGCCCAGGCTGGAGTGCAATGGCGTGATCTTGGCTCACTGCAACCTCCGCCTCCCGGGTTCAAGCGATTCTCCTGCCTCAGCCTCCTGAGTAGAGGGGATTACAGGCATGCACCACCAGGCCCGGCTAATTTTGTGTTTTTAGTAGAGACGGGTTTTCTCCGTGTTGGTCAGGCTAGTCTTGAACTACCGACCTCCGTGATCCGCCTGCTGCAGCCTCCCAAAGTGCTGGGATTACAGGCGTGAGCCACCGCACCCGGCCTCGCCTTCATTTTAACCAGTTTATCTGGGGATCAGGTTTGTGACTCTAGCTTCCGAAGTACTGGCTCAACCCAGTTTAGCGAACCATCAGTGACAGAGAGATTTCCCTCTACTTTGGAGTAAAAGTTAATTTTTGAGAAAATATTCTGTTGTATTATTATACTGGAATTGTATGCGTAGCAGCTGTATTCTTTTTATACTTTTTAGCATTGTGAACTCCATGCTGCCAGACCCTGTTGGGGTTATTGCAGGACACATTTGTAGATGTGTGGGCCTTACAGGAAGTGAAATTACTTAATGATATTTTACCACTGCTCGAAACATTTCGAAAGAAAAACTTTGAGAGAAAGAAATGATTCAGCCTTTTCTGCCTCCTACTTTTTGAAGTCAGCTAGTACACATTTGTAATGTGATAGCACAGTTGATTGGAATGTCTGAAGCTAGACAGGTAAGATGATACCCTTTGAAGTTTGAGTATTTGGTCCCAGAACCAGGTTGTAAAGAAGAAAGTACTGATGGAAAGCTCACTTCTGAAATCCCCTCCTTTCACAGGCCCTCTGATCACCCGTGTGGAAAGTAGCCCTCTGGGTCTACTAATCACAGACATCAAAGGAATGATATTCATTTGGTTCCTTTTGCTTGAGTTACCTTCTCCTGGGGCAGGCTTAATTTCCTGTAGGGGACTGATTCTGGTCAGTTGAAAAACATTTTCATTATGGGGCAGAAGGTTGCAAGTATGGCATGGTACCTATTCTATCTCATGCAGATATAATCTGGCATTTGAGTTCCCATTTGTTTTAATAGGATAAGTAAGTAGAACTCTTAGCTTTAAAGAAATTTATACTTTCATCTGTGCAGAACCCCTCATGATTGTCTGGCTTTTTGATATTGTCTGTTAACTTGCTATTACAGGTTGAGTATCTCTTATCCAAAATGCCTGGGGCCAGAAGTGTTTGGATTTTGGAATTTTTCAGGTTTTGGAATATTTGCATTATATACTGACTGGTTGAGCATCCCTAATCCAAAAATCTGAAATACTCCAATGAGAATGTCCTTTGTGTGTCATGTTGGTGCTCACAACGTTTCAGATTTTGGAGCATTTCAGATTTTGGATTTTCAGATTAGGGAGACTCAGCTTGTACCAGTCAATTTTTGTTAGTCACGTTTTGACATAAGGGACACCAAAAGGATGCTTAGCTTCAGAAAACAGTTAACCATGGTAGTTATAGTAAGGAAGAAAACCCTCATTTTATTTAGCTTATAGGTTATATTACATGAGCAAAAGAAGAGTTTATTTTGCTTTGAGCCTAATTTAAAAACCGAAGATCTAACCTGCTTTCCTTAGTACAAATAAAGCCAACTTTTAGCTCCTTTTACAGTATTACTTTGCCACTTGAGTAGGGCTAAACACCTTTTGGACCATATTCATTGTTACTATCAATACATAGACACACATTAGAATTAATTGAAAGGCTGGTGCTATATTTTCTACTTTATTATTAAATGATAAAAGTAACATTCACTGTAGAAGTTTTAGAAAATGTAGGGAAATTATAAGGATAAAACTAAAAATAACCTCTACGTGGGTGCAGTGGCTCATGCCTGTAATCCCATTACTTTGGGAGGCTGAGGCAGATGGATCGCTTGAGCCCAGGAGTTGGAGACCAGCCTGGGCAATGTGGTGAAACCCTGTCTCTACCAAAAATACAAAAAATTAGCCTGATGTGGTGGCGCATGCCTGTAGTCCCAGCTACTCAGGAGGCTGAGGTGGAAGGATGGCTTGAGCCCAAGAGGTCGAGGCTGCAGTGAGCCAAGATTGCACCACTGGATTCCTGCCTGGGTAACCGAGCAAGACCTTGTCTCAATAAAAAAAAAAATCACCTGTAATTCTGCAACCTAGAGATTAACATTTTGGTTTATAGCCTACATAAATTTGAGGAAGTTGATCTTGAGTATGAAGTTTCATCTTAAACCAATTTCACTTCATATATCTTAAACATTTTCTCATACTCTTAAATACTCTGGCAATGCTGCATTTGATGGCCGCATAGTATTTGATCACATGGATACATTATTTTACCAATCACCTATTGGGAATTTGAAGTTGTTCCTATTTTTTTTTTCTGTTATCCATACCACCATGATGACTGTCCTCTATTTTTTTGTGTGAATCTCTAATGATTTCCTTTAGGATAGGGGTCCGCAACTCCCAGACCATGGACCGGTACTGGTCCATGGCCTGTTAGGAGCTGTGCTGCACAGCAGGAGGTGAGCGACAAGTGAGCATTTCTGCCTGAGCTCCGCCTCTGGTCTCTGGTGCCCGAAAGTTTGAGAACTGTGGCTTTAGGATATTCCCAGAAATAGAAAGTGAAATTACAAGTGCAGGAAGTATAACTGAAGGCCTGTTGTCACATATTACCAAGTTATTTTCTATTTAGCATGTACTAATTTCTACTTTTGTCAACAGTATATAAAGTGCCTTTTTGTATACTTTTGGCAGCACTGAGTAATTTCTTTATTCTTAATTGGCACTAGTTTTTATGGACCCCCAGTGCATTGCTATCTGTTTTAGTAAATAAAAGTTATTCATGGCAGGAATTAAAATAAGGATGCAATATTATAAGTAGTAGTACTGCAAGGAACTGGTAACTCCAGCTGGTACTTTGAGAATTGTCTAAACGGACCATATTTTAACTCTAAGGGTCTATGTTTCTAAAAATATATTTTTCCTTTCTGAAATACTTTTATCAGTCTCTAATGTAGAGGAAAGTGCTATTTTTTTCTCCTAAAGTTGTAATTCCATATGTACTTTCTGCTCATTACGTTAGGCATTTCTCTGTGTGTAAGACTTATGTTTTTGCCATTTTAAAAAACAAAAACAAAACATACATTCTGGCAAAAATTGTACAAATTTTGTGGGAAGTCTTGATTGTTACACAAGAGTACTTTCTGGTTAAGAACACTTAAGGTAACAATCACTTTCTTCAAGTATTGTTCAGGTCTGTAGTATTTTAATGAATGCCTTGTAAATTCAGATTCATCCATGTATCAACACACTTCTTGACTAAACTTGGAAAGGAGAGTTGTGGTAAGGTCAGTGTTTGCTGTTATGTAATCTGTTTGTCCAAAATATTTAAAAATCAGTATCGTAAGATTCTTAATTCAGAGTCAAGAATTATCAGTGTGACAGCAATTTTCATATGTTGAAAGTTTTTTCCCCAGTAGTTGTTTCATGATAATCAAGCTGTTTCTTAGGTGTGGACCTCAAAAAGTATTATCAGTTGATTTTTATGACTTTGAAAAATTCTAATTTAAATGCAATTGATATATTGAGAGCTCATAAACAGAATGTGCTTTCCCTGTTGATACTGCTGCTAATTTAATTCTAGGTAACTGAAGGAAAAGGAATGGTGTGCATTCTTGTTGTTTTTTCATACTCTCACATTCATCTTTTATCTAGTCTCAAGATGATCTTAAGAGTAAAGCTGTAATTATAACTGATTAGAAAGAATTTCCTAACTTTAGTATAGAGGGAAGCACATAGGGTGCTTTCTTAATGTTCTAGAAAGCAGACCCTATTTTAGCTTCTTAGTCATGGAGTGGGGGGAACTGTTTCTTTCTTTTTAAAATTATTTTACAGTTATCATTGTATTCAATTTTTAAAATTCTTACAACCTCTGTGAAGAAGGTAAAGAGTAGATGAATAAATTTTAATGTCAACCTAGAACTTCACTCCATAATTTATTTGTGTTATAGTAAGTTATTTTAAGCTAGTATATACCCCTATTCAAAAGTCAAGATTTAAACATTGTTGCTAAAAAGTAAATGGGGCCTGGCGCCATGGCTTACGCCTGTAATCCTAGCACTTTGGGAGGCTGAGACGGGTGGATCACCTGAGGTCGGGAGTTTGAGACCAGCCTGACCAACATGGAGAAACCCCGTCTCTACTAAAAATACAAAATTAGCCAGGCATGGTGGTGCATGCCTGTAATCCTAGCTACACGGGAGGCTGAGGCAGGAGAATCGCTTGAACCCGGGAGGTGGAGGTTGTGGTGAGCCAAGATCGTGCCATTGCACTCCAGCCTGGGCAACAAAAGCAAAACTCCACCTCTCAAAGGAACTTTCTGGCATTTAAAAAAGCTTTCCTTGGATCAGATATTGAAAATCCCTCTAGTGTTTTAATAGCTTCTATTTGTCACTAAATATGAAGGATGGGTGGGTTTGTGGTTAAAAAAATAAATAGCAACAATTTCCCAAAAGGTACATATTTAAACTGAATTTCAAAGCCGAGATAAAAAGTATGGTTCAGAAACCGGAGATTTCAGTTAAGCTTCAGGTAAAGGAAGCAAATAGGCAGAATAAACCACACAGACAAAATGTCAAACCAGGCAATGTTTGTCTTTGAGCATCTTCCATTTCTTATTTTAGTAGGCATCTCACTGGTTCCCTGTGTCTTTTATCCTGCTCTCTGTCACTGGTAGCAGAACAAGCTAAACTTCCTTAAGCAAAACTGTCCTAAGAAATGTACACTGCAGAGACTTCCTAAAGAGAGATGGATGGATTCATTTGGAAACATCTGTGTGCACACTCTAATTTGTATTCATTTTTCCCTAGAGAATGATTACACCTATATAATTAAAAAGTTGCCTTTGAAAACTATTGGCACCAAAAATGGACAATAATTAATGACCCATCCCTCATTTTTTAAAACCATTTTATTGTGGTAGGATTGACATACAAAAAGCTGTAAAGATGGAATGTATACAACTCAATGAGTTCGGAGAGAATCATCACCACAATCTATGCCATAAACCCATCCATCACTTCCAAAAGTTTCCTCCTGCCCTCTTATGTATTGTTATTTGTGTGTGTGTGTGTGTGTGTGAGAGAGAGAGAGATGAAAACACTTAAAATAAGATATACCCTATTAGCAAATTTTAAAATACACAATGCAGTATTGTTAACTATAGGCACCATGCTGTACAGTAGATCTCTGGGACTTCTTCATCTTTCATAACTGAAACTTTGTATCATTTGACTAATACCATCCTGTTTCTCCCTCTACCCAGCCCCTGGTCACCACCATTCTGCTCTCTGCTTCTATGAGTTTGACTCTTTTTAGTTTCCTTTTATAAATGGTGTAATGTAGTATTTGTCCTTCTGTGTCTAGCTTATTTCACTTAGCATAGTGTCCTCCAGGTTTGCCCAAGAGAAGTGTTTCTTTTTTAGAGACAAGCTCATTATCTTTACTTTAAAGCCTATTTTGGTTCTGAGAGTCTACAACTTGGTATGTAAGGAGTGAAATTTGTGTGCTTGCAGTTCATTAGGCACTTGATAGATCTACATCGTATTTATATATCTTCATACTAATCATGGGGGAGAATTTATGTAACAAAATGAATGATAATAGAATTATTAGCTAAGATTGGACTATTTCTCTTGGCATTCAAACTAGACTCTGTCTTTGAGTTTAGATGAAGAGAATGGGTCTAAGATAAATAAGCATTGCTTATTTGCTGTAATGTTTACCTTATTTAAGTAAGAAAAATAAAAATAAACATTGCTTCAAAATGGATAAAGTGAAAACTATCAGAATACTGCATATTTATCTATGCAAGGAAATATGACTGTTGTCATGGATATGCAGTTTGGTATCTCAAGCAAGAAGGTATCAGAGAATGTGAATATGGCATAGTTTATAAGATCTGTGACCTAATAATCATACTTCTAAGAAATGCGAGGGAATAATTTTATAGTCTTGAAGTGGGAAAATGACCCAGAAGCCATAAAGGAGATATATTTTACTACTTAAAACTAAAAAACAAACAGCCAACAACAACAAAAAAACCCCACAATATTTATCTAATATGTCTAAGAAATTCAGACATAGTGAATTTTTTTTTTTTTATTTGAGATGGAGTCTCGCTCTGCAGTGGTGCAATCTCGGCTCACTGCAACCTCCACCTCCCAGATTCAACCAATTCTCCTGCCTCAGCCTCCCGAATAGCTGGGATTACAGGTGCCTGCCACCACACCTGGCTAATGTTTGTATTTTTGCTAGAGACAGGGTTTCACCATGTTGGCCAGGCTGACCTCGAACTCCTGACCTCAAGTGTTCTGCCCACCTCGACCTCCCAAAGTGCTGGGATTACAGGCGTGAGCCACCATACCCAGCCAGTGAAATATTTTCATATGTTCATTAGCTAATAGTGAAAAGCAAAAAATTAAGACAGTGTTTTTGGTATCTATCAAACAGTTCAATCCAGTATTGGAGGAGATATGGGGAAATGGGCATATTAATATACTGCCGGTGGGAATATGAAACTATATTCTTTTTTAGAGGGCATTTTTACTTTTTTAAAAAAAATAAATTTTAGACTCACAATAGAGTTGCAAAAATCATACACCATTTCCATGGGTCCTTTACCCAATTTCCCCTAATGTTAACATGTTACACGATTATAGTACAATTATAAAAACTAAAAATGTTCCTAATCTGGGTTAATCTAATGTTTTTTCATGATTTGATTGAGATTATGCAATTTGGGCAAGAATACCACAAAAATGATGCTGTGTTCTTCTCAGTGAATCAAACTAGGGCTTACATGATATAGATGTACCTTATACTGGTGATGGTAACTCTGATCACCTAGTTAAGATGGTATCAGCTGTGTTTTTCCACAGTAATGTTATCATTTTCCCCTTTGCAATGAAGTAATATCCACACACTTTTTATTAATACATATTTGGGGGAGATACTTTGAGACAATGTAATGTCCAGTTTCAGCTTTTGCTCACCAGCATTAGCATTCACTGATGGATTTTGCCTGTAGTAATTATTCCTGTGGTGTTCTAATGGAGATTTCTATTTCCTTTATTCCTTCTACATTTATTAGAATTCTTCTATGAGGAAGATTAGTCTCTTCTCCCTCATTTACTTATTTGATTGTTCATTTATATTAGTATGGACTCGTGGGTATTATTTTACTCTGTGGGATATAATCTAGTATTATTGTTATTTGTTGCCCAGATTGTGTTAATACCAGCTGTGGCCATTGGGAACTCTTTTTGGGTTGGCCCCTGTGTCCTTTTCACATGTCTCCATTTAAAAAAATTCAGCACTTTTTTATTCCTTGGCACCAGATAACACTAACCTCATCTTGAATATTTCCTGCCTCAGCCCCGTAATCAACTGCTCCAAAGAGCTCTGGTTCTTTTTCTTGGAGAATAGTATTTGGAACAAGATCTGTGTGCTGGATATGCTCATTGCTATTGGGGTATCACTGCTTCTAGGCCTGGAGGGCAATTTTTAATAGACTAAATATAAAATGATCATACCCTTTTGAATCAGCAGTTCTGCTAGATATAAATCCTCTAGAATCACTAGCATAAGTATATTGATAGGGATGTTCATTCTGATCTTTCAAATGATCAGAAATTAGAAAAACCCCAAATGTCTACCAACAGAGAATATGGGTTAACTTAATTGTGATATGGTCATGCAATCAATGGAATGCCTTGGAATGGTTAAAAAATAGATCTATGTATTCTGCCATGGAAAGACATGTAAGAGAGTCAGTTTGTTTTTTGTTTTTGTTTTTGTTTTTTTTGAGACAGAGGTTTGCCATTGTCGCCCAGGCTGGAGTGCAATGATGCAATCTTGGCTCACTGCAACCTCCGCCTCCCGGGTTTGAGTGATTCTCCTGCTTCAGCCTCCCGAGTAGCTGGGATTACAGGCGTCCACCACCACGCTTGACTGATTTTGTTTTTGTATTTTTAGTAGAGATGGGGTTTCACCATGTTGGCCAGGCTGGTCTCGAACTCCTGACCTCAGGTGATCCACCCACCTCGGCCTCCCAAAGTGTTGGGATTACAGGCGTGAGCCACCACGCCTGGCCCAGTTTTTTTTTTTTTTTTTTAAAGCAAGTTGCAGACATGTATAGATAGTATGATTCAATTGTTGTTTAAAAATTGTATGTGTTAGCCAGGCGGAGTGGCTCACGCCTGTAATCCCAGCACTTTGGGAGGCCGAGGTGGGCGAATCACAAGGTCAGGAGATCGAAACCACCCTGGCTAACACAGTGAAACCCCATCTCTACTAAAAATACACAAAATTAGCTAGGCGTGGTGGTGGGTGCCTGTAGTCCCAGCTACTCGGGAGGCTGAGGCAGGAGAATGGTGTGAACCGTGAGGCGGAGGTTGCAGTGAGCCGAGATCATGCCACTGCACTCCAGCCTGGGCGACAGAGCGAGACTCCATCTAAAAAAAAAAAAAAAAGAAAAAGAAGAAGAAGAAAAATTCTATGTGTTGGCCAGGCGAGGTGGCTCATGCCTGTAATCCCAGCATTTTGGGAGGCCGAGGTGGGTGGTTCACTTGAGGTCAGGAGTTCAAGACCAGCTTGTCCAATATGGTGAAACCCTGTCTTTACTCAAAATACAAAAATTAGCGGCGTGCTGTGGTGCACACCTGTAGTCCCAGCTACTCAGAAGGCTGAGGCAGGAGAATCGCTTGAACCTGGGAAGTGGAAGTTGCAGTGAGCCGAGATCATGCCACTGCATTCCAGTCTGGGTGACAGAGTGAGACTCCATCATCTCAAAAAAAAAAAATGTATGTGTGTATTAGAATATGCTTAGAAAAAAGGCTTCAAAGTTACCCACCAAATGTAAAAAGCTGTTATTTCTAGGTGGTTGGATAAAAAGGACACTTTCACTTCATTTAATATATTTTGTAATGTTTGAATATTTTTATTTTATTGTTTGTTTGCTTATTTATTTATTTATTTTGAGATGGAGTCTTGCTCTATCAGCCAGGCTGGAGTGCAGTGGTGCGATCTCGGCTCACGGCAGCCTCTGCCTCCCGGGTTCAAGTGATTCTCCTGCCTCAGCCTCCTGAGTAGCTGGGACTGCAGGTGTGCGCCACCACACCTGGCTAATTTTTGTATTTTTAGTAGAGACAGGGTTTCACCATGTTGGTCAGGCTGGTCTCGAACTCCTGACCTCATGATCCGCCCGCCTCAGCCTCCCAAAGTGCTGGGATTATAGGCATGAGCCACCGTGCCCAGCCCTGAATATTTTTAAAAAACTTTTTAAAAAAGTTATCTAACTTTTCCATGAAGCAACATATCTAGTTCATTCTGTACATTGCACAGGCTAGACTTTGGGTAGTTGTACTTATGTTATAACATTTATTTAATATGTTTTAATATTTACGAATCAAGTGACTCAATCTTATGACCACTTAGTTCTCCTGTGCTACACATTCACATATATTCTTTTTTTTTTTTTTTTATGAGACAGAGTCTCACTCTGTCACCCAGGCTGGAGTGCAGTGATGCAATCGTGGCTCACTGCAGCCTCCGTCTCCCGGTTTCAAGTAATTCTCATGTCTCAGCCTTCCGAGTAGCTGGGGTTACAGGCGTGCACCGTGGTGCCCGGCTAATTTATTTTTGTTATTTCTAGTGGAGAGGTGGTTTTTCACCATGTTGGCCAGGCTGGTCTTGAACTCCTGACCTCAGGTGATCTGCCCGCTTTGGCCTCCCAGAGTGCTTGGATTGCAGGCGTGAGCCACCGTGCCCGACTACATTCACATATATTCTTTTTTTTTTTTTTTTTTTTTTTTGAGACGGAGTCTCACTCAGTCGCCCAGGCTGGAGTGCAGTGGTGTGATCTCAGCTCACTGCAACCTCTGCCTCCCGGGTTCAAGTAGTTCTCCTGCCTCAGCCTCCTGAGTAGCTAGGATTACAGGCATCCACCACCACGCCTGGCTAATTTTTGTATTTTTAGTAGCGATAGGGTTTCACCATGTTGGTCAGGCTGTTCTCGACCTTGTGATCTGCCCCCCTCAGCCTCCGATAGTGCTGGGATTACAGGCGTGAGCCACTGCGTCTGGCTCACATATATTCTTAAGGGGAAAAGATTCTCCCACAGCTTAGCGTGTGAGTGATACCTTCCAGTAGTTTGACTGGCTTACGACAGTTTTTTAGTACTGTTTTTAATGAGACATTTTCTTGTTCCTTTATGATTTTTAAAATAAATTTTAAGTATACAATTTTTATTTTTGAAAATTTTGGAAGACACTAAATCAGCAGGAAAAAAACCCAAAATATATGCAAATATTAAAACAATTCACCTCTAATCCTACCACCCAGCAATAACTGTTAGTATTTGAAGTACATTTTGCTAATTTTTCTATGAATATGTAACACTCAAATATATGTACATATTTAGAATGCAGTCATACATACTGTTTTTGACCTGTATTTCTTGATAACAACATTTCTAAACATTGAAATGTATTTTAGTATGGCAGTTTTAATCTACTATTAACCAATATGTGATTTATGTATACTTATCTAAAATAAGACCTATCAAGGACCATTGTTTAGGGAATTGTTTTGAAAAGGACTTGGCCAGAATTTACTTTTAGATTTGAACATTAAATGCTAAAAACTTTCTTAATGTTTTTCTTTTTGTTTTTGAGACCGAGTCTCACTCTATCACCCAGGCTGGAGTGCGGTGGCATGATCTTGACTCCCGGGTTCAAGTGATTCTCCTGCCGCAGCCTCCCCCGTAGCTGGGTTAATAGGCATGCACCACCACACCCAGCTAATTTTTGTATTTTTAGTAGAGATGGGGTTTCGCCATGTTGGCCACGCTGGTCTCAAACTCTTGAACTCAGGTCATCTGCTCACCTCAGCCTCCCAAAGTACTGGGATAATAGGCATGAGCCACCGCACCTGGCCAAAAGCTTTCTTAATATTTTTCCACTGTTTTCTGAAACATTCTATTTTAAACTTATTAAGATCGATTTTTGAGACATTAAGTCCAGGACGATGATTCTTCGTGCTTGAAACATTTCCAACAGATGCTATCACAAGTTTAGTATGGACTTTACTTGTGGAAGAATGTTTTCAAAATATTGCTTAACAGACCAACTTATTTGCAGAGAGGGCTAGAGCCAAACACATTAATGATTTGTTTTAAAGTCTGTCCCCAAATATGAGGGTTGTCTGAAATTGAATGACACTGCCTTGTATTCGTATCAGTTTTTACTTTTTTTATATCACTTTTTGCTCTCCTATTAGCTGCGTGGACTTTGTTTTGCTCACTGGCATTTGGTGAGTTGGGCTTTCTCAGTGCTGCCTTCTTTTCTAATTGTAAGATGATAAACCCTTGATGCTGTATTATCTCTTTTTTCTTTTTTTAATGCCACCAGGTTACTGTTAGGTCAAAACAAACAATATTATATGCTTCAGTCTGTTAAAAATTTGCTAGGCTAACACTTTCTAACTTTCTTATATTAGAAAAAAACCTTGCATATATCTGAAGTGAAAGAGTCTAAAGTTTGTTTTACAATTTTAGCTAAATCATCCCAATTCCTGATCATCTATAAATGCAACCCACATGGTGGTAATCTGCTTAGTTTTTTATATTAAATTATTTCTTCAATTTATTTTAATATAATGACTTTAACAGGGAGATGCTATTTTGTAGGAGGAGACTAGGAGAGAAGAGAGTGCAGGATCAGTTTTTCTGTTGTGTAGAAGTAAATTAGGCTAGGTTACAAAATGTGATTTGGTTTCCTTTTCTTTGCTGGGTAGCTGCTACTTTCATTTTTTTGTGATGAAAGAAATGGCTTTTAAGGTGATAGGCATTGAGAAAAATTACTTCCTTCACATTAGAGAACCTCTGAGAGTTGCTTCTCCTGCTCAGCCAATTTGGGGCTACAAGAATGGAGACGAGTAGAAGGTTTAAGCTGGGGCTCTCATCCAGCTTGGAGAATTCCCTGACACTCTCTAGTACCAAGGGTCAAGAGTTGACTATCCTTTGCAAATATTTATTTATGGAGTTATTTTCCAAATTAAGCAAACTAGCGGATAGTTTTGTATTTTCCCCTATCCCTCTCCCCTGCAACTTCTACCTTTAGATCTTTAGATGATTTTATAGAAGGATGGGTTTTTTTTTTTGGTCATTTTTAAGTTACTGGAATTATCTATGGGGGAAATGTGTACGTTTTTATATAGAAATATGAAGATTTTCTTCTCCAGCATTCTCCTTGTGAGCTCTTTGGATCTTATTTTAATATCTATATGCAAGTTCCCCGCGCCCCCCCCCCCATGTCAATAGCAAATGTTAGCCTTCTGGAAGAAAAATAAGAACATATGAAATAACCTGACTTCTGTTTATAAGTAATCTTAACCATTTGTGTTAAGACATATACTGATACTGTCCCTGGTAACCCCTCAACAAAAGTAGATTGTGGATATTAACATAAAGTTGAAAGTAGTTCACTATTATTAACTAGCCTTTGTTAGTAATAGGCTTGGATATAAATCATTCTTTCCTTCATCTCTTTAATGGTAGCAAAGAGAAAATTAACTGTATGAATTAACACCAGCTAGTTAGTGTGATGATTACAGTTATGTGGATGTTCGTTTATATGACTTCCATGGGGGCGTCTAGACTAAAAAAAACCAACAAAACAAAAAACTCGAAGGGTTATTCTCATAATCATATGCAAGTAGTAGTGAATACTGCTGGATGGAATAAAGCCTCAGTTCTTCAGAATATAGCATCATGCCCAGGGGGCCCCAGCTCTGTAGAAAGCAATATCAAATTACTGAAAGGCCTTATTTTATTATTCCAAGTATTCAGATGGTAACTAGTTTACTCCTGCATTGTCCAAAATAGGTCAAACCCTCAACCCTAAACTGACAAACATTTCTGGTGTATATATTTTTTTCTTTTTCTTTTTTCTTTTCTTTTTTTCTTTCTTGTTTTTTTAGACAGGGTCTCACTCTGGTTGCACAGGCTGGAGTGCAGTGGTGCAATCTTGGCTCATTGCAGCCTTGACCTCCCAGACTCTGGTGATCCTCTCACTTCAGCCTCCTGAGTAGTTGGGACTACAGGCATGCACCACCATGTTCGGCTAATTTTTTGTATTTTTAGTAGAGATGGGGTTTTGCCATTTTTCCTAGACTGGTTTTGAACTCCTGGATTCAAGGTATCTGCCTGCCTTGGTCTCCCAGGGTGCTGGGATTACAGGCATGAGTCACCATTACCTGGTCCTTTTGGTGTATATCTTGAAAAATGTCACAAAAATGATGTGTTTACAAATTGAAAAAAGATGGAAATATATTTAGGTTTCTACCTAGACCAGTGTCATATTTGTATTTGGGAAGAAACCTCGTGTTGTTTCAAGGAACTTACTCGTTTTTGGTTTTGATGGGAGGATAGATGCCTACAGTCATCTGTGTGTGGGGATGGCTGTCTTGTGTGACTGACTAGTTTGCTGTGGTCAGACATTGTCTCTGTGTCTGAACATGGCTTTGGTCCTGACCATGGGGGATTCAGAGATACAAATAAAACAGTTAAGAACATGGCTCTTGCTTCTTGTCATTTTTCCATAGAGTTTCAACTACTGTCACTTAGATTCTGGCTCAGTTACTTTCTGAGATCCTAAGAGCACTAATTCTAGTCAGACACTCATCTCTAGTCATTTCTTGCTTTTCCTTTAGTACCTGGCTTATGAGCTAAGGTGCACAGATAATGTGAACAAGCACTCGATATTTCTTTTAAAGGGGCACTTTTCTTATGTCACTGTACTCATAAATGCTGTCTCTTACTGCAGATTGAAATCACAGAAGATATTCGTGTTCTTCTTAAGAGAAAAAGAGGACATTTGTAAGTATTTGTCCTTTAGAAATTCTAAATGTGTAATTTTATTAGCTTTTTGAGAAAATTAAGTTCCCACACTAACAGGCATCTTGACCCTTTTTATAGAGGAAAAACTCTACCAATATTTATGATTGTGTTTAAAAAGGCAGTATTTTATAGAGCAAAATAGGAAAACATTTTACCCTGTGCAGCTTCTAAAATTTAAACCATTTGCCACTCATTTGTAAAAGAACAAGTGGTAATTAAAATTCAAACAACGTCTTTCTATTTGAGTCATACCCAAAACTGGAGTCAGGGATTGGAGTTCTGGTTCTGACTACTGAGGCTTATAGAATATGTGTCTTTGGTAAACTACTTAGTCTCTCATTATCTCAGTTTCCTTATCTTTAAAATGGGTTTAACAGTAAGTGCACAATCAGGGGTTCATTATTATTATTATTATTGTTGTTGTTGAGACAGAGTCTCGCTCTGTCTTCCAGGCTTGAGTGTAGTGGCGCCATCTCAGCTCACTGCAACCTCCACCTCCGCCTCCCGCTCCTGAGTAGTTGGGATTACAGGCACGTGCCACCGCGCCCAGCTATTTTTTTGTATTTTTAGTAGAGACGGGGTTTCATCATGTTGCCCAGGCTGGTCTTGAACTCCTGGCCTCAAGTTATTCTCCCGCCTCGGCCTTCCAAAGTGCTGGATTACAGGCGTGAGCCACCGCGCCCGTCCTCAGTGGTTCATTATTATTGATGGAGTTAAATCCATAGCAGTTTATGCTTGCCCCGATACGTTGAAGCTTATTCTTTTTTTTTTTTGCCCCAAGATGGAGTCTTGCTCTGTCACCCAGACTGGAGTGCAGTGGTGTGATCTCGGCTCACTGCAACCTCTGCCTCCCGGGTTTAAGCAATTCTCCTGCCTTAGCCTCCTGAATAGCTGGGATTATAGGTGCCCGCCATGGCGCCTGGCTAACTTTTGTATTTTTACTAGAGAAGGGGTTTCACCATGTTGGCCAGGCTGGTCTCAAACTCCTGACCTCGTGATTCTCCCACCTTGGCCTCCCAAAGTGCTGGGATTACAGGCATGAGCCACCATACCAGCCTGAAGCTTATTCTTTGAGAGACAGCCACAATGTATACTTGTGCCGAAGCTTATTGAAGAATAAGCTTCAATGTATCGGGGCAAGTATACATTGAGGCTGTCTCTCAAACTGATTTGCGTGTATTTCTGATCTTCATAAATTTTTAAGTATATATTTCATTGAGGCATCTATTCTAGACTACAATATGGAGTAAAAGAAATACAACAGAGCACCTAAAATTAAAATCATAGTGTTTGAGGCTTGGACTTTGAAATTTACCTAGTCCTATAGTCCCCGATTGTTGATTTTTAGACCAGTGCTGGTTAGTGAAAACGTTTTTACTGGTCCATGGTGAAGTGAGAAAAATAAGGACAGCAGATCATGAGTTTTTAAAAGCTAAACATTTTCAGTTTAAAGGATTGCTTCTTATAGAATATATCTTTCTAATTTAGGGGAATTAAACATGTTATTTATCTCATGAAATTATGGTGATAGTAAATGGTAGGGCTTTAAAAAAATTCATGCCTGGCAAAACAACAACAACAACTTGGTAGCTCTGTGTCATTTCCCCCCACTAATTCTTTCTTTTACATTTTTTGCTGTTTTGTGATATCTTAAAATATGAACCCAACTTTCTCATTTTACAGATGAGGAAACAGACATTGAGAGGTTAATTTGTTCCAGGTCTTACCACTCAGCAGCTTGTGAACCAGGACTAAAACCCTATATCTGATACTGTCTCTCTAGAACTTCTGGTCTTCTGAAAATTGCTTTCATTATAATAGGTTATAAATTTGAAACTGAAGATATAGTAGTTCTTATGTGCTAATAACTATTTTTGATTTCCAAGTATAAAGAAATTCAAAAGGCCATGTTTTTGTATAGCTAAATGCTGAAGTCCACTGATTAGCCTGCATTAGAAGAATCTTAAACATGGCCAAAGATTTGTATCAGCAGATCAGAATTAGCTGTCACCGAATTCAGCTACTTAGGTGTTACACGCTACCCAGTGGCTGACAAAGAAGTTAAAATATCAGCAAAATTATTATTTCCTTTTGGAAGTTGACAGACTATACTGCCACTGTGAAGAGTGGTAGTATTCAAACTTCTATAGTTAATTTAACTACAGAAAGTACTGTTTTCTCTCTCATAGATGCACACCTACACACACACACATACATATTTATAGCAATCAATCTGCAGCCCATCTAGATTTGGAAGGGAAAAAACTACCAAGGTGAAGAGTAGGAGTTACCAGAAGCACTGGCATGAACATATCTGGCCAGTTGTGTTCAGGAGATTGCAGATAGTACTCTGTGACACTTTGGAGGCCCCCCATCAATTGCCTTTGTCTGAACTTTCCCAAAATATGTTTCAAAATGGAAATAATTAGCTCCCTTATCAACCTTGTCTTACTCATCTTACTGAAGCATAAGCCAGATAAACAAATGAATGTGGAGGGAGAGAACAGAATGGAATGTATTCCCAATCCTAATGTGGAAATATTAACTCCAGGGGTACTTTTCCATGGCTTCTTATATTTGGCTTTGTGTGACTTCCTTCTTTAGGTAGGAATTCTTTAATTTCTGAAATGTCAGACATACTCAAAATGAAATGCTAATAAGGATAAAATGCATTTTTGAATTATCTGCTGTCTTTAGAATATGTGGCCTTCTGTTCTTTACTACGGCTAATATGTGAGCATTGACTATATGGCCATAAGATTTCAATATTCAACAGATTTATCAGTCTTTGAGTTATTTAATTAGAATCACTTCTAAGATCTATTTAATACTGAAAAGCAGAATGAGTTTTTTTTTTTTTAAATCACGATACAATTTTGTATTATGGTGGTCAGGCAGCTGAATTATAGTCATTTATTTGGCCATTTTATAAGAAATGGTTTAAGACTGCATTGTTGCATAATTTATTAACAGTCTGACATATTGAAAAGAACATTGACAAACTAACCTATTAAGCTGGTTCCTCCTCTGGCAGATGGGGAGGGCAGATCATGTGGCAAAAAAAGGCATAGTTGTAAAATTCTCCCTGTAACATGAATCTATTCCTATGGGAACTACTACTGCTGCTTAAAGACTTTTTTGGAACCTACACTCATGGTTGAAAGCCCTAAGTTGTATTACTTTATTATAATAAATATGTAAGATGACAGGAGATAGATGTATAACCTATAGATATTTTGTATATTCTTCACTTGAACAAAACACATTTATTATAAAAGTTAACTTTAAAGTTAAATTCTATAACCCAATTATTTTTGGTTAACTTATGTTAAAATCATCTATATATCCCAACAGAGAAAAAGCACCCAGTAAATCGAAGACTTTGTAGATAAAATAAAAGTCTGCACTGTGGTACAATGGGCAGTTTAATTTAGCAGCAAGGTTTTGTGTACAGGGACCTGCAGCAGTTACTCTTTAGCATCAGTTGTACAACATTGACATTGTCATTGTGCTGTCTGCTGCCCTTCTACAGCAATGAACCATTTGTATTGCTCTCTAAACACATATCACCCAGAACTTAGTTTTTCTCCCTTTTTCATTATGTTTAATAAAGTTTGATTATAGCATCATGCTTAGCCAGTAGGTGCCACTTCTAGCCTGATTTATCCTCAAGATTCCTTAAATGTAAGCTTTGGATTATTTACAACCAATTATTGGATTAAATTATATACAACCAATTCCCAGCTTTAGAAAGCTACATTTTTAAAAATCAAGTGTATCTTGATCACTTAAAATGAGGAATAGATGTATAATTATACACAGTGTATGTGAAGTGTGTAGGCATCAACATTGACTCCTAGAGCTCCTCATTTTAACATACATAGATAGGATACTGATTATAACATCCTATGACCTAGCAACAACATTATCTGATGCATGCTGGGGATCTTCTTAAGGCATGATGGGAGGGAATTCACTCTAGAGCATTAAAAGTGTCTTCAACATGGCAGCTGAGGTGCTTTCTTTGCTGGGAAAAGCTGCAAAGAGACTGGCAGAATGGCGACTTCAGGAGTTAATACCTCTCCAGGTGATGAAGTAAACAGGTTCAGTTTATCTTGTGAGAGACGCACCCAAAGATCAGTCATAATTGTGAAAAGCTTTCAGTCATACTAGCCAGGCACAGGTGTAATGTGTTGGTATATGGCATCTCTATAGTCATCTTAGGTTTTGTTTTGCTTTTCTTGGTTTTAAAATGTATTTATTATAATTACTGTATATTTGAGCTTAAGGTTTGATTGCACAAGTTATTTGATATTGAATAGACTGCTTGTTATTTGCAATATAACAATTTGAATCAGATGAGACAAGTGCCGTAATGATACATATATTTTACATGATTATTTCGTCTTGCAGACTGATGAAAGATCTTGTTAGAACTCTTAATGCTTTTATTTTCTTAATGTATTGGCATTCTCTAAGTTTTAATGTTAAAGTATAAAGTTAATTGTAATGTCTCTTGTAAAGTTTGATTTCATTTACAAAGTGAAACCATTCTGACTCAACCTAGTTGAGCTTTCTCTGGTATGTTTTACAATCATTTGGAAGTTTTTAATAGTGTATGAAAGAAAATAAGATTTTAAGGAAGCACTCCACCCCTTTACAAAAGTCCTTGTGATGCAACATGTATTTAGAAATATGATCTTTTAAAGTACAGCAGGTATTCTTATCGGTTTAATCTCTTGGAACTTTTATAATTGTTTTCTGATTTAATGTTTACTAGTTACAACTAATCTTTTTCAGAAGGCAAATTGTCTCTTTATTTGGTGCTTAAATTACTCTTAAATAATGTGTAACTTGAAAATGAGACTTCTAAAAAAGTAGCACTTATATAGTTAATTGTTGATTTTCAAATTGATTTAAAAACTATTTTTGTAAGATCTTATGTCAAGGACAAAGTTAATTTGTCACTACTGTATGTTTCAACTTGGCAGATGCATGGATCCTTGCTTGGTTTAGTTCATTTTCTAAAACTTTTGAAAAAATATCTTGGCATTAACCAACTGCAGTTCAGTAGTTTTTCTCTTTCATTCTCAAATTGGTGTTGTGTCACATGCTTCTGGGTAAGACGATTTCTTCTTTTAAATTCAGACTTTAATTAATATGTAGTGTTTGTTTACTTTGTGTACTAGAGCTTAATGTATCACTAATGCTTTCTGTATTTAACCTATCTCGGAGTGTTTGAAGTAACTGGAATGAAATACTTATTAAATCTCACCTCAGAACAAAAAAATAAAATAAAATTGAATCTGATTTTTCACTAAAACTTCTAGTACTTACTGGACATCTATAGAGGCCCCCCCCCCCTAAAATGTCTTAGGATGTAGGACAGATTAGTGCTCAAAATTGTTGCCAGTATTTCTTCATACCCAAAGTTTGTCACTCTCACTTATTTAGATTATACCAGTATTACTAGGATCACAGATAATTGAGCTAAAAACATGGACTTTAAAATCAAAGCGACCTGGTTCGAATCTCTACTCAGCTGTGCTATCTTGGGCAACTTAATCTCTCTGAGTCTGTTATATCTTTAAAATGAAGGTACTACCTCAAAGGAGTTTTCTGAAGGATTAAATGAGATAATATATCTGAAGGACTTAGCACAGTATCTAGCCTGTAGTAAATGCTCAATACCTGGTTATTACTATGATTCCCATATGGAATGGTAAAGTTCAACAGGAGCAATTAACTATCCAATGACTGAAGATAATGCCCTGCCTTTTTCTGGCTGACATACAAATACATGATTTCAAGGAAGCACCACTCAAAGTTCATGTCCTCCTAATGATGGGATAGCAGTATCATTCTTCATACATGGAAGGACAGCATACCTTTGTGAAAATTATCAGTGAAAATGCACATAGTGCAAATTGTGTAACCTTCATGCTTTTATAACACCAATCTTTTCCAACTCTATGCAACAGGCAGTTTTTCCAGTTTCATATTTTCTATTAAGCAACTAACAACATGTTCAAGTTTATTTTAATTACCAGGGATTTTAAGAGTATAGTATTTCCTAGGATGTTGACATGGACAAGTGATTGTTTTTTAAGATGATTAAAGTTAGCTACCTTCACGTTATTGTACTTGCATATATTTTTACCTTATAGATTCAGAATAATTCCAGTACATTCTTAATTCAGTAAACAATTTGATTGAAGCCAACACACGGAGGCACTGTTCCAGTCACAGATTCAGCAGCAAATGAGACAAACTCTCTGCCTTGTGAAGCTTATATTCTACTGGGAGCATAGACAGTAAACATGAAAAATAAAACATGGTATATTAGTAAAAGTACTCAGGAAAAAAATAACGCAAGTAAGGGATAGAAAGTGTGGGGAGTACAATTTTAAAAGAAGTTGGCTGGAGAAATGCCTCACTGAGAAGGTGTTCTTTGAGTAAAGAAAAAAAAAGAGGCAAGAGAATAAGCTACGTAGATGTCTTGGAAGAACATTCCAGGCAGAGAGAACCTCAAGTACAAAGGCCATGGGGCAGGAACAAATGGGACTGCAGAAGAATGTTCCAGGGAAAGCGTACTAGGAGGTGAAGTCAGAACCTTGGGGTAGGGGAAAGACTATATAGTCTTGTAGGTTGTAGTAAGGACTTCAGCTTATATTCTGGGTGAGTCATATGGGAATTCTTTGAAAGATTTTGAGCAGAGGAATGGTATGATCTAACTTACATTTTGAGAATAGTACTCTGGCTTCTGAGTTTAGAATTTATTGTAGGGGTATGAGATGGAAGCAGGGAGACTAGATTGGCTATCCCATTTATCCACATGAGAGATGATATTGGCTTAAACCAGGATGGTAACAGTGGAGGTGGTAAGAAGTAGTTGAATTAGATTCACCTTTTTTGTAAGTCAAACCATTAGGATTTGCTGGTGAATTGCCTGTGGAATGTGTGAGAAAGAGAGGGGGGTAAAAGGGTGAATCTAAGGTTTTTGGTCAAAGCAAGTGGAATATATAGAGATGGGCAAGACTGGGTGAGATAGGATTGTGGAAGGATGATCTCAGTTTTGAACATGCTAAGTTTGAGGTATTTAACTGACACCTAAGTGGATCTGTTGAGGAAACAGTTGGATATACAAATCTAGTGTTTAAGGCAGACTTCCAGGCTTGAAGGAAAAATTTGGAAGTCATCACGACATATATGTGGTATTTAAAATTGTGAGGTTCAAGGACCAAGCCCCATACCATTTAGAGGCCAGGAATGTGAGGAAGAAGCAGAAAAAAAAAAAAAGACTGAAAAGGAATAGCCAGGGAAGTAGGAAGAAAACCTGAAGAATATGGTTTCCTGGAAGCTAAGTGAAGAAGTTTAAAGCAGAAGAGGGCTCAGCTGTGTTAAAGGCTGCCAGTGGGTCAAGGAAGAAGAGAACTGAGCTTTAATTGACCTTTGGATCTAATAGCATGGAAGTCATTGGAGACCCTGATGAGGAGAACAAGTTTATAGAGTGGTAGGAGACATAAGCCTGATTGTAGTGGGTTCAAGAGAAAATAGGAGAGAACTGGGAGACAGAGAGCCATAGACACCTCTTTCAAGGAGTGCCAAAGAGATAGAAAATAAATGGGCTATAGCTGAAAAGAAGATGCAAAGGAGGGAATGTTTTTTAAGATGAAAGAAATAACAGCTGGTTATGATGCTGAAGGGAATAGTTCAGAAGAGCAGGGAAAATTAATGAGGAAGGACGAGAGGGAAGAATTGGTAGAGTAGCACTTCCGTGTCCTTATAAAGACAGGGTGTAATGCATAAATGAAGGGGTTGGCCTCAGCTTGGAGCATCAACAGTTCATCCATAGTCACAGGAGAGAAAACAGCATGTGGCCACAGATTTGATTAGGTGGGTAGATGTAGCAGTGAGAGTCTGTGGAAATTATCTTTGGATTGTTGCTGTTTTGTCTGCAAAATAGGTCAGCTGCTGAGAATAAGTCTGGATGAGGAATGTTGGTGGTCTGAAGAGAGTAAAGTATGAAATCCAGAGGAGTGGGCCAGTGAGTGGACTAGTGCGGTGTGGTCTCTCTGCATCAGGGAGAGTCCATTTGAGGTAGCAATCACAAGTTTAAAGTGAGACACTCAACACAGTCATGTGTTTCTCACAGCAAATTCAGCTGCATAGGTACAGGTACAGATTAGGTGGAGAATTGGATAGGATAGAACCAGGCTGTGGTTGAGATGATTAAGTACAACCAAGTGAGACAACCAAGAGGGACTGAGTATGATTGCCTATGGAATTTAAGAGGAAGAAGACAAAGGTTTCTCACAAAAGCACTATAAAGTAGGTAATATAAGCAGTATTCCTGTTTTACAGATGAAGCCACTAATATAGAGCTTTCTTTTTTAAATCATACTTTAAATTCTGGGATACATGTGCAGAACGTGCAGGTTTGTTACATAGGTATACACGTGCCATGGTGGTTTGCTGCACCCATCAACCCATCATCTACGTTAGGTATTTCTCCTAATGCTATCCCTCCCCTAGCCCTCCATCCCCTGACAGGCCCCTGTGTGTGATGTAACCCTCCCTGTGTCCATGTTTTCTCATTGTTCAACTTCCACTTGTGAGTAAGAACATGCAGTGTTAAGTTTTCTGTTCCTGTGTTAGTTTGCTGAGAATGATGGTTTCCAGCTTCATCCATCTCCATGCAAAGGACATGAACTCATTGTTTTTTATGGCTGCATAGAACCACATTTTAAACCCAGATCTGTTAGCCTAGAAAATTTTTGTTGTTTCTCTTATGAGACATTATATTTTGCCTAATGATGGGTACGATGCTCAGCATCATACCCTTACCACCAACTCTTCTTTTTTTGAAGTGAAATGAAATGTTTAAATCTTTTTTGAAATGAATTTATCAATAGACTGAGTATAACCCCTGACAAGGAAGTATTATAGTTTAAGATGATAGGCAAAACTGGGCAGAGGCTGGCTAGTGTACTTGAAAGAGCACTGGGTGCTCGATTTGTGCTCTGCCATTCATTTGCTTCTCTGTAAGATGAGGGCTCAGACAATATCAGTGGTTCAAATATTCAGCTGAACTGGAAGTTCCAAGGAGTCCCTTCAGGGGCTGTCATAGCCTCCTCTACCAGAGCAGCTATGCTTTTTGCTTTCATCTACGCTTGTGTTTTTATATCTATATAAGATTTTATTCAAATGGATGACCCATGACCCCCTCACTACCTGCAGAAAGAATTTGAAAACCTCTAGACTAAATGATCTCTCTGGTTTCTTCTCACCTGAATGTTCTTTGAGCCTTGCCTACTGTGTGTGTGTGTGTGTGTGTGTGTGTGTGCATGCGTGTGTGTGTGTCTGTACTAAGCACTATGAGGATTACCTAGAAAGCATTTCTCTTTCTCTAAGACTTAAGGCAAATATGTATAAAAGATTAAATTTATGTAACATCAATAACTAAAAAACATACAATGCATTTTAAATCCAACTAAAGTACAGGCTCTTCAAAAGCTATTTTCTGTTTCTTTATATATTTTCAGCCTTAAGCCTGAAGATTTCTCAATTGAGGGTAAGGTGGTACTCACCCCTTAGGGGCATTTTATAAATCTGAAGACATGCTTTTATGTCTGCTAATATTGTCTCTGAGAATGTATGTATTGAAACAAGTATTTTGTTAAATTTTAAATTAGTTTCTTTATGGTACTCTTTTATATTACCAGTAAGAAATCATTTTTTAAAATGGTGTGTTGGTAGATTATGACTATCCTTTGATGTTGATGAAGAGGTATCACAAAATATTTGTCATAAGAAAGAGGTACTGGGTTTGATATGGTTGAGAACTACTGGTCCGTGTTCTATACTGTGGTACCCAGAAGTTTGGAAGTGATGGTAGTATAATCATGTATCAGATTGAGTGGTAGATATTGCTAATGATGTGTGAAATTAGAAAAAGTAAAGATTGTTCTGGACTTGGGTAGCCATGAAATCTTCAGTGGGAGGAGAGGATTGTTAGAGGGGATCTTACATTCAGCATTATGATAAACCCTTGACATGACATACCTTATCTTGAAGAAATGAATGACCAGACTTGTCCGAGAGACTAAGAAGGTACTTTCCAAGTAGGGTAAGTCATAGAATTTAAAGCTGGAAAGGCCCTAAGAATCACCTAGGCCAGACATTTTTAGTTCAGGGTTGTTGCCCTTTGAAGTTCATGGATGGATTTCAAGGAACTTGTGAATCACTTGACATTGTGTGTATCATTTAGCATGTCTTTCTGAGGGGAATTGGGTTCCTCGTTCTCATTCTCAAAAAGGCCCATCATCTCTAAGAGGTTAAGGCCTGCTGATCTAGTGTGGTCCCAGACTGAGGTAGATGGTTTGCTCAAGGTTACACAGCCAGTTAGGGGCAGAGATGAGGATTGACACCCAGTGACTTCCAGTTTCTTTCTCATTTCACTGTACTCAACTAAATTACATGAACAAAGGCACAGGCAGGATTAAGCTACCATTTTATATTAGATGGTATAAAAACAATCAACTAGCCTGGGGTCAATTGAATTAAGTCTGTCAGTCTGTTTCTACAAAAGTTGCAGAAGGATGGGCTTCAGTTTGTCTCTTCAAAGTGAACTAATATTTTGATTTTTCTGGTTGAAATATGCTACAACTCACCGAAGTAGCTTTCTCAGTTGAAGGTAAGCTCCTTAAAAAATGTTCCTATTCTTGGGCCGGGTGTGGTGGCCCCCGCCTGTAATCCCAGCACTTTGGGAGGCCATTGAGGGCAGATAGCTTGAGTCCAGGATTTTGAGAACAGCCTGAGCAACAATGGCAAAACCCCGTCTCTACAAAAAATGGAAAAAAACTAGCCAGGCATGGTGATGCACATCTGTGTTCCCAGCTACTCGGGAGGCTGAGGTGGGAGGATCTTTTGAGTCCGGGAGGCAGAGGTTGCAGTGAGCTGAGATCATGCCACTGCACTCTGGCCCGTGTGACAAAGTGAGACCTTGTCTCAAAAAAAAAAAAAAAAAAAAAAGAAAGAAAAGAAATATTACTATTCTTGAGCCTGTTTCTGCGGTTTCTTTCCAATGGCACTGTTTTTCTAACCTGCAGCAGCCCCCAGCTTTCCACATAATCCAATCAAAATTACTTTGCCTGATTTGTTAGATTTTGTAACTACCGTAGCGTATTTAGTCAAGCGTATTTAGCGTATTTAGTGTATGCTGTGCCCCAGTCAGACTAGTGTCCTTGCTATTGGTACTTCCTATTCTCCCAAAGTCCTTTCATTCCCACCTTCGTATCTTTTTTCATATGGTCCCTGAGCCTGGAATACCTTCCATTCCTCTTTCATTTCTAGATGCCCAACATAAGGTCCAGCTTAAATCTAATCTCCACAAAGCCTCTCCTAGTTACTCTTGGCCATTTTGCACTTCCTCTGAACTCCTTTTGCATTTATTGCTTATACTACTGCCTACACTGCACATGGTAGTTATGTATTAGTTATGTATTACCACAAGGCTTTTCAGTGGAAATGCTTTAGTGGTCACCTTGGGAGTTGGGATTCCGGGAATTCTGGGGCAGGACTCTGGACATCCCCAAACCCTGTTTTGGCCAGAGCAACTCCACTTTAGTGTTATATATGGGCAGTTTCCAGTAGTGTTTATTAGAAGAGATGGTTTAATTGCACCCCCTGTCCCCGTTCCCCCAAACAGTTGCAAAAATACTGGATCTATCTTGTGTGATAGTTGACTCATAAGTGTTAACTTATAATGGCCAAGGGCCAGGAATTAATACTACTTCAGACTTGTATTACCACTCCTAGGCAACTGGTGCAGTTTTGAGCACAAAGTGGACATGTAGGAAATGATTTTACAATTGTATTGCTCCCATGTGGGAAATAGTAGATAGTAAATAGCATTACCTGAGAAATTTACCTTAATGAAGAACTCAGAATAAGGTTTCTGGGTTGACCTTTGAGAAATAAATCTAAGTTGATAGTTTCTGCCCCACCCCCCCCTTTGGATATAAACCTAACACTATTTAAAGATGTCTAGTTTACATGCACATGTTTAAGAGAAATCTTATTATTGGCATACCCTATTCTACCAAAGTTTTGACAAACTTAAATATCATATTCATGCATTTGTGTAAGCATTAAGGTTGTTATTCAACTCACAGAATGATATGCAGAGTACCAGTACACCTAGAAACCTAGAAAAAAATAAATTCAGAAGTTGATGTGCTCAAAGACATTTACGTCAATAATGATTACAAATGGAAAATGCCAGCCTTTCAGACCAGTTATTTCAGCTTTCTGTAATTAATTGTGTAAACTAATAAAGACCTGAGTATTTAAATCAATTGTGCTATCAACTTGTTAATATTCTTTTGTTTTTGTTTTTTGTTTTTTGTTTTTATTTTTCCTGCTCTCTGCTTGGTTCATTGTCATCACCTACAGGCGTACTTTATTGTCGGCTTCCAAAGATTACTAACTTTTATCTGTATCACTAAGATTGAACTGCCTTGGCTGTACTGCTATTCTTACTGCTGCTTCTATTATTGCCTTCTTCAGCACAATAAGGCTTTCAAAAGCCAAAGAATAACAAGAAATAAGCACCATTTTAGAAGCCTTTCCACTATGAAACTTAAGCTAAATGTGCTCACCATTATTTTGCTGCCTGTCCACTTGTTAATAACAATATACAGTGCCCTTATATTTATTCCATGGTATTTTCTTACCAATGCCAAGAAGAAAAACGCTATGGCAAAGAGAATAAAAGCTAAGCCCACTTCAGACAAACCTGGAAGTCCATATCGCTCTGTCACACACTTCGACTCACTAGCTGTAATAGACATCCCTGGAGCAGATACTCTGGATAAATTATTTGACCATGCTGTATCCAAGTTTGGGAAGAAGGACAGCCTTGGGACCAGGGAAATCCTAAGTGAAGAAAATGAAATGCAGCCAAATGGAAAAGTTTTTAAGAAGGTAAAGTATTTTGGTGCTTTTCATTTATGTTTTAAAGAGGAAGACACATTTGTTTTATCATAAATCGAGTGCGTTTTAAGTATGCTGGCATTCTATTATAGTGCTGTGTAAAACTACTCAGAAGCCGCTCATAGCTTCTGTATGTTCATTTAAGAGCATTTTTAGAGTTTTATGCTTTGGATAGTATTTTAATTGCTTGTTTGAATATACTAATATTAGAGAATGTATCACTTTAACAGTTAATTCTTGGGAATTATAAATGGATGAACTATCTTGAAGTGAATCGCAGAGTGAATAACTTTGGTAGTGGACTCACTGCACTGGGACTAAAACCAAAGAACACCATTGCCATCTTCTGTGAGACCAGGGCCGAATGGATGATTGCAGCACAGACCTGCTTTAAGTACAACTTTCCTCGTAAGTGCCTTGTGTTTTTGGAGGGGGGAGAGGAGGGTCTTTGCTTGCATGTGAGAATTGTTTTGAGATGCTCTTGTTTTCACAGTAGGTGTTGTTTAGCCATTTTACACATTAATTATGTCCATAATACGGCATGTAATATTGTGGCTAAAAGATATCCGATGACTCCTGTTAAGTATGGTAACTTGTAAGAACTAATATGGGAATTGGCAGCTTTAAGGGATGTGATTTACACTTTTATTTTCCAATTGGAAATGAATTGTAACTGAAAGAGTTGGAGTTTGGGGGTATTTTGGGGGGGTGATATACAAAGAGTAATGATTAAAAGAACAAAAAACCATTTCTCAGGATAATTCAAATTCATTGCTTCACTTTGAGACCTCTTATTTGACTTATTCTATTTTACGTGTGAAATATGCATGTGACAGCTGGAATTGGCATTAGATATGTTAGAAAGTAAAATTGAGTATATTTCTAATACTCAAGCATTTGTTGTTGCCATTGTTTAAGAAATAAACAATGTATTGTCACATACTAAGTACTCTGTTGTTTGTTGAATGAAATATAACACTGTAAGTTAGGATTATAGAGCTTAAATTTCAAACAAAAAATAGATAATATGAAAATGATCCCCTATGTACCCATTACCCACTTTCAACGATGAACAGCTTGTGAAAGTGGCTATTTTTAACCACATTGTTTCTGGTTACCAATCTAGAGCTGAATTTTCAGTTCTTTCTAAGTTTAGCAGATGTCCTTTGATTCTAACTGATCTTGGTTTATGTTATCTCTGGTGGCTCCTAAGGAGTAGATCTCCTTGATCTCTCTAATTAAGGTGTGGAGGTCACCAATCACATTGGACATTGGACTCACTAAAACAGCTTCTTAGAAGGAGTAAGAACATTATCTGTGGCTGATCTTATGACTTAAGATCCTCAAGATTTTCAAGGACTTATCCATTCTTTGGAGGCTATGGCCAATGAAAGTGTGTATCAAGAAGAAGCCCTAGCTGGGCCAGTCTGACCTGAATTAAGAGTTCAGCCAGTACCTATTGGCCTTGAGCATCTAAATTGACAGATTTTTGATCAGCTGTGGCAGTGCGAGTGTTTCTGGGTTTCTTCAGGTTTAGGAAGTGAGAGTTCTGGGAATTTGTAAGGAAAACTTTGGGCTCCCAGGGAGTTTGAAGCAAGGTTGAAGGATGGTAACAGAGACTATGAAATCAAATTAAAATATACAATGTCTTTGTGTCTCTAAGTGTAACTATTATTAAAGACTGACTTCAATAATATCCATTTCTAATAGATGTTTATTACTTAATATTTGTGTTTATTTTTATTATGTAGTTGTGACTTTATATGCCACACTTGGCAAAGAAGCAGTAGTTCATGGGCTAAATGAATCTGAGGCTTCCTATCTGATTACCAGTGTTGAACTTCTGGAAAGTAAACTTAAGGTAAATATGAAATTTTCTTTTAATTCATGGTTGCGTTGTCTGGCAGGACAGAAAAATATTCATTCAGTAAGTGAATTTTTGTTGCAGGCTTAAGTTTAATAGCTGTTTTTTTTTCTTTCTGCTCAACAGACTGCATTGTTAGATATCAGTTGTGTTAAACATATCATTTATGTGGACAATAAGGCTATCAATAAAGCAGAGTACCCTGAAGGATTTGAGATTCACAGCATGCAATCAGTAGAAGAGTTGGGATCTAACCCAGAAAACTGTAAGTAAAGCAGTAAAAACAATTTTATTTACCTATTCCAAGTTTGTTATTTTGGTAGGTTAGGGAAACAAATGACATGAGTAAATCCACAAAAGTTCTTTGACTGAAAAAAAAAAGTTCAAAAATCTTTAAAAACCATCAAGACCATATATGATTAAGATTTTCCCTCCATTTCTCCTCAAAAAAAATAAGTTAGTAAATTTCACTAAGTGGTTGAGATGTAATCTGTGGTTCAGACTTCATGGCAGTTGCTGCCAAATGTTTCTTCATTTTTTAAATAACCCACTATAACCTTCCAATTTGGGCCTCATAAAAGAAAAATATTTCAGGCCTTCCATTCAGTAAACTTTCTGAAATAAATGCTTAATGCTAGTTATCTTAAGGATGTTTCAGAGGATGCAAAGCTGTTTACCAAGATTAATGCTTGGATTTATTTTACCACTGAGGTGGTAGTTGGTATTTCATTTGAAACAAGTAAGTGTACCTTGTAGCAAAATGTCAGTTGGCCATCAGGGCAGAGAGTTGAGGAAATTAATACTCCATTTGAAGAGTTTTCTTATTATGTTTAATGCGATGGTCAAAATACCATACTATAATGAGAAAAGGATTCATTTTTGCAGGAGAAAATGTTGGTCGAACCTCTACTCAGCTTCTGAACATTTTACCATTAGAGAATGAGCATGCGTTTATAATAACAGGTGTTATTATACACATCTGCCATGTGTCCAGAATGGCAGAGAGTCAGATTTTACCCTGCTTGCCGGCAAACAGATGAGCCTGCAAAACTTCCTGGTGCCATAGACTTTTGGGTCTGAGATGAGGGACAGTTTTTTACTCACAACAATAGCAGTAGCCAGAGTATCATATCAGCATTTGTGTCATAAGAGAGGAACTCTGAGCTTAAAGAGCCTGAATATCTTATTATCTTATTGTACTGGACAGTAAGCATGCCTGCTGTTTGCTCTGGGGAGAGACACTATCTCTGTGCAAATATCCTTGTAAAGATAGTCTGGAACAAAGTCAATGTCTCTGCTTGCAAGATGTGCAGAACATGAGACCCATAGAGAATTGTTTTTCTACACTAGGTTGACCCTGTAAGATTGGGATAAACTTGACTGAGAAGTCCTGATTGGTAGGGATCAGTTACAGTTCTGCTGATTGACCACAAAGGGTGTTGGCAGCAAGCTAAGGGGTCAGCAGTCTTCATAATTTTGTGTGAGCAATAATGTAATAGGCCACATATCCCACTTAGTTCTACTCATGTCTGCAATAGATAGGATACATATGTTTTTGTGGTACAGACAGTTATTGTGATGCCACTTTTTTGCATATTTACTTAAAAGTGGGCAGAAGCAAAGTATCACATGTGCTTAGATTAAGAAGAATTTAGCTACTGCTGTTGCTTTGGTTAATCATCAGAGGAAATATGCAGTCCTTATTTGCTTGGTTTATAAACTATGACTATATCTTTAAAAAGCATTAAAATTAGCCAGTTTAAGTGTAACTATCTTTGTTTCAGTGGTATAGCTCACTGTTTTAAAAAAATGTTATTTTAACTGGTATATAAAAATGTAAATAATTTGTGTAAAGATTTTTAAATGTGATAATCCTGTTAAACTTGTATTTCATTCTGATGATATATATGTGGCTTCTTAGCCATTTTGGTATATTCTCGGAAGGAAAAGTGGTTACTAGGCTAGCACTATACACTGTCTTGAAAGTGGAAGCTCCAGGGTTCTGTTTAAAACTTATCACCTTCAAATGTTAGCATTGAAGTCACCTTAAAGATCAGATCCAGTGGTTTTCAATCAGGGGCATATATGAGAATCACTTGTGGAGCTTTGTTCTATCCCAGACATATTGAATCTGAATTTTCAGAAAGGGGGTTCAGAAATAATATTTTATTTAAGTTCTGCACGTGATTCTGATACCCACTAGTGGTTAGTAACCACAATCTGTCCAGCTGTCTTATTTTAGAGATGAGAAACTGAGGCCTAAGAAGTTTATACACATACTCTGTCCTCCTGATACTCCAAAGTCCCAGAAATCTTTCCACAACATTGCTCTGTATACAACACTGTGGAGAGGCAATGCACAGACAGAGATTAGGTTAAACATCCAGAAAATGGGCCAAATTGAGTCCAAAATGCTCACTGTAATCAGAATTTGATAAACATTTTTGTTTTCTAGCCCAGGCTGGAGCACAATGGTATGACCATAGCTCACCATAGCCTCAACCTGCTAGGCTCACCCAGTCCTCCTGCCTTATCTTCTTGAGTAGCAAGGACTGCAGGTGCATGCCACTGCATCCGGCTAACTTTTTTAGTTTTTGTAGCGACAGAGTCTTGCCATGTTGGCCAGGCTGGTCTCGAAATCCAGGGCTCAAGTGATCCTCCCACCTTGGCCTCTCAAAGTACTAGGATTACAGGCATGAGCCACCTCACCCAGCTCGTTTTGATGATTTAAAGCAAATACTGTCTATTGATAGCTTATCGTTATGCAAAATCTAAATATCCTATTATTCTTTAGTAATTTAACTTTTGAACTGAAGTAAATGTGATATTTTTCATTCATTCATTTAGTGGGCATTCCTCCAAGTAGACCAACGCCTTCAGACATGGCCATTGTTATGTATACTAGTGGTTCTACTGGCCGACCTAAGGGAGTGATGATGCATCATAGCAATTTGATAGCTGGAATGACAGGCCAGTGTGAAAGAATACCTGGACTGGGGTAAGATAATTCTTTAACTTTCTTCTTAGAAATCAGAGTTCATGTTCAGCATTCTCTAAACTCAATCTATATTAAAATGATAAAGCTCTTGGTATTTCTAACTTCAAATGCCTTTTCAAGAATGGTTAAAATATTTCTCTTATTTTGTTTTAGACCGAAGGACACATATATTGGCTACTTGCCTTTGGCTCATGTGCTAGAACTGACAGCAGAGATATCTTGCTTTACCTATGGCTGCAGGATTGGATATTCTTCTCCGCTTACACTCTCTGACCAGGTGACAAACTTTTCAGTATATTGGCATGATCGTATGATGCTGCATGGTTTGGCTGAGAACATATTACTAGGACTCGAGATATTTTAATTCAGCTAAAGCTTTCTCCTTGACCTCAAAATAGCTTCCATGAACAATATGTAGCTATAGGAGATTACCCTGTAGATTTGTTAGCATTGCTTTAGCTATATATTTTAAAATTATTTTTTTTTTCTTTTCTTTTGCTCTGTCACCCAGACTGGAGTGCAATGGTATGATCTTGGCTCACTGCAACCTTTGCCTCTCGGGTTCAAGCGATTCTCCTGCCTCAGCCTCTAGAGTAGCTGGGATTGCAGGCGCCCGCCACCATGCCCTGCTATTTTTTTTGTATTTTTAGTAGAGATGGGGTTTCGCCATGTTGGCCAGGCTAGTCTCGAACTCCTGACCTCCAGTGATCTGTCCGCCTCGGCCTCCCAAAGTGCTGGGATTACAGATGTGAGCCACTGTGCCCAGCCTTAAAATTATTTAAAAATGAATAATTACTTTTATCTTTTTCTACTAGATTTTTACTCTTGAGAACTACGATAGAGAATATAAATGCAATGAGCCTTTTTGACACACTACCCATGAGCATTGGTGGGTTTCTGGGAGGAGATATGTTAGGGTCTTGGCCCAGTTTTCCCGAGATTTTTCTAGAGCAGTACCGTCTGATACAGTAGCCACTAGGCAGATATTTAAATAAAAATTAAGGGCCGGGCGCGGTGGCTCATGCCTGTAATCCCAGCACTTTGGGAGGCCGAGGCGGGTGGATCACAAGGTCAGGAGATTGAGACCATCCTGGCTAACATGGTGAAACCCCGTCTCTACTAAAAAAATACAAAAGAATTAGCTGGGCGAGGTGGTGGGCGCCTGTAGTCCCAGCTACTCGGGAGGCTGAGGCAGGAGAATGGCGTGAACCTGGGAGGTGGAGCTTGCAGTGAGCCAAGATCGCGCCACTGCACTCCAGCCTGGGCGACAGAGCGAGACTCCGTCTCAAAAAAAAAAAAATTAAGTAAAATTGAAAAAAATTTTTTTATTTGCTTTAGCCACATTTCAAGCTCTCAATAGCTACGTGTGACCAACGGCTACCATATTAGGCAGCAAAGATAAAGAATATTTTTATCATCACAGAAAGTTCTATTGGTAGGGGCTGAGGCATCTCCAAAGGTAGTCTCAGCTCACCATACTAAGTTAGGATTCTTCCTTCTCTCTGTAGTTCATAGCAGAAATCCCAACAATGGGTGGGGCTAACTCATATATGTTATACCCATTTGAAATTACACACCTAATACTATTGTCCACAGTTCTGTTTTATGTCTTCTTTGGAATAGTTGCTGTAGAAAAGCTTCAACCAGGCTTAGGGGAAAAAAAAAAAGAGCCACTAAAGAAGCTGTGGGGTTCTGGATGCTGAAAGACAAAGCAAGTATAGGTAGGAATGACTTGTCTATACGTGGCTCTGCTCCTCCAACACTGGGGGCCCAGCTGTTGTTTTTCAGACCGCCCCCCACCAGGCAATGCTGCCTTTTGTTTGAGAGTCTCCATGGAGCATGTAGTTGGTAAGATACGTCCTCAGTGTTCACAGTTAGAAATTGTAATACTTTATTTGTAGAAATACCATTTTAGGGAGAGGCTAGATAGGTTGTATACTATTAAAACAAAAAAAGTTAAATAGTTTTTTTTGGACTTGAGATTCCAATCACCTTTGTGTTTTTTTTTTTTTTGATATATGACTTAAAGTGCACAAATATTAAGTGTACTGCTTGATGAGATTTAATAAGCATATACACATATAGACCTCTGTGATCATCACCGTCTAGATTAGGAAAACAAAGAACATTTTCAGCACCCGTGAATGTCCCTTGGGTCCCCTCCTGGTCATTACCACATTGGATTCTCTTTGAAGGAAGAATCCAGCCTTCTTTTAAAGTGGCTTTTTCTGTGAGAACGCATTCTGTTCCAAACAACTCCTAGCTTTGTACTTTAAGAAACACAATCTTTGTATGACAGGGTGCTGCTGTGTTTGACTATACCACTCAGCTATAAATTCACACTTAAAATCTGCTAGAATAGTAATGGTATGAATAAATACACTATCCGATTGATAGCAGAACTTGACCTGGTGAAATCAAAGTAGACCTATCAATAAGACTAAGGCTTAAACTCTAAAACAAATTTAGTAAAATCTCTGATCATTATGTTTTGTTGTCATGGGTTTTTCTTATGCTCAGAGACATTATCAAAATGTAGAAAACATTTCAGTAAACTTTGAGTATAATTTTTTTTTCCCTTTGTGAATTTGGAAGCCAGGACTAGCCGTTCTTTGATTTTTCACTGCCTTTCTGAGAACAATAGCCTCAGTGTGGGAAAGGAGGGACAGTTGGAGTCTGTTGCTGGTCTGACTTAATTCTTGCTGTCTCTTAGGCTAAGCTAGTACATTAGAAGCCTGTTCAGTAAAATTCACACCTACTTTTTAAATGAACTTTACTGTAAAGACTCTCAATCTTACTAGGAATCTAAAACACTGGAACTTGCTTCACATAGGAAATCAGAAGGATGCAGGAGACTAGAAGCACCACATTTGGAGCCAACTGATGATAGCAATATTGTCATAACCAGGATTACTATGATCACAAGAAGACAAAATAACTGATAAAATTACTAAGAGTAAAAAAAACAAAGAAGGGCTTCTTGTGGCTTCTGCTATCCTGGAACTGCTCTCTGTAGCAAGAGCTGGTCAGTAGCATGCAGAGGGCAACTCCGACCTGAAGGACATGAGAGCCCATTTTGTTTCTGCAGAGCAGCCCTCCTGTGTGTGGTGTACATGGTTTCTGTGTAGGTTTCCACTTGCAAATGTGCACATCCTTGCACATATGTAAAATGAGTTATTTTATCTCCTTTATCCATATTAAAGAAAAGTAGGAGAAAGGCAACTTAGTTCTATCGGGAGAACCATCCTCTATATGGCCATTTGTGCACATTTATGTGTATCTCTACTTTGTCCCTGGCAGTGTTCTCAGTATCTTACCAACTAGAATATTACCAAATTAGAGTTTCAGTATGATGTTAATTGATGTTCATAGTGGTGTCTTCAGGATGTGGCTTTGCCTATTGTTAATCAAAGAAAGTTAAAATCACCTTCAATTTTGTTTTAGTGTTATATCTGTCTTAATCAAGTTTTTTTGAAAATGTAGTAATAGTCTGTGCTATATTTGATAGTATGTTATTAATAAGAATGTTTGATTCATCACAATGTCATTCTCTTGTTATCCTGGATCAAGGTTTCTCCTCTAAGGAAGGTGAAATGTGCTAGAAGCAGTTATCTGTAGCACTAAAATACTTACATTTGAGACTTGTAGGTTATGATAGTTGTTAACAGATAATCACAGAGCAATAAAAGCTCAAATTCCAAGTGTAACTTCTGTATTTGTTATTAATACTTGAATTACAACATGTTTTAAGGTTGGTTTTCCTGATCATATTTATTTTTTCTTTAATATAGTCCAGCAAAATTAAAAAAGGAAGCAAAGGAGACTGTACTGTACTGAAGCCCACACTTATGGCTGCTGTTCCGGTGAGTACAGAATATGAATATGAACATAAGAGGATTGTTTATATAATTTATTGATCGTACTTGGACCTTTTAAAAAGTAATACTCTTAGATATGTCTACATTTTAAAATAATTTTACCTTGTTGAAATCACAGCAAATGTGTTCATTAAAATCTTAGGTACCATACTAGGGAAGACAAAATGGCAAGATTTTGAAATGCACGCCTGTTTGAGTTTGCTGATACATGAAAATTAGGTGATGAAAATGACCTAGTTCAGGTTACCTACTGTGAGAATTGGTCAGACCGTTTTAAGGTAGAATATATTCTAAAGATCATCTTGTTTAATCTCTTAATTAAAAAAATGAGGAAACTTTAGGCCATCCTAGGGAGCTGAAGAATCGTATACAAGGTCAAGGATCTAAGCCCTCCCAACTCTCTTATGGTGATTAAGTAAACTGAAAATTGGAGAGAGCTCCCAAAGGAAAAAAGTTTAATTCTATATATTCGGAATCTTCATGTGAAATACTGCCTTAAAAAAAAAAGATGTTACATTTTATAGCCTTGTAATGATGAATTTTGAAACATTTAACACCATGTTTCAGATTTGTGTAATCAAATATGTTCTAGCTTTTTTTATGCTTCAGAAACTTCAGAAAGACTATGTATCACTACTGCTTATATTATGATCAGACTTGAAATCTTACCCCAATATCTTTCACAGAATTACTTTTGTATATGGAAACTCTGAGATTAGATAAGAAAGTGTTCAGTCCAAGTTGTTCTGAGAATTACAGATGGAAGATACTTTATGGTCCTTTTAGCTTCTAATTGCAAAATTACCAAATAACAAAGAAGTAGAATAGGTCAGAGAAGACTTTGCCTTTTTATTTAGAGGTTCTGTGTAATTCATAAAGTTTTCAAACAGAAAGAAGAGGCATCTGACTAAAACCATAAAAAAGTTGCTAATAATAGCTAGTGCAGTGCTTCCTATGTGCTAGGTAGGCACTGTGCAAAATGCCTTAGATAAATTATCTCACTTAATTCTAAGACTGCAAGGTGGGCCCTGTTACTCTATCTTATAAAGAAGGAAAGTTGCCCCAAAGCCACACAGCTCATAGGTGATGGAATCAAAGTTTGAACTCTACCAATCTGATACTGGTGGAGTATCAGTCTATCAGTCTTCTTAACCACTATGGCTGTCTATTTAGGACTGTTTCACATTCAGAATTCCCTAGCAAACCTTATCAGATAACATAGGAAGAGGTAAGAGCTGAGGTGTTAAAGAAGTAATCTCCGATTTTAGGCCTGAAGGATAAGCACAGTTAGCACATAGGCTCCTTATCCTCTAATTGCCCATTGTCCATTCTTCCCTGCTTTACTTTGTGTCTTGAGGGGCTATGTTCTGTGCACGAATTACCAGTGCATCCTTGCCTTATGACTTCTGGTTGGGTTCAGCCAATTGGAGGGCCTCATGAGAGATCAGAGGGCAGAAAGATAGAGAGTCTGCACACTTATTACCTTTGCTCCTTTCCTGCTGGGCTGCAAATTTTAGCAGCTGTCAGGAGACCCTGTTGGATAGTCTCCTTCCCGTTGGTTGTAACCAGGTCTTTCCCATGGCTAGAGTCCTCATCCAGGTTCCAATGACACTTGTCTTATGTCTTGCGGCCTCGAGATAGTAATGTTCCCTATGTTGCTAGTCCATTGGCACCTCATCAAATATTATTGGGTTTCCTTTTTAGCCCCTCCTGTTTCTCCAGAAATAGGCCATTTAAAAAAAAAACAACTCTTTATTGAGAATTATTTTTGGTAGAGTCTGTTTTTTGAGTTTGTTTCTTTCCTGGGTCAGAATGAAAGATTGATTGAATACTATAACATTCACAGTGAAAATTCAGAATAAGTCACTACTTATCAGCTGTGGCTCCATTGAACATCATGTAATGTTAGGTTGAGATAAAGGGTGACTTAATGTGCTAACAATAAACTCTGCCAATGTGTTACAACTGTATTATGTTCCTTACTCATCAAGGCCTTGCTGATGTCTATGATTAGTATCCAGTGCTGGAAGGAGCAGTAGACATGGTTCTCACACATCTGTCTCATTCCCAAGCCCCTGCCCCCTCTCCCCTCCCCACCCCCATTTTTTTTTTAAGATCTCATATACTTTTTAAGAAGGATGGATATAGGATGCTCAAGTCCTGCTAGGGAATGATGGGGGATTCTGTCACAGATGTAGAGAAATATTTCAGTTATATAATAGTGATTCCTTTTGTGGAAATGGAGAAAACAATATTGTACCATGTTTGAGTGCTATGGTAACTTTTTTTTTTTTTTTTTTTTTTTTTAGTATTTATTGATCATTCTTGGGTGTTTCTCAGAGAGGGGGATTTGGCAGGGTCATAGGACAATAGTGGAGGGAAGGTCAGCAGATAAACATGTGAACAAAGGTCTCTGGTTTTCCTAGGCAGAGGGCCCTGCCGCCTTCCGCAGTGTTTGTGTCCCTGGGTACTTGAGATTAGGGAGTGGTGATGACTGTTAACGAGCATGCTGCCTTCAAGCATCTGTTTAACAAAGCACATCTTGCACCACCCTTAATCCATTTAACCCTTAGTGGACACAGCACATGTTTCAGAGAGCATGGGGTTGGGGGTAAGGTTATAGACTAACAGCATCCCAAGGCAGAAGAATTTTTCTTAGTACAGAACAAAACGGAGTCTCCTATGTCTACTTCTCTCTACACAGACACAGAAACAATCTGATCTCTCTTTCTTTTCCCCACATTTCCCCCTTTTCTATTTGACAAAACCGCCATCGTCATCATGGCCCGTTCTCAATGAGCTATTGGGTACACCTCCCAGATGGGGTGGCGACCTGGCAGAGGGGCTCCTCACCTCCCAGACGGGGCGGCCAGGCAGAGGCGCCCGCCTGCCACCTCCCGGACGGGGTGGCTGGTCGGGCGGGGGCTGCCCCCCACCTCCCGGATGGGGTGGCTGGCCAGGCGGGGGCTGCCCCCCAGCTCCCGGGCGGGGCGGCTGGCCGGGCGGAGGGGCTCCTCACTTCTCAGACGGGGAGGCCGGTCAGAGACGCTCCTCATCTCCCAGACGGGGCGGCGGCGGGGCAGAGACACTCCTCAGTTCCCAGACGGGGTCGCGGCTGGGCAGAGGCGCTCTTCACATCTCAGATGGGGCGGCAGGGCAGAGGTGCTCCCCACATCCCAGAGGATGGGCGGCTGGGCAGAGACACTCCTCACTTCCTAGACAGGATGACGGCCGGGAAGAGGCGCTCCTCACTTCCCAGACTGGGCGGCCGGGCAGAGGGGCTCCTCACATCCCAGACGATGGGCGGCCAGGCAGAGACGCTCCTCACTTCCTAGACGGGGTGGCGGCCGAGCAGAGGCTGCAATCTCGGCACTTTGGGAGGCCAAGGCAGGCGGCTGGGAGGTGGAGGTTGTAGCCAGCCGAGATCACGCCACTGCACTCCAGCCTGGGCAACATTGAGCACTGAGTGAGTGAGACTCCGTCTGCAATCCCAGCACCTCGGGAGGCCGAGGCTGGCAGATCACTCACGGTCAGGAGCTGGAGACCAGCCTGGCCAGCATGGCGAAACCCCGTCTCCACCAAAAAATACGAAAACCAGTCAGGCGTGGCGGCACGCGCCTGCAATCCCAGGCACTCGGCAGGCTGAGGCAGGAGAATCAGGCAGGGAGGTTGCAGTGAGTCGAGATGGCGGCAGTACAGTCCAGCCTCCGCTCGGCATCAGAGGGAGACCGTGCAAAGGGGAAGGGAGAGGGAGAGGGAGAGGAGGGAGAGGAGGGAGAGGGAGAGCTTTTTTTTTTTTTTTGAGACGGAGTCTTGCTCTGTCACCCAGGCTAGAGTGCAGTGGTGTGATGTCGGCTCACTGCAACCTCCACCTCCCGGGTTCAAGCGATTCTCCTGCCTCAGCCTCCCTAGTAGCTGGGATTATAGGCGCCTGCCACCACGCCCGGCTAATTTTTGTATTTTTGGTAGAGACGGGGTTTCACCATCTTGGCCAGGCTGATCTCGAACTCCTGACCTCGCAATCCACCCACCTCAGCCTCCCAAAGTGCTGGAATTACAGGCGTGAGCCACTATGCCCAGCCTGTGGTAACCTTTTTAAGGGATGGTTCTGCTGTCTTCATTTGTGAGTGGCTCTATTCTAATATTGAAAGAACTGCCCATTAAGTTATTCATTATAGCATACCTTAATTTGTACTGATAATTGATATTTTAAGTATTTGGAAACACGTATTTATAAACAGATGTGCTTTATGTAATAATTCTTAATTTGTGTTAAATAATTTCAAGAAAACATCATTTAGTGGTAGTCTGGGCTGTTTGCTGTTTATTTTTTTTTGTTTTGTTTTGTATTAACCTTAGAGTCGGTATATCTTAAACCTGGTCCTACCTCCAGTTTTCCAAGTTTGTGTGAGCAAGAATCGTGTTCTTTGCTTCCGTTAAAATGTAATAGAAATGCTTAAACTATAGATACTTAGGATTTTAAGAAACTAATGCTTTCTGCCATGCTGTAAGAAGGTCACAAAGTTGTAGTAAAAAAAGAGAAAAGCATCATGAATAGATTCAACATAGTCAGGTATTTTGGTACTGTTTGAGAATAAGTGAATATATTGTAACAGAGATTAATTTTTTTTTCTGCGACAGCTGAGTGAATTCTCTAAACTCGAGCTAACATTTCTTAAAAATTTAGATTAACTTGGCTGGGCACGGTGGCTCACGCCTGTAATCCCAACACTTTGGGAGGCCGAGGTGGCGGATCACGAAGTCAGGAGTTCGACACCAGCCTGGCTAACACATTGAAACCTTGTCTCTACTAAAAATACAAAAAATTAGCCGGGTGTGGTGGCAGGCGCCTGTAGTCCCAGCTACTGGGGAGGCTGAGGCAGGAGAATGGGATGAACCCAGGAGGTGGAGCTTGCAGTGAGCCGAGATCCCGCCACTGCACTCCAGCCTGGGCAGCAGAGTGAGACTCCGTCTCAAAAAAAAAAAAAAAAATTTAGATTAACTTAATGTATAGAACTGAAGAAACCCCTATATCTGTCCTTAGTCTTTTTGAAGTAGTGAACAAGTAGTCAGTGAAATTAATTACATAATTAAAGAAACAAATATGTCCATTATGCTAAAGACTTTTACCCAAGATGTTGCAAGTAAGGTATCTTCAACTAAAGACTGTCTCCATTCCTTTCAGATTATTGAATATTTTGTTTAACTTTCAGGAAATCATGGATAGAATTTATAAGAATGTTATGAGCAAAGTCCAAGAGATGAATTATATTCAGAAAACTCTGTTCAAGATAGGGTATGATTACAAATTGGAACAGATCAAAAAGGGATATGATGCACCTCTTTGCAATCTGTAAGTACATTTCATAGGCTCTGTGGTTTGAGCCTTTAAATTTTTTTATGCTTTTAAATCCAGAAGATGAATAAATAAATGGCAAGTTAATTCATTTGAATATCACCACCATGATCATAAGGTTGAAATTCTCTTTTATTCTAAGTCTTATTGTTTATACAGCAAGCAGAGGACTCTGATCTTGGCAATTTAACAAATTTTAATAATTGAGTGTATATTTAAGATTTATTTATAAAATTTAGTTTCATGAAGAAAAACTAAAATAGACTTTTGAATCAAGACACTTGAGCTTAAAAAATGTCATTTCTAACTAAAAAAAGTGACCTCCATTGCATGAAGGTTTCTGATTTATTGTATTCATAAAATAGTGTAGTAAGTATATGAATATAACTTATTTTAAATGTGATGCTGAGGAGTGGGGATGGGGAAGCATTTTTTATTGGAAGTGAGATAAGATAGGTGATTAAATGTTCCAAAGATAATTAAAATTTTTTTACCTCTGATGTCTGTTTTCTTTCATTTACTTGTGTCAGCATAGTTTCCCGATGCTACACATTATCTTTCTTCATTTTTAAAGAGTTTTTTCTGGCATTTTTACAAGGCGTTACTAGTTGTTGCCTTGTTAACCTCTCATTCTCACCGTGATTCTGACATTGAGATGTTCAACCAGTTGAGGAATCTTTCCCAGAGCTTATAAATTAGTGTGTTGCCAAGAATAATGTATGCGTACATTAAAATCATTTATCCTCCCTTTATTAAGGTTACTGTTTAAAAAGGTCAAGGCCCTGCTGGGAGGGAATGTCCGCATGATGCTGTCTGGAGGGGCCCCGCTATCTCCTCAGACACACCGATTCATGAATGTCTGCTTCTGCTGCCCAATTGGCCAGGGTTATGGACTGACAGAATCATGTGGTGCTGGGACAGTTACTGAAGGTAAGCATTATTAATGTGGTAAATATTCTGTATCAGCTGCTACTAATAAAATACATTCGCATTACCTTTGGAAACCATGGTAACTTTAAAATACCTCTTAACTAATATCAGATTCATTGCAAATCAGTGTAGTTTTGGTTTATGAATTCTTAATTATAAGTATCATGTGGACCCTTTCATTTTAAGCCTTATAATTTTTTTTTTTTTTGAGATGGAGTTTCACTCTTGTTGCCCAGGCTGGAGTGCAATAGCATAATCTCAGCTCACTGCAACCTCCACCTCCTGGGTTCAAACAATTCTCCTGCCTCAGCCTCCCAAGTAGCTGGGATTACAGGCGTGTGCCACCATGCCCAGCTAATTTTTGTATTTTTAGATGGGGTTTCACCATGTTGACCAGGCTGGTCTCGAACTCCTGACCTCAGGTGATCTGCCTGCCTCGGCCTCCCAAAGTGCTGGGATTACAGGCGGTGAGCCACCACGCCCGGTCGCCTTATAAATATTTATGCCACACAGTCGGTCCTCAAAATCCTGTCACCCTGGTCCTTTAGTCTTCTTTCTCTAAATGATCACTTCTTTGGAGAACTGTACTATTAAAAATGAAGTATCACTTTTATGCTCCCTCTTAAATCTGTGTTCCTGTCCTAACTTCTTCTTTGGTTTCCCTTTTGTTATTTTCAACAGCCTGAAGCGAGGTTTCCCAACCCTGACACTGTTCAAATTTTGAATCCGATAATTCTTTGTTGTTGAGGGCTGTTGTATGCATTGCAGAATATTTAGTTGCCAAAGCAGATGTTTATGGGCTCACCCCAGCTGTGACAATGAAACATATCCCCAAACATTGCCAGATATCCCCTGGGGGGCAAAATCACTTTAGGTTGAGAAACACTGGGGTATAGGAATTGTTTTTTTGGATAATCTTATTTTCGCTTTAAACTCATTGTGTCCAAAATCAATGCCATTATTCTAAACTGTCTCTCTATTGACAAATTATTTGTTTGTGTCAATGGTGATACCATCCTTAAAGTCATTCCAGGTATCAGCTTTGAAGTCATCTGTTTATTTTAAAATATCTTTAAATGTCATCAGATCATTCCTTCATTAGGTTTCTCCTTTCCCTCCATATCACCTCTGTCGTCCAACTTTTTATTGCTCCATTCTGCTCCGACCTAACAGCCTTTTTATTTTTGAGACAGAGTCTTGCTCTGTTGCCCAGGCTGGAGTGCAGTGGCACAATCTCAGCTCACTGCAACCTCCGCCTCCCGGGTTCAAGCAATTCTCTTCCCTTAGCCTCCTGAGTAGCTGGGACTACAGGCGTGTGCCACCACACCTGACTAATTTTTGTATTTTTAGTAGAAGCGGGGTTTTACCATGTTGGCCAGGCTGGTCTCGAACTCCTGACCTCAGGTGATCCACCCACCTCAGCTTCCCAGAGTATTAGGATTACAGGCGGGAGCCACTGCGCCTGCCCTGACCTAACAGCCTTGTAACAGCTGTGTCTGCCTACATTACATCACTTCTGATTTATCCTGTATCCTTCTATTAGATGCATCCACCTCATCCACTGCTTGATACCTGATGTATCAAATCTAAACACCTCTTTACCTAGCTTTGACATCTTTAATCTGATGCTAGTGTACTTATCCAACATCATTTTCCATTATTCCCCACATATACACAATGCCTGGCTCTTCTCTCCAGACCCACCAGTCTTCTTACTGTTTCTTATGAAGGCATTCTTGGTCTCACCTCTATGTATTTTCTTTTCCCTTCTCTTGGAATGTCCTTTTTGCTTATTGATCACAACCATCTTTTAATGCCCACTTTTCAATAATGTCTTTCCTAACTACTTCATTTTACATTCATTGTTTAAGTCTCTAAGCTACTATTGTGCTTACCTTCAGTGCCCATGCAGTTTAGTATTTAAATGTTCTCTGAATTGTTTCACATGCATTTCTTCCCAGTTCATTTGTAAGGTCATTGAGTGCAGGGTCTCCTTATCTCTCATGTGCTGTTTACATAATGGGCTGTCCATAAATATTTGTTTATTGCTAGCAATAATCACAAATTGCAAATGGATATCATCATCATGATGATGTTTGACAACAGCAGCTAACATCTTTTGAAGGCTTAGCTTGTGCCAAGAAGTGTTAAGCATTGTCCATGTATCATCTCATTTAATCCTCACAGCATATCCCTGTATGAAGTAGGTTTTGTTACTATCTCCATTTCATAGATGAGGAAATGGAGGCTTAGAGAGGCTAAGTTACTTGTCCATGTTACATAGCCAATGAGTGGTAGAGCAGGAATTCCAATCAAAATCTATCTTATGACAAGCTTAGGTAGATAACGGTGGAGCCATCTCTCCTCCTTTAACAGATATTTTGTACTTAATTACATAAAATATAACCATGAAAAGCAAAAATGATGTAACAACAATGGAATCCATTGCACTATTGAAGTGGAGTTGAAATACTGAAAAATGATCACACTTTGCACTCCTTCTTTTGTCATTTTTCTGACTCTGGTTCTAACTCTAATATTCCCAGTGCATTGGTACAAATCTGGAATGTGGTATGCTAATATCTCTGTTACTTTTTCCCTCACAGTAACTGACTATACTACTGGCAGAGTTGGAGCACCTCTTATTTGCTGTGAAATTAAGCTAAAAGACTGGCAAGAAGGTAAGAATTTTATGAAAAGCTCTAGTGATTCAAGATATGCTGAAAACTACTGTCAGCTTTATGACTTTCATTTCTTTAAAGTCTGGGGAAGCAAATAATTCTCTGCTGTTTTGCTGTTGCCTGTCCCCATGCATTCTTTTTCCTCAGTGATATCTTTAGGTTCCCAAGAGGAAAATAAAATCTCTAGAATCTAGGATTAATGATTCTGAACTTGACAATACTTGAAGGTAAAGAGAAAAAAAATTCTTACTGGAGCTTTCTGGGTTTGGAGAAGGTGAGGATCCTTGAAACTTGACTTTACTAGTGAGAATGTTTGGGCTGAGAAACCCCAGATTTTTAGGGGATAGAATGATGGGTTGCACTCATACACACACCAACTTCTTAGATCTTGATCCCAGAAAAGATTTTCATAGTTGAGACTCAACTGTCCAGCTATTTGTATAGTTGAATTTTTATATGTACCTGCACAGACAAGCCACTTAGAAGAAAACTAGAGACATTGATGATCATCCTTTCTATAAATTAGCTGAAGGCAAATATCAACCAGTCTTCTTAATGAAAGATACTAAATATACACAGTAACTACAATAAAGTAGATTGTTAAATAAAACAAATAATTAACAGCCTAGCCATGTCAGATAAAGGAAGAGTAATTAAAATGCTTAAGATTTTAAAAGAGAATATTTACCTTAGGATGGAACACGGACTAAAAATTTAAAGTACAAGTTACCGTGTAGGATGCAACCCTTAGGTTGTCCAAACCCTGAGAAAATGAATACGTTTTTATCTAACATAAACTTTAAGTTTCTAAAGCATTTTTTATTATGTGTGTTATTGTCAGTGCTTTATGAGCAAATGACTATTTCTTTTTTAAAAACACATTTTAAAAAGCCAGTTGCATTCCCAAGAGTTTTACACCTTGGGACTTAGTCTTCCCTTTTTCCATGGTAATGGCATTCCAATTTTACCATGAAAATCTGAAGAAAATAGTTTGTGTGTATGTGTTTTGGACATCAACATCAGAATTATTTTATTAGGTAAGTTTTTAATTGTTAGGCAGTGGAATCAGAGAAATGTTTAAAGGCAAAAATCTCCTTACCAAGTTTTACTATAATTTTTATTTTCTGATTTCCTGGTACTGGGCCTTAATGTCAGTTTTGGGGAGTAGGTCCCTTGTTGAACATGTATTTGGAGTTTTCCTTGCTGTGAAGACTCTTTGGCTTTATACTGTATGAATGATCTCAGTTTTTTTTTAACATACAATGGGTTTTATCATGTTGAAATATTGAATAGTTTTAAGTTTATCAGAGCAGCTAACAGCTGAAAGGAACCCTGATTTTAATCCTTTTATGACACAAAATCTAGTCTATATCTTATTTTGCAAATTTAGATTTTTGTATATTTTCCTTAAAGTAAGCTTCCTTCAGTAATACAGAGGTAATGAGTAGTGATGAAATATATTAGTATTTATTATCAATTAGTTTAGTGTTTGAACTTCTAAAGTCATGACTGGCCACAGGCAAAATTAATACAATTTTCTTCCTGTTTCCCATAGTCCCCCCTTTCCCTCTCACTTTATGATGCTACCATTTTTGGGTACTTACTGCATGTTCTTTTTGGTTAAAACCTCCTTAGAAAAAATTTGAAATGCATTGATATCAGTATGTCAGTAATTTACTTATAACAGCTTCAAGTGTTACTCTTCCTGGGGGTGATTTTATCTTAACAGAACTCTGTGAACACTAAGCTCTAATGGTGTTCTAAGTGTGAAATGTTATGGTATGGGAAGGTTTGAGATGGGTGATTGTTGGTGGTGATTATCATTGAGCCTTTCTTGGTGTTCTTAAAATCACAGTCACCCAGTATCCTCATGTAAATTTTAGTAAATATAAACTAATGTTCTCTCATAAAGTGATATAAAATCTGATCAGCAGAAAAATACTAACATACGTATAAGCTTTAAGAATTAATGAAATTTGTTGTAGAACAATAACTAATTTACTTTTATGATTTCCAGGCGGTTATACAATTAATGACAAGCCAAACCCCAGAGGTGAAATCGTAATTGGTGGACAGAACATCTCCATGGGATATTTTAAAAATGAAGAGAAAACAGCAGAAGATTATTCTGTGGATGAAAATGGACAAAGGTGGTTTTGCACTGGTGATATTGGAGAATTCCATCCCGATGGATGTTTACAGATTATAGGTCAGAATGTTTTCTTTTTATGGTTTTCTTTAGTTTTTATAACTTCAGTATATATGAAAGGTAATATTGATCAGTCATTAATAAAGTTGATGGTTCCATTAGTTCAAACTTTGGACAAGTTATTTAACTTATGTATGAGCTTCTCCATCAGCAAAACAAGGACAATACCAACCTCATAGGGCTGTCGTTAAGATTAAATGAGTTGATATATGTAAAATATTCTAAACAGAGCCTGAACCTTAGCGTAAGTACTAGCAGCACTAGCAACAGCAGCATTGAGTGTAGAGAGAATGGGCAGGGAAATAGCAAACAGGTAATGAGAAAACAAAAAGAGCTCAGAGGACGTCTTTCTTGGTCAACCACATGTGATTTTATATAACTGTTTCCTATAACATACTCTATGCTAGGCCTTCCTCACTCTTCACCTCTCCACCCAAGGGGCAGCATGGGCACATATATTTTTTTTTACTGTTGGCTATTTATATGTGTCTAACGAGGCCTGAACCTTAGAAAATTAATATCAATCCTTAGCACTAGTCAGTTCTGAGAATGTCAGTTACTTTGGCATTGTCCTCATTGAGTCTACTGAAGTGGACCTTTATGTTCAAAAAATGACTCCAAAATGGGCCCTTGTGCTATTCACTTGGATGAGGCAAAAGTTAAAACTTGCTGATGAGAACCCCTCAGCAAGATCCCAGTCAGGTCTTTTTTAAGACATAGAGTTTCCTCACCTATATGTAGTGACTGATTTCAATCCATCGCTGGACCTCACGATATCTGACCTGAATATAGTTAGAGATTTCCTGGGAAAATTGGTTCTTCATCTAGAAATTTGAACCAGGAACCATGGTTCAGTTGAGAAACAATAAGCTTTTTTCCCCCTTGTTCCTTAATTGCACTGGAATCAAAGGTTATTTCTGTAGAGTGGGTTCCCAGGCTACGGGTAGGCAAATCAGCACTCATACTCATTCCAAGGCCATGTGATGATTATTCAAGCTGTGCCATCCTGTGCTAGCACTTTCTTAGAGAACTGTCATTTTAACAAGATAATGTCAAAAGTGGAAAAGGAGAATTAACATGTGTTAAATGTGTTCTATATGCCAGACATTGTGGGATATGTCTGTATGAGGTAGGCATCATTATCCTGATAAAACTTGAGGATTAGAAGGTTAACTGACATGCCGAGGATCACTTAGCTAGTACCAGGCAGAGTTACCATTCAGATAGAATGTTCCAAAGTCCTAGTTCCCTCTATTAAATTGATTATAATATTTAAGATTATAATAAGATGCTAAAGCTTTGGGTTTAAGGTGTAACTTTTAGCCAATACTTACTTAAGTAGGCATTTTATTTTTAACTGGTGTGTATGGGCAACATTATATATATGCAGTTTTTGCCATTTTAAAAGTAATGGCAAAAACCACAATTACTTTTGCACCAACCTAATAATAATTTTAGAAGAAGTAGTTTTGTAAATAACGATTAAGGCAATGATATTCAAAGAAGACAGTCAGAATTGCATATACCTTAGTTAAACAGACTTAACATTCTTTATGACTTAACAGATCGTAAGAAAGATCTAGTGAAGTTACAAGCAGGAGAGTATGTATCTCTTGGGAAAGTAGAAGCTGCACTGAAGAATTGTCCACTTATTGACAACATCTGTGCTTTTGCCAAAAGGTAACTTTCCAAAGTTGTATTTTTTGTTTCGTAAGTCAAAAGATATTTAGAAAATAATGTGATTACATATTATCATAAGGGTAACATAGTCTTCTCTTAGAATTTTCATCAGATCTGGGGAATTGTACATTTATGTAAGTTAGTGAATTCAACAGCTTAAAGATCATTTTAGATAACTCAGACGTGTTAACTATTTATTGGACACCTGCATCTTGCTAAATACTTAGCTATGCAACAAGTTATTTCATTTAACATCCATGACAACTGAGACTTAGTATAAGTAATTTTCCCAAAAATGTAACACAACTACTACATGTTGAGATGAATTTTGAACCCAAGTTTTTCTAAATCAAAAGCCTAAGAGATTGAGCCATTTTCTTTATATGTTGATATGTCTTATTTTTATGGGTTTTATTCTTTTTTAAAAATTGTAATTGTGGTAAAAAGCATATAACGTAAGATTTACCATCTTAACCATTTCTAAATGTACAGTTCAGTAGTGTTGTGTATATTTACATTGGTGTGCAGCCAATCTCCAGACCTTTTTTTCTTGCAAAATGGAAACTCTATACCCATTAAACAGCAACTCCTATTCCTCCTCCCTCCTTCCCCTGGGAACCACCATTCTACTTTCTGTTTCTATGAATTTGACTTCTCTAGAAATCTCACACAAGTAGAATTATACAGTTTTTGCCTTTTTGTGATTGGCTTAATTCCCTTAGTATAATGTCCTCAAGGATTATCCATGTTGTAGCATATGTCAGAATTTCCTTCATTTTGAAGGCTTAACAATATTCCATTGTATCCATATAATGTATTTTGTTTATATATTCATTGTCAGTGCACATTTTGGTTGCCTCCCCCTCTTGGTTGTTGTGAATAATGCTCCTAGGAAAATGCGTATGCAAATATCTCTTTGAGATCCTGCTTTCAATTATGTGGATAGATACCTAGATTTAGAATTGCTGGATCATATGACAGTTCTATTTTTAATTTTTTAAGGAACTGCAATACTGTTTTCCATAGCAACAGCACCATTTTTACATTTCCTACAACAGTACACAAACATTCTAGTTCCTCCACTTCTTCACTAGCACTTGTTTGTTTTATATAGTAGTCATCCTCATGGATGTGAGGGGATATTTTGTTTTAGTTTTGATTTGTATTTTCCTAATGATTAGTGCCACTGAGCACCTTTTCCTATGATTGTTGGCCATTCATATATTATCGCTGGAGAAATGTCTATTCAAGTTCTTTGTTCATTATTTAATTGAGCTATTTGGTTTTTTGTTACTGAGTTGTGGAAATTATATATTCTGTTTATTAACCCCTTATCAGATATATGATTTGCAAATTTTTTTTTTCTATTCCATAGATTGCCTTTTTACTCTGCTGATTGAGTCTTTTGATACACACAAGTTTTTAGTTTTGTTGTAGTCCCAGTTATCTGTTTTTTGCTTTTGTTGCCTTTGCTTTTGGTGTCACACCCAAGAAATATTGCCAAATCTATTCTCATAAAGTGTTTCTTCTGTTTTTTTTTTTCTAGCAGTTTTATAGTTTTATCAGATTGGTGCAAAAGTAATTTTGGTTTTTGCCATTAATGTCAATTACTTTTGCACCGACTTAATAGCTCTTCGATGTTTAGATTTTTGATCCATTTTGAGCTAATTTTTGTATATGTTGTAAGGTGAAGGTCCACCTTCATTCATTGCATGTGGATATCCAGTTTTCCTAGTACCATTTGTTGACGAGACTGTCCTTTCCTCATTGAGTGGTCTTAACACCCTTGTCAAAGATCGTTTCTCCATAGATACAAGGGTTTACTTCTAGTTTCTCTATTCCATTGGTCTATATGTCCTTCTTTATGCTGGTACTATGGGTTTTATCATTTCCTAATGAAACTTTAATAAATAAGAGAAATATATATTTGGAATTATCTGTACTGTACTATGTCATTGACTAGTTTATGAATAACTTTTCTCAATGTTTTCATTTCTATTTTATTTTCTGTTTTTTTAGTGATCAGTCCTATGTGATCAGTTTTGTGGTTCCTAACCAGAAAAGGTTGACACTTTTGGCACAACAGAAAGGGGTAGAAGGAACTTGGGTTGATATCTGCAATAATCCTGCTATGGAAGCTGAAATACTGAAAGAAATTCGAGAAGCTGCAAATGCCAGTAAGTAAGAAATTGCTAGACTGGTATAGTCCCTAAAAGTCATCTAATGATGTCTTTTGCATTAGGCTCTTCAATATGTTTGCTTTAATAATAAAATACAGGATTTTAAGAAACCTATTTCTTAAATATGTATAATGGATTTCCATGTTGGAAGGATCCTTCAATGTCATATAGTAGAATAACCTATGTAGTTCTTTATTGCATGTTTCAACATCTTTCCCAAAGTGGTCATCTAGCCTGTGTTTGGAATGGTCCATCTTTGGGTAGATCTGTTATATAAATCTACTTTGTGTCTGTAAAGCAGAAATTAGTAACTCTAAGTTTAGTAAATAGTGTTATAACCATGATTATGCTTTGTGTGTATACTGTGGCTCTGTAAATGGACTATCTTCAGATGGTACATTAATAACCAATTGGAGAAAATCTGCTTATATAGTATATGCCAGGAATTGTGTTACACACTAGGAATACAGAAAGTAGTAAGACTCATTTCTTGCTCTCATGTAGTTCATTATCAGGTGAGAGGGGCACATGAGAGAGACAACAATCTTAACAGCAATAGAGAGATGAACAGAGAATCATGGTACCACAGATGAGGGTACCTAACCTACTTGGGAGGACATGGAAGAGATGTCACTTCAGCTCATCCTTAAGGGTTAATTAGAAGTTAACTAGGTTGGGCATTCTAGGCCAAGAAGCAACATGAGAAAGGCAAATAGGTATGAAAAGGATGATGTGTGCAGGGAACTACAAGGGAGTCTGGTGTTACCGGTACAGTGCAAAGTATGAGGTAAGGCTGTAGAGGTTAGCAGAGGCCAAGTTGTGTAGTACCTTCTATGCTTGTTCAGAAATTTGGATGTAATCCTGTAGACAGTGAGGAGCCATTGGCAGGTTTTACTAGGTTAGTGATGTGGTCAGGTTTGCATTTTGGAGAGATGCAGTCACTCTGGAGGCCATGCTGCAGATGAATTTGAGGGGGACTGGACTGAGGCAGAAGGCCAGTTGAAGAGGACTGTAGGAGATACCTAGACTGGGGGGTGGTGAGTAATGAGGGCGTGAAGCAGGGAATCAGGAAATGTTTATGAAGCAAAATTGGCACACTTCAGTGATTAATTGGATAACATAGATAAGGGAAAAGAGGAGTCTAGGATAGCCCCCAGATTTGTAGCTGAAGCGACAAGGTAAATACTACTACTGATTGAGCTAGAAAATACAAGAGGAAGAGCTGGCATATACAAGAAGATGATGAGGTCAGTATGGGATACATGTAGTTTGAAACACGTTTTGACAACCCCATCAAAAAGTGGGCAAAGAATATGAACAGACACTTCTCAAAAGAAGACATTTATGCAGCCAACAGACACATGAAAAAATGCTCATCATCACTGGCCATCAGAGAAATGCAAATCAAAACCACAATGAGATGCCATCTCACACCAGTTAGAATGGCAATCATTAAAAAGTCAGGGAACAACAGGTGCTGGAGAGGATATGGAGAAATAGGAACACTTTTACACTGTTGGTGGGACTGTAAACTAGTTCGACCATTGTGGAAGACACTGTGGTGATTCCTCAAGGATCTAGAACTAGAAATACCATTTGACCCAGCCATCCCATTACTGGGTATATACCCAAAGGATTATAAATAATGCTGCTGTAAAGACACATGCACACATATGTTTATTGCAGCACTATTCACAAGAGCAAAGACTTGGAACCAACCCAGATATCCATCAATAATAGACTGGATTAAGAAAATGTGGCACATATACACCATGGAATACTATGCAGCCATAAAAAAGGATGAGTTCATGTCCTTTGTAGGGACATGGATGAAGCTGGAAACCATCATTCTCAGCAAACTATCGCAAGGACAAAAAACCAAACACCGCATATTCTCACTCATAGGTGGGAATTGAACAACGAGAACACTTGGACACAGGAAGGGGAACATCACACACTGGGGCCTGTTGTGGGGTGGGGGGACGGGGGAGGGATAGCATTAGGAGATATACCTAATGTTAAATGATGAGGATTAATGGGTGCAGCACACCAACATGGCACATGTATACATATGTAACAAACCTGCATGTTGTGCACATGTACCCTAGAACTTAAAGTATAAAAAAATAAAAATAAAAAACACGTTTTGGATAATCAAAGTTAAAATGTCCAGCAGGCGGTTGTGTGTAGTCCAAATCTTATTGGGAGAGGCCTGGACTCTGCTATAGACTCGGGGATAATTGAAACCACGAAAGTAGATGGGCCAACCTTGGGTGAGATTGTAAAGGGAGAACAGGAGGCTGTGGATGGGTCTCTGGATAACACCAGCATATAAGGAATGGATGAAGAAAGAGATGTGTGTGGGAAGCATGATTGGCAAGATGCCAGGAGAGCAATGCCCATGCAGACCACTGCTAAGAGAGTTTCAGGAAAGAGAGTAATCAACAGTTTTACATTAGCAGAAAGGACTGACAAAGCTTATTGGAACATTGATTGGAAAATTAAAGAGATTAAAAATTAATGCTCAAGTTCAATAGTAGGCTTTTTTTTTTTCTTTTTTCCCAACGAGGGATTCCATGTGGGTGGCTGATTTTATAACCTTTTTTTAAGTTTCAGTTTTATCAGTATAACAAGTATATATAGTTTAAAAAATGTCAGTATTAAGGACTTGCAACAAAAAGCAGCCCATATTGTATCCCTCTTTTCCCCAAGTCTCATCTGTCTTCAACTTTAGTTGTTTTTTTAAAGTTTCTGGCATTCGTCTCCATTTTTCTAAAGAAAATGGTTATGTTGCTCCTTCTTGAATTTTTCATTTGCGATGTTATGGACTTTTATGGACCTCTAACCATAGAAGATGATTTACCTTTCTTATGACCATTCTCCTTGCCTTCCCTACCACACTTTTTCTTTTCCAATAGATAGTACAATTTGCATTTTACACCCAGGTTTCCGTTATGATTATGAAAATATTCACAGCTGAACTACATAGTGTTTTATGATTATATTTCCTTTCTTGGACAATTTTTTGTGTTTCCCTGGATCTTAAAATTTCCTCTCTTCATTAGTTTTTTGTATACTATTCTTAACTCTTCCACTAAACTCTGTTAAAATTGTAAAAATTCTCCCTAATACAGGAAAGGATAGCATGTCTGTATTTTTGTTCTCGGAGACATACTTCTTAGAGCCCTTTATCCTCATGCTGAAATTTAGACTATTTGCTTCCAAAGGCTTCCCTTTACTATCATCCTGGGAATTTCCTTTGCTTCTCTCCTATGTTGGATCCTGTTTCCTGGATCTCATATCTGTCTCTTTCCTGGTTTACTCGCCGGTTTGGGTAGAGCACATCCTTCAGCAGCTTCCTGAGAAAGGTGCATGGGAGGTAAATTTTTGAGACTGTGCTTGCGTGTCTGAATATGTTTTTATTCTGTCCTCACCCTTGAGATGTGTCTTGGCATATTTTAGAGTGATAAATTCTAAATCATTTTTCCTGAATACTTTGCAGACTTGGCTTTGTTGTCTTCCAGCTCCAGTGTTGCATCCTGATTCCCATTCCTTTGTGTATGATCTATTTTATCTCTCCTAGCTTTCAGAGTCATTATGTTAATTTCTGGTGTTTTGATAGTTCATAATGATGTATCTTAGTGTGGGTCTTTGATCATTTATCATTGTGCATACTTGCTGTGGGCCCTTTCCATATGGAGATCTCTGCCCTTCAGTTCTGGGAAATGTTAATTTATCTTTTGTTTGTTCATTTGTTTTTTTCCCCATAATTCCCCCCACCCTGTGTGTCTGTTTCTGAGACTACTTTTATATGGCTGTTGGACTTCCAGCTTTCATCCTCTAATTTTATTATCCTTTTTAAAATTTTCTATTTCTCTTTTTGTTTTATATTCTGGCAGAGTCTCTCAACTTTATCATCTCTTCTGTCTACTGAATTTCCAATTTCCACTATCAGAATTTTAATTTTCAAGAGCTTGTTCCTGTCCTCTCAGTGTTCCTTTTAATAGCACCCTGTTGCTCTTTCATGGATGCAGTCAATGCATTGTCTCTTATTCCTCTGAGGATATTAAAAGGAATCCTTTTTATGTAGTTTTCTTCTCCTGTTATTGTCTCTTTTACCTCCAAGTTGCACTTTATGCTTGCCTTGGTCATTGAGTCCCAAGTGTCTGCTGATCCTTGTATGTCCATATTCAGGAACCAGGTACTAAAAAACTGTTTGGAAAGCTTACTGGGCTTCACTGAAAAGGCATTCCAACGTTAGTGTCTTTTTCTCTTAAGTCATTCTGTTTCTCCAAAGGAGATTTCTCCAGTCTTTTGCCCGGGCAATATTAGCCTGACTGCCAGAATTCTGGTAGCCAAAAGAGGTAAAGGAGTTATTGAGGGGGATGGGAGAGCAGTGGGTCTCACCCTCACTGAATCCTTCTCTTTTCAGCCTTACTCCCTCCTTCTGTTGTACCTAATGTCCATGAGTCCCGAGTCTCTGCTTCAGTTTTTCCAAAAAGTAGACCTGCCTACAAATGGCTTTGAGAAGAGCAGCATAGGGTGCGGGAGAACTTTTCTCTAAACAGGCTGGAGACCAGTGCTGCTCTTTCCAGCTTTACCCCTCATCTCTTATCTTCAGAGGCACAGGCTTAGTGGGCACTTGCCCGGGCTCTACTATGAGGGCAGTTTGCTGCTTGTTGGCAACCTCTTTTGTTGGTAGTTGCTTTGGCTTCCTCAGCCCTAAGTTAATTACCACAAATTCCTTTGCTTTTTGTCTTCTAAGATTTTGTTGCACTTTCTCATTCAGTGCCCATTTTCTCTTGTTTCACTTTTTGCCTTGTGGTTAATACCTTTTTCATTTTTAAATTATTCTAAACAATTTAAATTCTTTTTTAGGCAGAACAGAGAAAAACTATATACTCTTCGTGTTTTGTTGGAAGCTGTTAACCTAATTTCAACCCATTGTTTTTCTCTTACAAATAAAAATATCATTTTTCTGATTATAGGTTATCTATATTCATTATAAAATATTGGACAACAGAATATTACAAAGAAGGAAGTAAAAATCACTTGAGAGTAGTTTATCTTTGGGTGGCAAGATTACATTTTGGTATATATACTTAAGCTGTCAACATAATCGAAGTTTTTCTGTGTCAGTAAATAGAAAATTACGGTATCATTTTAAATACTAAATAGTCCCAGTGCATAAATAGCCATTTAAGTCCCTATTAGATTTTTAGGTGAATTTCACCTTCTTCCCCATCACTGTAAACAAATATAACACGAATCTTGTATACTCCATTATTTTCTTATGTGATTATTTTCTTAGTGTGAATTCCTAGAAACAGAATTTCTGAGTCAAAGAGAATATATATATATATATTTTTTCAAATAAATTTTTTTAAAAATTATTATTATACTTTAAGTTTTAGGGTACATGTGCACAATGTGCAGGTTAGTTACATATGTATACATGTGCCATGCTGGTGTGCTGCACCCATTAACTCGTCATTTAGCATTAGGTATATCTCCTAATGCTATCCCTCCCCCTTCCGCCCACCCCACAACAGTCCCCAGAGTGTGATGTTCCCCTTCCTGTGTCCATGTGTTCTCATTGTTCAATTCCCATCTATAAGTGAGAACATGCGGTGTTTGGTTTTTTGTCCTTGCGATAGTTTACTGAGAATGATGATTTCCAATTTCATCCATGTCCCTACAAAGGACATGAACTCATCATTTTTTATGGCTGCATAGTATTCCATGGTGTATATGTGCCACATTTTCTTAATCCAGTCTATCATTGTTGGACATTTGGGCTGGTTCCAAGTCTTTGCTGTTGTGAATAGTGCCGCAATAAACATACGTGTGCATGTGTCTTTATAGCAGCATGATTTATAGTCCTTTGAGTATATACCCAGTAATGGGATGGCTGGGTCAAATGGTACTTCTAGTTCTAGATCCCTGAGGAATCGCCACACTGGACTTCCACAATGGTTGAACTAGTTTACAATCCCACCAACAGTGTAAAAGTGTTCCTATTTCTCCACATCCTCTCCAGCACCTGTTGTTCCCTGACTTTTTAATGATTGCCATTCTAACTGGTGTGAGATGGTATCTCATTGTAGTTTTGATTTGCATTTCTCTGATGGCCAGTGATGATGAGCATTTTTTCATGTGTCTTTTGGCTGCATAAGAATATATATTTTAAAGACTTTTTTCCTCATTGCCAAATTGCTGCCTCTCCCCAGGAAAACTGAACCGGCTTATATTCCTATCAGAGATATATGAATATACCTATTTCTCTAACTGGGCTCCTATTATTTCTATTTATTAAAAATGTTAACTACTTAGGTTACATTTTGGTTTAAAAATATAGTTTATAGTAATAGTTTTTCTACCTGAAAACTAATTTCTCCCCAAGAATAATTTTCTGAATTCTAGACACTGTGAAGTTTTAAATAACAATGGCCTGTTAACATAATCAGATTGAAAAAGCTTATTTATTTTATACCTATAAAAACAGTGTGACATGTATTTTATACTTACAAAAATAGTGTGACATAATATTTCCTTCTTCAAGGTGGTTTTGTTACAATATTATTGATATAACACACTTTTATATTAATGAACCAGGCTCCCAGAACCTTTTTTGATACAAAGCCTGATTTGCTCTCAATATAGTATTTCTAAAAATATATAGTATTTTCTTTAGGTATTTAAGTATAGCATTTCAAATATAGTATTTTCTTTAAATATAGTATTTCAAGAAATATATAGTATTTCAACCAAAAGGCTAATCATCAGAGGTGCACTGTAGTTACTCTTATTCATCCTCTGAATATATTAATGGATTAGAATGTGACTTGAATAATTTTCCATTGCATATTTAATTGTGTAGAAGCAACAATGGGGGAAGTCAAACTGTATCCCACTTTGTTAGAAGGCAGAATAAAATCCTAGGACCCACTAGGTTCTCATAACTTTCCTGTGCTTAGAGTGAGGCATGTAACTCATGATTTGGATAATGAGTGGTAATCATGAGCTAAATGTATAAATCATAAACCTTTTGTGCCACAAAGGATTTATCTTGCCAACATTTTGCAAATTATAATTTCAGAGACTTATGCAAAAAAGTGTGAAATAGTTTTGATTGTATTCAGCAAATCTGTCAGAAATTATACATCTTTCATAGCAGGCCTCTTCATATTTTAAGTATAATTGTGAGGTATACATAGTATCATAAGAATGCAAAATACTTGTTTTTGGGTGATTTGAGCAACTACTAATGGCTATGAAAATTGCTATTTGCTGCCACCTGCAAGTCACATTTCATAATGTTCTAGTTAATTCAGATAAAAATGCCACATTTTTGTTTGTTTTGTTTGTTTTTCCTTCTCCTAACCTTTCTCACTTGTTGGCAATTTATTCTATTTACAGGAATCTGTGATAGTCCATTGCTTCCTATGGCTTGGAGTATTAGATAATGTTTAGGAGTTTTCAAGATGAAACTTCTATAGCAGTCTTTATTTTTTTGGCTTTAAAGTAGGAATTTAACTAAGATTGTTTTCAGCCTGCTTTCATTTGCTTGTGTGCAACTGAAATAATGTGTTTGCCTTGTCCCAATTTTGTCAGTGTTTCTGGACTAGGACCTATGTATGTAAGAAAAGTAAAATGAAATAAAAAATTGGGGGGCCAAATCTGTAGCTGAGAATTTAACTGTTTCCTTGAGTTCCAAATGTGACGTTGGGAGCAGATAAGCTTATTTTATGAAACTCTGTGTAACTGAGCTGTACTTTAATAACAGAGTAGACCTGGTTAATTCAAGCAAGTTTTATGTTCCTTTACGACCCATTCAGGCATTATTTTTAGGAAGTTGGTTGTAATTTATATTTAAAAGATTATTTTTCATACTCAACTTTATATTTTTCTGTCATTTTAGTGAGAAACTCACTAGTTCAATCAAGCTTTCATAAAACGTAGACTAGTACTAGAAAAGAACTTTGGTGAATGTGAGTTCTTTGTGCTTGCCACTGAAACCAAATCATTTCTAAACTCGTCTAGGCTATTTTGTAGTAGTTTTTAAAAATGTGCGAATGTTTGCTTCTTGGCAATTGCTGTTTTAAATAATCACATAAAATAACATTTTATGTTGATTAACATAACATCTGTTGATTAATATTACTGTTAATAGGCCTCCATAATTTAAAGAATTACCCTTGTAGTCATAATAAATAACTTGATGGCATATAATTTATGGAATTTAAAAGTATTAATACTGTATTAATTACCTTTATGTCCTTCCTTATATTTTGCCAATATGTATTAAGTTGTATAACTCAAATACAATATTCATTGCATCAGTTTTTATACCATTTAAAGATATGAAATTCACAATCCCCTTTTTTATCTGCATTTGAATATATAGTAAAGTTTATAAAGAATATTTGTCTAGAGACTTAATTTTCTGTAGAATGAATTAATAAACTTGTATGTATTTATGGAGGGCTCTCAACCCTATGGATGGCAGTGAAAAAATCAAAGACCTTGCTTTTATGGAGCTTACATTTTAGCTCCATGGTGAAACAAATATATAATATGTTGGGTGGTGATAACTACTTTGAACAAAGCATAGTGTTAAGAAGGTATAGAGAGACAAAGGGACTTCTCTTTTGTGTATTTCTTTATTTATTATTATACTTTAAGTTTTAGGGTACATGTGCACAATGTGCAGGTTAGTTACATATGTATACATGTGCCATGCTGGTGCGCTGCACCCACTAACTTGTCATCTAGCATTAGGTATATCTCCCAATGCTATCCCTCCCCCCTTCCCCCCACCCCACAACAGTCCCCAGAGTGTGATGTTCCCCTTCCTGTGTCCACGTGTTCTCATTGTTCAATTCCCACCTATGAGTGAGAATATGCGGTGTTTGGTTTTTTGTTCTTGCGATAGTTTACTGAGAATGATGATTTCCAATTTCATCCATGTCCCTACAAAGGACATGAACTCATCATTTTTTATGGCTGCATAGTATTCCCTGGTGTATATGTGCCACATTTTCTTAATCCAGTCTATCATTGTTGGACATTTGGGTTGGTTCCAAGTCTTTGCTATTGTGAATAATGCCGCAGTAAACATATGTGTGCATCTGTCTTTATAGCAGCATGATTTATAGTCCTCTGGGTATATACCCAGTAATGGGATGGCTGGGTCAAATGGTATTTCTAGTTCTAGATCCCTGAGGAATCACCACACTGACTTCCACAACGGTTGAACTAGTTTACAGTCCCACCAACAGTGTAAAAGTGTCCCTATTTCTCGACATCCTCTCCAGCACCTGTTGTTTCCTGACTTTTTAATGATTGCCATTCTAACTGGTGTGAGATGGTATCTCATTGTGGTTTTGATTTGCATTTCTCTGATGGCCAGTGATGGTGAGCATTTTTTCATGTGTTTTTTGGCTGCATAAATGTCTTCTTTTGAGAAGTGTCTGTTCATGTCCTTCACCCACTTTTTGATGGGGTTGTTTGTTTTTTTCTTGTAAATTTGTTTGAGTTCATTGTAGATTCTGGATATTAGCCCTTTGTCAGATGAGCAGGTTGCGAAAATTTTCTCCCATTTTGTAGGTTGCCTGTTCACTCTGATGGTAGTTTCTTTTGCTGTGCAGAAGCTCTTTAGTTTAATTAGTTCCCATTTGTCAATTTTGGCTTTTGTTGCCATTGCTTTTGGTGTTTTAGACATGAAGTCCTTGCCCATGCCTATGTCCTGAATGGTAATGTCTAGGTTTTCTTCTAGGGTTTTTATGGTTTTAGGTCTAACGTTTAAGTCTTTAATCCATTTTGAATTGATTTTTGTGTAAGGTGTAAGGAAGGGATCCAGTTTCAGCTTTCTACATATGGCTAGCCAGTTTTCCCAGCACCATTTATTAAATAGGGAATCCTTTCCCCATTGCTTGTTTTTCTTAGGTTTGTCAAAGATCAGATAGTTGTAGATATGTGGCGTTATTTGTGAGGCCTCTGTTCTGTTCCATTGATCTGTATCTCTGTGTTGGTACCAGTACCATGCTGTTTTGGCTACTGTAGCCTTGTAGTATAGTTTGAAGTCAGGTAGCGTGATGCCCCCAGCTTTGTTCTTTTGGCTTAGGATTGACTTGGCGATGCTGGCTCTTTTTTGGTTCCATATGAACTTTAAAGTAGTTTTTTCCAATTCTGTGAAGAAAGTCATTGATAGCTTGATGGGGATGGCATTGAATCCGTAAATTACCTTGGGCAGTGTGGCCATTTTCACGATATTGATTCTTCCTACCCATGAGCATGGAATGTTCTTCCATTTGTTTGTATCCTCTTTTATTTCCTTGAGCACTGGTTTGTAGTTCTCCTTGAAGAGGTCCTTCACATCCCTTGTAAGTTGGATTCCTAGGTATTTTATTCTCTTTGAAGCAATTGTGAATGGGAGTTCACTCATGATTTGGCTCTCTGTTTGTCTGTTGTTGGTGTATAAGAATGCTTGTGATTTTTGTACATTGATTTTGTATCCTGAGACTTTGCTGAAGTTGCTTATCAGCTTAAGGAGATTTTGGGCTGAGACAATGGGGTTTTCTAGATATACAATCATGTCGTCTGCAAACAGGGACAATTTGACTTCCTCTTTTCCTAATTGAATACCCTTTATTTCCTTCTCCTGCCTGATCGCCCTGGCCAGAACTTCCAACACTCTGTTGAATAGGAGTGGTGAGAGAGGGCATCCCTGTCTTGTGCTGGTTTTCAAAGGGAATGCTTCCAGTTTTTGCCCATTCAGTATAATGTTGGCTGTGGGTTTGTCATAGATAGCTCTTATTATTTTGAAATACGTCCCATCAATACCTAATTTATTGAGAGTTTTTAGCATGAAGCGTTGTTGAATTTTGTCAAAGGCCTTTTCTGCATCTATTGAGATAATCATGTGGTTTTTGTCTTTGGTTCTGTTTATATACTGGATTACATTTATTGATTTGCGTATATTAAACCAGCCTTGCATCCCAGGGATGAAGCCCACTTGATCATGGTGGATAAGCTTTTTGATATGCTGCTGGATTCGGTTTGCCAGTATTTTATTGAGGATTTTTGCATCAATGTTCATCAAGGATATTGGTCTAAAATTCTCTTTTTTGGTTGTGTCTCTGCCAGGCTTTGGTATCAGGATGATGCTGGCCTCATAAAATGAGTTAGGGAGGATTCCCTCATTTTCTATTGATTGGAATAGTTTCAGAAGGAATGGTATCAGTTCCTCCTTGTACCTCTGATAGAATTTGGCTGTGAATCCATCTGGTCATGGGCTTTTTTTTGTTGGTAGGCTATTAATTACTGCCTCAATTTCAGCACTTTTTATTGGTCTATTCAGGGATTCAACTTCTTCCTGGTTTAGTCTTGGGAGGGTGTATGTGTCCAGGAATTTATCCATTTCTTCTAGATTTTCTAGTTTATTTGCGTAGAGGTGTTTGTAGTATTCTCTGATGGTAGTTTGTATTTCTGTGGGATCGGTGGTGATATCCCCTTTATCATTTTTTATTGCGTCTATTTGATTCTTCTCTCTTTTTTTCTTTATTAGTCTTGCTAGCGGTCTATCAATTTTGCTGATCCTTTCAAAAAACCACCTCCTGGATTCATTAATTTTTTGAAGGGTTTTTTGTGTCTCTATTTCCTTCAGTTTTGCTCTGATCTTAGTTATTTCTTGCCTTCTGCTAGCTTTTGAATGTGTTTGTTCTTGCTTCTCTAGTTCTTTTAATTTTGATGTTAGGGTGTCAATTTTAGATCTTTCCTGCTTTCTCTTGTGGGCATTTAGTGCTATAAATTTCCATCTACACACTGCTTTGAATGTGTCCCAGAGATTCTGGTATATTGTGTCTTTGTTCTTGTTGGTTTCAAAGAACATCTTTATTTCTGTCTTCATTTCGTTATGTACCCAGAAGTCATCCAGGAGCAGGTTGTTCAGTTTCCATGTAGTTGACCGGTTTTGAGTGAGATTCTTAATCCTGAGTTCTAGTTTGATTGCACTGTGGTCTGAGAGACAGTTTGTTATAATTTCTGTTCTTTTACATTTGCTGAGGAGAGCTTTACTTCCAAGTTTGTGGTCAGTTTTGGAATAGGTGTGGTGTGGTGCTGAAAAAAATGTATATTCTGTTGATTTGGAGTGGAGAGTTCTGTAGATGTCTATTAGGTCCACTTGGTGCAGAGCTGAGTTCAATTCCTGGGTATCCTTGTTGACTTTCTGTCTCGTTGATCTGTCTAATGTTGACAGTGGGGTGTTAAAGTCTCCCATTATTAATGTGTGGGAGTCTAAGTCTCTTTTTAGGTCACTCACGACTTGCTTTGTGAATCTAGGTGCTCCTGTATTAGGTGCATATATATTTAGGATAGTTAGCTCTTCTTGTTGAATTGATCCCTTTACCATTATGTGATGGCCTTCTTTGTCTCTTCTGATCTTTGTTGGTTTAAAGTCTGTTTTATCAGAGACTAGGATTGCAACCCCTGCCTTTTTTTTGTTTTCCATTTGCTTGGTAGATCTTCCTCCATCCTTTTATTTTGAGCCTATGTGTGTCTCTGCACGTGAGATGGGTTTCCTGAATACAGCACACTGATGGGTCTTGACTCTGTATCCAATTTGCCAGTCTGTGTCTTTTAATTGGAGCATTTAGTCCATTTACATTTAAAGTTAATATTGTTATGTGTGAATTTGATCCTGTCATTATGATGTTAGCTGGTTATTTTGCTCGTTAGTTGATGCAGTTTCTTCCTAGTCTCAATGGTCTTTACATTTTGGCATGATTTTGCAGTGGCTGGTACCGGTTGTTCCTTTCCATGTTTAGCACTTCCTTCAGGAGCTCTTTTAGGGCAGGCCTGGTGGTGACAAAATCTCTCAGCATTTGCTTGTCTGTAAAGTATTTTATTTCTCCTTCACTTATGAAGCTTAGTTTGGCCGGATATGAAATTCTGGGTTGAAAATTCTTTTCTTTAAGAATGTTGTATATTGGCCCCCACTCTCTTCTGGCTTGTAGAGTTTCTGCCGAGAGATCCGCTGTTAGTCTGATGGGCTTCCCTTTGAGGGTACCCCAACCTTTCTCTCTGGCTGCCCTTAACATTTTTTCCTTCATTTCAACTTTGGTGAATCTGACAATTATGTGTCTTGGAGTTGCTCTTCTCGAGGAGTATCTTTGTGGCATTCTCTGTATTTCCTGAATCTGAATGTTGGCCTGCCTTGCTAGATTGGGGAAGTTCTCCTGGATAATATTCTACAGAGTGTTTTCCAACTTGGTTCCATTCTCCCCATCACTTTCAGGTACACCAATCAGATGTAGATTTGGTCTTTTCACATAGTCCCATATTTCTTGGAGGCTTTGCTCGTTTCTTTTTATTCTTTTTTCTCTAAACTTCCTTCTCACTCCATTTCATTCATTTCATCTTCCATCATTGATAGCCTTTCATCCAGTTGATCGCATCGGCTCCTGAGGCTTCTGCATTCTTCACGTAGTTCTCGAGCCTTGGCTTTCAGCTCCGTCAGCTTCTTTAAGCACTTCTCTGTATTGGTTATTCTAGTTATACATTCTTCTAAATTTTTTTCAAAGTTTTCAACTTCTTTGCCTTTGGTTTGAATGTCCTCCCGTAGCTCGGAGTAATTTGATTGTCTGAAGCCTTCTTCTCTCAGCTCGCCAGAGTCATTCTCCGTCCAGCTTTGTTCCGTTGCTGGTGAGGAACTGCATTCCTTTGGAGGAGGAGAGGCGCTCTGCTTTTTAGAGTTTCCAGTTTCTCTGCTCTGTTTTTTCCCCATCTTTGTGGTTTTATCTACTTTTGGTCTTTGATGATGGTGATGTACAGATCGGTTTTTGGTGTGGATGTCCTTTCTGTTTGTTAGTTTTCCTTCTAACAGACAGGACCCTCAGCTGCAGGTCTGTTGGAGTACCCGGCCGTGTGAGGTGTCAGTCTGCCCCTGCTGGGGGGTGCCTCCCATTTAGGCTGCTCGGGGGTCAGGGGTCAGGGACCCACTTGAGGAGGCAGTCTGCCCATTCTCAGATCTCCAGCTGCGTGCTGGGAGAACCACTGATCTCTTCAAAGCTGTCAGACAGGGACATTTAAGTCTGCAGAGGTTACTGCTGTCTTTTTGTTTGTCTGTGCCCTGCCCCCAGAGGTGGAGCCTACAGAGGCAGGCAGGCCTCCTTGAGCTGTGGTGGGCTCCACCCAGTTGGAGCTTCCCAGCTGCTTTGTTTACCTAAGCAAGCCTGGGCAATGGCGGGCGCCCCTCCCCCAGCCTCCCTGCCACCTTGCAGTTTGATCTCAGACTGCTGTGCTAGCAATCAGCGAGACTCCGTGGGCGTAGGACCCTCCGAGCCAGGTGCGGGCTATAATCTCCTGGTGCACCGTTTTTTAAGCCTGTCGGAAAAGCACAGTATTTGGGTGGGAGTGACCCGATTTTCCAGGTGACCCGTTTCTTTGACTAGGAAAGGGAACTCCCTGACCCCTTGTGCTTCCCGAGTGAGGCAATGCCTCGCCCTGCTTCGGCTCGCGCATGGTGCGCACACCCACTGACCTGCGCCCACTGTCTGGCACTCCCTAGTGAGATGAACCTGGTACCTCAGATGGAAATGCAGAAATCACCCGTCTTCTGTGTCGCTCAGGCTGGGAGCTGTAGACCAGAGCTGTTCGTATTTGGCCATCTTGGCTCCTCCCCCTTCTCTTTTGTTATGAGTGGTCAGGGATGTCCTCTCCGGGGTGGTGGTATTTGAGCAGACATATGGATAAAGTATGGAAGTGACACACAACTTTATTGAGAAAGACCATCTCAGGCAAATATAAAGTCTCTGAAGAGGAAGATGTGTGTGTATGTGTGTGTGTGTGAGTATAAATAATGTGTATATGTATGTATATTTTAATAACCACATAGACTAAAACTATCCAACTGAAACAACTTAGGTATACTTTGAGAAATATAAAATGAAATTGTAAGGTAGAGGTAGCATTAATAAACTATCTAGTATACCATTAAATAAGTTTGTGGTGATTGGTGATTCAACACCCGAATCATCTAGGTAAATCCTGAAAAACTCATATTTTATTAATTGCTTCTCCTTCCCCTTCTTTCCCCGTCCCCACTCCTTTCTCGTCTCTTTCCCCCCCTCTCCTTTTCTCCCATCTTTCACTTCTAATTTCAGTGAAATTGGAGCGATTTGAAATTCCAATCAAGGTTCGATTAAGCCCAGAGCCATGGACCCCTGAAACTGGTTTGGTAACTGATGCTTTCAAACTGAAAAGGAAGGAGCTGAGGAACCATTACCTCAAAGACATTGAACGAATGTATGGGGGCAAATAAAATGTTGTTGTCTTATTGACAGTTGTGCAGGAGGTAGCCTGGTGGTTTTCAACCTCTAGAATTTTAAGCCTTTGTTGAACTGTTAGAATGTAAGGTATATCATTCTAAAGATAGAGTAAAAAGAAAACAAAACCAAAAGTTATTAAAATTGTTGTCCGGTTTACTTTAACTTAGTTTTGCATAGTTCTAGTGCAGCTGAAATTGAAAAGTTATTTCCCTTTAGCTGTGTTATTATAGAGCAGAAATTCTGTTTTTAAAAATTAGCCTAAGATATACTTGTTTTTGTAAAGAAAAATATTTAATGTTGAACAAAATAAATTGGAGTTGGAGTAGAATGTAGTTTGAGGAAATTTGCAGCTTCCAATGCCTCTTGTCTTCCTATTTCAGAAGTTTAAATATTAAGCATGACAGAAAATATGTATTAACACTACTCAAAGCAAAAGTGCTGCAGGGCTTTAAAATTCTCTTCCAACCATTTATCTTGAAGGAAAAATTCAATAGTAATATAATACACAAAATCAAATAATACCTTAGAAGGTATTAAGATTATAATTGTTGCATAGGTTAGATATAGAGTCATTGTAATGTTGTGAATAATTACAGTGCCTAAAATAAGAATAGAACAACATATACAACACCAAAAAATATCTAGTAATATATTTAAAGGGAAATTGAGCTGCTTTTTTTGAAACTTTGAGATCTAAAAATAACTGTAATTATTTGAATGACTAAGAGGAAAGTACATTTTTTGAAATGCTGAAAATTGCCTTTCTGTGTTTATTCAAACTGAAAAGCTGAGACCAAGAGCAAGGAAGGTAAAAAGTTAACAGGCAAACATTTTCTCTTAGAAAAGGTGATAAAATCATAAGTATTTGGAATTAGAACCCTTGCACAGCACTGAACCTGGGAAAGAGATTTAAACTCTGAATTTATCTTTGATAACAGGGATTGATTTTAAAATGTACATGTATTAAATTACATTTGTAATTTAAGGTCTGTTTGCTGTTGCTGATTTTATTCTTGATCAGTAGTTTGCATTTCAGAAAGCCTTTCATTTTGCTTTAATTTTAGCAAAGCGGGTTATAATGAATGACTTCCCCAATATCTTGCTTGAACTTACAGGTGATTAACTTGGATGAGTTTTGGGAAGTTAAAGGGAAGAAAACACTGTTATCATTTTTTCCTGTTTGGGAAGAGCTTAGAAACTGGAAATACTAGATTTGGGAGAAGGGCAGAGTTACTTGATAAGGGACTGATGTTTGTGCAGTAACTTGGGAGTGTGGTTTCTTTTTGAATCTTTAATTAAAACCTGGGATTATATATCCCTGATAAATATTCACACTTGAACCATAGTTACTGTAAAATGCAAAAAATCTTAATACTGTTATTCTTTGCACTTTTTCTTAATCATTTTTTATATATATGCATATATATATGTGTGTGTGTGTGTTGCTTATGTTGTTTTGTACAGATGTGGGCCACCATTGCAACAAAATACATTCTTTTTGCTCTAAAATATTTATGAAGAAAATACTTAAATGTTATGTATATGGTGGTAATAAGGGAAAAATCAAGTATTATAAACAAGAATGAAGGTTTTTGTAAAGATTTCTGTTCAGCGTTTTGCAAGGTAAAATTTTAGGCAAGTTTTCCCTGAAGTTATGTGTATGTGAGTATTCTCATTCTTCCCAACTTGCCTTTGAAGAGTGAAATACCATTATTATCAAGTAGACTACTGTTCAGCTTTTATTCCTGCCCTGCTGTTTATCCCTTAAGAATGAGTTTCTTAGACTTTTCCAATATGTGATTTTTTTTCCCATTTAGAATGGTGATTTTAAATGTGTGAGTGCATGTACTATCTTATCTCAGATATTTGCACCCCCAATCTGCCCCCAACTCCCAAAAGCTAGAACACTGCCAACTGATCTGTTATAGGTCCTTTAGAAACACATAATTAACACTTAAGGTTGGGTGCTGCTAATTCTTTGCAAAAATCCAAATATTGTTAAGGGACCAGGGAGATGCCACTACCCCTTGATTTTCCATCTAAAAATATACATGTTTATGTAAACAAATCTTTCCATATCCATAGTGACTTTTCAAGTATTTAAGCCTAAAGATTTTGATCTCACATTTTTATACCTGTTTAAATTGCTCACAGTTATTACATACACATCAGCCATCAACTAAAGTTGTACTTTAAAAATTTACTACAATATGTACATTTCTAAGTCAAACACTTGTGACTTTTGCTTTAATTCCATGAATGTTCCTGCCTCCTTGATATTTGTATTTATTCTTTTTTTCTCTAGAGTAGAGGTATAATTGTGTGATATTTCAGAAATACAGATAAATGATTCAAAAAGTCACAGTTAAGGAGAATCATGTTTCTTTGATCATGAATAACTGATTAGTAAGTCTTGCCTATATTTTCCTGATAGCATATGACAAATGTTTCTAAGGTAACAAGATGAGAACAGATAAAGATTGTGTGGTGTTTTGGATTTGGAGAGAAATATTTTAATTTTTAAATGCAGTTACAAATTATAATGTATTCATATTTGTACTTTCTGTTAAAATGCATGATTGCAGAATTGTTTAGATTTTGTGTTTATTCTTGATGAAAAGCTTTGTTTGTTCTTGTTTTTAAGTTTGCACTCAAATCTTAAGAAATAAATCCACCCATGTTATCAAGCCAATTTGTACTTCATTATGCATTGAGATAAAATCTCCAAGTTTGAAGATTATTAACCAAACTTTTAAACACATATTTTTAAAGTACTCATCTCCAGGTTTATGGAATTGCATTAAGCAGTTAAACCGGCTTGTATAGTCCCATCCATTAGTTCAGAGTATTTGAATCCCAAACTGTTACTTTGGTCCAGTCAATAGAGTAAAACCCCTTTGTAACACTGATACTTTGGGACAAAACATGGATTATCAGTGGGCGCTACCAAATTATAACTGCTACTTTTAGGCTAATTAATATTTTAGAGAGAAATTAATTTGAGTTATATGAGGGTGTGTATAAAATGGCATTAAGAGCTCTATTTCCTGGCTTTGCCACTGTAGTTGTGTAACCTTCAGCAAATTAATTAACATTTTGGAGCTGCATTTCTTCATCTGGAAAAATTGGGTTGATGGATAATAGGATCTGCCTAATAGGATTGTTGTGAGAGTTAAAATGTAAAGTGTTTAGAACAATAGCTTATGTTAGCTATTATTATCATAATTATTATTGTACCTAGACACTATTCATCAGTCAGGTTGTTTAAAGTATTGACTAGCATACTCAGGGCCTTAAAGAACTGACTGCCCCTGAAGATTTTGTGAAAAAAGTTCTAGATCTAGAGGTCAGGAGACCTGGGCTTATTGACACTAGCTTTGTAACCATGGGCCAATCTCATAACCTTAGCCTTAGCCTTAGTTTCTTCTTCCCATTAAAAAACAAACAAACAAACAAACAAAAATTCAAAAATGATGCCTTTTGCAAAAAGGGAAAGACAAATGACAAAAGAAATAGGGAACATGATAGTCCTTATGGTCCATCATGTCTAGCTTTAGTATTGTGATATTACTGTTCCAAGCTCTATTTTCTTAAATGATGCCCTAGGTTCTGAGTTTCCTATAGGGCTATGAGGCTATGGATCACAAGAAGTTGAGGATTCTACTAGGTATAAGGAGTCTGTGACTCTTTTTTTTTTTTTTTTTTAATGTATTTTTGTCTTGAGATAGAGTCTCACTCTGTCACCCAGGCTGGAGTACAGTGGCTCCATCATGGCTCACTGCAGCCTTGAACTCCTGGGCTCAAGCGATCCTCTTTCTCACTTTAGCCGCCCAAGTAGCTGGGACTACAAGCACGCTCCAGCGTGCCCAGCTAATTATTTTTTTTTTTTTAGAGATGGGGTCTTGCTATGTTGCCCAGGCTGGTCTTGAACTCCTGGCATCAAGCAATCCTCCCACCTCAGCCACCCAAAGCGCTGGGATTACAGATGTGAGCCACAGTGCCTGACCCTTAATGTTTTTTTAAATTTTAATCAGGGTTTTGCACACATAATGTAAAGGAGTGCTTCCAAACTTCTTTTTATTGTGATCCACAATGCTGTGCACACATATTTTATGAAAATATTTTGTGAAAAAACAATACTAATGAGATGCACACTGGTTTTCTATTCTATTTCATTTATTTAAATGTTGGCTCTTACTCACTAAATTGATTTAATTACCCTGTAAAATAGTGCTGTTCAATAGAACTTTCTGTGAAGTTGAAAATATTCAGTATCTGCACTATCCACTGTAGTAGCTGCCAGCCACATGTGGCTGTGGATGATTTAAAATGTGGTTATTGTTGGCCAGGCCCGGTGGCTCACACCTACAATCCCAGTACTTTGGAAGGCCAAGATGGGAGGATCGCTTGAGGCCAAGAGTTTGAGACAAGCCTGGTTAACGTAGTGGGACCCCAGCTCTAAAAAAAAATAAAAATAAAATAACAAAAATTTAAGAGATCTTTAAAAAATTAAATGTCGTTAGTATGAGGAACTGGATTTTTATTTTTATGTCCATATTGGGCAGCATCACTCCAGAGAGATTGTAAGTCATGGTTTGAAAAGCACAGGTTTAAAGGCTGCTATTCTACAAAGTCTCTGAAAAACAGCTATCCACTGCCTTCATCCTCCCCATTTCCTCTGCCTCAGAGGCAACCACTTTTAACTCTTAATTGATTGTTTTGGTGTTTACCATCTTGTATCTAAATAACATGCTTGTATCCCTGCTTCTTGATTTTATCAACTTTTCAGTGTACACAGGGACACCTCTCATCCTCTCAATATAAATGCATAGTTAGATCAATAAGTCTTTACATTATAATAACTGCTATTCAGAGCTGAAATGTAGTGGGAAAACAAGTGATTCATTTTCTTCTGCACTTTTAAACCACTGGAGCTAATAATTGTGTTTCTTTCACTTGCTTGGTTTTCTATGTACTTACCGCTAATTCTACCGCAGGCTCTCCAACTAATTGCTTAAATCTCTGTAGACTTCCAGATAAGAAGAATTCTAACAATTTCATCTGGAAGAAATCTCTCCTAGAACCAGACGATTTGCCCTCCTTTCCCTGGTGCAGGGTCATTATCTTGGCATCTACCTTCACCGTCATCCTGAGACTTAACTTTACCTTTGTCGTGTTGGATCTCTTGTTTTCTGTATTCCACGTCTTTTTCTCACTTGGATTGTTACTTCTCCTTGATAGAATATATTCTACAGTAGCTTACTGAGAAGGGATAAATGGGAAATAATTGGAGACCTTAATTGATAATTTGTTGGGTATAGGATTGAAAATTTCCTCTCCATGTTGAAAGCATTATTCCATTGTCAATAAGCTTTCCGTCTTCTCTCTCCAACAGGAACTTTCCATTCTAGTTTCTTTTTTTTTTTTTTTTGGCCTTTAGACCAATTTATTTTATATCCTTTTAAAATATCATCCAACAAAAAGCAATGAAGTTTACATCTAGGGCAGATACACGTAACTCAAGGCACTTGTAGTCCATCATGCCCATTGAATAACAACTTTGCTGTTGAAACTTCTTAAAACTTACCAAGTTAAAAAGCTGAGTGATGCAGAAGGAGTAGTATTTTAGTGTAATCTGTAAATTGGCTTTTCTAAGAAAGGAAATACATCCTGTTTCCCTAGATGGGTAAATAAGCAAGAGCTACATGCAGCAGTGTCAGTAGTAAGACATTTCTCAAGTCTTTTCAAATGAATCAAAGGTGGGTATGGGATAGGAGAGAAAACTGATAGAAAAACATTGACACCATAACAATATATTTAGATAATTTAACATTTGAAAAGGCAAGAGGTGGCATTTCAGCAGCAAAGTGCTTAATGAAGAGTACATTGTGGAGAGTCATACAAGAAAGTATCTCATGCCAGTCAGAATGGCGATTATTAAAAAGTCAGGAAACAACAGATGCTGGCAAGGCTGTGGAGAAATAGGAACACTTTTACACTGTTGGTGGGAGTGTAAATTAGTTCAACCATTGTGGAAGACAGTGTGGTGATTCCTCAAGGATCTAGAACCAGAAATACCATTTGACCCAGCAATCCCATTACTGGGTATATACCCAAAGGATTATAAGTCATTCTACTATAATGACACATGCACACATATGTTTATTGCAGCACTATTTACAATAGAAAAGACTTGGAACCAACCCAAATGTCCATCAATGATAGACTGGATAAAGAAAATGTGGCACATATACACCATGGAATACTATGCAGCCATAAAAAAGAATGAGTTCATGTCCTTTGCAGGGACATAGATGTAGCTGGAAGCCATCATTCTCAGCAAACTAACACAGGAAAAGAAAACCAAACACTGCATGTTCTCACTCAAGTGGTAGTTGAACAGTGAGAACACATGGACACAGAGGGGAACATCACACACTGGGGCATGTCGAGGGGTGAGGGGCACAGGGAGGGAGAGCATTAGGACAAATACCTAATGCATGTGGGGCATAAAACCTAGATGGCGGGTTGATAGGTGCAGCAAACCACCATGGCACATGTATACCTACGTGACAAACCTGCATGTTCTGCACATGTATCCCAGAACTTAATAAAAACAAAAAAAGGGGCTGGGCATGGTGGCTCACGCCTGTAATCCCAGCACTGTGGGAGGCCGAGGTGGGCAGGTCACGAGGTCAGGAGATTGAGACCATCCTGGCTAACATGGTGAAACCCTGCCTCTATTAAAAATACAAAAAATTAGCCGGGCGTGGTGGCATGCGCCTGTAGTCCCAGCTACTCGGAAGGCTGAGGCAGAAGAATTGCTTGAACCCAGGAGGCGGAGGTTGCAGTGAGCCGAGATTGCACCACTGCACTGTAGCCTGGGCGACAGAGCAAGATTCTGTAAAAAAAAAAAAGACGGCACATAAATGGTTCAGCAGCGGGATAGGTAAAGGCCTCAAAGGAAAAATTATGTCCTCGGTGTCATTGTTCTGGGAGGAATAACACATTCTGAATCTTTAACTGTCTGGAATAAATTTAGTTCCCTTGTATTTACATATTTGAAGACAATGAGTGAAGCAATATTTCCACAATAGCAGTAATTAGGAAATGTATAGCCTTCGTGTAACAGAGGTGTATATAGCACCTCTGTAGATGTGCTCAGCAGAAGAGTTTTAAGTTGTTGATATAACAAATTCATTGTGATCTTTACTCCAGTATGTTCTCCAGTATGTTAAACTCATCTCTCCCAGTGGTTCTTCACCCTGGCTGCACTTAGGAATCACATGGGAAGGTTAAAAACAACAACAAAACAGAAAAACAATTTCCATACCTCATCCTCCCTCACTGGCCAATGGAGGCCATCCTGCTAGATATTTCAATTCCTTTATTAGCATTTATCTTTAGGATTAAATAACAAAATAATTCACAGAGGAGTGGACAGTCTTCACGGTTAACCAAGGAAGGAGGCTCCTAGTTAACTGTTGGCTCTTCTAACTCTTCCTTCTTGGTAGGATCAATTTTTCTTTCACTTTGGCAGGTGTATTAGTCTGTTTTCATACTGCTATAAAGAGCTACCTGAGACTGGGTAATTTATAAAGGAAAGAGATTTAATCGACTCACAGTTCAGCATGGCTGGGGGAGCCTCAGGAAACTTAAAATCATATCAGAAGGTGAAGGGGAAGCAAGGCACCTTCTCCACAAGGCAGTAGGAAGGAGAAGTGCCGAGCAAAGGGGGAAAAGCCCCTTATAAAACCATCAGATCTTGTGAGAATTCACTCATTATCATGAGAACAGCTTGGGGGAAACTGCCCCCATGATTCAATTACCTCCACCTGGTCTCTCCCTTGATATATGAGGATTATGGGGATTACAATTCAAGATGAGATTTGGGTGGGGACACAAAGCCTAACCATATCAGCAAGTTAGCTAGCTATTTCCTTTATCACTAAAAAGAATGAGAGATTCTGAGAGGATGAGATATAGAATCAGAACATTTCTTGGAAGACACTCCTAAGGGTATCACAAATTAAAAATGGGCTCTAGTGGTGGTGGAGGGACACTTGGGAGTGCTAAACACCAAGTTTCCCATTTCATATTTTTGCCTTGAGGTTATAATAAATCAATCAAACAAAAACAAAGGGAAAAAGGAAAAGAGAGAGTATGCTGAAATTCACCCACGCATGTGTCTCTCCAGAGTGACTTTTGCAGTAGAAATCTGAAAATAATTATTTTGAGGTTCAGGTATTTATTTTTGCACCTGGCTATTTGCTAGCCTATGAAGTTATAAGAAGCTTCAAATTAGATATACATATACGTACATATAAATTACAGACATGTCGACATATACTTTCTTCTTTATGGCCAACTGCTCTTCTTACATATGGCTTTCTCACCTTAGCTGTATCTTCGACATTCCTTACCATAGGGCACTCCATGCCCCACATTCAGTTTCGGATGTTGAATAGCATGTATCAACATAGGAAAGTGGCAATGTGGCTCTCCAGGAGTAGGTGAGGGACAAGGCCAGAGAGAAAAATCAAGAAGCCCTCCTGCCTAGATACTGACTGAGGGAGGAATATAGAAAAACGAGCTGAAATCGCTCAAGTGTGCTCCCCAGCCTTCCTCTAGGTGGCATCATTTCTCACCCAGATCTACATTTTATTACCCATCAAGATTCATGGTGGTGACAGGATTAACCTTTCTCAGGGAGTCCAAGTGAAGGAAAGGATATGGAATCTTCTGTTACATTTCAGCAGGAGTCTTTGTTTTCTCTGCAAGAGGCCCCCCTGGGCTCTCTTTGCTTGTGAACTCTTCCTTTTTGCTTATGGTATAAACAATAGCTCTCTGGATCCCATCTCCTCGGGTTGTGGGCTATCTTGGTTAGCCTTTGGTTTTGCTCAGAAGAAGGCAAACTCCAAAACCAACTGGCCTGGAGCTGCAGGGACTCAGCATCCTGTTTCCAGGAGTAAGATTGTACAAATATGTTAGCTTGAGCTGTTGACTTCATTCTCTCTCTTAAAACTTTAGGAGTTTCTCTTTTACAAGTTTTAAAGACAGACTGAGCACTGGACTTTTCTTAGGTAGCAAAGCCATTTTTGTTTTAAAACCCTGTGAAGTTCCAATACTCTTAGATTTCCTTTGTCTTAAAACATGGCACTTAAATGCTTCTGGCCCTTCTTGTGTAGTATTGCTAGGTGTTATGAAGATACAAAAAAGTTCTTGTGCTATTAGCACATGATGTCAGACCATGAGGGTGAATGAGAAGCTGAACTGTGAGCTGAAGATTCTACATATGTAGGAATCTGGAAAAGACAAAGAGTCTTTCAGGATTCAGTTGCCTGAGAAGGCCTCCAGTCTGAGCCTACTACTGAAGAGGTGAGAGTGACTTTTACCAAATTCCAGATAATAACAAGGAGCATGCATTCATTCAAAGCAGCATCCTCTCTGCCCACTGCACCATGAAATTCCTGTTGCTTTCACCCCATGTAGTCCTTGAAGGCCCTATCGGTCCTCATGGACTACATGGGGTGAAAGCAACAGGAATTTCACGGGTTATAGCTTGAGGTTCTATACCAGAGATCTCCAAGAGATTCCTCATGCACCTAAGATATTGATGCCTTCTGCCTTTGGGGTGGCCAGAGCTCCCTGGCAGGTTGCTTTTTTATCCATTTATCCCAGGGAGCCAATATATGTTATCTATGTGTGCTATGTGGTAAAAACTGTTAGAAAGCACCATTTCAGATGTATCCCTCTTCTTGGAGAGCTTTGGTAGCACATGGTCTCAATGATTTGTTTTCCTGTTTGTAGTCCAAGTTACACAGGCTCTGTCAAAGTAGAAACTGTGTCTGTCTCATATGCTGTTATAGATCTAGTGCCTGCCACTGTGCCTAGCACATAGTACATGCTCAGAAAATATTTCATGAATGAATGAATGAGGAAGTCTAGGCCTTGAAGGATGAGTAAAATTTGGATAACCTGGAAGGGTTAAGGGTTTGCAAGGGTGATGAGCAATAGGAATAGAGTCAAATATGTTTGTGGTGTATGCCAGGCACAATTTGGAGGCAATGAGAAATTATCAGATCCCATCATGCCTATTTAACATAATGCTGAGTGAATAAAGAGCCACTGAAGCATCATTGCTGACAAGCAAAGTAGAAATTAGAACAAACAGGTGGTAATCGACACAACCATGTTTCTCTTAGCATCTAATTTCAAGTCAAACTCTGTGTGTCCACTATGGAAACAATGTCTCACGTGGTCAGGGGACTAATTCCAATAATTCCTAAATGTTCCCATACCATCTTGTAGCTTAGAAGCCCTCGCTGCAATCCCTGGTACCCCAGAGGCAAAGGAACACTATGCTGTCATCCTTCACAATGTGGGATTAGAGGAGTAAACCCTGTTGTTACAGGCATTGTTTTCCACATGGAGAAATGATCCTAGTGACTATTTCATACTCAAAACTTATGTCAGGTGTCACATCCTTAGGGAAATGTGCCCTGAGCTCTCTGAGGTTGAGTCAAATGCTCCTCTCTGGTTCCCACTGCACCATACGTTTAATGTTAATGAAACAACCACAGCCAACATTATTGAGCATTTCACATGTTCCAGGCATTATGTTCAGTACTTTACATAAGTTATCTTATTCAATCCTTGCCACAAAATCCTATGGTAAGCGCATGGTTATTATCTCCATTTTACAATCGAGGAAACTGGAGCAAAGATAAAATGGGTGCAGCAAATCAACATGGCACATGTATACCTATGTAACAAACCTGCACATTGTGCACATGTACCCCAGAACTTAAAGTATATATAAAAACCTAAAAATAAATAAATAAAGACATATGAATTAAAAGAAAAGAAAAACATTCTGAATGAGGAGAAATGAAAACTCCAGTCCTCCACCAGATGGTGCTGTGGGAGTCCAAAAGAAAAGTGCCCTCGGACCTCTTCCTTTCCCACTCCTTTCCCAAGAATACTCCAAATATCCGCATTTTTGTTTCTTTGTTTTTCTTTTTTCTTTTCCAGAGAAGCCTGAGTGGGTGGGAGAAACATTTTCAAGATAATGTTTAGGCAGGAATTGACATGAGTTTGATAATTTTATTTATGACTTTATGTTTTGGCCCAAAAGGCAAGATTGACCTTATTTCACTCCACCCTTTTAGATTCATGTACTTATTTCAAAGATCTCAAAGTGGTTTTTGCACCCTTGTCACCATTACAAAGCTGGAAATAAAATCTGAATTGCCCAAAGCATTGGAGGAGGCCGTGCAGTGGAGTGAAAACGTCTCCTGACTGCGAGGCAGTCTGATGGCTCTGCCATTAACTAATGAGAGACTTCAGGCAAGTCCCTTCTCCTCTCTGGACCTCAGTAGCTCCGCCTTTACAATAAGAGGGTTAGATGAGACTTCCAACCCTGAAATGTTTTATTTTCCCTGATAGTTTCTATACAAAGGACAGTAGACAATAAAAAAGATAACTGACCTCTGGTTCAAATCTCAGCTTGACCACCTATGAGCCAATCGAATTTGGACAAGTTACTTAACCTCTCTGCAACTTAATTTCCTCATCTGTATAATAGGAATACTGTTTTACCTACCTCAGAGGGTTGTTGTTAAGGATTAGGTGAGATAATGTATGTAAAGTGTTTAACACAGTGTTTGTCACTTTCAGTAAAAGCTATTATCACATAGAGCTTACCCTCACAATGTAGCAATTTCCTAGAGCTTGGGTGTTCATTTAGTAGTCATCAAAATTGGGGGAAGTTTTAAGTACTAAGCCACAAACAGTCAGGCTTGGCCCTTTTATAAGTATAATGATAAATGCATTTCATGGGTGCACTGCAAGGCTAAGTATGCAATTGAAGCAGAGAGCTGCACAAGTAACCATAAACAATGGGAATCCTCTCACACTGTTGGTGGGAGTCTAAAATGATACAAGCCACTTTGGGAAAATGTCTGGCAATTTCTTATAAAACTAAAGTACATCTTTCCCATGACCCAGCATTTCCACACCTAGGTATTTACCCAAGAAAAAGGAAAACATATGTCCACAAAAGGAATTATATGAGAACATTTAGAGCAGCTTTATTTTTAATAGCCAGAAGTTGGAAACAGACCAAGTGTTCATCAGTAGGAGAATGGATAAACAAACTGTGGTATGGTCACACAGTGGAGTACCACTCAGTAATAAAAAGGAACAAACTACTGATACTCGCAACAGCATGTGTCATGATTTATGTATCATATATGTGAATTATGTATCATTATGTATCATGTATTAGCATGAGCCTCAAAAACATTAAGCTGAGTAAAGTAAGTCTTATTCAAAAAAGTCCATGCCTTATGATTCCATATATATGAGCTTCTATAACAGGCAAAACTAATCAATGACGGAAAAAAAACAGTGGCTGCCTCTGGGAGTGAAGGGAGAGGATTGCCTATGAAAGGATGAGAGGACATGTTCTTGAGTAGTAGTCTTTATCTTAGTAGGGGTTACATTTACCAAAACTCAGAAAATATGCAGTTAATATTTATATATCTCATTGTATGTATATTTTACTTCAAAAGGAAAAAAGAATAATAAACAAATATTGGACTATAGTTAATGATAGGTATGGAGAAAGTGCTTAGGAGTGAAGTGCATACTGATGTATGCAACTTCAAAAAAAAAAAAGATAATGAATAGACAAATAGATAGAGGGAGGAGTGGATAGGTGAGGGATGAATAAAGCCAGTATAGGAAAATATTAGTGGTAGAATCTAGGTGGTTACTAGATATCCTCTGTAAAATTCTGTCAATGTCGCTATATGTTTGAAATTTTACACAATATATACTTTTTTTTGGAAAAATGTAACTTCAAAGTTTCACAGTCCCCACAGAGTGAATCTTTTTCAAAGTTGGTAAGTTTCATTACGGGAAGGCAGACCTCAGACCTAGGTAAAAATTTCCTGAGCACATATTATGTGCCAGGCACTGTGCCAGGCATGGTGAGGGGTACAAAGAGGAAGAACACAGCACCTGCCCTCATGAGGTCTGTAGGGGCCATCTGATGAGCCCATCCGTCACTATTATTCTACGCTATGAGATTGCTAAGGACAGTGAGATTTCATCTAGTTGAGAAGGTGTGTGGCATTGAAGACATTTTGGGTAATTAGTGCTGTAAGTAGGGTTGGACAGCATCTTCAGGCCGGAGCACAGAGAGTCTTGAAGGCCACAGTAAGGTGATCATTTGGAAGTCTAGTGGACCCATTCAAGAATTTTGAGCCAAGGAGTGACATCTTTAGGAATTTACTGGGAGAAAGGGGCAGGTGTGATAGATGCCATTGCTTTACGGGGGTTGGCAGGCAAGGGAGCTTTTCAGGTACCTGCAATGAGCAACGGGAGCAGCTGGAAGCATCCATAAAGAGAGGTTCAGAATGACCAGGACAGCCCCAAAGCCTAAGGAGATGAGATCTTGGTTTGATCCCCTGGGAAATGGGAAGCCATTTAGTCTGTGCCTCTGTCCTACTTCTTTGCCCAAGGATGTTGTGGCTCTGTAAGGCCATACTGGTTGTTCACAGTCAAAATCTATTCTGATGGTTTGTTAGTCCATTCTGATTGACCAGCATTGAAGATATACTGCTGTTGAATCCATACCTGCCCACCTCATAAGGTTGTTATAGGGTTAATTAGTATAATGTATGTAATATGCCTGGCATATGCTAGACACTTGATAAATGAAATCAGGGACCAAATTTGATGCTCCAGTATGTGGCCTGAATATAGGAGGATATCAGCACAAGCCCACGAAGATCTCCAAGAAGTCTCTAAGTAAGGCATTTGAAGCTCCTGAGGCCCATTCCAACCTACAAATATTGTGATCTTTATCAAACCCCAGTTAGTCTGAAATGCTGTGTATATTCCCATGGAAAAACTGAGAAGCCCCAGTTGGATTAAGGAACCGTCTAATTTATTCTCATCAGTCTTTTGAGAACAGACCTACTGTGGTGGCTTATGGCAAACCATACCCTCAAGATTGTGCTGCTAGGAGGAGGTAGAGAAGCTTGCAGCATAGCCTGGGACAGTGAGCTCAGACCACCTGGAGTCTTCCTTTTTCCAAACAAGGCTTTGGACTCTAGTGCTTAGAGATTGGGCCCAGAGTCTCAGTTCTCTCCAAATTCTGGCTGGTCGTCCTGCCCACTACTTACCCAGCTCCACATCCTGGCACTCCCTATTTGTCCCCAGTTCACAAAGAAGTTGTCTGTGAGAGTTATAAAGGCACAGACTGTTCACCGATGTGACTTGCTCACCGATGTGTCTCTAGGACCCAGCACAGTGCTTCACACAAAGTAACATGTAATAAATATTTGTTGAATGAATGAATGAATGAATGAATGATTCCTTCTCAGTCTTTAGTTGGTGCCTCATGAAGCCTTCTTTCTTTCTCTCCTTTAGAGCCCACTGTGGCTTTGCCAGCCTTCTGGACTCCGACAGTGCTTACCATCTGTGTCTGTCCTTTGGCAACTAGCCAAACTCAACTCAGTTCAATTCAACCAACTTCCATAGAGCTGCACTGTTGGCAGGAAGCACTCACAGTCTCAAGGAATGGGGAAAGCATTTCCTATCCATGGCGCCTCAATTGTACTTTTAAAACAAACTTGGCATGGAAGAGAACCTTTCCCGAGACTCTTTGAAAGTCTAAATACATGATTGTAAATTACTTCCCTTTGTCAACACCCTTGATTACCATTTTGGAAATGAGTTCCAGGTGATGGATAAACAGATGATTATTTGACAGGTATGGGGCTCGTGGAAAATGGGGGTGGAGGGGTGGTGAGGAATGAGAACCAGTGCCCATCTGGTGGATTTGCAGTTTCATTAAGTGTGGTAGGGAAAGGGGTTAGCATCTCAGCCATTCCAGGCTGGCCTGGAACTGAGATTTAAAGGATGCCCATCAGCCCCTAGTGTGAAAAGAAAGCCAGGATCCCCTCCACCCCACACCTGTTGTTTTTTTTGGAGTGCTGGGCCTTTTTAAATTTTATGACTATTCTCCGTTTCTATTTCCACCCGCTTTTACACATCTATCCCTCCCCATGCCATTCTTCTATAAATTAGTAGGTTGACTTCTCTCTGGTAGTGATTTCTTTCAATAAAACTAGAAGTAGCGTTGTGTTTATTAAAACATTATTTTAATAGCAAAACATGAAAATAACAGAAATATTACAATAAATGGCAAAGTTAAATAAGTTATGGTAGATCCATAGTCTGGAGTACTGTGTAGACAATAAAATAACACTAAGGAGTCAGTATTTAGAAAGGGAGACTTCCATGAAATTGCTATCATATTCCATTTTAATCCACTCTTTTGATCAATATTGCAGGATCTGGATGCATTCATTGTGCAATATTGGAAATTATTCTTAGCTTATAACTATACTGTGGCTGGGGAAAAGATGTTCTTTAAAAAATAAAATTTGTAAGTGATCTACTCTAAAAAAAACAAAAACAACAACAAAAAATAACGCTATGGAGAAATAGTAAATGACATGGAAAAATTTACAGTATGTTTTTAAGGGAAAAAGGCCATGAAACATGAGAGAGAGAGAGAGAGAGAGATTTGAGAGAGAGAGTCATGAGTATGCACCATTGATAATTTTTCGTTCTTTTCTCTTGTCGCTTTTTTGTGTTTTCCAAGATTTCCAAAATTTTCCTTGTTGCTTTTTTGTGTTTTCCAAGATTTCTGCATTGAATGCTGCAAAGTAAAGCTCAGAAGGGTGCATTGTGAAGAATCTGAAAGCACAAACAGGGGCATAGAGCAAGGCTTCTTTCAGTCAACGAATTTTGAGGAAGGCAAAATGCACAGAGTATTGCAGAGGAACTCCAGGAAGATGCTGTTTTTCAAATTCAAAGGGGAGAAGATGGTGTCTATTGGTGGTGAGAACTTAAGTTCCACCACAGAAGACTAAACTCTGTTAAAGAATCAATGAGTAACAACTCCTGGGTTTCTGAACATAGGGCTGAATTGATAGAAGTGGTGTTGGAGAATTATTCTAACCATAACATGATAGATTCAGCTGTAAGCCAGGAGATTCTCTGTTTGCATATTTGACCTGAGGTAATGAGAACATGGATTAAGCTTGTGGCAATAAAACCAGAAAGGAAGGAGCAGAGGGATCTGAGACATGCTACCAAGAATCAGAGCTAGAGATTCAAATTTGGCTAAATATATGCCAAGTGGTAGGTGAAACCATGTAAGAGACACTCTTCAAGGAAATGGGTGTTGAGAGAGAATAGCTGAGGACTGAGTCTTTGGGGATTCCAACAGTTAATGGGAGGAGGAAAGAAGGGGAGCCAGCAAAGGAGGCAGAGAATGGTGGGTCAGAGAGATAAGAAGAGAAATTTGAGAATGCAATGCCACAAGAGCCAAGGGTAGGACAGTTACAGGAAGGAGTGGGTGGTTGATGGTTTCAAATTCATCCTCGAGGTCAAAGATGCAAAGGGAGCAGAGACCCCTGAATTTGACCCGGAGGTCACTGGTGAACTGACTTATAGAAAGTAGTTTTGGCAGAAAGCACTGGACTCTAGAAGGTTCAAGAGGAGGGAGAGGTGGGAAAATGGAGGTAGCTCATGAATACCACCCATTTGACACAAGTAATGTGTGAGGACTGAGAAGAAGAAGGTCAAACTTTATAATTCCAGTCCTGCTACTTAACCAGTCTGAACCTCAGTTTCCTCTTTGGAAAATGAGAATCCTATTAGCTCATAAGGCTGTTGAAATTAGAAAACAAGTTTAAATGATTATTTGTATGTTACAGTAAAGGGGTTTCTTCCTCCTTTCCTCTCAAAAAAAAAAAAAAAAACCCTAGCTATTTCTAGGTATATGTTAACACAGCAGTCCTCAACCTTTTTGGCACCAGAGACTGGTTTTGTGGAAGACAATTTTTTTCATGGACACTGGGGAGGGGTGGATAGTTTCAGGATGAAACTGTTTCACTTCAGATCATCAGGCATTAGATTCTCATAAAGAGCATGCAATTGTAGATCCATGGCATGCGCAGTTCACAATACGGTTTGAGCTCTTCTGAGACTCTAATGCCACTGCTGATCTGACAGGAGGTGTAGCTCAGGCGATAATGCTCACTTGCCCTCTGCTCACCTCTTTCTGTGCGGCTGGTTCCTAACAGGCCAAGGTCCAGCAGCCTGGGAGGTTGGGGACTCCTGTTTTAACAGATAAGAGAAGTCTTTTTAGCTCAACAGTCATATCACTAGGTTAGCAGTGCTTTGAAAATTCTCTGGCTGTGTCCTCTGGCATTCATCCTGCCAAGTTGCTTTAACAATTCTTTCCTGAGGCCCTCTGAGGTGAGAATATTGAGGCAAGGTGATTAGAAGGGAGCCAGTGTCAGGGTCATGTGGAATGTCTCTGAGGCCTGTTTAGAGGCTGTGAAGCAAGGCTCTGTTTGAGACCCTGGATACAGTTTGGTGCCAACCTCACCTGAACACACAGAAGGCTACAGCCCCTGGGTGGATGGTGGGCTGAAGAACGGTTGGGGAAGAGGCATCGGAAAACCTTCCTTTTTTAACCCATGGCACCTATAGATTGAATGGTCCCTGGACTGAACGGTCTTGAACAGGCAGCATTATTTTCAAGGTGTGCCTAAGGTCATACACTTTTCTTGCTTTCTGCTCTCATTTGGCAACTATGGACAACCAGACCTAGCCAGCACTACCTCATTTTTTCTACCCCACCATCTACAAACCAACCCTTTTCCTTTGTGAAGCTCAGTCTGTTTCCAATTTAACATATCTGGCCTGATCTTTGTCTTGGTGCCTTGTTTTCCCCTAAAAAAAGACAGCCTTTGAGAAAAAAATGGCTGCCCTAAAAGCCATTAGGGCCTAGACCTGTTACCAAGTCTAGAGAGGCACACAGCTGTTTGCTGGCCTAACTGGGAGTAGGGTGAGCATATTCTCTAGAACTGGCACTTTTCAGATCCCGAGATATCCACAGAGTGTAGTCAAAGGGCCTTTTAAAATGTGCATGCTACTCTTATTGGAAGAACTTGGTTTCACTTCTGGGAAGATGGCTTACTTACCCATGGGAAACAGGCTCCCATTATGAATAGTACATTCATGTGCTAAGATGTGTTGACTTTTCAAAAAGTGTCATAGGACATCAGAGCAGGGGTGCTTCCAAGAAGGTGTAATATCACTTATATCACCAGAAACCATTTTGGATAACCAGGGAGTTCTACTCTGCCTTGGCCTTCTAGCAGGTGCCTGAGCACTCAGTCACCAAATTCAGCCTGAGCATCTTCTGAATAAGATGCTCTCCTCCGACAAGGTGGGAGGGGGGTGAAAAGGGGGGCGGGGGGAAAAGGAAAGGAATGAGGACTAGAAAGATAGGCCTGGGTCCCTGTATATGGGAGTAACTTCCATAAAATGTGGACAAGGGGTCTCTGCTGCGGAAAGGCGTCTGCCCTCTCCCTTGAGCGCCCCAAGGCAGAGCTGCCTTAGGGGGCCAAATGCTGTATCTGGGCCAAAGCCTGGCCTGCAGGGCAGGTGGCCAGAACTTGGAAGGAATTCTCTTCCGCAGCCCAGGGTCCAGGCTTGGCCCCAGCAAGCTGCCCTGCCAGCGTCTGCTGCCTGGGGCCTCGCGCATTCCGAGCCCCCGCCCCCTCCGCCCGTCTCCCAGCCTCGCCCCCACTCTTGTCCCCTTCTCCTCCCCCCACCAGCTGTCCCCTTTCCCTGGAGCAGCGAGACAGCCAGAGCCTGGGAAGAGGCGGCCGCGGGCCGGAGGGGGCGTGGTGGGGAAGGGGAGGAGGGGCGGGAGTGAGGGAATAAGGAGGCCCCGCCGTCGGCGCCCCCAGCCACTGCGCGCTCGCCGGAGAGCTGGGTGCTACCGCTGTTTCCGCTGCTGAGCCCTGCCCGCCGGCCGGCCCGCTCGCTAGCTCGCTTCCCCTCGCCCAGGGGGAAAGGTCAGCAGCGTCCTGGAGCCGCCGTGTCACTCCCCGAAAGCCATGAACTGCAGCGAGAGCCAGCGGCTGCGAACCCTTCTGAGCCGCCTGTTGCTCGAGCTGCACCACCGGGGTAATGCCAGCGGCTTGGGCGCTGGCCCTCGTCCCAGCATGGGCATGGGGGTCGTGCCTGACCCTTTCGTGGGCCGCGAGGTGACCAGCGCCAAGGGCGACGACGCCTATCTCTACATCCTGCTCATCATGATCTTCTACGCCTGCTTGGCCGGAGGCCTCATCCTGGCCTACACCCGCTCCCGTAAGCTCGTCGAGGCCAAGGACGAGCCGTCCCAGGCTTGCGCCGAGCACGAATGGGCCCCGGGAGGCGCCCTGACCGCCGACGCCGAGGCTGCCGCGGGCTCCCAGGCCGAGGGCCGCCGCCAGCTTGCCTCCGAGGGGCTGCCTGCCCTCGCCCAGGGCGCTGAGCGGGTCTAAAACCACAGCCCCAGATTGCTGGTTCGCGCCCTCCTCATCTCGCTCATCCCTGGGCGCGCCTCCCACCTTCCACCCCCAACTCCCTTCCAGGGTTCGCCTCATCTGAGGCCCAGATAATGGTGAGAGGCCAGGAGACCTTGTCTGGAAGGCCCTGGAAGGAGAAGCACCACCTTACCCATTCGGGCCAGTTTCTCCCTCTTCACCCCTGCGCCTCCACCCCTACCCCGCACATCCAACTGCACTAAACTGCCTCTGCTCTCTTGTCTTCAGACAGCCCTGACAGCACGCTCCAGCCCTCTGGGAACTGAATCCAACACGTCCAACACTTGGCACTGAACTGAAGCAATGCATTCTATCAGAACTCTGGGCCGTCTAACTGGCAGCTGCTCCAGGGGCTGCCAGGGACTGCTCACTCTGCAGAGCCAACGGGCTTGCCAGGCCGACTGCAGCAGCTCCAGCTTCCAGTTGCCTTAGGGACAGAGACAAAGGAAATGAAGAGACCTCAGACATCTTTTCCCTCCCTCTCTCTTTCAGCAGGGAGCTAGCAGGACACTAGGACCAGTCTGTGGGATAGAATGAACTTAATGGGGGACGGAAGGGGGAGGAGTGCTCAACGGGGAGGGAAATGATCTATGACTCCAACCGTATGATTTTCTTGCCTCCCCAGTTTTCATCCCAGTGGTAACGCCTGATTTTTGGTAGCTATGCCATCTTCTGCTGAGGATTACCATTACTGGGTGTATCACCCCAGTACTTCCAAATGCCTCTCCTCTATTGATTCAGTTGTTATTGCAGTGTCTGCTTCATCCGTGGAACTTGAGGCTCAGATGCCCCCTGCTCTGTAACCCTGGGGAATGTCAGAGGCAGGTAATAAAGGTTGTTTAAACAATAACGCAAGACTCTTCTCTCAGAGATTCCAGCCTTAAGACCCAGTACCATATGGAGAAGGAATCCTTTTTCTTTTGCTTTTGGAAATGATGTTTGGATTTGGGGGTTGGGTGGTTGTGATATTTATATCTATGTAACCAGTTCCAATTTGATATGTGTGATTATGGGTGAAGAAAATGTTTATATGGCTAAATGGGTTGTTTTTTCAAGTGTTTCAAAAGTTATACCTACTTTATTACTTATCCCTCCTTTTTTCTTATTTCTGAAGCACTTTCAAAGATCACAATGCAGTCTTTCAGGATGCACTTTAAAAAACCTTTAAGGCCCATCCCTTTTAGCTATTATCAAACCTAATTTTTAGAAGCCACCTTAATAATTGTTTTTATTTTACTTTTTTTGAGACAGAGTCTCACTGTGTCACCCAGGCTGGAGTACAGTGGCACAATCAAGGCTTACTGAAGCCTCTGCCTCCTGGGTTCAAGCGATTCTCCTGCCTCAGCCTCCCAAGTAGCCTCCTGAGTAGCTGGGATTACAGATGTGCCCCATCATGCCCAGTTAATTTTTGTATTTTTAGTAGAGACGGGGGGTTTCACCATGTTGGCCAGGAGGTTCTCAAACTCCTGACCTCAAGTGATCCGCCTGTCTCGGCCTCCCAAAGTGCTGGGATTACAGGTGTGAGCCACTGCACCTAGCCAATAACTTTTTTGAAGTGGCTTATTAAAAGACAAGGAAGCCACCAAATAGTGTAAATCTGAAGTCAAAGAGAAAATTCTTGAACTGAGCAATCTTAACCAATGATGGGTAAAGTTAGAGGTGTGTGTTGTATTGATTTATTCTCCTTGTCTCAAGAAGGTTGTCAGAAACTTCCCTGCTTACAGCTGAAATGCTTATATCTGATGATGGCTGTTTGGGCTTCATCAACCACACATAAAATCACCTCTTAGAAGTAAGCCAATTTGCTTAAATATAGCTGGGTTCTCTGATAATGATAGCAGGACAAATATATTACCAGTCACTTAAATGCATTGATAACACACAAACCTCATTCAAGGCATTGGGTCTTACCTTCCAGCCCATCTAGCATTTTATTGGAACTGTTAATAAGTTAAGTGAACTTACTTTTATTTCCAGGATTCACTCATTGAAGCTATACTGGCCTTGCCCCATTGGCTCTTCTCCAGTCCTCGTTCCAGCCATAAGGTCACCCCTGAAGGTGAGGGCCAGGGATTGGGCAGCAGTCCAAGACGATGACAGAAAGAGAAGGGAAGCTGTGTGAGCCATTTCAGCCAGGCAGGGAGGCCTGGGGAGGATGTGGAGGAAGGGCACAATATACAGCAATGCTGAGGACATGTGACGGGGCGGTCTTCAGTCCTGTATTCTAAGTAAAACAATGTCACTCATTTATCTGGCATAATGGGGACTCAAGGTTATTATTATTAATTTTTTAAATTGAGACGGAGTCTTGCTCTGTCACCCAGGCTGGAGTGCAGTGTCGTGATCTTGGCTCACTGCAACCTCTGCCTCCCAGGTTCAAGCGATCCTCTTGCCTCAGCCTCCCGAGTAGCAGGGCTAAAGCCTGCGCCACCACGCTGGCTAATTTTTTTTTTTTTTTTTTTTTAGTAGAGACGGGGATTCATCATGTTGGCCAGGCTGGTCTCAAACTCCTGACCTCAAGTGATCTGCGCACCTTGGCCTCCCAAAATGTTGGGATTACAGGCGTGAGCCACCACGCCCGGCCTCAAGGTTATTTTGATAATGAAGCATAATCACTGCTTCAGGTGTTGAAATTTTGTAAACACATTTGTACCATTTTCCCATAGACATTTAAAAGAATATATTGCCAAAAATAAAAGAAGCTGGGAGCAGTTAGGACAGTGCTCATAATACACATTAATGTGCCAGCTGTGGAAAACAAATCCCATGGAAAATGTTCCTGCTTTTAAAAACATTTTAACCTTTTTATGATGACTTAGGGTACCCATGAAGAACATGTAGCGAGAGTAGCTATAGAACCCTCCTGGTCAGAAAAGTGAGGTGGGCTGGGAAGAGTGATTTAATTTACTTTCTAGTGGCTTTTTTCAAATACTCTCAGACTTTCAACTGTCTCCCAGATAATGAAGTTTTTCAGAAGTCTGGACACTCAACTTTTACCAGACAGTGGAGGTGTTAACAGCATTGAAGTGATCATATTGTGGTCAGCAAAACATAGGGAGAAGAAAGAAAAACTAGGTGCTTGGCCAACCCCCAGTTTTGATAATGTATCCCTGAATAGCAATAGCTGACTATACAAGTTGGGAAAATGTTAGCTTTGTCCTTAATGTGATTTTAAAGATGTTAAACATTCTAATAGAATGATTCTTTTTTTCACTCCACCAAGCAGTCTATTTCTCCTCTCTGCATAACCAGATCCTGTTTCAACTCAGGTTCAGATCTTCACTCCAAAATAATAAAGAAGCAAAAGACCTTTGCTTCCTGACTTGTAACTTGAGGCTTTCTGCAGAGGAACTAGGGGATGTTTTGAGTTTCAATGTCTGGAATTACTTATCGACAGTGCGAAAAGAAATGAAAGCTTTTCTTCTATTACAGACACAATTCTGTGTGTCAATTTTACTTTTCTAGAAGGATATAAGTGGGGTCTTTTGTTTGTTTGTAGTTACCATCTTCTCTTTTTCAATTTGTCATTGCTTTTATAAACCCAAGGTCTGCACATAACTTGTATCATCAGCAACAAAAAAAGGGGTCTGGGCTGCTTTCCAAACAATCTTGCCTGCCAGCTAAAGCGAATATACCATGATGTGGAGAGAGCATAGGACCAGAAATCAGGAGAACTTGGGTCCAGCTCAGGCTTTGCCAATTAACCAGCTTTGTTTCTCAGAATGAGCTGCTTAACCTCTCAGGGCCCCAGTCTCTACAGCTGTGGGGATTTGAGGATCAAGTGAGATAATATATGAGAAAAGGCTAGGAGAAGTGTAGAAACTATAGAAGGTATTAAGTTTATACTTTCCTTTTCTTTCTTTGGAGGAGTGCTCTTGGCACTTGGGTGGGAGTAGTGGGAGGAAGAGAAAATTTTCCACTATGTAGTTTCTACTGTTAATGCTCAAAAAAGAGGATTGCTGATACTTAGCCACTGGCTCCCAGATTTTCAAGCTTATCTACCCCATTCTCAGGATCTTGGCTGACTAGGAAACTGCATAACTGTCTCACCATTCTACTCTGCTCTCGTTTACTTGCAGGCCCATGGTGCTCTTTAAAAAATGTATGACAGTAACACTTTATTTACAACGCTCTACCAGGACTGGAGTCTAGACTTTTGAAGACAGGGGTCTTCAGGGATTGGTAGCGAGCATAAGAGAAAAGAATGAAGGGTAAGAATCAGGGACGCTGGGCTTCATAAGGGAGGTAAGAGGAAGAATGAACTAGAATGTTCTGTGAAGGTGAGAGAGTATGACTGAGGATCACCAAAGGTGAATAGATTAGATTGGTCAATAGCCAGCCTAGGTGAACGTGACCTTTCCATCAAAAATGGCCTTGGGAGAAGCTGTTGGATGAGAAGTCACTTTTCAGCCCTTTTGTTCCTACTTAACATAACCTATAGGCTGTCCAGGGAGACAAATAATGTGATTAAGCCAATTCCTCTTTCAGTGCTAGACCTCACAGCATGGGACCAGGTGGCCCCAACTAGTCCTCCATCTGCTATGTTTTGAAAGAGGACAGAGTCGTGGTCAAAGCTGTGGCCTGTGCCTCTTCCTCTGAAGAGAGTGCAGCCAGAGCAGACAGGAAAATACCTCAGATACATTTTTAAAATTGTGGTAAAATACGCATTATGTAATATTTACCCACATAGCCATTTTTAAAAGTGTACTGCTCAGTAGTGCTAAGTACATTGACATCGTTTTACCACAGTGCCATTTTCAGTTGGAGAAAAAGGAGAACAGTTAAATTCCCTTAAATAGAAGTGGCATACTTAATCATTGCTTCAGATGGCACCCCTTCCATGGATATTCACATTTTATAATGGATCACTTAGGACAGTGTAAAGGTAAAACCCCAAGAAAGAAACTCCAGTTGTGGGGTTCAGTGAAATCTGGAAGAAGATATACCTTGAAATGTTTACAGATATCAGGCAGAGTACAGAGGTGGATATGCTGGACTTCCCACAACTTCTCAAGTCACATTCTACTCTCACTGCCAGATGCTCTTGGAACCCTGGGGGGGATGGAGGTGGCCATGAATGACTGGATTGCAGTACAAACTCACTGGATTTCCGCATACCCGACTCATAAGATGTCTATTCAAGAAAACATTTCAGGTCCCTAAAAGAACAGGGGATCTCCCCTTGGCTCTTTTTAGGATCTAGCTGTGATCCAGTAGGGGCTACAGCTCCAGCAGGCCCAGCACAAGAAAGAATGGAGACAAAGGACTTGTTAATTTCAATCTTCCTCTTTTAGGACCACTTCCTAATAGGGGCAATGTGATTAGGATCAGCTTCTGGAAAAACTATGGGATTGGTATTTATCTCATTTTCCCCCTTCTTGTTCCAAGCTCATTCTTGCTCTCCCTAGTCCCAGTATTCCAAAACTACCTCTTTCCTACTGCTAGGATCTAATGATCTTATTCATTTACACCTAATTTGCTATTCCTCTCAGCGATGATGCAAAGAATATATTTTTAATGGTGGCTTTCAGACACTGAGTGAGGGAGAGAGGCATGAAAGAGGGCTTGTCCTAGGACACTCAAATATGATATGGGTAAGCTAACTCTAGCAGTCACTACATTGTGATTAGCTTCTCAAGGAAAGGACTTTGTTTTTTTTTTCTTTATCTCCAGTCCTTCGAGGGGATTTTGGAAGACTGCAACATTCAGCCTAGGAGGGCATCTTCTTTTTCATGTGAGCCTCTTATTGTGGGGGATAAGATGTGTGTGGAGATGGGAGTAATCGGGGCAGGTGGAAAGGGAGAGAAGCCCTTGCCCTGCTTCCCAGTTAGCCCTCTGTCCACTGGAAGGCCACCTTAGCAAATATGACACCAAGAGGAATGGCTGAGGGGAATGAGGGGAGAAATACTAGGATGGGTCCCCTGAGGACTGTAAGAATGGAGTTGCCATCATTTTCCTGCAATCTACCTATAAGTCTATACTAAATCAAGGCCAAAGAGAAATGACAAGCCCTGCTTGGAGGTAGCTGCTCTGAAATCAGCTGGGTTAGTCTCCATCCTGTGTACCGAGTATCTGGCACTATCCCATGGAAGTTTGAGCCTTTCCTCTAGCAAGTCCAGGTGGCTGGTACGTTCAAGATCCCCCACCTTCTGATTTTCTCCATCTTCCACTAAGGCAGAATACTGTAGTACATAGGATGTAGGTGCTAGTGCCAGGCTGCATGGGTCCAAATCTATGGTCTTTCACTAACTGGGTGATATCAAGAGAGTTATTAACCTCCAAGCCTCCTTTCCCCCTCTGTAAAATAGATGTAGTACCTACCTCCCCAGGGTTGCTGTGAAGATTGAGAAGTTAACATAGTGCCTGGCCCAGGGGAAGAGTTCAGTAGCTACCTCTGTACTTCCCTCTCATCTTGACTTCCAATCCCTCCACTACTATTGCTATTTTTTAAGATGTTGTTCTCCTTCTGGCTTCATTTGCTTCATTCCTTGTCGGCATACAAAATATGTCAGGCTTGCTCACCTTAAAAACAACTCTCTTGCCCTTCTCCCTCCTCCAGCTATTGACCTAGTCCTCTTCCCTTTTTGAGTAAAACTCCTCAAATGAATGGTCTACACTCTGGCTCTGTTTCTCACCTTCTAATCTTGTCTCAATCCATTGCAATACAGTTTTCAGCTCCTCACACCAATGAAACTGCTTTGTCCTGGTCACCAATGACCTACATGCTGCCAAATCTAATGCCCAATTTTCAGTCTTCATTCCTTGTGACTATTTAGCAGCATTTGATGGAGTTGATGACTCTTGTTGAAATTCATCTTTTGACTTCCATAACACTTCAGTCTCCTGGATTGTCTCTTTCTTTACTAGCCCTTTTTCTTCTCAGTCTCTTTTACTGGTTCCTTCTCATCTCCTCAACCTCTCAACGTTGAACTGCCCATGGCTTCATCCTGGGACCTTCTTTCTTCTCCATCTTACTCTTTCTCCTTTGATGATGTCAACTAGTCTCAACATGAAAAATATTATCCTCACATATAAATACAATCTTTACAATGATGACTCCCAAATTTATATACTTTTTATCTATTGAAACCCCTACTCTTCAGACTTGCATATTTGACTGTCTACTTAACATCTCTTCTCGGGTATCTAAACCTGTCTCGAAGTTAACCCATCCAAATTAGAGTTTTTGAGTTCCTTTCTCCCAAATTTGCTTTTCTATGTGTGAAAGAAAAAACAACCCCTGACATCTGGGAATTGATGTGACATTTACATCTAGGTTTCACTTTTCTTAGAAGCTGGCCTGATGTTCACAGGTAGGCCATGTTATTCTCCTATTGGACATAAGCAATCTCACAGAACACCAATACCAGATAAGTCCAATGGCAAGACAAGACATGTCTTTGTGACCGTGATGAAGTAAGACAATACAAGATCATTTCATCATGTTATATATGCACAGACAAACATAAGGTTAGTGTGAAACACAAAATACCAAACATCCTCCTTTCCTAGCTAATTTGAGTGAATGCTATTGCTCTACAAATTACACCTTTAGTCTTTCTGTGTAGCCTTTCCTGCTTCTAGATGAGATTCATTAAGATACTTAATTATAGGATTATCCTTATTGATAGCACCCATTTTTGTAAATGGAGCTACCACCAACCACCCATTTGCTTATGCCAAAACATGAGTCAGATTGATTCTGCTCTTTCCCTCATCCTCCCACAGCCAATCTAGGAGCCAAATTCTTTCCATTGTACCTCCAAAAGAAATTCTACATGTGACTACTTCTCACGATCTCCACTTCTACCACCCTAATCTATATCCCCATCATTTCTTACCTGAACTAGCCTAACACTTCCTAGTTGGTCTTCCTGCCTTTACCATTGCCCCCACAAGAGTCAGTTCTTTATACAACAGTCAGAGCAATATTGAAGCATAAAGTAGAACATGTCTCTTCTCTATTTATGTTCTAATCATATGGGTAATCCAAGGCCCTCCATTGGATTACCCATATGATTAGAACATAATCTCCCAACTCCTTACCATGATCTATAAGGCCCCTCATGATCTGACCCTTGCCAACTTCTCTAAACCTCACCTCCTGAATTCTTTTCTCCTTGCTTACTAAACTCAAGTGACACTAGTTTTCTTGCTGTTTGTTCCTTGAACACTTCAAGTTCTTTTCTGCCTCAAAGCCTTTGCATGTTCTGTTTCCTCTGCTTGGAATGTTCTTTCTTTACATCATCCTATGGCTGTTTCCTTCTCATCATTCAGGACTTAGCTCAATGGCAATTTCTCAGCGGCCTTCCTTTACCATCCTATCTATAGTTGCTCCTTTTTGCCACTCCCACCCTATTGTCTATCCCTTTGTCCTGTATGTTTACTTCACAGCAGGAAACAATGTCTAAAATAATGATTTTTATTTACTTACTAGTTTATTGTCAGTCTTTCCCATGTAGGCTATGAGATCCATGAAGGCAGAGATTTTGTGGTCAATTTTTTTATTTTTTATTTTTCTATGGTCAATTTAAAAAAATTTATTTTGCTAACATTTTTGAGGTATAATTGACATATAAACAGTGCATACATTTAAAGTGGATGATCTGATGAGTTTTGACATATGAATATATGTGAAACCTCACCAAAATCAAGATGATGAACCTACCTATCACTCCCCAAAATTACCTTTGTGTCTCCCTCCTGCTGGCCCAAACAATCAATGACCTGGTTTTTGTTGCTGTAGATTAATTTGCATTTCCTACAATTTTATACAAATGTAATAATGCAGTATGTACTTCTTTCATTCGGCATACTGATTTTTGAGATTCATCTATATTGTTGCATGTATCAATAGTTCTTCTTATTCCTGAGTAATTTTAGGTAGGTATCATAGTTTGTTTATGCATTCACCTGTTGAAGATCATCCGAGTTGCTTCTAGTTTTTCACAATAATGAATAAAACTTGTATAAACATTTGTGTGCAACTCTTTGTGTGGGCATATGTTAAATACATAAATTTTGTGTGTATGGTTCTTTTCAGCATCCCTCACACCCAGGCACTTGTATAATATGTATAAAATATATGGTGGTTAAATATGTGTTGAAGGAATATAGATGAACTTCCTTTGCAGCCCAGGTCCATGGACAGTTCCATGGCTCCTGTGCCCATCCTAGAATCCTTCACTATCCTACCTTTCGTCCCATTCTTGTCCTTCCAATATGCAGCCCTGAGTGACCCCTTGAAGGTGGCTGTTTCCACTCTTGGCTTGTTGGAAAAACCCTGCATTGCGTTCTCTGCCAATGTGTGCTGTCTAAGCTGGCTTCTCTGGCTGTTCAACAATCCGTTCATTCCTCGCTTGCTGACTCCCTATCACATTCCCTACAGCAGCTGCTCCAAACTTCCTGCCCTCCCCTCAAGCCCCCAGCCGCATCCCTGCCCTTCATTCTCAGGAGATGATTTCACCTCCTTCATTTCTGAGAAGATTGAGGCCAACTGACAGGAGCTTCTTCAGCTTCTATCTGAGCCATCTCCACACAGCCATCCCAAATGCTTCCGGCTCTCAGGAAGATGTGCTCCTTCACCTTACCAGGGTTAAGCTCTCTGCCAGAGTGCTTGATCCTAGCCCCAACTTTATGATATTAATAACAACAGCAGCAAAAAAATGTACTTAGCTTTTGATATGTGCCACACACTGGGCTAAGCACTGAGGAAACAACTCTGACATTTGTTGAAAAATTATGTCATCAACATGTATCGTTTCTATTTTTTCTAAGCTTAAAAACTCATTAACTTTTTGTAAAAGTACTGTAAATACATAAATGCTAAGCACTTTTTGTGTGTTATCTAATTTAATCTTCACAGCAAAATTGTAGGGTATTACTATTATTTTAACAGATAAGGAGAGAGAGGATGAAGACAGGTTAAGTAACTTACTTTGGGTGATATAGCTAGTAAGTGGTAGAGCTAGGATTTGAGCTAAGGTTTAAATCCAGAGCTCTCTTTTCCTCTCTCTCTCTCCTCTCTCTGTCTCTTTCTCTCCTCCTTGAATTTCAGAGAAAATTATCTTTTTTAAAAAATTATACTTTAAGTTTTAGGGTACATGTGCACAACGTGCAGGTTTGTTACATATATATACATGTGCCATGTTGGTGTGCTGCACCCATTAACCCGTCATTTAGCATTAGGTATATCTCCTAATGCTATCCTTCCCCCCTCCCCCCACCCCACGACAGGCCCCGGTGTGTGATGTTCCCCTTCCTGTGTCCAAGTGTTCTCGTTGTTCAATTCCCACCTATGAGTGAGAACATGCGTTGTTTGGTTTTTTGTCCTCGCGATAGTTTGCTGAGAATGATGGTTTCCAGCTTCATCCATGTCCCTACAAAGGACATGAACTCATCCTTTTTTATGGCTGCATAGTATTCCATGGTGTATATGTGCCACATTTTCTTAATCCAGTCTATCATTGTTGGACATTTGGGTTGGTTCCAAGCCTTTGCTATTGTGAATAGTGCCGCAATAAACATATGTGTGCATGTGTCTTTATAGCAGCATGATTTATAGTCCTTTGGGTATATACCCAGTAATGGGATGGCTGGGTCAAATGGTATTTCTAGTTCTAGATCCCTGAGGAATTGTCATACTGTCTTCCACAATGGTTGAACTAGTTTACAGTCCCACCAACAGTGTAAAAATGTTCCTATTTCTCCACATCCTCTCCAGCACCTGTTGTTTCCTGACTTTTTAATGATCGCCATTCTAACTGGTGTGAGATGGTATCTCATTGTGGTTTTGATTTGCATTTTCAGAGAAAATTGTCCTAATCCTACTTCTCAGTTCATGGCAAATGATCATCCTTAGTCAAAATATAAAGCAGTTACAAAGAAGAAGTCAAATAAAGGGGAAGAGAGTCACACTAAGGAGAAGATATGAAAGATCCTGCCAGACTAAGGAGTTTGGACTTCATGCTATAGTCAGTGACACCCAAACTTTAATAAACACTCTCCGGGGCACTTGTTAATAGGGCAGATTCCCAGGCTCCCAACTCAGACCTCCTGGATCAGTACCTTTGGGGGTAAACAAAAGCAGAAGTATAAAAGACCAGTTAGGAGGCTGTGACAATATTCCAGAGGAGAGATGACAGTGGCCTGGATATCATAGTGGCAATGGAGGTAGAGAGATATGCTCAGTTTTTGGTTGTTGTTGGTTTTTATTGAGACAGGGTCTCATTCTGTTACCCAGACAGGAGTGCCTTTGGAGTGGCACAATCACGGCTCACTGGAGCCTCAACCTCCTCATTTTTTTTATTGTAGTAAAATACACATAACACAAAAGTTACCATTAGAACCATTTTAAAGTGTACAATTCAGTGGCATTTAGTGTATTCACATGGTATGCAACCATCACCACTATCAACTCCAAAACATTTTCATCATCGAGACTGGGGAATTTTTAAAGGTAGAATTGGCAGAATTATGCAACCAATAAGATGGTGAGTGAGAGGGAAGAGTCAAACCCATTAGGGTTTTCTTTTTCTTTCATCTCATACAGAGCTGAAAAGTCTTGGGTTTGTTTTTTGTTTTGTTTTGTTTTTTTGAGATGGGTTCTTACTATGTTGCCCAGGCTGGTCTTGAACTCCTGAGTTCAAGTGATCCTCCTGCCTCAGCCTCCCAAGAAGATGGGTTTACAGGCATGTGCCAGTATGCCTGGTATCATTAGGTTTTGACAGCATGCTGATGAGGATAGTGGTGATATTTGACAGAGATGAGTAATAAAAGGTGGGATGGAAAGAAGGAGACATAAAGGCAATTATGGACATGGTGAGTTTCTTAGAGATCTTTGGGGAAAGATATGAAGAAACCAGTTGAAGTGGACCTGGAGTCTAGGTGAAAGTTAGGGCCTGGGGGCCCAGACTATATAAAAGCAAACACTTGCATGAGGCTTACTATCTGTCAGACCCTGGTTCAAGTGCTCTACATACATGATCTCAATGAATCCTCATGTTACAGATGAGCAAACAGAGGCATAGAGAAACTTGCCAAAGTTACTAGCACATGACAGAGGGGTACTGAAATTCAGGCAGCCTGACTTTAGAGTCAGTGCTCATAGCCATTATGTTATGCTGCCTCTCCCTGAGGCATTGCATTTTGAATCTAGGAGAGTGGAGGCAAGGTGGAGGGCAGAGCCTTGAGAAAAATCCACATCTATGGAGAAAGACATTAGAGAAATCTGTTGAAGAAGACAGAGAAGGACAGATAAGAAAGGTAACAGGAAAGAGGAAAAATTGCAGAGGACAAAGGAGAGAAGTGTTTCAAGAAAGAGGGAGCATCTGACTCTGAAGACTTGTTGCAGCTGAAGGCTGAGAAGGAGACATTTGATTTGCTGATGACTGTCACTGGTCACCTTCCAGATGGCTAGTTAGTGGGGAACAGGGAAAGCCAGAGGGAAAGGGTTAAGGAGTGAGTTGATGGTAGGAACAGAAAATAGCCAGTATGGTCTATTCTTCCAAGAATGGTGGAGGTGAAATAAAAGGGAAAGATTATCAATTGATAAATCCTTGGAAGGAATCAGCATGGCATCTTGGATCATGCAGACAGATCAGACTTCCTGTTCTGTCACTTACTTGCTCAGTGACCTTGAGTAAGAGATTTAACTTCTTGGAGCCCCAGTTTCCCCATGATAATATTAGGGTCTACCTATCTCAGAGGGTTGGGAAGTGAGATAATGCATGTAAAATACACACAATTAGTTATTGTTATTAGTCACTCAATAAATGCCAATGAATATAGTTCAGTGATTTTGAGTGTCCAGAAAACTCCCAAATCCTGCCTCCTCAGGGTCTTTGAGATTAGTAATAACTGGACTGGTGTCTCCAACTATTGTCAATAGAAGAAGTCCTCTTGAGGTCATCTCAGCCTGGAGCCAAGTTGTAGGGGTTAAACTCAAAGCACAGCAGCTTAATGAAGATAGATGGCCCTTCAACTTAATGCCTGTCTGTACAGTGAACTGGGTAAAGCTTGTGTAAATTCCATATGTGACTGGGCAGAGAACCAGAGCTTCCCTTTAAAGGAGAAATGAATAGTCACATCCACTCCCTGACCTGGTTTCTCTAAGCACCTAAGGAAGTAAATAAATGCCTAAAGCTTCTTGGCGTTAGATGTTAAAGAAGATTGTCCACTTGTAAGATGGGAAATTCCCTCCCTTTCTCCCTCCTCCTCTACTCTCCTAAACATTACCGAGCTTTTCTTTCAGGATTGGGAATACATTTAAGGATCTTGCAAAACCCCAGAGATCCAGAAGCATCTATTGTTCAGGTAGGTATCTCTAAGAGCTGCGGAAAATTTTCCAGAATCTGAATTGAATCCACATAATTCCTTGAAAGTTCATTTTATTTTTTAAAAAGTATCTCTCCTGCCATCTGCTTCTCCACAAACTTTGGTGCATGATGACCCAAAGCCAGATTTTTGGTTATTTGAGATTTTCAAGTTCAAGATCAAGAAGAATTTATCAGAAACATGTTTTTCCAGGTGCTGGTGGTAGGGGAATTCCATCAGTGCTCAAGGCATACAGCAGTGGTCATGAAGTCAATCTGCTGGGGCTGGCAACTAACTTCAGTGCTCACTTTACAGAGCTACAGAGAACAAGTACTGACTGAGTGCTCTCTGGGCAACATGTAGGCCCTGACTCCTAGGAATTTCTGTCCAAAATCAACTTACACGAAAAGGGATGTTTTTGCTTCTCCTCTGCATTTTTCCTCTTTACACCACCCCATTTCTTTATCTCCCTCTTTGTTCTTCTGCTCATTCCCTTTGGGAATGAGTCTTTGGGGTAATCACCCACAGTTAAAACGTTTACTGCTCCCTCAGCAAGGTTAGCCTCAGAGTTGTTTGCCACTTGGAAAGACCTCTCTTCCATGGCTGAAGTTGCCTGTGTATGTCTGGTGACACTCACCAGAGTTTTCCTAAGTGGCTACCCTTTGGGAAAGAAGAGTTAGTTCTGCCTTTGGATACTCTCTGAGTGATGCGCATGGTCCTGAGTGATGTGCACGGTCCTGTAAGACTGAAATGCCTCGTGGCCCTTTTAGCTTGTGACTCTGGGTCACATTTATAGCTATACTCAAGTTTCTATACTTCCCCATCCCTCAAGTGCTCTAGGAGGTAGTTAGTTCCCTCAGAGAGTTCTCTGCTTGTATCTGAGAATCCCTCAAAATGATGCTTCCCAAGTGCCTATAAGCTGATCCGTCAGTTGTACTTACTATCCTGCTTTTTTTCTTTTCCTCCAGAACCCATTGTCCACACCAGCTATTGTGGCTAGTAGATGTCATCATGAGCATACTGGTGTCCATGCCTAGGGATCTGTCTGGCACCATATGCTCCTCTGGGAGGCACTGGAGATCTGAGTTATGAACAGAGGCAGGACAAACCATCCTTTTTATAATTCTTTTCTATACTGGGTTAGTGGAGCCCAAGGCCAGGCCTATTTATGCTTGGAGTCTCATCAAGTTGCAAGTGAATTGTTTATCAGCCTCTGAACCTCAGTGCTCACTGAGAAGCTTACAAAGTCTCCATGGGTTTCAAGAGGGACTTAAACCCAGCCCAGTGGGCCAGAGTGGGAACAGGAGCCAGGCCAGTCTTCCAAGTCAATCTCCTCTCTCCTCAGGTAAAAGTTTGTCTCCTCCCAAAGCAGCACTGTCTCCCCTACAGCAAGCAATAATTTTTTTTTCTTCCCTTCAAGATAGATTTGTAGCAACTTGGCACCACATATACAGCATCTTAGACCTCTCAGCTCCAAAGCAAGGTCTTTGCTTTTACAGTTGCATTATTAGAAGAAGCAACTTGGAGGACGACCTAGGGTTGAAGAATTGTGTCTGTGTTTGCTGCTATTTCTTTTTTTTCCAGACCAATTAAATCAGAATCCTGGGAAAGGGGTATAGACCTCAGTATTTTCTAATGATCCCATGGTGATTCTTTTTTTTTCTTTTTTAAAATTAAACAAAAATTTTTTTATTATACTTTAAGTTCTGGGATACATGAACAGAACTTGCAGGTTTGTTACATAGGTATACATGAGGCATGGTGGTTTTCTGCACCCATCAACCCATCATCTACATTAGGTATTTCTCCTAATGCTATCTCTCCCCTTGTCACCCACCCCCCAACAGGCCCCGGTGTGTGATATTCCCCTCCCTGTGCACATAAATTCTCATAGTTCAACTCCCACTTATGAATGAGAACATGCAGTGTTTGGTTTTCTGTCCCTGTGTTAGTTTGCTGAGAATGATGGTTTCCAGCTTCATCCATGTCCCTGCAAAGGACATGAACTTAGTCTTCTTTATGGCTGCATAGTATTCCATGGTGTATATGTGCCACATTTTCTTTATCCAGTCTAACATGGATGGGCATTTGGGTTGGTTCCAATTCTTTTCTATTGTGAATAGTGGTGCAATAAACATAGATGTGCGTGTGTCTCTATACTAGAATGATTTATAATCCTTTGGGTATATACACAGTAATAGGATTGCTGGGTCAAATGGTATTTCTAGTTCTAGATCCTTGAGCAATCACCACACTGTCTTCCACAATGGTTGAAGTAATTTACACTCCCACCAACAGTGTAAAAGCATTCCTATTTCTCCACATCCTCTCCAGCATCTGTTGTTTCCTGACTTTTTAATGATTGCCATTCTAACAGGCATGAGATGGTGTCTCATTGTGGTTTTGATTTGCATTTCTCTAATGACCAGTAATAATGAGCTTTTTTTCATATGTTTGTTTGCCGCATAAATGTCTTCTTTTGAAAAGTGTCTGTTCATATCCTTCACCCACTTTTTGATGGGGTTGTTTGTTTTTTTCTTGTAAATTTGTTTAAGTTCCTTATAGATTCTGGATATTAGCCCTTTGTCAGATGGATAGATTGCAAAAATTTTCTCCTATTCTGTAGGTTGCCTGTTCACTCTGATGATAGTTTCTTTTGCTGTGCAGAAGCTCTTTAGTTTAATTAGATCCCATTTGTCAATTTTGGCTTTTGTTGCCATTGCTTTTGGTGTTTTAGTCATGAAGTCTTTGCCCATGCCTATGTCCTGAATGGTACTGCCTGGGTTTTCTTCTAGGGTTTTTATGGTTTTAGGTCTCACGTTTAAGTGTTTAATCCATCTTGAGTTAATTTTTGTATAAGGTGTAAGGAAGGGATCCAGTTTCAGCTTTCTACATATGGCTAGCCAGTTTTCACAGCACCATATATTAAATAGGGAATCCTTTCCCCATTTCTTGTTTTTGTCAGGCTTGTCAAGGATCAGATGGTTGTAGATGTGTGGTATTATTTCTGAGGTCTCTGTTCTGTTCCACTGGTCTATATATCTGTTTTTGTACAAGTACCTTGCTGCTTTGGTTACCGTAGCCTTGTAGTATAATTTGAAGTCAGGTAGCGTGATGCCTCCAGCTTTGTTCTTTTTGCTTAAGATTGTCTTGGCTATACGTGCTATTTTTGGTCCCATATAAAATTTAAAGTAGTTTTTTTTCTAATTCTGTGAAGGAAGTCAGTGATAGCTTGATGGGAATAGCATTGAGTCTATAAATTACTTTGGGGAGTATGGCTATTTTCACAATATTCACTCTTCCTATCCATGAGCATGGAATGTTTTTCCAATTTTTTGTGTCCTCTCTTATTTCCTCAAGTAGTGGTTTGTAGTTCTCCTTGAAGAGGTCTTTCACATCCCTTGTAAGTTGTATTCCTAGATATTTTATTCTGTTTGTAGCAATTGCGAATGGGAATTTGCTCATGATTTGGCTCTCTGTTTGTCTGTCATTGGTGTATAGGAATGCTTGTGATTTTTGCACATTGATTTTGTATCCTGAGACTTTGCTGAAGACACTTATCAGCTTAAGGAGTTTTTGAGCTGAGATGATGGGATTTTCTAAATATACAATCGTGTCATCTGCAAACAGAGACAATTTGACTTCCTTTCTTCCTATTTGAATACCTTTATTTCTTTCTCTTGCCTGATTGCCCTGGCCAGAACTTCCAATACTATGTTGATTAGGAGTGGCGAGAGAGGGCATCCCTGTCTTGTGCCGGTTTTCAAAGGGAATGCTTCCAGCTTTTGCCCATTCAGTATGATATTGGCTATGGGTTTGTCATAAATAACTCTTATTATTTTGAGATATGTTCCATCAATACATAGTTTATTGAGTGTTTGTTTTAGCATGAAGGGGTGTGAATTTTATCGAAGGCCTTTTCTGCATCTATTGAGATAATCATGTGGTTTTTGTCATTGGTTCTGCTTATGTGATGGATTACGTTTATTGATTTGCATATGTTGAATCAGCCTTGCATCCCAGGGATGAAGCTGACTTGATCGTGGTGTATAAGCTTTTTGACGTGCTGCTGGATTAGGTTTGCCAGTATTTTATTGAGGATTTTTGCATCAATGTTCATCAGGGATATTAGCCTGAAATTTTCTTTTTTTGTTGTGTCTCTGCCGGGTTTTGGTATCAGGATGATGCTGGCCTCATAAAATGAGCTAGGGAGTAGTCTCTGTTTTTCTATTGTTTTGGATAGTTTCAGAAGGAATGGTACCAGCTCCTTTTCGTACCTCTGGTATAATTCGGCTGTGAATCTGTCTGGTCATGGGCTTTTTTTTGTTGGTAGGCTATTAATTACTGCCTCAATTTCAGCACTTTTTATTGGTCTATTCAGGGATTCAACTTCTTCCTGGTTTAGTCTTGGGAGGGTGTATGTGTCCAGGAATTTATCCATTTCTTCTAGATTTTCTAGTTTATTTGTGTCGAGGTGTTTATAGCATTCTCTGATGGTAGTTTGTATTTCTGCGGGATTGGTGGCAATCTCCCTTTTATCATTTTTTATTGTGTCTATTTGATTCTTCTCTTTTCTTCTTTATTAGTCTTGCTAGCAGTCTATTTTGTTAATCTTTTCAAAAAACCAGCTCCTGGATTCATTGATTTTTTGAAGGGTTTTTTTGTGTCTCTATCTCCTTCAGTTCTGCTCGAAGTTACTTCTTGTCTTCTGCTAGCTTTTGAATTTGTTTGCTCTTGCTTCTCTAGTTCTTTTAATTGTGATGTTGGGGTGTTGATCTTAGATCTTTCCTGCTTTCTCCTGTGGGCATTTAGTGCTATAAATTTCCCTCTAAACACTGCTTTAGCTGTGTCCCAGAGATTCTGGTATGTTATATCTTTGTTCTCATTGGTTTCAAAGAACTTACTTATTTCTGCCTCAATTTCGTTATTTACTCAGCAGTCATTCAGGAGCATGTTGTTCAGTTTCCATGTAGTTGTGCGGTTTTGAGTGAGCTTCTTAATCCTGAATTCTAATTTGATGGCACTGTGGTCTGAGAGACTGTTTGTTATGATTTCCATTCTTTTACATTTGTTGAGGAGTGTTTTACTTCCAATTATGTGGTCAATTTTAGAATGAGTGCTATGTAGTGCAGAGAAGAATGCATATTCTGTTCATTTGGGGTGGAGAGTTCTGTAGATGTCTATCAGGTCCACTTGGTCCAGAGCTGAGTTCAAGTCCTGAATATCTTTGTTAATTTTCTGTCTTGTTGATTTGTTTAATATTGACAGTGGGGTGTTAAAGTCTCCCACTATTATTGTAGGTCTCTAAGAACTTGCTTTATGAATCTGGGTTCTCCTGTATTGGGTGCATATATATTTAGGATAGTTAGCTCTTCTTGTTGCATTGATCCCTTTACCATTATGTAATGCCATTCTTTGTCTTTTTTGATCTTTGTTGGTTTAAAGTCTGTTTTATCAGAGACTAGGATTGCAACCCATGCTTTTTGTGCTTTCCATTTCCTTGGTAAATCTTCCTCTTTCCCTTTACTTGAGCCTATGTGTATCTCTGCATGTGAGATGGGTCTCTTGAATACAGCAAACCGATTTGTCTTGACTCCATCCAATTTGCCAGTCTGTGCCTTTTAATTGGGGCATTTAGACCATTTACATTTAAGTTATGTTATGTGTGAATTTAACATTTAAGTACATTTAAGTTATGTTATGTGTGAATTTGATCCTGTCATTATGATGCTAGATGGCTATTTTTCCCATTAGCTGACGCAGTTTCTTCATAGTGTTGATGATCTTTACATTTTGGTTTGTTTTTGCAGTGGCTGGAACTGGTTGTTCCTTTCCATATTTAGTGCTTCCTTCAGGAGCTCTTGTAAGGCAGACCTGGTGGTGACAAAATCCCTCAGCATTTGTTGTCTATAATGATTTTATTTCTCCTTCACTTATGAAGCTTAGTTTGGCTGGATATTAAATTCTGGGTTGAAAATTCTTTTCTTTAAGAATGTCAAATATTGGACCCCACTCTCTTCTGGCTTGTAGAGTTTCTGCAGAGAGATCCGTTGTTAGTCTGATGGGCTTCCCTTTGTGGGTAACCTGACCTTTCTCTCTGGCTGCCCTTAACATTTTTTCCTTCATTTCAACCTTGGTGAATCTGATGATTGTGTGTCCTGGGGTTCCTCTTCCTGAGGAATATCTTTGTGGTGTTCTCTGTATTTCCTGAATTTGAATGTTGGCCTGTCTTGCTAGGTTGGGGAAGTTCTCCTATACAATATCCTAAAGTGCTTTTTCCAATGTGGTTCCATTCTCTCTGTCCCTTTCAGGTACACCAGTCAAACACAGGTTTGGTCTTTTCATATAGTCCCGTATTTCTTGGAGGCTTTGTTCGTTCCTTTTCATTCTTTTTTCTCTAATCTTGTCTTCATGCTTTACTTCAGTAAGTTGATCTTCAGTCTCTGATATCCTTTCTTCTGCTTGATTAATTTGGCTATTGATACTTTTGTATGTTTCACGAAGTTCTCGTGCTGTGTTTTTCAGCTCCATCAGGTCATTTATGTTCTTCTCTAAACTGGCTATTCTAGTTAGCAATTCCTCTAATCTTTTATAAAGGTTCTTAGCTTCCTAGCATTGGGTTAGAACATGCTCCTTTAGTTCAGAGGTAGTTTCTTACTACCCACCTTCTGAAGCCTACTTCTGTCAATTTGCCAAACTCATTCTCTGTCCAGTTTTGTTCCCTTGCTGGCCAGAAGTTGTGATCCTTTGGAGGAGAAGAGGTATTCTGGTTTGTGGAATTTTCAGCCTTTTTGAGCCATTTTTTCCTCATCTTCATGGATTTATCTACCTTTGGTCTTTGTTGTTTGTGACCTTCAGATGGAGTTTTTGCATGCCCATCCTTTTTGTTGATGTTGATGCTATTGCTTTCTGTTTGTTAGTTTTCCTTCTAACAGTCAGGTCCCTCTTCTGCAGGTCTGCTGGAGTTTGCTGGGGATCCAGTCCAGATCCTGTTTGCCTGGGTATCACCAGCGGAGGCTGCAGAATAGCAAAGATTGCTGCCTGCTCCTTCCTCTGGAAGCTTTGTCCCAGAGGGGCACTCGCCTGATGCCAACTGGAGCTCTCCTGTATGAGGTGTCTGTTGACCCCTGCTGGGAGGTGTCTCCCCATCAGGAGGCACGGGGTTCAGGGACCCACTTGAGTAGGTAGTCTGTCCCTTGGCAGAGCTCAAGTGCTGTGCTGGGAGATCTGCTGCTCTCTTCAGAGTCGACAGGCAGGAACGTTTAAGTCTGCTGAAGCTGCACCCACAGCCGCCCCTTCCCCCAGGTGCTCTGTCCCAGGGAGATGGGAGTTTTATCTGTAAGCCCCTGATTGGGGTTGCTGTCTTTCTTTCAGAGATGCCCTGCCCAGAGAGGAGGAATCTAGAGAGGCAGTCTGGCTACAGAGGCTTTGTGGCCTTTTGCTTCTATTTCTTAGGAAGGGAGAGGCTTGTGCATGTTTAAATGCTGATAGGAGAGTAAATAGAGAGGGAGAAGGTGAAGGCACAGGAAACAGAGGGGGATATTAGTTGGAGCCTGACCTCCAGTGGAAGGCAAAGGGTGGAATCTCCTCCCCCACCTCTTTTTGACAGGAGAGAGGGCGACTCCTTATTTAGACCACTCTTAAGAGTGATAGCGTAAGAAGTTGAGCATTCCCACCTGAAAAGCTTTATTTTCTTTGTGAGATGGGAGAGGGAGGGAAGTGAGGGATGGTGATCAGAGGCTTGGTAAAAATGAAGAATGTTTTAAATTGGCATTGTGGAGAAGGATTGAAGATGCTAATTAAGAAACTAATAAGATTGTGTGGCAGCAATAAGGGCCCCGTTGAGATTGGTCATAATGACTCTATAGTGTGTCATTTAGTCTATCATGTAGTGTGTCATATAGTCTGCCCAGCTGTATATTTTTGCATGAGGGGTTAGCAGTCATGGAGAAAGAAGCTTCCTTTCTCTTATGTGGAAATAAGTCCTTCTGCTCTTTCCTGGCAATGGAAAAGGTACTGGACTAAGAGTGGAGAGACTTGGGTTGAAGTCCCAGTTTTATCATCATCTGTGTGTCCATAAGGCAACTAATGTGACATTTCACATCCCTTACTTTACCTGGAAGGGCTGTTATGTGAAAGAAAGCAGGCGGAGAATGACAAAAGCCACATGCAAGGCATGAAAATGCCAAAACCAAAGAAAATGAAAAACAATTCTATCATAAGCACCTTTAAAAATAAACTGCAAGAAAATTTTATAAAGAAAACATTTGCAGCACATGATACAAAGGGCTTACTATACAAAGAGTTCTTACAAATCAAAAACAAAGCAGAAAAAATGGGCAAAAGGAATAAATAAGAAATTAACAGGAGAAGAAATACAAAGAGCCAATAAACAGAAAAAATGTTCAACTTCACTAATATAGAAGTTAAAATTAAAACAAGCAACAATTACTAATCATATTTCACCTGTCAGATTTACAAAAATGAATCAGTATTAAGACATTATTATCACTGTAGACCACACTTTTCCAGATTTCATTGGTTTTCCCCTATTGTCCCTTTTCTGTTCAAGTATGCCATCCATTTAGTTGTCATGTCTCCTTAGGCTCCTGTGGACTGTGATAGTTCCTCAGATTTTCCTTGATTTGATGACCTTGACACTTCTGAGGAGTGTTGGTCTAGGTATTTTATTAGAATGTCCCACAATTTAGGCTCATTTAATGTTTTTCTTATGGTTAGACTGCAGTTTTGTAACTTGTCAATATTTACAATAATCATGTTTCACATTTGTAATCAGACTCAATAAAAATACATATTTTAAAAAGACATGATGGTGGGTGGTGAGGGAGCTGACAGTAAGTAGCTAAAAAGAAGAATGTCTACTTGGATCAACTTGCAGAAAATACATGAGGATGTGGAAAGCCATGGTTGCCCAGAGCGGTCCAAGCTGATCTTATGCTGTGACATCCAGCAATGGCTATAATCTGCCTGAGAAGGCGTCAGCAAGAGGGGGAACATGGTGAGGGGGGAGGGTGAACAGAGATTCCCCAAGGGGGACTGAGATCTTTCCATAACAAATGTCTCCTAAATCAAGAAGCTTTTCTAATCTTGAAGGGCTGACTATTCAGCACATCAAGTGAGAATTCCTTACCACCTTCTGCGCAGATAGTGACTGGAAGATGAATAGTGAAACCATTTCTGGGAATGCCCAGGCATGAGCACAGCCTCAGCACTAGGTCTATTTTTGGGAACATTTGGACATATTGGACATATTCTGCAGCATCATATTTATTCTTTGGCAAAACAAGTAAAAGTTTAAGGAAATAATCCTTGACTTCCCCTTTGTGCCTTCCATGTTTATCTATAGAATGGCATATTCTGAGCAGAGATGGGAAGCCAGGGATGGCTGGTTAACCATTATGAAACTCGACCAACTGCAGGGATCCACCTGGATTTGAAAGAGCAAGTGCCCCATTATACAGGGTTAATGGGGGCAGAGAGGGGTCAAGTCAGTGAAATGTAAGAGAATCAATATGTGGAATGCTTGACGATAGCACATTCACACATCTCGCAGAGGAAGGAAGCTAGGGTTACACCCAGCAACTGCAGATGCTTGATTTAAAAAAACAACCTTAAGTATTTGCTATTTGCTGGCTGCCTTGGGCATCTCGAACTGCCCCACAAGCGATACTCAATAGTCTTTCTCTGTTCTCTCTGGAAATCTGTATCCCAAGACTGCTGTCCCCCAAACCTCTCCAGCTCCCCACCTCAGTTCCATGTGAACTTAGAGAAGGCTTGGGCAGGGAGGTTTCACTCTCTGAGTGAAAGTGTTCCCCAAGAGAATGTGTGCCTATGTGTTGGGGGCGGGTAACAGCGGGCTGGTGGAAAATGAGCAAACAGCTGGAGACGCTCCAAAGCAAGATAGGATTTTAGATTCGGCACTGGTGGGGGCAGGAAGAAGAAATGGGGAGGGCTTGGAGATGGTGAAAAGAGATGGAATCTAGGAGCCTCTGTGGCTATTAAAGCTCAGCACCTGGTCTCGGGCTGTGCACACAAATGACACATTAATTAATGTTCTAATAATAACTAGGATTTATTTGGCAATTACGTTTTCCCGGGTGCTATATTTCATATGCATTATCATCTTTAATCTCTCAGTACCCCATGGGAAGGGTAATACTATTATTGTTCCCTCATTTTACAAATAAGATACCCAAAGAGGTCAGGTTGGTTGTCCAAGGTCACAATTAGCAAGTGGTAGAGCTGGGATTTCAATCCAGAGCCCGCCGTGCTCAAATTCTTCCATTGCGTGAAAGGCCTCAACATGGTCTGTCAGGATTGGCAGGACGAGGGGGCTTGATATTTCCAGCTCCACACTCTTCCGTCTCAGAGTCAGGTCTCCCTCTCTTGCCAATAACGTTCCTCCCCATTCCTAGCCCTCGGGCCTGCCCATCCTTAAGGCTAGCAGAGAAAGGAGCTTTCCACTGACTCCCCTTTAAGGGGCAGGGCGCAGTGAGAGGGGGAATGAGAACAACTGTCTTGTTTTTCTGTCCAGCTCCTGTCCTCCGTGATCATCTGCGCTTCCTCACCCTCCCCCTCCAGATTCTCATCCTCTTGAAACAAGAGGTACTTGCTGCATTTGAGCTTAAGGGCTCAAGGGGTGGGTGGCGCAGCCAGAGCCTTTCACTGGAGCGTCACCAGCGAGCTGACCCTGTGGGTGGACAGACTTCCCACAGCCTGGCTTTGCAGGCTTCGTCTGCCTTTTTTTCTGGTCTGCTTTCTGCAACAGTCGCTCCCATCGATATATATTCAGAGCTCCACTCTGTTTCCCTTAGGTACGGTTTCAATGACTGTGAAGTTCTGCTTCTTCCCACATAACTGGGGCGCCCGCCAGTCCAGGCTGCTGCAGGCAGCTGGCCACAGACGCACGGGGATTAGCAGCTCCAAGGCTTGTGGCTGCGGCTGACTTCCCGCGCCTGCCTCTCCGCGCTGCTTAGGTCCCATTCTCCTCAACCACAGATTGCAGTTTTTTTCTTTCTTGTCTTGTCTTTTGTCTTGCTTGTCTTCTCTTCTCTTTTCTCTTCTCTTCTCACTCTCTTTCACCTATCTGTCTTGCTGCTTGCAGTCTTTCTTGCGTTCTCTTTCTGCCCTGAATTTCTTTTTGCTAAGTGAGTTTTTAAACGACTTGCTCGTTTTAAATTATATACAAAGATGTATTTGGAAAAAAAAAGTTTTCCCTTCCTATACAACATCTGGGGTATAATCAGTGTTAACAGTTTGATGTGGGTCCTTTCAAATTTTTCTGAAGAACCCTGTTAAAATTTATAGGAGGCCATTGGTTTAGAATGAGCCCTTGTGCTGGGTCCAACAGACCAAACCAAAATGGAGTTACTCATGCAGAAGTTTCATGCCACCAAGTCGAAACTAAGTTATTTGTCTGACTTTCTGACAAACCAAGAAAGGCAGAGATAATAGCCAAATTCCCAAACAGGCCAGTTTTAGCCAGTGTGATAAGAAAGTCCTCTCTCTTTTAACCTTTACAAGGAAAGTAATTTTGAAATGACCCATCACTTTTTGTTCACTGTTTCTTTCTTCAGCCCTTTTCTGCCTATAAAGTCAACCTTCTCTGCTCAGTTCATGGAAACCTTCACTTTGTTTTCTAGAATCACAAAAAAAACCAATTACATTTTAAAATAAAATTTATTGTAATTTTGTCTTTCGGCAGTATACATACATACACACACACACACACACACACACACACACAAACACACAACATTAGTTTAAATTTTGATATAGGCTTTCTTCAAACTTGAATACTTTACCAAAATTGTTTTCTGTCATTCGAACACTTACCAGTGTGGTTTATTACATGTTCCTTTAATAAATATACGAGGATAGCCATAATATCACACCCTTTTAACAGAAGTGAAGTATTTTGATTTGATAGACAAATACACATTTACCAAATAATTGTTCCCTTGTAGTTTGTTATACAGAAACTTTTCATGAACTGCATTCAGTAGAAATTCAGGGGGATCTGAAATTATATGTGAATGTGGGCAGATTCTTTTCTGAATTCTACTAAATGCAGTTATATATGCACACAGATATATGTGGTTCCTTTCTCCAACTATTTTAAAATAAAGATACCATCATATTATGAAAAATACTCTGCATCTTTTTTGAAAACAGCAATACATCATGGAGAACTCTCCTGGCCAACAGAGAGCTATCAACTTGTGCTCCATTTTAGTATTTGAGTGTATGGCTGCCTGCTAACTTAACCATTACCTTTCTGATAGACCTTCTGATTGTTTTCCTTTGTGTGTGTGTGCGCTAATACCTATGGCAGTGAACATCCCCAGGCATAAATCAATACTGACTTGTGAGAATAATATACTAGGAAGAATTTCTAGAAGAGGTATTGCCAGATCAAAGGTCTACCCATTTAAAATTTTTCATAGTTACTACCAGATTACCTTCCAAAATGGTTGTGGCAACTTACTCTTCTACTAGAGGTAGATGTAAGGTAGTTGGTGTTCCCCATATTCTGGCCAGCACAGAACATTATGAATATTTTAAAATGATGCCAATCTGAAGGGTAATAAAAATGCTATCCCATCATTTACAATATTTTATATCCTTGACCGCCTATGAAGTTGAAACTTATCATATGCTTGTTGGTATCTGTATGTCCACTTCTGTGATTTTCCTGTTCATGACCTTTGCCATAATTTTTAGGTTGTTGGTTTTTTCATAAAAAAATTTAGGAGCTCTTTATATTATATGGCTATTAATCTGTTTTCTTTCACTTGATTTGCAGATATTTTCTCAGTGAAGTTTTTACAGAGTCTTTTGAGTTGCAGAAAGTTTTAAAATTTTATGTTCTCAAGTTGGTCAATCTTCTTTATGGATTCTAGGTTTCCTATCTTGCTTCACCCATTTATGGGCCATACCCATTCTGAGGTTATAAAAATATTCTCTTTATTTTCTTCTAAAATTTTCGTGTGAAAACTTAAATTTCTAATCCCACTGGAATTTATGTTATGTGTGGCACAAAGTAATGATCTAAAATTTTGATCCCAGTTACCTAGATGAAGTACATTATTTCTCAATGAAACACAGTATCTATTTGACCATATTCATTCTAGCTAGCAAGGCTGCGGCCTACAAGGCTGCTTACAGATAGCCCAACCCAGAGGGAGTTGCATTCAACCACCAAGACAGACACAAGTTTTCCATTTACCTTTTATTTAACTGTATTTAATTTTATTTAATTGTATGCTTAAATTTATTTTTTAAATTATAATTGACAAATAGTAATTGTATTTATATTATGGGGTGTATTAGTCAGGGTTCCCTAGAAGGACAGAACTAATAGGATCTCTCTCTGACTCTCTGAGAGAGGTTTATTAAGTATTAACTTTTATGATCACAAGGTCCCACAATAGGCTATTCACAAGCTTGAGGAGCGAGGAGACCCAGTCCGAGTCTCAAAACTGAAGAGCTTGGAGTCCAATGTTTGAGGGCAAGAAGTATCCAGCACGGGAGAAAGACGTGGGCTGGGAGGCTAGGCCAGTCTCGCTATTTCACGTTTTTCTGCCTGCTTTATATTCGCTGGCAGCTGATTAGATTCTACCCACCAGATTAAGGGTGGGTCAGCCTTTCCCAGCCCACTGACTCAAATGTTAATCTCCTTTGACAACACCCCCACAGACACACCCAGGATCAATACTTTGCATCTTTCAATCCAATCAAGTTGACACTCAGTATTAACCATCACATGGGGTACAATGTGATTTTTTTTTTTTTTGAGATGGAGTCTTGCTCATTCGCCCAGGCTGGAGTGCAGTGGTGAGATCTCAGCTCACTTCAACCTCGGACTCCCGGGTTCAAGCAATTCTCCTGCCTCAGCCTCCTGAGTAGGGGGGATTACAGACGTGCACCACCACGCCTGGCTAATTTTTGTATTTTTAATAGAGACGGGGTTTCACCATGATAGTCAGGCTGGTCTCGAACTCTTGACCTTGTGATCCACCTGCCTCAGCCTCCCAAAGTGCTAGGATTACAGGCGTGAGCCACAGCACCCGGCCAATGTGATTTTTTTTTTTTTTGAGACAGAGTCTTGCTCTGTCGCCCAGCCTGGAGTGCACTGCAACCTCTACCTCCCAGGTTCAAGCGATTCTCCTGCCTCATCCTCCTGAGTAGCTGGAATTACAGGCATGCACCACCACGCCCAGCTAATTTTTGTATTTTAGCAGAGACGGGGTTTCACCATGTTGGCCAGGCTGGTCTCGAACTCCTGAGTTCAAGTGATCCACCTGCCTTGGCCTCCCAAAGTGCTGGGATTACAGGTGTGAGCCACCACACCTGGCCACAAAGTGTTATTTTGATATATGTGTAGGAAGATTAAATTAAGCTAACTAACATATCCATCACCTTACCTACTTTTTTGGTGGTGAGAATGTTTAAAATCTACTCTTTTAGCAATTTTGAAATATGTGTTATTATTAAATATGGTTATCATGCTGTGCAATAGACCACTAAAATGGATTCCTCTTGTATAATAGAAATTTTATAACCTTTGACCAGCATGTCTCCTTTCCCATCCTGCACATATATTTATATGTGTGTGTGTGTGTGTGTGTGTGTGTGTGAGAGAGAGAGAGAGAGAGAGGGAGAAAGAGAGAGATCACGCAATGTTTGTCTTTCTGTACCTGGTTTATTCTATTTAGCATAATGTCATTCAGGTTCATTTATCTTATTTCTTCTGGAGACTGAGGTCATTCTCAGACAGGCCTGCTGCAGCCCAGGATTGATGTTACCTTTTTTTACTCACAGTATCTCATAGTATTCACTGGATTTTGGCAAACAGTCTATCAGATTGAGGTGTTTTCCTTCCATGTTTGTTTTCTTTAAAGACTTTATTAGCCATGCCTGATGAGTTATGTCAAATACTTCTTCATTACCTGTTGATACAATTGTATAGCACTTATTGCCTTTAATATGTGGATGTAATGAATCATATAGATAGGTTGCGTAACTTAGCCATATTTGCATTCTTCAAATATAAACCCTGCTTAATCAGAATGAATTACTTTTCTTACTTCTATGCTGGAATCTATTTGCTAATATTATATTAAAACACTTTGCTTTTTAATAATCACCGTTTGGTGCAAGGCTGTGGAGAAATAGGACCGTTTTTACATTGTTGGTGGGAGTGTAAATTAGTTCTACCATTGTGGGAGACAGTGTGGCGATTCCTCAAGGATCTAGGTCCAGAAATACCATTTGACTCAGCAATCCCATTACTGGGTATATACTCAAAGGATTATAAATCATTCTACTATAAAGACACATGCCAATGTATGTTTATTGCAGCACTATTCACAATAGCAAAGACTTGGAACCAATGCAAATGCCCATCAATGATAGACAGGATAAAGAAAATGTGGCACATATACACCATGGAGTACTGTGCAGCCATAAAAAAGAATGAGTTTGTGTCCTTTACAGGGGCATGGATGAAGCTCAAAGCCACCATTCTCAGAAAACTAACACAAGAACAGAAAACCAAATACCACATATTCTCATTCATAAGTGGGAGTTGAACAATGAGAACACATGGACACAGGGAGGGGAACATCACAAACTGGGGCCTGTTGGGGGGTGGGGGACAAGGGAGGGGAGAGCATTAGGACAAATACCTAATGTATGTGGGGCTTAAAATCTAGATGACGGGTTGATAGGTGCAGCAAACCACCATGGCACATGTATACCTATGTAACAAACCTGCATGTTCTGCACATGTATCCCAGAACTTAAAGTAAAATAAAAAAATAAAATAAAAGCATTTTTCATCTATATTTATAAGTAAAAGTAGTCTACAGGTTTTTCTTTATTGCATTCTTCCATCACATTTTAAAAAGGTATGTGTAGAATAAATTTGGAAGTTTTAACCAAATCTGAGACAGTTTGAGAAATGTGAAAGATATTTTTTTGAAGGTTAAATGAAACTCAGAAATATCCTATTTTTCCCTATATTTATTGGTCTGTTTAGATTTTCTACCACTTCTTGAGTTAATTGTGATATTCTATGTCTTGCTAGAAATTCATTCATTTCCTTTAGATTTTCAGACTTGTTGACCAAGTTGCATATAATTTTTGTTTTATCATTATTTCAATCTATTAAGTGGTTAAACCTCATTTCTTATTCCTAATAGTGTATATTTTCATCTTTGCTCTTTTTAAAAATTAGGCCTCTGAAGGAGGGTGGTCTCTTTTATAGATCTGTTGATTTTGGTTTTAATTATCCATTCTCCTTTGTGTGTCTGTGGTAGGAGGCAGGATGTGGGGCTATGTGGTGGTGGTAGTTTCTATTTCTTTAATTTTAGCTTTTATCTTTACTAATTCTCTCTATTTTCTTTAAGTTAATGTTTTCCTCTCCAATTCATCCTCTGAAAAACTAACTTTTTTTTTTTTTTTTTTTTTTTGAGATGGAGTTTCGCTCTTGTTGCTCAGGCCGGAGTGCATTGGTGCGATCTCAGCTCACTGCAACCTCCGCCTCCTGGGTTCAAGTGATTCTCCTGCCTCAGCCTCCCGAGTAGCTGGGATTACAGGCATGCGCCACCACACCTGGCTAATTTTGTATTTTTAGTAGAGATGGGGTTTCTCCATGTTAGTCAGGCTGGTCTCAAACTCCCGACCTCAGGTGATCCACCTGCCTTGGCCTCCCAAAGTGCTGGGATTACAGGTGTGAGCCACCGCACCCGGCCAGAAAAACTAATTTTGTTTTCAGCAGTGACTATGTGACTATGTCTCTACTGAAGTTTTAAATTGGCAATCATATTTTATTTTAATTTCCAGAAACTCTTTTTAATGTCTTCTAATGAAATCTACCATATATCACTATGTTTGTCACTAAATTTTTAATAAAATCCAACTGGGTTATTAAAAATCTGAAGACAAAATTGGAGTGATATTTAGAGGAAGGGACATAATAAAAAAGGATTTTGATTATTTAATGCAGACTAAAGGTACAAAAGAGCCTACAGAGGGAGAAAATGTAGGCAGAAAAAAAAAGAAGTTCTATGCCATACCCTGAAAGGCAGGAAGGAGGAGGAATTGGTATCTGTATCAACATTGAAACTTTAAGCCATCATGTCACACTCATTCTCCTACCATCCTATAAAATGAGCCATGAATATCCAACATTGTTTCTGGCAAATATTCCACCACTCCCCTGGCTCCAAGATATTCCTTCATGTTTTCTGACATGCTATTACTTCCAATATATAACAATCCAATTTAAAAATCAACATCTTGTTTGTGACCCCGCTCTAGTCCTTGGAACTGGATGTTTGTACCTTGTCTCACTAGTTCTTGACTCTGTTCTTTCTCTCAAAGACCTGGACTTGAACTGGACTACTTCCTCTTCTGTTTCCTGCTCCTCCTTCTTCTCCTCCTTCTCCTTCCTCTCTCTTTTTGTCCCACCCTTTCTGTTTCTCTTCCTGATATGGGAAACCTGGAGAATAATACTTGCATTTGGGCCTCCTTGTAACCCAGCCTCAGACTTTGGTCTGCCAGCTAGTACACAAGCCAGTCTACTCCATGAGTGTGGGAAAATTCCAACAGGTTTAATGTGATGGGTCTTTAACAATGGACAGGATATGAGAGGAACAGAAAGAGCAAAGAGCTCACCATGGGGATAAGAGTGATGTGTGTATGTGTGGGGGAATGCTCTCAGTAAGGAGTTAGCTTTATTGGAATGGAAGGTTTAATATAGAGGCAATGTCCAAGAAGCTCCTCTAATGGGGAAAGAGTGGGAGATAGAGGATGAGATGTATGGCTGGAAAGGTTCTTCAGGATTAATGCTGGTGGAACAAATGTTTTTCCCTAAACCGTAGGGCAATGTTGAAGTCAGAGCGGTATTCAGAATCAAGGGTTAAGTAAAGAGTTGAGTCCAATCAATCAGAAAGGAGATTTGGACCAATTCATCAAAACTAAGAGGTTAAAAGAAGATATCAAGAGCAAGAATCAGGGATTGGAGGTCCAGGAGGATGAGCGAGCAGCAGCAGATTAAGAGAATCCAGGAATAGGCCAGGGAGATTGCTTGCCACAGTCATTGCTAACTTTTAGGTACCTGCTATAATGTGGTATGTGGACATGCTCACTAAGTGAGGAATGGGGGATGGGAAGAAAAAGGCCAGGTTTTTCTGGGTCTTGAATGTCAGGCTGAGTAATTTAGATTTGAAAGAGTGAATGATAGGAAGTTATCAATGGATTTTTGAGCAGGAAGGTGATATGATGTATACAATGTTTTTGTGAACAGATATTTAGCAGTTTGGAAGGCATCAAAGGAAGGGAGACTGGAAATGACCTTGAAGATCATTTAGGAGGTTCGGGTGTGAGATGTGGAGAATTTAGACTTGGTTATTGGAAAGGAACAGAAAGTGACACATCCAGGAGACATTGTGAAGGAACATTCAATAGGATGTTTGGGTGGGCTAGGTGAAAAGAGAGAAGGAATCATCAAAGTTAAACATGAGTTTTTTTGTTTTCTTAGTTTGGAGAGTCTACAATGCAGAGTTGGGAAGGTTAGGTAAGTTGAATTTGAAGCAATGACTAGACATTCACTTGGTGGAAAACACTATTTGATTTTAGCCTACGGGTATATGGTCATAGAAGGCTGCTGTTTTGGCTTTAGATGTCAAGCTGCATCAACATACAAATGGCCATTTAAACCATGAGAGTAGATGAAAGGAGAAGAATGGAGAAGGAGGGTTGCAGGAGCAGCTTATTGAGCACTGGGCAAGCATTCATATTTTGCAAAAAGGAAGAGGCAAAGGTGACACTGAAAGAGAAATAAAAGACAAGAGAAATTAGAGAAATTCAGGGATGAGACATTTAATCAAAAAAAGGAGGTGGTTAAAGAGTTCAACTATAATGGGGTGGGGTTGGTGGTCTGCCAAGGAGGGTGATAATTTTAAAGGCTTTGGATTTGGCTAGACGAGTGATTTTCAAACTTGAGTGTGTGTCAGAATCCTCTGGATAATTTGTTAAAACAGATTGTCAGGCTCCACCCTCAGAGTTTAGAATTCAATAAGATCTGGGGTGGTACCCAATAATTTGCATTTCTACCAAATTTCCAGATGATGCCAAAGCTGCTTCTCTAGGAATCACTCTCTTGAGAACTACTGGCCTAAAAGAGTTGTTCTCACTTTTTTGTTGTTGTTCATTTCTATCCCAACATATCTGAGTGCTATGATACACTTCTATTCATAGCAATTGTTCACCAAAACAGGGATACTCACCTAGGGCTAGGGACCAGTATATCTGGTTTTCCAAAGTACTTCCCCCACCTTCAGATGATTTCAAATACCCTTCACTTGGGGATAATTACTGAGCTGATACATGACATTAATAATTTTTAAAAACTAAGTTAAAACAACAATGGAACCATAGCAAAACAGATAATTCTGTCCTTGGTGATGCAGAAGGCACTTAGGGATCTGGCCTGTTTCAGATCCTACATATACAGCTACATGTAGATGTTGTGCCTTCTATTTTTGACTCGAGGTGAATCTCTAGCTACCACTGATGGGGGGAGCAGGGGAAATGGACCTTACTGTCTCTCCAGCTGGATTGCCATCCATGAGTAGATAATCGTTGTAACCCTGACGCCCACAGTTGTTTGCAGGTAGGCAATTCTTGCTACCCCATAGTCTATAATGAGGGTGCTGTCAATGTCCATGGAGAGAGCAAGGCAGCTATTTCCTTCTCTTGCTCCCTGTTCTGCTGCCACATTTGCCTTCTCTAAAGTATACCATATACCTTGGACCCTAACAAACCCTTAAGCATTTTTCAGAGATCAGGTGATTGGTCCAAAGCCACACCAAGTTGAGAATGAGGGCAGGCATTGTAGCCTTAGCTGAGCTACCTCATTCCCTTACAAAGGCACGAGGTCTCAGTGCCTTGGTTCTTGGGGGCATCACATATAAAAGCTCCCCAAGCCTCCAGAGGTTGGCCATCCTTCCCTGATTTGGTCCTTTATCTTCCTTAAGTCCTTTCCTTTTTACCCTTTCCTTCTCCCATGTCCCTGCCTCCTCTTTTCTGGGAATGTGTGCCTTACCCCTCCCAACAGAAATAAAGCCTTCTGAAGTCTGCTGAACTCCAAAAAAAAAAAAACAGGAAAAAAAAAGAGGTGATCATGCCCCATGTCTCTGCCATGTCTCTGCTGCTTCCGGTGTCTGCTGAATGTCAAAGATTTCCCTCTCCTGCCCAATTTCTGCTGAATATGCAGAGGGGAGGGGTGAGCTCAATCTTTCTATCAGATTTAACTTTTTAGGAATGTTCACATGGTAGTTGAACAACTCAAGTGATATAGAGGTCTAAAGAAAACTATAGACTTCTTTACCCTCATATCTAATTCCACCTCCTAAGTAACCAATGTTAACAGTTTAGTGTGTATCCTTTCACACCTTTCTCTATACCCTTACCAATGTGTATGTGTGATTGTGCTTGTTTCCCTTACGGTAGATAAAATACTTAAATTAGATTATATCCTATGCATTACTCAGCAACTTGCCCCTCCAAACAACATATAAACCCATTGTCTTTTGATTCTTTTGAGTGGTGAGATTGAAGTAACTACAGTGGGTGAGGAAGAAGCCTTCCACTCTAGACTGTGAATTCTACAGGATTAATTTCCTTCTGGACACCCTCCAGTCTGGTTTGCAAGAGACATTCGTATTTCTCCTTTTTTACATAGCTTAGAACTTGTTTCTTGTTCTAAGCAGCACTCACCTGACCTCTCTCCTCCAGCTGCCTGATGGGCAGATGATTGCTACAATATATCACCTTGACAGCTGCTTCCACCCTATTCCTGGCTGCCCTGAGGCTGGACTTTATATGTTGATAGTGATCCTTGTTGTTTTCTACTACATACAGCATGCCCTTCCAAGGCTCAGCTATCTTAGGCAGATGTAGGATGCCCAGTTTCCGCAATTGGACCCAATCTCCGGTCCTTGACTCCTGGCACCGTACCTGTGTATCAAGTGCTTTTTTTGTCTTCCTAGGTTATTCTGGGCTACTTTTTCCTTTGGCTCAGTTGCATATCTGTTAAGCCTGTTTCCTTCTTTGCCCTGCTCCCAACTCCTAAGCCGAGGTCAGTGGACAGCTGCCGATCCTGTGCAAATATCTATAAAGGGGGAATCAAGCTTGTGGAGTCCTTCCTGGTGACATTTGTGGGCATTGCCAGAAAAGGCACATGCTAACTTCACTGCCCCTTTTGCTCAGGGTGCAACATTCCCACATGTTTAATAAAGTTATGTGACTGTGAGGTCAATTTCCCACTGACCCAGATTGGAGTACTGTTATATTCGGGGTCCAATTCTCCACCACTACAAGCACAGGTACAGATTCTTCCCCTCCACCCCATTAGGTGTCCCAAGGTCCCCTTGGATCTTACAGTGGTCCTGATAAGTAGGCCTCTCATGGAGTAGTTGTACAACATTGAACTGAGATTCACAGGACGTTTTCTTGACTAATTTTCCCAGTTTAGGGGGCCTGGCATTTAGACTTCTTTCTTCTTTCTACATTCTTCTGCCTCTGGCCCCTGCCCACTTTGTCTTCCCAAACCAAAACTCTTTCTTTCTCCCCCTCTCTTTTCACATAATCTTCAGTGGTCAGATCTGGAAGCTTCTCTTATGAGCTCATTCAAATAAGAGCCCAAGTCACAGAAAAGCTGGGAGTTTTCCACCTGCACCTTGCAGGGTGTGAAACCTGATTATAATTATCTGAGTCCAGAACCTAACTCTGTGTTAAACACAAACACGAAGTAGCTTTTAAGAGGTTTCAATATATACTGAATTTTCCAATAATATAACTACCATGTAAAATGAGAGAAAATCGTGTTGTGTTTTGTTTGCAATTTTGCCAAGAATTATTTACCATTTTGGAAAAACACAACACTGATTAGTCATCTTATTTGAGTTGACAATACCACAAATCTTTATCAGTCTGCATCTGTGGCTGCTACATTCATGTTTTCTTTGACATAAGGGCATAAATAACTCAATACTTCAATATTTCTTTAGTGTAATCATAACCACCTATATACATATTGAAATATGAATTACTTTATTCGTCACACTTTTAATTTTTATCTCTTTAAATATATTACTTGATATGTAAAACTGTGTAACACATATATGTATTAAATTGTGTAATAATATAATGAGTATCAATGAATTCACAATGCCATTCATGAAATAGAACACTGTATTAGTCCGTTTTCACGCTGTTGATAAGGACATACCTGAGACTGGGAATAGAAAGAGGTATAATTGGACTTACAGTTCCACATGTCTGGGGAGGCCTCAGAATCATGGCGGGAGGCAAAAGGCACTTCTTCAATGGCTGTGGCAAGGTAAATTGAGGAAGATGCAAAAGCAGAACCCCCTGATAAAACCATCAAATCTCATGAGACTTATTCACTACTATGAGAACAGTATGGGAGAAACTGCCCCCATGGTCTAAATTATCTCCCACTGGGTCCCTTCCACAACATGTGGGAAGTACAGGAGTACAATTCAAGATGAGATTTGGGTGGGAACACAGCCAAACCATTTCAAACACTATTAATAATTCGATGCCTATCCCATCCTACTCTTTCCCTAAACCCAGAGGTAACTAGTATCCTGAATTTTGCGTTTATTGTACCCTTGCCTTAAGGAATAGCTTTATTACATAAATGTGAATGTCTATATAATATTTAAGAGGTTTATAAAAATGATATTCTACTGCATATGGTCTTCTTGGATTTCTTTTGTCCGGAACATAATGTTTCTAGGATTTATCCACACCATCCATGTTGCTTAATGTAACTGTATTATATTTTTACTACCATATGATATTTCATAATATATTAATCCATTTTCTTGTTTATGAGCATTTGTTTGCCACCAAATATTTGCTATTATGAACAGTACTTCTATGAATATTCTTGTTTTTGACTCCTGGTGCACATGTGCAAGAGAACAGTCCAAGGAGTAAAATTACTGGATTGTAGGGTATGCAAATATAAAGGCAAATTGTTTCCCAAAGTGGTTGTACCCATTGACAATCACACCTGCAATGTATGAGTTCCTATTGATCCACATCCTCATCAACATTTGGTATTATCAGACATGTTCATTTTTTCCATGGGCATAAAGTATTGTCTCCTTGTGGTCTTAATTTGCATTTTCCTGATTATTCATGAAGTTTGGCATCTTTTCATATGCTTATTGACCATTTGTGTTTCTTCTGTAAAATGAATGTTCATGGCCTATGCCCATTTTTACATTTAAAAAAATCTGTAGGAATTATTTATATTTATATTTTTGGATAGGAATCTTTTTTTGGTTATGTTGTAAATACCTCCTCCACGTTTGTAGCTTGTCTCTCCATTTTCTTTATGATGCCTTTTGTCAAACAGAAATTCAAAATGTTAATGTAGTCTAATTAGTCAGTCTTTATTTTTATGGTTAGTGCTTTTTCAGCCTTGTTCAAAAAATCCTTTACTACATTAAAGTCAACAAGATATTCTCTTATGTTTTCTTCTAAAAGTTTAAAAATTTTGCTTTTCACATTTAAGTCTTCAGTCCATCTGGACTTTATTTTATGTATGGTGTATAATAGGGATCTAATTGTTTTTGGCATATGGATAATCACCTGTCCCAGAACCAGTTATTGAATAGTCACTCCTTCCTCAATGATCTGCAGTGATCTCTGATATGTCACAGTTCCATATATTTATGGATCTATTTCTGAGCCCCCATTTTGTTCCATTAGTCCATTGGTAAACCCCTGCCTCAATAGCATATTGTCTTATTTACTGTAGCTTTTTTTTTTTTCCATGACGGAGGTCCTGAGAACATATGCCCCTATGGCTTTATATTAAGTCTCAATATTTGTTCAGGCAAATCTCCCTACTTGATTCTTTTTCTTTCAGGAATAGTCTTCACTATTCTTGGCACTCTGTTCTCCTATATAAATTTTAAAATTTGTTGCCAAATTCAATGAAAAGCCCTGTTGAAATTTGAATTGAAATTTCATTGACTCTAGAGATTAATTTGAGAAGAATTGGTATTGAGTGTGCCTAATTATGAACATGATACATTGTCACATTTATTTAGAGCTTATTAATGTCTTTTTATAAAGTTATTTACTCTTCTTGATTGAATCTTACACTCTTTTGTTAAATTTAGTCCTAGGTGATGGCAGCAGCAGCCCATGTGCAGTGGCTGCTGCGAAGATGCTGGCTGCAGCAGGGGAGGCACGGGTGGGGTTACCTGTTCTGTGGGGCTGGTGAGATCCAGGAACAGGCAGGAGTACTGCTCCCTACCAAGTTGTCTGAGTGGGAGCCCCGCATTCCCAGGCACATCTGCAGCCTCCCAGCCGTGGCTTTGGACCCAGGCATCCCTGTACTCTCTAGGGTCCAGGAAGCCCCTGCCCCTGCAGGCTCGGAAGTGCCTGCTCCTGCTGTCTGGCCTCTGCCCACTCCCAGTGCTTGCTCTGGGCAAAGTTGTGGCCAAGCCCCAGCACTATTGCGACCTGGCTGGGTGTGTGTGCACTTGGGGCAGTGCTGACATGCCAGCCCCCTGCCACCTCAGCCCCCTTTGGACTTTGGGTGCCAATGAGAACAGGAGGGAGGTGGGTGGGGCGCTGTTGAGGGCAGCTTAGCACAGGCCTGCAAGTGCCCCTTGCCATGAACAGCCTGGGCACTGCGGATGGCATGTGGATGGTGTCAGGAGGCAGACAGTGTCCCGGGCGGAACAGTGTGGGTCCTCAGTGAAGCCCCACCTTCAAGCCAGGGAGGGCATGAAGCATGGGGGCTGGGCTGTCAGTTCCTGGTGGAGTCTGCAGACCACAGTGAGAACTTATGGTACTTTTTCCTGGCCACCCATGGCTGCCCATGGACCAATCAGCCTGCACTTCCTCCCTTCCAAGCCCATACAAACCCCCAGACTCAGCCAGACTTGAACAGACATCAGGATGACTTGCTTTCATAAAGGAGCTACCCACTGTGAGTTTCCTGAGAGCTGTTCTGTTGCTCAATGAAACGCCTCTCTGCCTTGCTCACCCTCCAGTTTTCCATGTACCTCAATTCTTCCTGGATGTGGAACAAGAACTTGGGACCCACCTAATGGCAGGACTGAAAGAGCTGTAACACCGACAGGGCTGAAACACTGCACCCCCCCACTTACCATGTTGCAGGCAATGAGAGGGAGAGAAGAGCTGCAGCATCTTTGAGGAGCCTAGACCTAGGGACTCCCCAAACCAGTGCTGTGACACCTCTGTTGGGGCTGTGCAGTTCCTGGCATCTCCAAGCTTCATAGTGTCACTGCATTCCCCTCATCTAGATGCAGATGGTCACAGCGGAAGCCGCATGCAGTACATCTGGTCCATCTGCAGCCTCATGTGGAGCCAGCACCTGTGCAGGCACCTGGAGCTACCCATCGCGCTGTAGCAGCCAGAATGCCTGGCTGTGTACAGTGGCCAGACCCAGCGCTTGCTGGCCCACACACCCCTCACTGCTCCGTGCCTGGCTTGCCCTTGACAGGTGTGGGATCCAGGCCGGTAGCACAAGTCCAGTCCAGTCTGCTGGGCAAAGTGGGGGGAACAAGCCCAGTGGGCATGAATAATACTCAGGCAGAAGGTGCCACTGGCCACAGAGGTTTCCAGCTGGCAAAGTGACACCCCAAGGATCCTGTGACATAGGTACCTTGTAGTTTTCATTGCTATTGCAAATGGTGTTTTTTAAAATACTAATTTTCTAATTCTTTGGTGCTGACATAGAGATGCAAATGATTTTTGAATATTGCTTTTATAGCAGGTCATCTTGCTCAATCTCTTATAATTTATACTCACTTGCAACTTGTTTAGGGTTGCTTTAATGAAGATGGTTGTGCTATCCACAAATAATTATGTCTTAGTTTATTCCTATCTAATGCATACAGTTAATTTCTTCTTTCTTTCTCTTTCTTTCTCTCCTTCTTTCTTTCTTCTTTCTTTTTTTCAGAGTCTTGCTTTGTCACCCAGGCTGGAGTGCAGTGGCATGATCTCTGCTCACTGCAGCCTCTGCCTCCCAGGTTCAAGCTATTCTTCTGCCTCAGCCTCCTGAGTAGCTGGGATTACAGGTGCATGCTACAATACCTGGCTATTTTTTTTTATTTTTAGTAGAGACAGGGTTTCACCATGTTGGCCAGGCTGGTCTTGAACTCCTGACCTCAAGTGATCCACCCACCTCAGCCTCCCAAAGTGCTGGGATTACAGGCATGAGCCACCAACCCGGGCCATACAGTTAATTTCTTTTTCTTATTTTACTTTACTGACTTGATCCTCCAGTATAATGTTGAATAGAAACAGTGACTGAAGGCATCCATGTCATGTTTCCGATTTGAACAAAATGCTTCCACCATTTCCCTATGAAGAATAAACTTTGCTGTTGGTCTTGTTTTGTTTTTGTCTTTAGTAGATAATCTTTACCACATTAAGAAAGTTATTTTTTCCAGTTTGCTAAGACTTTTTATCATGAGTATGTACTGAACTTTATGAAACATTTCTTCCTGCTCTTATTGAATTCATCATGATTTATTTTTCTTTCAGTCAGTTTTTAGCATGAATAACATTTTATAGATTTCCTATCATTAAACTACTCTTGAATTGCTGGGATAACTCAATTTGCTTATGGTATATTATCTTTTTTATCAACTGCTACACTCAGTTTGCTAATATCTATGTTTACAATGTTTGCCTTTATACTCATGAGGAAGAATGACTTATAATTGTCCTTCTCATTCAGCCTTAATTTGGTTTTGACATCAAAGTTATACCTACCTCATAGAATGAGTTGGAGTAGATTCTCCCCTTTTTCTATTCTCTGGAAGACTTTGTATAAAGTTAGATAGCCTGTTTCTTCAAAGTTTGATAGAACGAACGTTTAAAATCATCTAGGCTTTTTGCTTAGTTTGGGAAAAGGATATAATATGCGCACACATAAATACATATACCTATATATATTTCCAAATCTATGTGCGTTGGTATATATATACATGTGTATATATACATATATACGTATATGTGTGTGTATATATATGTGTGTGTATATGTATATATATACACACACATACAATTTTTGTTAAAGTAGAACATAGATACAAAAGTACACAAACCATAAGGATATGGCGCCATGAATTTTTACAAACTGAAGACACCTGTATACTCAGCATTCAAAGTTATGGGGTCTAATACCTTAAGTAGGTAGGTCTATTACCTACTACATTCACTCAACATTTTGATGTAATTAAGTTAAACCAATTAGAGATAGTCTTTCAAATTATAATTATTATACTATTATTCAATGTAACAAAATGTTGTCCAATATAAAATTACCTAGTCTACCTAAAGTAAAACTTTATATGAATTCACATACCACACAAACACATTCTTTAGGATAAGAGTAGAAAGTCACATTACCTCAGTCCGTTTGTGGGCGTAATGTGCTCTCTCTCTTTCCTCAGTGATGTCATAGCCCTTCACTATGGATTGGATCTGCTATGAGGGCTATCTTTATAATGAAGTCAAGAGTTTCTGTCCAGATCATCAATCTTGCAGTGTTAAGGAAAGTGGAAGGACTCAAATATCCCTGCTGCGGGAGCAAGCATCATTGATCTGTGAAAGCTCAGGGTTTGAATAGTTACTGAATCTGAATGTGTTGATCCTAAATATTAATATGATTTAGTAAGCATACTGGCTCTACCCCTCTCTCCTCCAATTAGCTGTGAGATACATGTGTGTGTGTTTATACATAAACACACACACATACACGCACACACACACGGGCTGAGCTTGATAAGATATATCAAGGGTCCTTCACTGGTTATAGGCAGCACTTACATATTGGTACCGATAAGATGCTGTGGTCCAAAATAAGACTTAGAGCCATGATTTAATTTCTTTTTATGGCTAAATAATATCCCAATATATGGATATACAATATTTAATTTATTTATTCATTAGTTGATAGACATTTGGGTTATTTTGAACCTTATGCTGTTAAATGAATAATGCTGCTATGAACATTTGTGTGTAAGTATTTTTGTGGACATGTTTTCAATTCTCCTACGCATACACCTAAGATTGGTATTACTGAGTCATATGGTAACTCTATCATGACACTTGGAGAAATTGCCAAACCCTTTTCCAAACTTCCTGCAGAAATAGCAATGTATGAGGCTTCTAATTTCTCCACATTTTCACTATCACTTGTTATTGTGTCTTTTCTTTATTATAGTCATACTAATGGGTATGAAGTGGCATCTCATTGTGGCTTTGATGTATATTTCTCTAAAATCTAAAGACGTTTGTTCTTTGATCTATGAATTATCTAGAATAAAAACATTTTCCAAATTAATGGGAGATGTTTTTCTATTGTTATTGATTTCTAAATGAATAGTTTGATGGTCAAAGAATGTGATCTGTATGATACTTATTTTGGGGGTTGTTGAAAATGTCTTGTACATAATTTTTAAAAAATTCATGTGTTTAATATATGTTTATGATATTAACCTTGTTAATTGTGTTCTTCAAATCTTATATCTTTACTGATTCTTTGTCTTTTTGAATTAATAATTGAGAGAGGTAGCACGAAATTTTCCACTTTGATGGTGGATTTGTCCATTTCTTCCTGTAATTTTATCAATTTTGTTTCATATATTTCAAAACTACTTAATTTGATATATGAATAGGTTTCGGATTGCTATATCTTCCTAGTGAATTTAATCTTTTATAATTATGTAGTGGTCCCCTGTATCCCTAATACTGCTTCTTGTCCTAGTGTCTAGTTTTTTGAATATTAACATAGCAATTCCAGTTTTCTTTTTGTTAGTATTTGTTTGGTATATATTTTCCTAGCTGTTTAATCTTCAACTTTTCCGTGTTATTTTAGTTCAGATGGGTCTTTTGCAAATAGCACATAACTGCATTTAAAAAATTAAATTCAGTTTGACAATCTCTTTTACCTAGTGAATTAAGTCCATTTGTATTTATTGTGGTTATCCAAGTATTTGAGCTGTAATTTTTTATGTTCATCCTTCCTTTTCTCCTCTCACCTTGTTCAGAGGGATTGATTTTATTGCTATTATTGTTCATTTAAAATTATTTTTTCCTCTATTGGTTTGGAATTTATATTCAATTTCTGTTCTTTTAGTGGTTAGTTCCAAAATTTTACCAGGCATATTTACCTCAAAAAAGGCTAAAATTAGGTAATATTTTCACCCCATCCCAATCAACAGAAAGACCTTAGAACACTTTAATTGATCACAGTCTCCTGATTTGCAATTTGCTTCTTTTTATAAAACCAAAATGAGACATTTGTTTTATTATTTTATACAGGCCACAGTGACCCATGATCATGCCACTGCACTCCAGCCTCAACAACAGAGTAAGACCTTGTCTCAAAAAAAGAAGAAAAATGAAAAAAGAAATAATGGGTACAATTCCTCAGGTGCAGTCCAACTTCTTCCCCACAACTGCGGTCTTTCTCCCTGAGGCCAGTGGGACCACAGGTGAGGATATTCAGCCTAGACCAATTAATTCAGAGTCTTTGAAAGGAGTCCACCATTGATATGTTTAAACAGCTTTCCAGATGATTCTAATGTACAGCCAGGGTTGAGAACCACTGGTGTGGTGGAACGGTGGAAGGTTTGTGCCAAGATGAGCCATAGAGTGAGTCTCCAATAACTATTATGTTTTGGTTATCGTGTGAGCCGACAGTCCCTTAGAGGAGCAGACAAGATTGAACATTGCGGTGAGTATAGAGTCTTCCATATCTGGCAGAAGGTGATTCAGCCTGAAGTTCTTGAAAGTGACAGCGGGCGTCATTGAGGTAGTGGGCACAGATGTGTTCAGATCCAGCACGTCTGATTTAAATGAGTGAGTCAACTGGAACTACTAGAAAAGCAATCTATATGGAGGCATCAAAAGCTGTCAAAATAGTCAGGTTTTGAGAATCCAAGAAGTTAGAGAAAAGGCGACCACAGAAACCTGACCCACTGCTTTAACTCTTAAGGCATTTGCTAACTCTTGCTGTACAGCAAAAGGGTGAGAATCTGGATCAAACCTAGGTACATCATATTCAAATTTCTGAAAACTAAAAAAAAATTTTAAAGCATCTAGAGGAAAAAAGACACATTACATTCAAAGGAGCAATAATAAGATATTGGCTGACTTCTCAAAAGAAATAATGGAAGCCAGAAGACAAAGTGCTACCTTTAGTACTGAAAAATAACTGCCAACCTTGAATTCTATAATATATATAGTCAAATACTCTTTAAAAAGGAAGGTAAAATAAAGACTTCTCCAAACAAACAAAACCCGAGGGAATTTGTCACTAGCAGATCCAGGCTAAAAGAAATACTAGGGCCGGGTGCATTGGCTCATGCCTGTAATCCCAGCACTTTGGGAGGCCAAGGCAGGTGGATCACCTGAGGTCAGGAGTTAGAGACCAGCCTGGCCAACATGGTGAAACCCTGTCTCTACTAAAAATACAAAAGTTAGCCAGGCATGGTGGCACGTGCCTGTAGTCTCAGCTACTAGGGAGGCTGAGGCGGGAGGATCACTTGAACCTGGGAGGAGGAGGTTGCAGCGAGCCGAGATCACTACACTCCAGCTTGGGCGACAGAGTGAGACTCTATCTCAACAATAGCAACAACAAAAATAGTAAAGGCTATTCTTTGATAGAAGGAAAATTTTCCTAAATGGAAACAGAAATGCAGGAAGGATAAATAGTAATGAAAATGATAAATCCAAATTAATATCAACTTATAAAACCATAAAAATAATATCTTGTGAGATTCCAAGTATATGTCAAATTAACAGTGCATGATGACAGAAACAAAAGTCAAAATGAGGGGAAATGGAGATAAAGTGTTCTAAGACACAGTTTCCCTCCTGTGATCTAAGATGGCTTCTCCAGCTCTTACCGTCATATCCATATATCTCTTCCTCTTAAAGCTGCTTTTCAGAAGTTTGAATACATCACCTCTGCCTTCATTCCAGTAACATGACCTTAACCTAGGTGCAAGGGAGGTTGGGAAATGTAGTCTTCATCTGAGAAGACAAGTAAAACTTAAGGTTTCTATATTTAAAGAAAGAAGTGAAGAGTGGATATATTCAGAAGGTGGGGTGGGAGTGAGGGTGGTAACTATCAGTTTCTGCCACATTGCCCCAGTTCCTGTGTACAATTGATTTGTACAGGTGTAAAAATTCTAGGTGTGGGCAGACTGCATGATGCCGACAGACCAACTAGTCAATGGACATTTTAGCCTTTTGAGGATTCAAATATGGCCTTTATACTACACACAGATACTATCTTGAAAGGCTTTGCTAAAAGTTTCAGCCATGAAATCTTTAATCCTAAACTGACCACTATTTCACCAAATGAGGATAGAGAATTAGTGCAAAGCTCAGTGGATAATATTTGAGTTGTATTCAGTAGTGGGAAGGAAAGAAGTAGCCTTGTTGGTGGTAAAGAATATGTGAACTTACTCTACTGGCATAAGAAAGTTCTCATGGGAATGGCAAAAACTATCACTAATGAACAGTCCATTTGTAGGATACTATGGTGTCCCTTAGATATAGTATAGCAGCAGATATTATAGCCTAAGAAATAAAGTTCCAGAGTGCTAAGGGCAGTGCTTTGGGGAATAGAGCAAATGCTAGAACTAGTTAACTGGTTGCTGTTTGGCTCTAAATAATCAAGGATATTCAAGAAAAAAATTTTCAAATGGACTGGATGCATTCACTGGAAAATATTTTCCATGAAGAAGACTTTTTGGAAGAGATCCCAAGGATCCTATGTAATACACTGGTGGAATTCTGTCACCTCACACTGGCAAGAGGATGCCACTAGCTTTACTCATTATTTCTTGACATTCAGAGGGAAGCCTAAACTGCCTTGTGTTGGAAGCAGCTCAATGTGGGATGACAGCCTCAGCTGCAGTTGGCTAAATTGAAAGGCGAATTCTAAGTTGAAGATTTCCCTGGCAGCCTGACATAATAATGGGAGTCAGGAAAAGCACTCTGACCCATTTTTTCCCTGAAACATAGGGGCATAAGGTTGACTACTTGCTTAAATAAACAGAGAAGGGAAATAGGGGAAATGAGGAAAAAATAAAACTATAACTTCCTATCTCAAAACTGTTATCTTTTCACAGAAGTTGAAGAGGGAGTAAAAATGGGACTATTTCAAGCACAGGATATAATTGCATGATGAAATGAGGGGAAAGGGGTTAAAAAGGAAGACAAGAGGGAGGTAAAAAGGGGGACTTCTAGGAGTGCATGTGCTATGGACATGGTGCTGGCTAAAAGACTCCTTAATGGAAACAGCCAAGCAAAATTTCCCATCATCCTCTAAATATGAGAGTATTCAAGGCTCTGAGTAAGAGCAAAATTTTCAAAGTTGTGAACTGAGCCTACATAATCTGGAAGGAGTCTGATGTGCATGCAACTGCTGGGTTACACTAATAAACAAATATGTAATTATGAATTGTGATACTTCTTCTGAAGAAAGAAACAGGGTGCTGTAACCATGAATACTTGATAGGTTACTTTAGCCAGAGTGGTCAGAGAAGGTTTCTCTGAGGACATAGAAATTTTAGCTAAGCTCTCAAAGTCGAGAAGTCAGCCATTCAAGGAGCTGGTCAAAACGTTTAGGCAGAGGTTGGAGCAAATGCAAAGACCCTGAGGAGCAACTGGGCTCAGTATATTAAAAAAAGAGCAGTAAGCCCAGTGTGGCTAAAGCAGAGTAAGAGAGAAAGATTATGATGCAGAGACAAGCAGGGGCCACATTACGCAGGGCCTTGTAGGCCATGGTAAGTGTGATGGTTAATTTTATGTGTCAACTTGACTGGGTTAAGAAATATCCAGATAGCTGATAAAACATTGGTTCTGGGAGTGTCTTTGAGGGTGTTTCTGGAAGAGATTAGCATTTGAATCAGTAAACTGACTAAAGTGGATCCACCCTCACCACTGTAAGCGGACATCATCTATTCCATTAAGGGTCCGGAGAGAACAAATAGGTGGAAAAAGGGCAAATTCACTCTCTTCTTGGGCTGGAACATCTGTGTCCTCCTGCCCTTGGACATAGGAGCTCCTTGTTCTCGGGTATTTGGACTCCAGAACTTATACCAGTGACTCTCTCCCCACCCCAGGTTCTCAGGCCTTGATACTTAACCAAATTACACCACTGGATTTCCTGGTTCCCCACTTGCAGAAAGCAAATTGTGGGACTTCTTGGCTTCCATAATCATGTAGACCAATTCCCATAATAAATCCCTTTGTACATATCTATCCTACTGGTTTTGTTTCTCTGGAGAACCCTAATACAGTAAGGAATTTGTATTTCACTCTAAGCACAACTGGATACTTTCCCCCAGTGGTTTAGTGAGGGAAGTATTGTAACATAAAATGATTTAATATTTCAGAAGGGCACTCTGGCTAATGTGTGGAGAATGGACACTAGTAGTACAAGAGTAGAATCAAAGATTTCATTCTAGAAGACATTGCAGCAATTTAGACAAGAGATGATGATTGCATGTGGCTTGGTCTAGGGTAGAGGCTGTGGAAATTGAGTGAAGCATAGTTGATTATCATTATTTGTGGTAGTTATGTTCTACAAAGTGGCTGTGAATATGGCATTAATGAATACCAAACCATTTGGGAAACAGGTTTCTACCAGCGTCTGATCACAAATTTTTTTTCAACTGATAAATATATAACTTTGTTTTATGTGTGTTTCTGTTTTAAAATATCTGCTTTAGCATATACTGTTGATTAATCCACATTGGACTCATAGCCAAGATAACTATAACTCACACCTGAATGAAGCTTGTCTAATACATGTGTTTTCTATCATCATGGCCTTCTTTTGCTTAGTTAGCAATATTAGAAGGCACTTCAGTACTATGCTTCAGGATAATTTAAAACGGTGAAGTCATTAACCAAAGCACAAAAATGTGAAAAAAAGTGGCACTAAATAGACTCCAGAAGAGATCCTTCTTTACAATATGAAAGCTGAAACAAGAAGGCAGAGCATTGCCCTTTTTCATCTCAGCTGGGAATGTGAATGTCAGTTGACTCACGTTTTTCACCTCCCTGCACTAGTCTGGGAATGATCTTGAAAATGCTGGAAAAATTAATTTTGGGCTTACAAATAAATTTTAGCAAGTAGGTGAATTCATAGATATAGAATCTGTGAATAGGGAAGATCACCTGTAGAAATTTTTGAGATGTATTGTAGAGATATAAACTGACAGGAGTTCATAATGGATTGGATGTGGAAAATGAGGGAAGGGAAAGTGTTAAGGTGGATTCCCAGGTTTCTGAATGAGCAACAGTGATGCCACACATTGGGGAGGGGCAGGTTTGAAGGGGAGATGGTAGGTTTAATTCTGAGCATTTTAAGTTAGATACGGCGATTATCCATCCAAGAAGAGATGGCAATCAAACAGTTGGATATATGAGACTTGAGCTCAGAGAAGAGATTTAAGGGAAAGACAGACATTTGGGAGTGGGTGTCACGTGTGTCCGTGTGAAGAGAGTCCACCAACAGATTTTGTGTGAGCAACAAGGCTGTTTATTTCACCTGGGTGCAGGTGGGCTGAGTCTGAAAAAGGAGTCAGCAAAGGGTGGTGGGATTATCATTAGTTCTTATAGGTTTGGGATAGGCAGTGGAGTTAGGAGCAATTTTTTGCTGGCAGGGGGTGGATCTTACAGAGTACATTCTCAAGGGTGAGGAGAATATTACAAAGTACCTTCTTAAGGGCGGGAGAGAATATTACAAAGTACCTTCTCAAGGGTGGGGAGGGTGTATCATACAAAGTACATTCACAAGGGCGGGGGAATGTCACAAAGTACATTATCGCAAGGGCGGGGAAGGTGTATTGTCACAAAGTCAACTGATCAGTTAGGGTGGGGCAGGAACAAATCACAATGGTGGAATGTCATCAGTTAAGGCAGGAATTGGCTATTTTCACTTCTTTTGTGGATCTTCAGTTGCTTCAGGCCATCTGGATGTATACTTGCAGGTCACAGGGGATATGATGGCTTAGCTTGGGCTCAGAGGCCTGACAGTGGGCAGTATTGTTAGTCCATTTAGTGTTGCTATAACAGAATCCCAGAGGCTGGGTAATTTACAAAGAAAAGGGATTTATTTGGTTCTTGATTCTGGTGGCTGGACAGTTCAAGATTGAACAACTGGATCTGGTGAGGGCCTCAGATTGCTTCCACTCATGCCAAGATATCACATGGTGAGAGAGGAAGCAAGAAAGAGAAACCAAGGAAGTCAGACATTTTAACAAGCTGATATCATGGGAACTGATCTATTTCTGCAAGAGGGAGAACTTACTAACCCCTGTGGGAGGGAATGAATGTATTCATGAGGGATTCAACCCCATGACCCAAACACCTCTTACTAGGCCCCACTTCCAGTACCACCACATTGGGGATCAAATTTCAACAGAAGTTCTGATGGAGCTGCCCCATCCAAATCATAGCATTCCACCCGTGGCCCCACCAAAATGCATGTCTTTCTCACATGCAAAATACAATCATTCTATCTCAATTGTCCCAAAAGTATTAACTTGTTCCAGCACCAACTCAAAGGTCCAAAGTCCAGCTATGAGTTTGTAAAATCAAAAACAAGTAGGCTGGGCATGGTGGTTCACATCTGTAATCCTAGCACTTTCGGAGGTCAAGGTAGGTGGATTGCTTGAGCCCAGGAGTTTGAGACCAGCCTGGGCAACACGGCAAGAACCCATCTCTAAAAAATAAACAGATAAACAAACGAAAGTAAAAAGAAACTATTTGCATCTAAGATACAACAGTAGGACAAACACTTGGTAAACAGTCCCATTTCACAAACGAGAAATAGGCCAAAAGAAAGAAATGATAAGCCTCATACAAGTACAACCCAGTGGAACAGATATTAAAACTTAACACTCCAGAATAATCTCCTTTGACCCCATGTCCTACATCTTGGGCAGACTGGTATGAGGGGGGGACTCCTAAGACATCAGGCAGCCTTGCCTTCATGGTTTTGCTGGACATGGCCCACGTAGCTACTCTCACAGGTTGGAGTCAAATGACTGCGGCTTTTCTATGCTGAGGTTGCATGCTGCCGGTGGCTCTACAATTCTGGGGTCCAGGTTGTAGTCCTACCCTGCAGCTCCATTGTTCATTACCCTCATGGGGACCTTCTGTGGTATTTCCTACTCCACATTTCTGGTTAGCATTGCCTTAGTACAGGCTCTCTCTACTGTTGTAGTGGCTCTGCACTACAACAACTTTCTGCCTTGGCTCCCAGGCTTTCTGATGCATACTCTGAAATTTAGGTGGAAGCCACCATGCTTCCATTACTCTCATATTCTGCATGCATGCAAAATGAGTACCACGTAGACATGAATGCTGCCAAGGCTTCCCAGTTGTGCTTTCTGGAGCAGGGGCATGAGCTGCATGTGGCGCCACTTGTGCTATGGCTGCTCCAGCCAGAGTGGTCAGGATGCACAGACCAGTGTCCCGAGGTCACCAGAGCAGCAGCCCTCCAAGTCTCTCCTCCAATACAATTCTATCATTCTAGGTCTCTGGGCCTGTGATGGGAAAGGCAGCCTTAAAGTTCTAAAATGTCTTCAGGTTATTCACCCATTGTCTTGAGTTAACACCTGGCACTCTTTTAGACATGCTAATCTCTTTAGCAAGTCTGCCATTCCCTTGGATTCCTCTTTTGAAAGTACTGTTTTGAAAGTGCTCTTTTGAAAGTTCTCTATTACACATCCAGGTTGTGAGTTTTCCAAATCCTTCTGTTCTGTTTCCAAATTCTCCAGCAAATCACCATAAACACTTAGAAGTAACCATGGCAGCAGCCTGAACACTTTGCTGCTTAGAAATTTCTTCCACAAGATATGCTATTATATCAATCTTAAATTCAGCCTTCCACAAAACCCTAGGGCATAAACACAATGCAGTCAAGTTCTTTGCAACTATATAAAATGATGACCTTTGTTACAGTTTCCAAATAAATATTCCTCATGTCCATCCAAGACCTCATCTTACTGGCCTTGACTGTTCATATTTCCGTAAGCATTTTGGTTACAACCACCTAACCAATCCCTAATAAGTTCTAGCTCATTTTCTAAGCCCCCACCAAGACTGTCTTTAATGCTCTTTTCACTGTAATATTTTCTTTTTCTAGCTTGTACCTTCAAACTCAACTTCTGCCCATTGCCCAGTTCCAAAGCCACTTACCCATTTTCAGGTGTATTTATAAGAACACCCTACTCCTTGGCACCAACTTTCTCTCTTAGTCCATTTAGTTTTGCTATAACAGAATACCAGAGGCTGAGTAAATTATAAAGAAAAGAGGCTTATTTGGCTCATAATTCTGGTGGCTGGATGCTTCCAGATTGAGCAGCTGTATCTGGTTAGGGCCTCAGGCTGCTTCTACTCATGGCAGAAAATGGAAGGGAAGTGGGCATGTGCTAAGAGATCACATGGTGAGAAAGGAAGCAAGAAAGAAGAACAGAGGAAGCTAGACTCTTTTCAATGTCAATTGTTAATCTAAAAAAATAACACTAGAGAAAATTACCTCTATGTTGGGTTTACTCAGAAATAGGAATAGGAAAAAAAAAAGAAATAGGGATCATAATCCAGAATGCATGGAATCACAAGTCACCAGTACTTTCAGGGAGGGAAGGGGAAGGGGAGCTTTTATGAGCAAAAAAAGATTTACATAAGCTGCATAGAAAAAGAGTTCATTGGTTCCCCAGGTTCAGTACTAGAGTTGTCAGTTTATTGGTGGAGATGCAATTACTGGAGAACTGTTCTTCTGAGAACATCTTATTGGAATGACTGCAGTCCTAAAGAATGTGTAGTGATAAGCCTCATCAAAGTAGGAGATATGTAAAGGGTTTTTAGAAAGTCCTTGAAAATGGTTCTTATCTCAGACATGTAAGCATGTGCCTCCCCTCCTTTGGTCCTTCCTGGTATTATTTTGTCTGGATTGGACAAAAGTGATTTCATCCTGGTATCTGCAACTTTAACACAACCAAGAAAGACTAGACTGCAAAGCAGTAAGATAAGGCATTTATTGGGGTCATAGGAATTGCAATTCAGGAGACACAGGTTCAGTTAGAAGCCAAAATGTTTTCCAAAGGGAGGAAGGGAAGTAGGGGTTTCCAAAAGGATGATGAGGATGATTACCCAAGTTGTTTCAAAAGAATTATCATTTGTGGAGGTGGCTGCCTGAGTAGTTCATTGGTTGTTTCTGATCAAGAGTTGCAGCACTGGGATAATTCAGCTGTTTTCCAAGATACTGTGGTTGTGGTGGTTTAGTCCAGTTCAAAGTTCAGGCGGCCGGGTGCAGTGGCTCACACCTGTCATCCCAGCACTTTGGGAGGCTGAGGCGGGAGGATCACTGGAGGCCAGGAATTCGAGACCAACCTGGCTAACATGGTGAAACCCTGTCTCTACTAAAAATACAAAAATTAGTCGGGTGTGGTGGTGGGTGCCTGTTATCCCAGCTACTTGGGAGGCTGAGGCAGGAGAATAGCTTGAACTCGGAAGGTGGAGGTTGCAGTGAGGTGAGATCGCACCATTGCACTCCAGCCTGGGTGACAAGCGCGAGACTCCGTCTCAAAAAAAAAAAAAAAAGTTCAAGAAAGTTCCTGTTTTACAAGGTTGCAGGTTGTGCAGGTAGTACTTTTTCGAGTGACTTCCCAACTGCATTATACATCTCTGAACCAGAATGACATCATTTTGTAGATCACATTTCACATTCCCGTTTCGATTAAGATCTGATGTGAGGCAGCATCACTGATCAATTATTGATTGGTAAGCTACAGATTTGTTATTAGTTTCCCTCAGATCTGGAAGCATTTGTTTCTAGAGTGTTATGTTCCATGGAGTGGGGTTGTTGAAAGTCAGTGTGTATCCAAGGCTTTAGAGACTGATCAATTTGAGTAACAAGGGAGCTATTTAAGTGAGGAGGCCCACATTAGTCTATAGTAATTAGCTGTATATCAGGAGAGGCATTCATTTAATTAACCATGTCTAAATGTTATTCCTCATTCTTCTTTTCCGAAATAGATGAGATTTCAGGGTGGGCATAGAAGGCAATTGTGTTTCTTTTGGAAAGGAACTTTCTTGGTCAGATAAGGAAATTCAGAGAGTCCTTCCTGGCCCTTCGATGGGAAGAATAAGACAAGGTTAAAACGACTTTGATTATGAGGCTAATTTCTTGGGCTTTTCAATTTTCAAAAACACTCAGCATGCCAACGTGCCATATTATGGGGGATCATTTTCTGCACTCCAGTATTCCCCTATCTGATACTTCCCCAAGACTTTCACACACTAAAATCTGAGTTGGTGTCTGTGGAGAAAAAAATTGAGTCAATAGCTGAATGACAAAGGATCCCATTAAACTAGTCCCCTATTTCTTGGAAGAGGCCAGTCCAATTAAACAGTTGTGTCATATTTCAGGAGATGGCATTGCAAGCCGGCTCTCAACAGAAGAAAAACAACAGCTAGGCCGGGCGCGGTGGCTCACGCCTGTAATCCCAGCACTTTGGGAGGCTGAGGCAGGCGGATCACGAGGTCGGGAGATCGAGACCATCCTGGCTAACACAGTGAAACCCTGTCTCTACTAAAAATAGAAAAAATTAGACCGGCGTGGTGGCGGGCGCCTATAGTTCCAGCTACTCGGAGGCTGAGGCAGGAGAATGGCGTGAACCCGGGAGGCGGAGCTTGCAGTGAGCCAAGATGGCGCCACTGCAGTCCAGCCTGGGCGAAAGAGCGAGACTCCGTCTCAAACAAACAAACAAACAAACAAACAAAAAACAGCTATTGTTTGGAATAGTCTATAAACCAGTTTCCTTGGAGTCTAGAGAGCAGTCAGTTGAGGTGTCTAGATGTTAGACTTGAAAAACCCTCAATTAAAGTGGAAATAGGCAGTGGCAATATGAAAGGATTTTCTGGTCTGTAGTTTGTATGTCAAGGTCATTTATACATGAGCTTCAGTTTGCAGGTCCTAAAAACAAACCTAGTAGCAATTTCAGTTGGAAAAATGGAAGAAATATGTGGAACTGTTAGTTTGGAGACTTGTAGCCAGGAAAGAATTCAAGATTCAGTCTAAATTGTAGGCAAGTAATAAAAACTCAAAAAAATAATGGTCAGGGTTAGAATCTAATAACAGATGTTCTATAGTTTTCTTCTGAAACACATTTTTTCTGTCTTCAGTTTCCCACTTTTACCAAAGATGAATCATAGTAGGGCCAATTTATTTGCAAAATAACTTTTGGTCTTACCATAATTGGCCTGATTATTTGCATAAAGTGTAGCAAAAATAATGATTGGTCATATATGCTCCTTTTAAGTTGGCTTTGCTGAAACTTTTTGTGTGTGTGGTTCCAGCAATGCAGTTTATTAAATAAAATTAAAAAGTGACTATTCCCAGGAAAGAAAGCATCAAAAACTAGTTTTGAGAAAGAAGATGAAAGGCTCAATCTCTAACTCCTGGATGCCAGGAAGCAGAGATTTTCAGAATCAAAAACAAATTAAGAGCTCACAGCCCCACCCCTCAAGGGTCACATAAGTTGGTGCTGTTGCTTGTAACTAATTCCAGATTTTAGTTTTTTCTTTACCCAAAATTAAAACTAAGGACACAATACTCTTCAAAAATACCAATACCCTGAGATACATCACTAACAGAATCTACATAAGGCTTTGCTATTTAGGTACAGTTAGTAAAATTCATATTTAAAGTCATTTCATAAAAATAACAATTGTCCTGATCTTACAAGTTTCATTTCCTCCTATCATTGTCACCAAAGCAATCTCTATTGCTAGGATTCTTCATCGCGTGAAGGTAGAAACTGCTTAGTAAAATTCTCCAGCTCATATTCAAGTTGAACAGCTTTATTTCTTAAGAGCTTTAAATTGTTTTGTATTTTCTCCCACTGATCTATTTCTTTGGGTAATCTAGCAATTTCTTCTTCCAGTTGTCTTTGAGTAATATCAGCTTGTTGGCACAGGCGAGCAAAAGTGGTAGCCATTTGTTGTTTTACTTGGTGGCTGCAGTTTGCACTTGTGGAGCTAGCAATCATCTTCAGTTTTCCAGTTGCATAGTTTACAAACTGCTGTTTAAAGGCTCTCTCCTTGGCATGGGTGGTCCAGGACAGTCTTTCATAAAGATACAAAGCTCCATACATAGTTAATGAAACAGATATGAGTTTCCAGCCTATAGTTTTCCAAATCATTCCTCCAACATTATCGATGCCCATAGAAGTTCTAGATGTAAGAGAAGCCAATCCTGTTACTAATGTAATCATGAGTTCTGCCTGTGATGCATTATCTGGCATTGCTGGACTGGTAGGAGCAGTGGGAGTAGAAGCTAAAGATCTAGGGAGCTGAAAGATAGGCTCTGATAATCCTAGGAGCACCATTTGAGCATTTCTAGGGCCCAAAAATTGAGGTACGAGGGAAGACCAGCCCAGGGAAAAATGAAACACAATATCTTCTTGAAAATCTGAACATAACTTGTGGTAATTTAGATTATAACTAAGATCAAATTTCTTGCAAGGGATCAGTGTATGTAGTTTATCCTATATACCAGCTGGAAGTAATGGCTTCAAATTTTCAACAATTTCTTGCTGGAACTGAAGCACTAAGGTGTTTACTTCATTGGTGCATCAATCAGCCAAATTTCTTCCCATACCATCCTCTATATGCTTATTTAATTCACTTTTATATATTTTTAATACATCTGGAGTAGGATGAAACTGAACAAAATTCATCAACCAAAACAGACAGTTGACAAATTTCATCTGTCATTGCACATGACACTTTGTTTGCCACCTCCCCAGTAACCTCCCTGGTTTTTTTGTTAACATCCAGTGTTAAAAGGTTCATCTGGTTTCAGATAAAGTCCAGTCTATCAATTTGGTCTTCCTTCTCTTCCACTGCATAATGCCTTTTCTGTTCAGCTGCCATGTTTATTGAATCCATTGTTTTTTCACAGTAGCTAGTATCTGTTTAGCTCTGATAGTGTGCTGTTCAAACTTTGTTTTCACTGCTGACTGTGAGATACACTCCTCAAAGATTTGTTCAAAATTCTGAAATTCCTGTAATCTTGCCTGAAATCCTTCAGCAGGTGGCCCACATCTTCCATATATTCTGGCTCTGATGCAGAGGCATCCCAACGATTATTGAGAATGAAAATATTAGGCTTGGAAAGCCACTCATTCATGTTGTGAAAACATGTTTTTCCGTATTCGTTAGTGTTGATTCAGAGTTTGCAACCAAAACAAAGACATCAGCATCTAGGCAAAACTTATCAATCCAGCTATCCAGCTCTGTAGTAACATCTGTGCCTGGACTGTCTACTAACACCAGGTAATCTCTCAAGAGGGCACATTTTGCTTTTGGCCAAAACACATGTACAAGACAGCCAGCTTTCAAGTTTTTGTCCATGTGAAGGGCATGGGCCAGTTGATTAATTGTCTTTACACTCTTTTTTCATCTGATCCTTCTGTCATAAGATAGGATTTATCTCCATCGGTTCCTTCAACACTTAGGAAGCAGTTGGTTATATGGCCAATCCCACTAGTGAGAACTTTATCCCACAACATTGCATTGTTAACAGAGCTCTTCCCACTGCTTGGCTATGATATATTAATATAAGGTCCTTTACAATCTGGCTTTTGCTTACAAAGTCTCTACCCTCTTCTTTTGCTCAGTGGTTTCGTAGCACCTTAAATTTAACTACTTGAGTTCTCCAAACACACTGTGGTCTCTCTCCCCCTTTCTATTTATGGCTTTCTGCAAGAAATGGGCTTTTGGACCCTTTTCACATCCAAAGCTATACCTATTTCTCATTCTCAGTAGGACAGTTGAGTCATCACCTTCCCAGGAGGCTCTTCCTTCCTACTCCTGAAACTTTTTAAAATAGGAAATACCAGATTTGATTTTTAAAAGCTTCTTAAGTGTAGGAAGCCAAGCTAAGGATTCACCGTCAGACTTGTGCTTGTAATTCTTGTATGAATTGGTTGAATTCTCTTTTTTTAATATTTTTTTGAGACAGGGTCTCACTCTGTCACCCAGGCTGGAGTGCAGTGGCAAGATCACAGCTCACTGCAGCTTTGACCTCCCTGGCTCAGGTGATTCTCCCACCTCAGCCTCCAGAGTAGCTGGGTTCACAGGTGCATGCCACCACACCTAACTAATTTTTATTTTTTGTAGAAACAGGGTTTTGCCATGTTGCCTAGGCTGGTCTCAAACTCCTGGGCTCAAGCAATCCACCGACCTTAGCCTCCCAAAGTGCTGGGATTACAGGCATGAGCCACCAGACCCAGCTGAATTCTTCTCTTGTTAGAGTTGTCAAAATACCTTGAGGTTTCTGGACCTATCAGAAAGTGACATTCTTTAAATACTGAAAGGTCAGGAACCCTGTAGGGGAACATGTAGACAAGGTACCAGGCCAGTCTTTTTCCACATCTATTGGCTTTAAAGTCAATCTCAATTTCTCAAAGCAGTCTGGTCACATTCAAAAATATGATATTCCAGTCAAAGCCTTGGTAAAATAACCAGTGTCTCAATTGTATCCTGTCACAGAAGAAAACAGATTCTTATTGAACTTAGGCAGACAACTATATTGCCATAAAATAAGAATACTCATGAATAATTTGTGGATTCTAGATAAATCGGGTAAAGAGAAAGGTAAACGTCTCAGTTTTGTTAACAAAAGTATACATTACCCATTGATATAAGGTAAAAACAGCTTAAGAGGGAAAAAAATTCTTAACTCTGGAAAACAAAACCATAAAAAGAATTAGCAATGGTTCTAGCAAAAAGTCATAAAAATCATTTCAGTCCTTCATCAAGTTAGTCTCATGTAATTAATTCTTATTCTGCTTAATGTTGGGTTACCAATTTTATGAATACAGCTTTTTAAATTAGAGTTTTAAAAAAAATTTTACCCAGTACAGTTGAATAATTTGAATGTCATAAGCAGAGTTCTGTATTTCAGAGTATCTGTCAGACCCTCTTCCATGAACCTCCTTGAAGACACAACACTTTAAGATTTACGAAGACCTTTTAGAAAAAGAGCATCAGAATACAGCAATTTACTAGGACATATCAGATTTTTTGAATCTCACACAATTTTGGAACACATATTAATAACATCCCTATGAACATAATTCAAAGTTAAACACCATTTCTTACTGGACCATGATTTCCATTTGATTTTAACATACAAAATAAGCCTAATATGTTTTCTTGAACTCTCAGAGGATCTTTTTTTTTTTTTTTTTGAGATGGAGTCTTGCTCTGCTGCTCAGGCTGGAGTGAAGTGGCACGATCTCACTCACTGCAACCTCCGCCTCCCAGGTTCCAGAGAGCCTCCTGCCTCAGCCTCCTGAGTAGCTGGGACTACAGGCGCATGCCACCATGCCAAGCTAATTTTTGTATTTTTTAGTAGAGACAGGGTTTAACCATATTGGCCAGGCTGGTATCAAACTCCTTCTCAGAGGATCTTTTAAAAATGTCTAAAAGTTTGTTTAAAGTCAAAAAGACTTAATTTAGAATTTTAAATTTCATTTTGGGAAGTTTGTCAAATATCAAAGATTTAAAACACTTGATATCAGAATAGGATCACAGGTCACTGTAAAATAATGGTCATTCATTTAGCCAAAGTGATAATAAAAAGGCTTCACAAAGCTAAAAACTTTTACTCTTTGACAGAAAACAGTTTTCTAAATAATCAAATGACCTAATAAAGACAGCATGAGGCAAACTCCTCTCTTTTTTGCAATTTACTTAAAAGTTGAACCTAGTCTTTTACTGTTTCTTATTATTACTAAACAAAAATATTGTTCAAAAGAGAAAATCAAATTCTACCTTTGCATTGGTCTATTATTAATACAAAGCTAATTTTACTAAAATTCTATAAACAAATTTATCCATTCTTAGACTGACCACATAAGATAAGATTTCCACAACTCTTTTATAAACTCTTACAAGTTTTTTTCATTCTCTCTCTTTCCTCAACTTTCTATATCCATTCAGGTATATCTATAATTCTTTTTTATTCCTTTAACAAAAGCAACCTTTAAATCACCTTTAAACTAGACAAAGATTACTTTTCTTTGAAGAAAAAACACATTCACTTGTCTTTCTTATAAACTTTCTTACCAAAAACATCCTACTTTTCTTATGCAGTCTGTGTACAGAATTGTTTCTCTTATATCCAGTAATTTTAATTACATATATTAACTATAATTTTAACTTTCAGTAACCCAAATTTCTAGAGTAAAACATATGAGTTAAGTAATTTTAATGTTATATATATCAGGTGCAGAGCCCAGGACAGGGGACAGAGCTGTGAAGACAATGCCTGAAGGATCCGACCCTTCCCAGTATGGCCAGGGACACAGCTGGGCCAGAGAGGATGAGGCCATATTGGGCTTGGCTCTGCTCTGCAGCTTGTGGCCTAGGCACTGTGGACATACCTATGTCTTCCAGCTTCACCATGGCCACCTGTCTACACCCCAGTATTTAAAGGCTGAAAATAAAAGACTTTAAGTTCACAGAAAGATGTGTACAAGGTTTTAGGGAGGTCCATCACCCTCCCATTACAGCTTTAGCTCACAGACACATCAAGCAAGCCTCAAAATGATCACAGAAGCAAGACTTTTATGACCTTAAAACATCTAGTAGAGATGGCATACATTTGTTTGAGTGGTAGACTCAGGTGACTATATCTAAAATTCTGAAGACATTTCTATTTTATTTTACCAACAATTTTTAAACTAGCTTTATTTACTAAAAATTACTGAAGTCACGTGAATTCAAAAAGCATATGGCCTAGTTATTTAATTTATAAGTACTCATTTATTTATAAGTAAATTTAGTATCATTTATTCAATGTACAAACCGACATGTACACATGTATACATAAAATACAAAGAATGTATAGCTTTGATTGTAAAATATTAGTCATGCGACAGGTGAAATTCACTAGTTTAAAAAGAAAGTTGGATTAAATTGTGCCTCTGTAAATGGAACAAGTTGAAGTTTATCTGTCCCACATGGCCAAAGCTTTTACTGAGTTTTAGAGAAAAGAGGGTAGAAAATTTACATCTCAAAGCACAGGAAGAGAATTTAAGCATTTTCAAGAAAGAGTTTGGGTGTGTTAGTGAGAGAAAGATTAAAAATGGATACCAATGTAACGCAAAATAAATAGGAATTAACCATAGGATTATACAGATGAGCCTAGGAAAATTCAGAAAGCTTTTCAAAATAACCAAATGCTAGAAAGCCATATTTTGAAGACTAATATTTTTAGATAGGTGGCTTCTAATTTAGTCTCTGTTTTTCAACTGGACCACTGAGCTCAGGGCAGAGCCCATTAAAGAATAGGGCCAACAAATCATTTGCACTTTCCATGACCTAACACTTATGTATGTGAAAAGCAGGAGCAGCTGGAAGGCAGAGCATCCAGATCCCCCCAAATCAAGGATCCCATCTTTACACTGAATCCCTTGTCCTCCAAAAGAGAGAAACACTACAGGACTGGGCTGCGCAAGGCTTCCACAGTGTACTTCGCTGCAAAGACATTTCCAGAAGGTGGTGGGAGACCCAATACTCATTAGCCCACTCTGTGATCAGCCCATTCACCACAGGAGTCATCCCTCAGTGGCAAATGTTCTCATGGCCTGCAAATGTGCAAACCACATTTTTTTAAAAATTTAAACATGCAAAAAAAAAAAATGAGTAGCCTGTGCAGTAATAACCATTCACTCTAAATAACCACTGTCAGCCACCTTCAAAACTGCAGCCCTTGCTAGTGACCCACCAGTCATCAAACACACATAGGTCAAGTTTTCTCTCACAGCATAAACTAATCCTTGGTACCCCCAAAAGCCAGAGAGACCAGGGAACTCAATGCAAAAGAGACCAGAGCTTGAGATCTGAAAGGAACCTGTCCATGACTCTTGGGGCTCCACAAGGAAAACAGAAGATCTTAAAAAGGAGTTGTGTGGCACCTTTCTCTGTGCACCTTTTAATGGGGTTTTAGGGAGGCTAGAAGTCTCCTTTAGATTTTGTTATATGGAATTGAAGATGACAAAAAGGAAGGAGGAGGAGAAGTGGAAGGAAACGGAACAAGTCTTAGTGGAGCCAATTTGGGGAGCCAATTTTAAGTTTCCCAGAAAGACCAATGAAGCTTTACATTTTTTCTCAGCAAAAATCATGCCAACAAGAAAGGGAGCAAACAGAAGGACCAAACATATCATTGAAAAGGAGATTTCAGTTGACTGAAAAAATTCCCCAAAACAGAATCTAAACTAGAAAAAGCAGAAAGGCCTTTAAAAATATTAGAGCCTGAAAATCCACTTTTAATTAAGCCGATTTCTGACTATAGTGTTCCTATAAAAAGGGTGTCTTTTCAAATATCTTATCAGATTTCATCCAGGAAAAACAGTCAATATTACTGGCTTTTGAACTTTTTTCCCCCAAAGGTGACTTTCAAATGACTCACCAAACCCGAAAAGCTTTAACCAAGCATATGACCTAACCAAGGACACATGAGGTATTTCCAAATGCAAAGTATTCCTCACAAGACCCAGAACCATCCCAAAGACAGCTCAAAGAAAGGACAGTTTTGCTAGCCACAAATGGGATACAACCCACATTTGTGTCCAGCAATATTCTCTAACATCTCAGCTTCTTAGCTGACTGTCTACACACAAAAGCTGACCATCCCATGTACCCACAGATGAAGGATTAAAAGAGAAAGTTGGTAAGACAGGAACTCAAAAGATGTTCATGGGAGGGGAGAGGATCAATAACAAATGAATACCCCAAAAAGTTAAGTCACATAAATATCAAACCAATTTTTCAATAAATGTTTCTTTTCCTGCGTTTAAGGGCTTACATCAGCAGAGACTGATTCCTTGACTGGGAATCGAACCTGGGCCCTGGCAGTGAGAGCATCAAATCCCAGCCCTAGACCATAGGGTAAAGTGTTTTTTTTTGGGGGGTGGGTGGGGGGAGGTAAATCCTGCATGGGCTCCAAAGCAGACAGTTTGAGCATACAAAATATTTTAACTTTGATTTAGGATTGCCCTTTAATTTAGTCAAGAAAATTTCTAAGGCTAGGCATGACACTATTATATGTCCTTTAAAAGAAATTTGATCCTCCCCTATATACAAATAAGGTAATTGTTTAGAATGAGAGATCTCTAAAAGGATCCATCTTTTGGCCACTGATGATTAGAATTTCCAATGGTATAATTATTCCAATAGCGACTCAATCCAATAACCCTCTTTATGGAAAGCCCAGGAGGAATTGCTCAGGTTTAGAATAAGTTTTTACCATATAAGCAAAGAGGGTGCCAAGAATGGCAGTGAAATGGAATAGCTAGGGCTAGGAGGGGGAGGAGACACAAGACAAAGACAAATAGAGAAGTGCTTGTTTCCAGATTTGTTTCATTTTTAGAAGCTTCTGGGTTTTTTCTAATTTAGTCTTTGAATTAATTTGGCATTGTTATCTTTTAGAGACACTAGTTTAGATTCCTAGAGTCTTTTAGATGCCTTAAGATACCAAATTAAAGCAGACATCCTATTTAGGCTATTTGGTCTTTTCTTTTAGCCCTTCTAACTGTGGAAGAAAATGCATTGTGGAAATTCAAAAGATCACCAGGTTGGCCATTGTAATTCCAAATCACTTTCAGTTATATTTGTCCATCAAGAAAGACATTCACAAGATGAAGCATTGTAATTTTTGCACCAAGAAACCGAGATTCCTAGAAAGGGGTGACTCAGCACCTATACTCTTAGAAGCAAAAGCCCTCATGAATACTCACCACAAGGGGAAAATTTCCTTTGTGGACAGCTGGCAACAAAGAACACCCAATAAAGATATGAACCTCAAACCAAGTTAGGAGGGTCAGGGAAAAGAGGGGACTCACTAACAGAGTATGGAGCTGTCAGGGAGGTGATGGAACACAAGGAGTTCCTGCAGGTACAGTGCTCAAATCTGTGGCAGCACCAGAATGCATAGTAAGAGAGTAACATCATATCCCACTTCTGACACCATTTAACGTCAACCAAGAAGAGGCAAAAGAACTGAGTGCAACGCAGCAAGCATTTATTAGGGCCTTAGGAATTGCAATTTGGGAGACACAGATTCAGCGAGAAGCCAAATTATCTGCCAAAGGGAGGAAGCAGAGTAGCAATTTTTAAAAGGATGCTGAGGGTGATTACAGAAGTTGTTTTGAAAGTATCATTGGTGGAGGTGGCTGGCTTTGTAAATGAGCCTATAGTTCATTAGTTGTCACTGTTCAGGGGTTGCAGCACTGGCAAAATTCAGCTGTTTTCCAGGATGCTGTTGTTGTGGTGGTTTAGCCCAGTTCAAAGTTCAAGGCAAGTTCCTGTTTTGCAAGTTCACATGTTGTATAGGTAGTCCTTCTGAGAATGGCTTCCCAACTCCATTTTAGAGCTCTGAAGCAGAGTGATACAATTTGTATATCACATTTCACATTAGCTACCCACTTTCACAGGAACTAATTCATTCCTGTGAGAGGAAGAACTCACCTCCACAGGAGGGCCTTAATCTCTTCATAAGGGATTCACCTTCATGACCCCGACACCTCCCACCAGGCCCCACCTCCTAACACATTGGAGATCAAATTTCAATATGAGTTTTGGCAGGGACACACCACATCCAAACTATTGCAAGTATATGTTATGCTAAGAATGTATTTGCCCCTCCTCTGTCCAGAAAAGCTTTTCAACATTGACTGAGAATGAAGGAACTAATGGTACCTTTGCTCCCTAATCCCTTGGTTTCTCATCTGGCTGCAGAAGTGGGTGGTGGTGGGCAAAGGTATTTTACTTTTTCCCACCACACCGATTGATAGGAAGGTCCATTATAGGAGTGATGAACTCAGTGCTTGCTGCCAAGTTATGTCTGTGGGTCCCACATACATTTTTCTAAGGGTCACAGGCATACAGATGTAGAAGATAGAAGTGCAAAATAAAGTTAGACCTCTGCCTGACAGCATATATCTAATGAAAAAAAATCTAAGATGAATCTAAACCTTATGAAAGCTTAAGGAAAACAAATATCTCCAAACCTATGTAAGTACTTGAAAATATGAGAGCATATATTTGTAATTTTGGGGTAGGGAATACTGTGTTAAGCTTTCCATGAACATCAGAAGTTATAAACAAAAAAAAATGCCAAGCTGGAACAGATAAAAATCATAAAATAGCTGCACAGCTGTATTAGGGTTCTCCAGAGAAACAGGACCAATAGGATATAAATAGATAGCTAGATAGATAGATAGAGATAGATGATCGATAGATAGAGATAGATGATTGATAGAGATATAGATAGATGATAGATAGATAGATAGATAGATAGATATAGATAAATAGATAAGAGGGAATTTATTACGGGAATTGGCTCACATGATTATGGAAGCCGAGAAGTTCCATGATCTGCCATCTGCAAGCTGGAGGAACAGGAGAGACGGTGGTGTGACTCAGGCTGAATCCAAAGTCCTGAGAACCAGAAGCTCCGATGTCCAAGGGCAGGAGAAGATGGATCTTCCAGCAGAAGAAGATAGAGTGAATTTTCCCTTACTCCACTTGTTTGTTCTCTCTGGACCCTCGATGGATTGGATGATGAGGGTGAGGGTGCATCTTCTTTACTGAATCTACTGACTCAAATGCTACTGTCTTCTAGAAACACCCTCAAAGACACACCCAGGATCAATGTTTTACCAGCTATCTGGGTATCCCTTAACCTAGTCGCATTGACATAGAAAATTAATCATTACAATAGACAAAAGTATAAACAAAATAAAAAGGCAAGTGACAAAAAGGAGAAAATATTTATAACAGGTGACAAAGCATTAATATGCACTTTCTCTAAAGGTCTCCTACAAAAATCAATAAGAAATAAAAAAGAACTTCAATGGAAAAACAGGCAAAGGACATGAAATGGCAGTTCACAGATGAAGCACCACAAATGGTCATCCTCACTAATGCTTAATCTTGGTCATTTATTTATTCAACAAGTATTTAATGAGCAGCTACTACATGCCAAGCACTGTAATAGGTGCTCAGGATTCTGTCATAAATGATATATACAAAATCCTCACCTTCTTGGAATTTACTTTCTGGTGGGTTTAGACAAATAGCAAAAATTAAGATACATATTAGTGGTGAAAAGTGCTTTATAACAAAATAAATAAGCAAAGTAGGGGGATAGAAAGTGCTGAAGGATGTGCTATCTTAGAAAGGATAGGTAGAGAGGATCTCTTATTATATTACATTTTAGCAGAAAAGGACTGAAGTGTGAGGATGAGGCATGAAGGAAGATATCTGGTGGAACAGCCTTGTGAGTAGGGGCAAAGACCATAAGTAGGTGTCTTTCCTAGAGTGGTCCACATTCAGCAAAAAGGACAAGCAGCTGGAGTTGAGTGAGCATGAGAAAGATGAGGTCCAGAGAGTCAGCAGGGGCCAGACAGTGGGGACCTTGTAAGCCACTGAAAATACTTTACCTTTCATTTAAAATGAGATGGAAAAGCTTTGGGGGTTTTTGAGCAGAGGACTGACGTGATCTGAATCGTGTTTTTTAAAGAAACACTCTTGCTGTTATACTTGGAATAGACTGGGGTTGGGAACAGTTAGAATGGGATCAGGAAGATCATGTAGGAAGCTTGAACAATAATGCAGTCAAAAGATGATAGTGGTTTAAACCAGGCTGGTATTGGTGGAGGTAGTGAGAAGTGTCTGAATCTGTGGGTGTGACAGAAAGGGTGGAATCCAGGATGGTTCCATGTTTTTGGCCTGAGCAATTGGAAGAATGGAGTTGCCATTTTCAGAGATTGGATAGTGCATAGGTTGAGCAGATTTGAGGATAAGATCAGTTCAGCTTGGACATGTTAACGCTCTCCTATCTTAAATATTATGGTTGTCCATATTTTAGTTCTACCTTTAAAAAATTTAGGATTTTGATTAAATTAAATTAGAGTTGTCAGGCGTTTGAGTAGGCAGTTGATTTACAGTATAAGTTTGGAGGTCATAACTGAAGCATACATTTAGGAGTTATATTTTCTAAAAATTAAAGAAATATAAACTAAAACACAATACTGTTTTTTCATTCATGAGTTTGGCAACTTCCTAAAAATTAATAAGTACAGTGTGGGTAAATGAGCACTCATATACATTTTGTGGGAGTATGAAATGGTAGAGCCTTTTTGGAGGGAAATTTCATGGTTTTAATCAAGATTTAAAATGTGCTTATCCTTTAATCCAGCAATTGCACTTCTAGAACTTTATCCTCTAGGTATGTTCTCACATGTGTGCAAAAATATGTGTACAAAGATGTTCAATGTCTCAGTGTGTAAGAAAAAATGGAGAAAAATTGGTATATCCAATGACAGAAATGGTTAAGTACCTTATTGTTTACTCAGCCTGGAGTATTAGATTTTTGTTGAAAAGACTGACCATGTGTCAGGTACCATGAGTCAGGTACTGTGTTAAGTGTTTTATGTCTTATCTCACTTAAATTAATTTTTTCTACCTTGATTTTCTTCTTTCTAGTCATGCATTCATTTATGTAATAATTTTTTGGGCACCTACTATGTGCCAGTACTGCCTACTTAATCCATAAAAATGGACTCACTTTCCCTGAACCCAAAGTTCCTAATCTCCAATGAAAGCTATGGCCCTTGTTCCCAGATAAGTATTTGTAAAATTTCCTTGAGGGAATCACAGACCACCCTCTGGAAGTTCCAGCAGTTCTATAGACCCAAGTCCAGATTCAGAATCTCTGTTCTGGAGCAATGATTCAAGGACACACAAAGGCAAGAGTGGGAGGTAGGGTGGGCCAGAAGGCCAGGGTATACAGAAATCTTTAGCAGGTCAGCTTCTGTTTGGAAAGTATTGGTTAAGTGCGGATTTTGCTGCCAGGATGTGAAGACTCTAGGAAGCTGGGGTCCCTTAGTGAATACTAATAGTGCAATGTGGGCCATACACTCCTATTACCCAGCATTCCCCTCTATCCTCTATTCCCTGCCGCCGTATCTCAGGCCTGGGCAGCTTAAGTATCTCTCCATTCCCTCTTCAACTCCAGCCCTTACAAGGCCAAATGCAATTGGCTGTGAAACCAAGCCTTCTGCCCAAGTGGCTGGGAAGCCTCTCCCACAGCCTGGCAGTGGTGTTTTGCCATGAGTCCCTGTCTCCTGTTTTTTGTTTTTTTGTTTTCCTTCCCTGTGTATGTTTCCGTGGTAACAGTCAAGCAGGCTAGTAGGATAGCTGCCTGAGAAGCCACCAGGCTCTCACTCTCCGCTCACTCTCAATATTGATCAGTGCTTCAATTCAGCAAAGGACAGGCAACAGAAACCCACGGGTCAGTTCTTGTTCTCTAGTAGTAAGCATATATTGTGATAGAGTTAGGAGTCAAAGAGCTTTATTGGGGGATAGTTAATATCTGTGAAAGATCGAAAAGGAGGCACTGTTGGGCAGGAAAGCATTCAGACCTTGATGTACATCTGACACTTGTGAAAGGAAAGAAGGACAAAAGCAGAATTAGGCAGGCTGTGATGTGGCTCTGACAAAGTCTCACCATATCCAAGAGAGAGCTGTGCAACAAAGATGTCCCATGAGAAAAGCCCCACACTGGACTGAAATGGCCAGACTTGAGTACATTTAGTGTGCTCAGTCATTGACTACAGGCTGCCCTGGAAGACCATGGCATTGGTTCAAATATAGTGCAAATCTTGCAGGTGCTACAGCTAGAAGTTCTCAGTTAACTTCCCTGCTCACAGATGAAAGGTATGTTCCTGCTTGAAGGGAGAATTGAGCAGTGTCCATAGCTGCCACAACGTCTAACTCTTTCTAACCACCAGCAAAAGGCCAGCATGGGTGTATATAAGCAGATCAGCATGAATGCAAGGTGTCACCTTGTGACACCTCTACGACAGGGAGTGCAACTTGGGCTAGTTCATTCTGCCCCACAAGGAGTAGGGGTGAGAGAAGCTCTCACCTGTGCTGTTGTATTTTTTCCTCCAGATATTAGCCCAAGCTTCACCTTCAGTTACTATATATAGATGCATACACGCACATATATTTGAATATGCTTCTACTCCATGTTTACCCAGTCAGGGGGATAAGGAAATAAGATGCTGTCAAGACATATGATGAGTAAACATATATATATATATGTGTGTGTGTGTATATATATATATACGTATATATACATATATATACGTGTATATATATATACGTGTATATATACATATATACGTATATATACGCGTATATATACGTATATATACGCGTATATATACGTATATATATATATACACGTATATATACGTGTATATATACATATATATATATATACACACTGGGTGTATGGGCAACTAAGTCTCCTTCGATTTTGGCACTAAGCATGTACAACACAACAATTTTAATAATCACTACCATTTCTGAACTGCCTGTACTTCTAATATCAAGTGGTTAAGAATCAAAAAGGTCTAGTTTTGAATCCTGATTTTGCCAGTTAGTGACCTTGGACAAATGACTATTTCTCTGAGTCTCGATTTCCTCGTTTGAAAAATGGTAATCATAAGAGTACCTATTTCCTAAGGTTATTGTGAGGTCATCTCCCTTTTATAGATGAGGAAACAGAGGCCCTGGTAGATTAACAACTTGTTAAAGGATCACACAGCCTGCAACTGGCAGGTCTGAATTTCACCTCCAGGTCTGACTCCAGAGCACAGACCCATTATCCCACACCACAATACTTCCTAGTTTTCCTAGGCTGCTGCTGAAGGGGCTCTGCAGGCTAACAGGAAGCAAGAGGCAGAAACAGGGTTTAGAGGTGTTCTCAGATCACTAGCGACTAGGTGAGAGAGCAGCAGTGGGATGCAAGCCATTTATTCCAGCGAACAAAAGTCAAAATAATGCATAACTGGTGAGATATTTGGGTGGCTACATGTTGGGCTAATGTATATTTTCATGACAAATGTTATATAGAAGTTTGCTTTCTGCAAGGTATAGTTTGAAAGGCACCAAAGGTCCCTCTGATCCTCAAATCAAACTCCTTCTGCTCCTAAAACACAAAGTATATGCCTGAAGTGCCAATGTTACCAGACAGGGGGTCCAGATCCAGACCCCAAAAGAGGGTTCTTGGATCTCACGCAATAAAGAATTCAAGAAGAGCCCATAGAGTGAAAGCAAGTTTATTAGGAAAGTAAAGGAATAGAAGTATGGCTATTCCATAGGCAGAGCAGCCCTGAGGGCTGCTGATTGCCGATTTTTATGGTTATTTTTAAATTATATGCTAAACAAGGGGTAGATTATTCATGCCTCCCCTTTTTCGACCATATAAGGTAACTTCCTGACATTGCCATGGAATTTGTAAACTATCATGGCGCGAGTGTAGCAGTGAGGAGGACCAGAGTTCATTCTTGTTGCCATCTTGATTTTGGTGGGTTTTGGCTGGCTTCTTTACTGCAAACTGTTTTATCAGTAAGGTCTTTATGACCTGTATCTTGTGCTGACCTCCTATCTCATCCTGTGACTTAGAATGCCTTAACCTCCTGGGAATGCAGCCAAGAAGGTTTCAGCCTCATTTTACCCAGCCCCTACTCATGATGGAGTTGCTCTGATTCAAATGCCTCTGACATATTTCCCCCCTCCCTTTTACAAGCGAACCCTTAATCCTAAGGGTTGTAGAGGGACAAAGATCCATCTTCTGTAACTTCTTCATGCTGAACAGAGGCAATGTTATTCCTACCTAACTACTGGGTCTCTTGTATTCAGGGTAGAAAGGAGCTCAGTCAGAAAGCCTTGGTATGGTGAGGGTCATTCATAATTCTTGAGTTCCAACAAAAGTGATATCTGGAAGATTAATAAGTGCTTAAGAAAATATTGAGTAAGCTTATCCTGCATTCCTACACAAAGAGTATAACAGCATTGTATTGCACAACAGTAAAGCAAAATAAATAAAATTATCCAAGTAAACTAAATTAGAAGGCTTTCCATGAGCGGAGCAACTGTTGGAACCAAGCTGATATGGGATCACTAGCTTATTCCAGTGTGCCCAGAATTAGAATATTGATCTAGATTTTTACATTACCCATCCCTCTTGTTTCTTCTGAGCAGCAGCCAGAGATCACTGGTTGGTTCACAGGAATAAGCAGGTTAGTCTAAATTGCAGGAAAAAAAACCTTAAAAACAACTGATGAGACTAGAATCTAAAAACAGGTGTACCACAGTTGTTGAAACATAATTTTTCTCTCTCCAGTTTCTCATTTTTTACTAAAGACAAATCATGGTATGACTGATTTGCTTTATTATACTTGGCCTGATTATTTGTATAAAGTGCAGCAAGAATAATTATTTTTCACATAGGCTTTTAAAATTGGCTTTGATGGAACTCTGTTCCATAGAAGGAATCTCAAATCAGACTTTTTTTTTAAGCTGAGCCCAGCCATGGGGTTGTACTGTCAAATACCTGTGACTTGGGTAAATTTCTCTCCTCTTGAGGTCCCAAGATAACTTGGGGCTCCTGGGCCTGTCAGAAAGTGACATTCTTACCACAGGTTAGGAACTTACCACAGGTCAGGAACCCTGCACAGGGACTGTGTAGACAAGGTATGAGGCCAGTTTTCCCAAGGGGCCCTGATTGGCTCTATAAGTCAAGTGTGATTCCTTAATGGAAAGCACATCATTCAAGTCAAAGCCTTCCTAAAATAACCAGTATCTCCAATTGTGTCTTGTTGTAAATGAAAACAGATGCTTATTGCACTTATGCAAATAAGTATATTGCCATAAGTTAAGAATACCCACAACTTAGTTTCCAAATTCTGGAGAAATTAGATAGAGCAAAACAAATATCCTCCAAATTTTGTTCACAGGAGTATATTTTACTCAATTGTTGAAAGCTGTTAATAGCTCAAAAGAAAAATTTCCTTGACTGTGAAAAACAAAACAAAGGATCAGCAACGTTTTAAGCAAAAAGTTAAAAAGATTACTTCAGTCTTCTATTAGTTCAGTCCATGCAGTTAAGTCCTGTTTTGCTTGATATCCATTAACATTTCAGCTCTCCATAAGAGTCCTGAAAGTTTTTTCTGCTATTCTAATGTCACAATCTCCAAAGTTATTAGAAACCTTCATTTAAGACCACCTGTTAGAGTTCTATAGTTGATTATAAAACCACCTTCTACAGAGGACCAAAACAAGACAGTAGTCTGTAGATGACAAAAAGTCTTATTAGTTAGGACAGCCACGATTAAAACCACAATTGACAAGGAAATTTTGGTTATTTCTGTGGCATACAACTATTTTACATAACAATGATGATTATTAATAACATACACTAAGTCATATTAGAATTATAGGAGTTTCTCATAATTTTGGAACACATACCAATAACATATTTACACAAATACAGCCCAAAGAAAGCCAAACATCATTTTATATTTGACAATGCTTCCTGCAGGATTTTTATACCAAATAAGACAAATTTCACTGTTGCACTAGTGTACTATTAATGTCAACCCCAATTCTTAATAAAACCTTGTAGACAAATTTATTCCATCTTAATCAGTTTGAACATAAGATTCCTACAAACTTTTTTTCCTCACCTCCTCAGCAAAGTGGATCATAAACCTTTTATAACCCTTTACAATTTTTGTGAAAGAGCAGTTCAGTGCTCTAAGAAAAACCTGTTGTGCTCTTATTCCAATGTTCAATTTACGGAAAAATTGAATACCTTTTTAAATTTTAGGAAATATGTTCACACACAGAATTTTTTTTACAATTAATTTTTTGCAAATCTTCCACAACTTGCTCAAACTTGCAGTTTTATCCCAACTTAAAACAATCCTTTAGCCCTCTAAACTTAGGCAAGAAATCCACATTCCTATGACTTCTTATAATCTTTTACCAAAAACACATTTCACTTTCCTTACACACCTTGCATGTAAAACTGTTTTTATTGCCCAAAGATTACTTAGGTCACATGAACTAAAAGGCATTACAGTTTTTACTTTTCTGATAAAATAAGAACTTATTATTTTTAAGCCAATTAATTAAAGCTCTTTCATATATAAATATCACAGACATAACACATATAAATACACAGACAGAAGAAGATCCAGTACTTGTAAGATTTTTCTTTTGCCAGTTTCTTAAATGGATTACTGGCTTAGGATGGAGCCCTTGGAGGAACAGGGCCAGGAAACAGGAAAGCATGCAGTTTTTAGGGCATAATAAGCAGGCACAGCTGGAAGGCAAAACAGATCCCCTCAAATTAAGGGTCCCATTTTTATACCAGATCCTGGATCCCCAAAAAGGGGGAATCAGCCCATCTCCCAAAACTATACTTCCTACCTAGTTATTACACACTAAAAGTCTCTCATAATGCAAAGTAATTTCTGATACCCCCAAAAGTTAAAAATGTCAGATAATGCAATGCAAAACAGAACAAAGCCTTAGATTTTGAGAGGGATCTATCCACTTTTAATTCCTGGGGTTTCATGAGGAAGACAGAGGTTTTTCCCCAAGCAGGGTCTGTGGTGCCTCCTCTGCTTTTCCTGAGTCCCCACCTATTAGAGCTAGAATATCTGCTTTTAATTAAGCTGACTTTTAACCACAGCACTCTAAAAAAAAGAGTCCTTTTAAAATTTAAAATTTTAAAATTAAAATGTATTACCCAACTTTTAGCCAAGCCAATCGGCCGATATTTTTGGCTTTTGAACTTTACCAAAAGTAACCTAATAGTTGCACTGAGAAAGTAAAACTCAAGACAGTTAGTGGAGGGAAAGAGAACCAACAAATGGCAAAGGTCACACAGATATTAAACCAGAAAGTACTCATTCCCTAAGCTGGGAATTGAACCCAGGCTGCTATTGTGATGGCAGAGACCAAGAGAAAGTACTGCCATGTGGTTACAAGGTTAATCTGCCAAGGACATTTTTCAACATGTGGTCTCTGGGCAAGATGGTCGCCCTGAGTAATAGAAAAGACAGGAAAGAGAAAGAGAGAGAGAGAAGCATTGCTTGCGGCAGGGTGGGGAAGGCGAGCATCTCACAGAGGCCCAAGAAAGATCCACCCATCCCAGCGTGATTGAAAAGTTCAGGCAGCTGCTTGTCGGTTGCAAAGGGATCTTTTCCAGCAGTCCCATTAGCTCTCAAGTTTCCCCTTTTAGGGAGAAAAAAGCTCCCCATGTCCCATGGTCCCATACATGCCTCATCCTGTCACCCACAGCCATCAGCAGACTGCAAGGTAGATTAATTCAAAGAGAATAGCCGTTAACATCCCATAGTGCCAAACCTGTTCGTAGCTGAGAGTACCTTTACTGAGAGGGTCCTCTAACCTCCTAAATCTTAGGAAGGACTCTAACCTTCCTCAATTGGGCCTCCAACCCAAGTTTGGTCAAGCGTTGTTGCCTTTTATTGAGAGGGCCCTTTAACCCTCTCTGTCTTAGGAGAGACTCTAACTCCCCTAAGTTGGGCCTCTAACCCAATCCCATCCTTTACCCAGGTATATGCACCTCACTTACCCAAAGTCGGCCAATTGGTGTGCACAGATGATTTTCCTTTTGGTCACGAGTTTCTTCAGTATCATCCCTTGGGGTTCACCAGAAAAATGTTACCAGAAAGGGCTCCCGATCCAGACCCCAAGAGAGGGTTCTTGCATCTTGAGCAAGAAAGATTTTGAGGGGAGTCCACAGAGTAAAGTGAAAGCATGTTTATTAAGAAAGTAAAGAAATAAAAAGAATGGCTACTGCATAGGCAGAGCAGCCCCAAGGGCTGCTGGTTGCCTATTTTTATGTTTAAAAAAATTATATGCTAAACAAGGAGTGGATTATTCATGCTTTCCCTTTTTAGACTATATAGGGTAACTTCCTGACGTTGCCATGGCATTTGCAAACTGTCATGGTGCTAGTGGGAGTGTAGCAATGAGGATGACCAGAGGTTACTCCTCTTGTCACCATATTGGTTTTGGTGGGTTTTGGCCGCCTTTGTTAGTGCTACCTGTTTTATCAGCAAGGTCTTTATGACCTACATCTTGTGCTGACATCCTATCTCATCCTGTGACTTAGAATGCTTTAATCTCCTGGGAATGCAGCCCAGCAGGTTTCAGCCTCATTTTACCCAGCCACTGCTCAAGATGGAGTTGCTATGGTTCAAACGCTTCTGACACCAAGACTAATGAAATATTCCTTTCAGTTATGGTATTGTTCCAGATACTGCCAGCCAAAATGCAACAACCCCAAGATAAAAGCCTATTGCCTCCAAAGTAATGAGTTAACAGATTTAGCTCGAAAGGAGAGGGTGAGGCCTGAGGGATTTGAAAAGAGGGCAGGCTAGGTCTAGAGTCTACCACAGTGTGGGCCTTAGGAAGCATAGCAATATAGGGCCTGAGAAGGATGGGAGAAAGGGGCATGGAGGTAGGAAGTCTCCTAGTTCCTAGTTTTGCCACTGGCCTTCCAGGGATTTGTGAGTGTATACATATTTTTAGCTGCAGTTCTCATTTTCCTCCCAGTTATTATAAATTACCTGTCTGGGGAGGCTGTTTTTCCTAGTTTCTCTCTCCCGTCTTCCTCTCCTTTTATTTTCAGTTGTTTGGAAAGCAGTATCTTCCCAACTGTCCCTACCTACCATTCTCCCTCACCTTCCCCCAGCTAATTACTCCTTCCATCCCTTCTCCCAGGCTTGTCTTTTCTCCTCAGCAACATCCAAAGCCAGTGAATTATTAGGTCTGAGATTGAGCCCAGACCATTGGGAATCCTGGATGCCACAGATGGACGGATTAGTACCTTAGAAAAATCATTTCCAGAGGCTCTTTCAGAAACAACAAAAAAGAGTCAGGAAAACGGCCGGGCCCGGTGGCTCACACCTGTAATCCCAGCACTTTGGGAGGCCGAGGCGGGCAGATCACGAGGTCAGTAGATCAAGACCATCCTGGCTAACACGGTGAAACGCTGTCTCTACTAAAAATACAAAAAATTAGCCGGGCGCAGTGGCGGGCGCCTGTAGACCCAGCTACTCGGGAGGCTGAGGCAGGAGAATGGTGCGAACCTGGGAGGTGGACCTTGCAGTGAGCTGAGATCAGGCCACTGCACTCCAGCCTGGGTGACAGAGCGAGACCCCTCTCAAAAAAAAAAAAGAGTCAGGAAAACAAAGTGCTTATTGGCTACCTCAGGCAGCTCAGGTTTCCAAGTCAGACCGTGGTACCTGGGCTTGGTTAAGTGTTGCAGGCATCTACTGCCAATTTCTTGCCGTTGAGCAAGAGAATTGGAATGAATAATGTTACAGTCAATTTTGTTTTTCTAGTTACAGAAAGACTACTTGAAAATACATTTGCAAAATTACTATCGTTTCCTTTAGGGCCCTGAATCCTTTTTTTTTTTTTTAACAGTAAAATAACCATCTCTATAAATCTAATCTTAGACTTTTTTTGCGGAGCTGGTTTAACAACTACCTGGTAAAGTCAGGGGCAAGGTTTAGAATGAGTGTCTGGCTGCGGGAAACAGTCACTCTCAATTGATTTTACCCTTAAAGAAAACCAGAATTTTTGGAAGGGAGGAAACCAATCATCAAGCCAAAAACTATAACCATTGTATTTGTGTAGCACGTGGCACTTAAATATTTTCGTTTGTTGCCTTATTTGATTCTCACAACCACTTGGTGGGCCAGATAGGACAAATAGTATTTCCATTCAATAGCTGAAGAGAGAGGCCCAGAGTAAGTGAATTGTGCAAAGTCACAAAACACATTAGGGGCAGAACAGCCTTAGAACACAGGTCTTCTTTGGGTCTGGGACCAGGATTACACCTTAGAGACCACCACAGCCTTTGTCAAACAAGGGGAGTTGATATGTAGATGTTTGGGGTGTTCAAGGAGGGAGGAAAAGGAAAAAAACACATGAAATTTAAAATTTATCAAAATACAGCTTACATAATATCAGATCATGTTCAAAAGTGGTCCTGCTAGAAAGCCTTCTCACTTCTTTCCTTGGACACCTGAAATAGCACAGTTCCTTCCATTTCAACTCCTTTTCATTGCCGCTCATTCTATTCCCAGACTCTGCCTAAAGACTATGTAAACATTTGCTTTCTTAGCTCTGAACTTCTCGTGCAAACCAAAGAACGGGAGGCAAACACTGCTGCCCTTCATGGCCCTCAACAAATATGAAAAACCTGAGAAGAGAAAGAAGTTTTTGGTCACTTCTAAGTCAGGGTGACATCATTGATATATGGCACTACCTATTGGAAGCCAGCCCTATACCCCTACTCAAAAGTGATAGTGAAAATATGCTTGATCTATTTTTGTGTTTTTCAAACTGATGGTACAACCCGTTAGGAAGTTGTAAAAAAATCAGTTGAGCAACTTATGACCAGCATTTAAAAAAAATAATAGAATGAAATAGAAAATGCAAGGACCACACTGCAAGTGGTAAACGTGAGTTTTATTTTGGACATTATACACACACACACACACACACACACACACACACATACACCCACATATATAGGTTTACTTGTGCATCTGTATACCGGGTTGTGATGTAAAATATACTTCTCACTGTGGGTCATAGTGAAAATTTTGAAAGCTCTCTCTCTAAAGAATGCATATACCACAATCCCAGATTTATGTTGTGTCCTAAGACCCCTCCATCTGACACATTATTCCAACAATACATTTTTCTACCTTTTACTGCTTCCCTAGAAAGCTAGACTGACCTACATAGCTGACTGAGAGTCACTGAGAACTCTTTTGTAAAGAAAGCTGCATTTGGCAAAAGGTAAGCATTTATTAATAGAATACAGCAGTTTGGAAAAAAGTGTTTCGATGAAATACTTTTATTATACAGAGCCAACTACAAAATCAAAAAGCCAAAAATGCCTTACCATTTTCCCCTAAATATGTGTGGTTATGTTAAAGCACACATAGGACAGGAAGGACAACACAGGCTTATAACAAAAATCAGTAAATGGAATCCCCTTCTACCAAATTTCCTGCCCAATTTCAGGCAAATAGTGAATTCATCAAAATTTCAGAAAAGAATTCACAGTACCTTCTTGGCTTTTGACTTCCTGCTCCTTTTCCAAACACTGTGCTTATCCTTGAACCTTACTGGGGCTATCTTTATAGATACACTATACATTACTAGGTGATTTCCAAAAAGTATGAAAATGTTACCATGACTCAAATTCACTGAGGAATCTGTGGCTCTTACAGCCATATGGGCTACTCAAGAAATACAAATGGCATGGTGACAGAATTTGTTTGAGTCATGAATTATTAGTCTTGTAAGCTTACAGCCTTTTACTTCCACTAACGCCTACAAATTTAGACCTAAGTAGATTCCTAGCCATTTTTATCTAGGCAAAACTCCTAAGATGCCATTGTTTATAAGACTCACCATTACTTTACCACTGAGAAAGGGGAAATGAGACACAACTATAATATGGCATCAATTTAAGATCTGTACCAATTCCAGAGATGTTAAAATGTGAAAAATACATGCATCTTTGAAGAGATAAAATATGATATTTAATTTTAAGAGCTATTACTGTGCTTTAAAATTAGAGATGAGGTCTTGCTGTTGCCCATGCTGGAGTGCAGTTGTGCAGTTATGGCTCATTGCAGCCTTGAGCTCCTGGGCTCAAGCGATGCTCCCAACTTAGCTTCCTGAGTAGCTGGGCATATGCCATTTTGCCCTGCTAACTTACTTTTGTAGAGACAGTGGTCTTGCTATTTTGCCCAGGCTGGTCTCGAATTCCTGGGCTCAAGTGATCTGCCCACTTCAGCCTCAGAAAGTGTTAAGATTACAGGCGTAAGCCACCATGCCTGGCTGGCTGTTGCTTCTTCTCATTCCCCTCCAAAAAAGTCTGCTGACATATATATTTTTTTAATTTTCTTTTTTTATTATACTTTAAGTTTTAGGGTACATGTGCAGAACATGCAGGTTTGTTACATATGTATACATGTGCCATGTTGGTGTGCTGCACCCATCAACTCATCCTTTACATTAGGTATTTCTCCTAATGCCATCCCTCCCCACTCCCCCCACCCCACAACAGGCCCCGGTGTGTGATGTTCCCCACCCTGTGTCCATGTGTTCTCATTGTTCAATTCCCACCTGTAAGTGAAAACATGCGGTGTTTGGTTTTCTGTCCTTGCCATAGCTTGCTCAGAATGATGGTTTCCAGCTTCATCCATGTCCCCAGAAAGGACATGAACTCATCCTTTTTTATGGCTGCATATTAGTCCATGCTGTATATGTGCCACATTTTCTTAATCCAGTCTATCATTGATGGACATTTGGGTTTGTTCCAAGTCTTTGCTATTGTGAATAGTGCCACAATAAACATGTGTGCATGTGTCTTTACACCAGCATGATTTATAATCTTTTGGATATATACCCAGTAATGGGATGGCTGGGTCAAATGGTATTTCTGGTTCTAGATCCTTGAGGAATCGCCACACTGTCTTCCACAATGGTTGAACTAGTTTACAATCCCACCAACAGTGTAAAAGCGTTCCTATTTCTCCACATCCTCTCCAGCACCTGTTGTTTCCTGACTTTTTAATGATCGCCATTCTAACTGGTGTGAGATGGTATCTCATTGTGGTTTTGATTTGCATTTCTCTGATGGCCAGTGATGATGAGCATTTTTTCATGTGTCTGTTGGCTGCATAAATGTCTTAAGAAGTGTCTGTTCATATCATTTGCCCACTTTTTGATGGGTGGATTTTTTTCTTGTAATTTTGTTTAAGTTCTTTGTAGATTCTGGATATTAGCCCTTTGTCGATTCTGGATATTAGCCCTTTGTCAGATGGGTAGATTGCAAAAATTTTCTCCCATTCTGTAGGTTGCCTGTTCACTCTGATGGTAGTTTCTTTTACTGTGCAGAAGCTCTTTAGTTTAATTAGATTCCATTTGTGTATTTTGGCTTTTGTTGCCACTGCTTTTGGTGTTTTAGTCATGAAGTCCTTGCCCATGCCTATGTCCTGAATGATACTGCCTAGGTTTTCTTCTAGGGTTTTTATGGTTTTAGGTCTAACATTTAAGCCTTTAATCCATCTTGAATTAATTTTTGTATAAAGTGTAAGGAAGGGATCCAGTTTCAGCTTTCTACATATGGCTAGTCAGTTTTCCCAGCACCAGTAGGGAATCCTTTCCCCATTTCTTGTTTTTGTCAGGTTTGTCAAAGATCAGATGGTTGTAGATGTGTGTTATTATTTCTGAGGGCTCTATTCTGTTCCATTGGTCTATGTCTCTGTTTTGGTACCAGTACCATGCTGTTTTGGTTACTGTAGCCTTGTAGTATAGTTTGAAGTCAGGTAGCATGATGCCTCCAGCTTTATTCTTTTTGCTTAGGATTGTCTTGGCAATGCAGGCTCTTTTTTTAGCTCCATATGAACTTTAAAGCAGTGTTTTCCAATTCTGTGAAGAAAGTTCTTGGTAGCTTGATGGGGATGGCATTGAATCTATAAATTACCTTGGGCAGTATGGCCATTTTCACAATATTGATTCTTCCTATCCATGAGCATGGAATGTTCTTCCATTTGTTTGTGTCCTCTTTTATTTCGTTGAGCAGTGGTTTGTAGTTCTCTTTGAATTAATTGCCTCCCACAGGGGTTTCTTCTTTATTAGTCTTACTAGTACTCTATCTATTTTGTTGATCTTTTCAAAAAACCAGCTCCTGGATTCATTGATTTTTTGAAGGGTTTTTTTTTGTGTGTGTGTGTCTCTATCTCCTTCAGTTCTGCTCTGATGTTAGTTATTTCTTGCCTTCTGCTAGCTTTTGAATGTGTTTGCTCTTGCTTCTCTAGTTTTTTTAATTGTGATGTTAGGGTGTCGATTTTCGATCTTTTCTGCTTTCTCTTGTGGGCATTTAGTGCTATAAATTTCCCTCTACACACTGCTTCAAATGTGTCCCAGAGATTCTGGTATGTTGTGTCTTTGTTCTCATTGGTTTCAAAGAACATCTTTATTTCTGCCTTCATTTCGTTATTTACCCAGTAGTGTTGACATATTTTTAATGTAGAATTAAATTTAATGAACCATTCTTTCTGGAAATCAACTGTATTTTGGTTTCACTGCCTATCGAATATAGCATTTTAGCTGGTTTCTCAAGGTTAAGATTTCCAACTTCTCACCAAAAACCTACAGGTATCTCAAACAAGTGATGATCTCAGGAATGTGAATAATTGGCAGGAAAAGGAGACAGATGTGGCAGGTTACAGAAAGAACCAAAAGAAGATCCAAGTTGTTAACCATTGTTGTCAACACACTACTGTAATTTTTTTCTAAATTTAAAAAACCTTATATTGTAAAGAAACAAGTAACCATTCTGAAACCTAAGAACAAAAATCAAAAGACCTTAAAACAATCTTGAGAAAATCTGTCACAAGGCAAAATTTTATTTTTTCAAGTTACAAAAATAGGAGCATGTCAAAAATACAGTCTAGTCCTTATACGAGTAGTTCCAGCCATTTAAAAGTTATACAGAGTTTGGAAAAAGCAGTTTATATACAAGTCTTAAAACACAACAATCATGAACAATGCACACCGTTCAATGTAGTTATTGCTAGTTATATGCAGCTTTTAGTTACCATTGTTCTTCTCTGTAAGGGAAAGGACAGCATTTGGACATTCTGATTGTTGCTGCTGAAGCTGTGGTTTTGGAAAATCAATCCAAAATAAGAATAAGCTCACTATGAGTAGAATAAAACGTGTAAGTTTCAATCAGTACTACAAGAAAGCATGGTTTAAATTTGAGTTCCATACAATTCTACATAACTCTATTTTGTTACTATAACAGAAATACAGTGTATAGTTTTGGGCAAGAGTAAATGAATTACTGGTTTTATAATTAAGTGAAAAGAAACAGTTTTTGGTTGCAATGTAGAAACAAAGCTGGCATATCTAGCTTACAAACATTAAAAAATGGAAAAGATATTTAATGTTTAAGCAAAAGCTGAACCTAGGTTATTTACCTTTAGAAATTAAGAGATAAAGTTAAGCATTTTGTTCTTTTGAGGATTATCATGAAGATTTGCTATTCTCTATTTTCTTTTTAAAAAGAAGAGTTATCCACATAGCGGGAACATATTTTGAAACAGATCTATTTGCTCAATGTCATATGGAAGAACAAATCACAAAATTAAATAATTCTACCTTTAAATAATTAAAGATAATGCAGTTGACAGTACAAAGCACTGGGAAAAAATCACTTATTTGGGGGATGTGTGATACATAAGAAACTTTGGGCCTAAAGTTCACATGGAAGACTGGAAGACTTAAAATTTAAGGGTGTCACCAAAAGATAACAATGGCTTTGACTCCAACTCTCATGTTAGACCCTGTTAAAAGGTTAGGTTTATTGCTGTTATTTTACCCCAGTAAGTTATTGAATAAATGGAGATATACATTGGTGATAAGTATGAGGTGAAGTAAAAAGATCTAAAAATATTAGTCTTAGAACAAAAATGACACTCATGATCACTTGGCAAGGATACTTATTTACTTAGTGATTTAAATCCTAAAAATAAGCTACATTTTTAGGAGGTAGAAAACAAGTACCAATAGTTTACCATTTGGCCACCCTCCTTACTTTTGGCTTCAGCCTTGGATTTCTATTTCTCATTCCCTATTCTCCTGTTAAAGCTATTAGTTCTACTACCATTCATTACCTAAATGTATAGACCTGGAGCTGCCAAGAAAAATCTTTTTAGGAAGCTTTGCTTTTAAGCCACCAAATGCACCCAATACTCAGATATCAACTGAGAACGTTTTGCACCTCTCTAGTTGATTAATTTACTTCACACAAAAAAATGCCAAAACAAAAATTACTTAAAATGAAAAACGACCACTGAACATCTCTATATGCAATTCCAGTATGTCAGAGTAGTTATGTAAACCTAAATCTGTACTATTTTCACTGAACTGATTTGAAAAAGCCATATATTAAAATGGCATTACCAGTGTTAACTGAAAACAGGCAACGTGTTTTACTAGAAAATTAACCTAATAACCAAAAAACTCCACTTCTTCCCAGAGTGTTATATTGTGCTGACATCCCATAGATAATATTATAAAAAGATTTTATTTTTGCAATAGGCTGGGTTCACAGTGAGTATGTTAGTACCAAGATCATGTGTTTAATATTATTATAAGAATGTCATTAGTGGAATGTATATAAGGCATGTAAAAAAATAGTTTTAAAGCTCTTAGAGGGCAATGCTCCAAACTGGCAGCTGCTAGAAAAGGTGCTGACAGGAATAGAAAATATTAAAGAAATTTAGTTTCAGCACATATTATAGTGCTTCTACAATCAAAATAATTCACATAAATTTCAATTGCTGGAACTAATGGACCAAATGAGAATGGACTTTTGCCCCTTTAACTACTAGACCAATCTTGAAAACGGAAGCAATCACTTGCAATCTTCCACACAGTATTGTTGGGAGTGGACTGAGCAGTCAGCAGGAAGTTCTGGTTGAAGAAATGTTGTTTGTTTCCATCAAACTTCACAGTTCCACTGGTCACAACAAGAACTGTAGTTTGGGACTGAGTTGCTTGCTCTTCATCCACATTAAAAAAAAAAGAGAACACATCATTTTCTATCTCTAAATAAGCAGATTTTCAGGCTTAAAATACATTGTTTATGGACTAATGCTTAAAATTTTTTTCATACACTTTCTGTCCCTTGAGCATAATCTTAAGCATGCATACTCAAACCCAGAAAACTAAGTACTTAGTAAAAGATATTAAAATTATTTTCAGTCCAGAAAACTTTGGGATACTCTAGTTTCAAAATGAGGAGCTTATATCTAGCATAGGACCATTTGCTTCATATATATATAAATATTTCAGAATTAATATTTCAGGTTTCTAACAGAGCTTATTCATGCTTTGCTTCTTAAACTATTGTTCTTTTCAGGAATTATAAAGGAAAAAAATCACCCTGAACTACAATTTAAGACACTTAGGACCCCACCTAGAGGTTTTATTAAACTGTATCAATCTACCTGGAATCAAATTTTCTTGTAAAAAGTCATCCTTTCACATAACAGAGTAAATTTCTGTGAAATATTAGTAGATTGTAAGATACTGAACACATTAATCAGAGATATGGTATAATTTTACTCTGGAGACATTTCAGGGTCCAGCAGGCAACTATTTAGAGAAATCAGATAATCTTTCCCTGCCATTTACAAAAATCACATTAATCTCAACTTTTCATACAACTTTTAATAAGCCAAAATCACATAATCCATCAAAAGCTACTAGTGGAAAGAATCTGAAGGAAGACCAAAGTTTGACTGGACAGTTACATTTTTCATAATATTTAACTTGCTCAAGTAAGTAAATAGTTCTACCACTAAAAGTTTCTCGCTGCTTTTGGTGTAAAAGCTCAGTGCTTACTAGAGGAAAACAAAGGAAGCATCTTGAAAGATCATGATCTTACCATGAACTGGTTGGCAATCTAACATATTGACCTGGAACTCACTAGAAGGCAATGTGTCAAAAAAATTATTTAGGGCATCCAGCCCTGAAACAGCATTTCCATTCCATATTAAGGTGGCCTTGTCCAGATACAGCCTGGTTAGTGCCTAAAAAGAAAGACAAATTTAAAAAAGGGAAATAATTCTGTTTCTAGATAAACATTTTATAGAAATGGATTAAAATATTACAGATGGTATATAAACATTTTTTGTAGTTCTACCTTCATCTCCACTCCCCTTGCTCCATCTCCACTGGAAACCCATGTGAACAAAACGTCTGTCTTATAATCTTGGCCTTAAATAAATATCACCTTACTCTTTATAAACTAGGCAGTAAAATATATTTTTTCATATTTCACTTTAGACACAATAAAACCTTCCACCCAATTAAGTTCTGCTTTCTGTATTCAAATGAATTAAATGATCACAAATTCCAAGCAAATGCAGCCCCAAGCCAGTTTTAGTGTGTCTTCCTTTTGTAATTATGAGAATTAACAAAGTTTTTGATCAAGCCCTACCTGTACCCTTTAATGCTAGTGGCTATATATATATATGAAACATTTAATATTTGCATGTGTTAGAAAGAATTAGTTCACTACTCCCACTTTTTAGAGAAGAGGTTTATGTTTTCTTAAAAATTATTCTGTTTTTTAAAAAAATTGAGACAGGGTCCTGCTCTGTTGCCTCAGGCTGGTCTCAAACTCTTGGGGTCAAGAAATCCTCTTGCCTCAGCCTCCCAAGTAGCTGGGGTTACAGGCATGTCATACCATGCTCGGCTATAGTACTACTCTATTAGTGTACTTAGTTCAAAAGAATCATGAGTACTTGCTAAAGCAGAGACTTCGATAAGTCAAATAAGTTAAGGCCCAAATGAGGCAGAAATTCCACAGTTAAAACTCTGGGGTCACAAGACACACTATTAGCTTAATTCTATAATGTAACTTGGGTTAAAAGGCCAGGCAGGCATGGTGGCTCACGCCTATAATACCAGCACTTTGGGAGGCTGAGGCGGGTGGATCATGAGGTAAGGAGTTCAAGACCAGCCTGGTCAAGATGGTGAAACCCCATCTCTACTAAAACTACAAAAATTAGCCGGGCGTGGTGGCAGTTGCCTGTAATCCCAGCTACTTGGGAGGCTGAGGCAGGAGAATCGCTTGAACCCGGGAGGCAGAGGTTGCAGTTAGCCAAGATCGCGCCACTGCACTCCAACCTGGGTGACAGAGTGAGACACCATCTCAAAAAAAAATAAATAAATAAAAATAAAAAAAAAGGTCAACACATATATTGACACTGGTAATAAACAATGTTGTCTTTTTTTTTCTACTTTATTTTTTGAAAGCAGTAAGGTACAATACACATTCAAGGCAAGGCACAATAAACATCCATTGTCACAACCCTTTTCCCTGACATCAAATATCAGTACAAGAAACTTCTTTTATCTTTTGCCTTAAAAAATTGGTTTTCACCTGACAAAAACAAGCAATGGGGAAAGGATTCCCTATTTAATAAATGGTGCTGGGAAAACTGGCTAGTCATATGCAGAAAACTGAAACTGGACCCCTTCCTTACACTTTATACAAAAATTAACTCAAGATGGATTAAACACTTAAACGTAACACCCAAAACCATAAACCTAGGCAATATCATTCAGGACACAGGCATGGGCAAAGAGTTCATGACTAAAACACCAAAAGCAATGGCAATAAAAACCAAAATTGACAAATGGGATCTAATTAAACTAAACAGCTTCTGCACAGCAAAAGAAACTATCATCAGAGTGAACAGGCAGCCTACAGAATGGGAAAAAATTTTTGCAATCTATTAATTTCCAAATCTACAGGAACTTAAACAAATTTACAAGAAAAAACAACCCCATCAAAAAGTGGGCAAAGGATATGAACAGACACTTCTCAAAAGAAGAAGTGGCCAGCAAACATATGAAAAAATCCTCATCATCACTGGTCATTAGAGAAGTGCAAATCAAAACCACAATGAGATACCATCTCACGCCAGTCAGAATGGCAATCATTAAAAAGTCAGGAAACAACAGATGCTGGAGAGGATGTGGAGAAATAGGAATGCTTTTACACTGTGGGTGGGAATGTAAATTAGTTCAACCATTATAGAAGACAGTGTGGCCATTTTTCAAGGAACTAGAACCAGAAATACCATTTGACCCAGCAATCCCATTACTGGGTATATACCCAAAGTATTATAAATGATTCTACTATAAAGACACATGCACACATATGTTTATTGTGGCACTATTCACAATAGCAAAGACTTGGAACCAACCCAAATGCCCATCAATGTTAGACTGGATAAAGAAAATGTGGCACATATACACCATGGAATACTATGCAGCCATAAAAAAGGATGAGTTCCTGTTCTTTGCAGGGACATGGATGAAGTTGGAAACCATCATTCTCAGCAAACTAACACAGGGACAGAAAACCAAACACAGTTATGTTTTCACTCATAAGTAGGAGTTGAATAATGAGAACACATGGACACAGGGAAGGGAACATCACACACCTGGGCCTGTCAGGGGGTGGGGGGCTAGAGGAGGGATAGCATTAGGAGAAATACCTAATGTAGATGACGGGTTGATGGGTGCAGCAAACCACCTTGGCACGTGTATACCTATGTAACAAACCTGCACATTCTGCACATGTATCCCAGAACTTAAAGTATATATATATATAAAATCCTATGCTTAATAAATGGGTTTTATATAAAAAATAGGTTTTTAGAGATAGGGTATTAACTTTTGCAGCTGCAGGACAGAAGTAGTTCTCCAAAGCACAGTTCTATGCTGGTAAGAGACCTAGGCAAGACTCACTTGACCACATACTGACATAATTACGTAAAAGATATGGTGCAGGGATAAGTTGCAATGAAAAAGCTGATGAAATCTCGGTCTGTTGAGGACTTAATATTATCCATGCTACATGCATACTTTTTGTGGGTGTAAGCTATACTTTTGAGCCATGATCAGAAATTATCTATAAATATATGAAATAAAAGGGGCGAATCAGGAAATATTCCCCGTAATGACCCACCCCTTCATTAGCACTAATAATACCTTAACCATATTGGTTAATTGATGGAACTAAGAAAAGGAAACATATTTAAGAAAATATGCTGGGCCTAATGTTAAGTGCGGTATTTTAATTAATTCATACTTACCAACCTGAAAATAAAATGAGGTTAAGGGAAAATGGCAACTTGCTCCAGGTCAAAGAACTAGGTAAAAGTAAACCTGGGATATGATTCCAGAGCCCATGTTCCCACTAATGCCATACCAATCCTTCCCTGAGCAATTTGCTTTTAAAGAGTAAATCCACAGTTACCACTTATGCAAGTCAGATGAAACGCTGGCTCCAGACACAACCTGGTATTTAATAAAGAGTAGTAGTCTATAAAGAGTAGTAGAGTCTATAACACTCACCCGTCTTCTTTTATCCATTGTCTCATAGTAAATATTGACAAACTCCTCAGCAGCTCTACATGCCTGATCTACATAAGTTTTAAAATCCTACAAGAAAAATTCCAGAAGTATAGATTACCAACCTTTTCAACCCCTCACAAACACAAAACCACTGACAGAAGCTGATGATTTATTTCAACCACTATGTAGCTCTATATACAGTCCACATTCTTTCATATAAATTCAGACATTTTAAAGGCCGGACTCTGAAGTTTGCAATTTTAAAATTTTTCACTAATTTTAAGTGCATGTCTTTAGGACATAATCTTCTCAATGAATCTGAGTCTTTTTCAGTCTCCACATATAAATTTATAATCTTTTCTTGGCAACTAAGCACTTTAGACTTTCAATATTTTACAAACATTCACGGCAATGAAAATGACACCACCTGAACCTTAGAAAAGGAGAGAGAGCGGCAAAAACTGCCACTGAATAAGCTAGGAAATTGTTTTCTGTTTTCAAGTGAGGTGTTAGAGCCAAACTCCAAAGTTGATGAATGGGAAACACACACACACACACACACACACACACACGAAAGTAGTTCAACTACTTGAAAAACCGGCAGCTCCACTTAGGAAACTTTCCCACATTGCGTAAATATTCACTGCTGTTTGCCTAAGAACTGTGACACCGAAGAAAGCAACGCTGTTGGCGTTCGTGCCGGAGAATTAAGGAATACCTTCCTTCTCATTCATGTACGGGGCCCAGTCTATTACTAAATTAAGAACAATGAATCGCCAGTTTCTTTGTCAGGTGACTGAAAGTGATTTTTAGAGAGGAAGATAATCGAGAGAAAGAAACTGCAAGCCATAAACAACAAACCCCAACATCCCCGCCTCTCGCTATTTCCCAGCTCAGGGTCCTTTCCGGGATCAGAAAGCGACTGCTAACCAGGCTGGGGGTGGGGCCGGCAGGGCGGGCAGCAAAGCGTGGGCCCCGCCCCGCAGTGCAGAGAGCCGGGACGTGATTCGTCACCTATCCACGTGAGCAGCAGCCAGACCGCCCCGGAATCCCTCCTCTCAGCCACTGGAGTCCGGCGCCCAGCCGTCCTGCCACGGCCCAGGCACTCACCAGAGACGTGGCCATCTGGGACCTTGTAGCAGTGTGTTCTGGCAGTGTCGGCGTCACTACCTCCTCACGTGTCCGGTCCGCAGGGCTGCGGAATGATCAATACTTATGAAGAGAGCGAAACCCGCCAAACGCACAAAATTTTCCACCCTCCCATTCTCTCCCGGAAGTAGCTCGGTCCGTCGTTAAAAGCACACCGATGTTCCAACCTTAAGTTCCACTTCCCTTCAGTTCCTGAAGATCCCTCCCATCCACCTTATCTACTTGTTTGATACTTAGTTTAAAATTTAAAAGCCACTTTGCTTTTGTAAACATGATACTCAACAGGAAAGTCCCCTACTTTTCTAACGACAAGCCTGGGGACAAGCAAAAATGAAAGTGTTCAATTACAGGGACTTTTTTGCCCCAGGAGGCGGAGCCAAAGCCCTCTGAAGACCAATTAGAAATGCGAGGAGACCTACTATTCCGTAGCCTATAGGATAAGTGGGCAGAGCTTGGGGAAAGGCGTGCGTGACTAGTGAACAATTTAGCATTCTGGAACGTTCTGGAAGGATCATCCTCACTGAATTACTACGTTTTGGCAGTATGCCTAAAATTACTATTTCATTTTAACCCAGCCACATTGAACAGGAAAAGTTCATCTGGTTTCTCCATTCTGGCATTTTAAAATGTCTCACGGACACCAACAAAAATTAAGTTTACAGTGCTATTCACCATCTTTTAAGGGCTATTTATTCTGCAAGGTATTCTAACAATAACTAAAATGTCGAGTGCTGACTATATGTAAGGTGCTTTTCTAATCAGTTTTACATATATTCACTTATTATAACAATGCTGAGGTAATTGCTATTATTTTATCATCTTCATTTTACAGCTAAGACTGTAAAATCTGCCTACGGTCACAAACTAGTTGAGATTCAAACTCAAGCAATATAACTGTCATGGCAATGTGGCTTTGCTCCCCAACACCCCTTAAAAACCTCTCATCCCAAAGCCGCCAATGACTTCTGATTTAAATGGCAAATTAATTAGATGTCGTAGTTTTACCTTGAGTGGCTGGTGTGTGGCCCCTCATAATAGTTACTTCTTCTTTGGTATCCTTCTCTGTCTCCCTGAGACCAGTGGCTTCTGTATTTTCTCATACTTTTAATCTTTCTCTTTATCTGGCTCTTTTCTCTTCAAGGTAGGACTAACGGAAGCTTCTTCTCAGCCAGCCAGCTTCCGTTTTCCGTTAACCTCTGACTGGCGTCACTTCCGGTGCATCCCCCCTTTTAAAGCCTCCCTTCTTCAGGGTGATCTAAATTGCTACTCGTATGCTAATGAATCTCAACAACCTATCCCAAGCCCCCACCCCTTATCTGAGCTCCAATTACACATAATAATTTTGCTAAACATGAACGTGACTGCACTATAGGCTTCTCAAACTTGTACGTCCAAAATTTAAACTCATTATTTCCTCCGCACTTCCAAACTTTTATATTCTCCCAGTCACCTATCTTGAATTCTCGGAATCTTTATTTTTTTGGTTCCGCTCTCCTCCTCATCATAATTCATTCAATAAATATTTATCAAGTATTCACTATGTGCCAAAGATTGTGCAAGGCTCTGTATATAGAGTGGTGAATAAAATAGGCATGTTTCGAATCCTTGTGAGGCTCAAAGTGTAATGAGAGTGCTAGACAATAAACATAACATTGAGTTACAAAGAAATACTAAGTAACTTGCTTAGTTCTGACCATTCCCTATAGCAACCCTTCTCCCTCTTCCCCTCCCCTCCCCTCCTCCTCCTCCTCCTCCTCTTCTTCTTTTTTTTAGAGACAGAGTCTCACTCTGTGGCCCAGGCTGGAGTGCAGTGGCATGATGTTGGCTCGCTGCCAACCTCCGCCGCCCGGGTTCAAGTAATTCCCTTGCCTCAGCCTCCCGAGGAGAGTAGCTGGGACTGCAGGCGCCAGCCACCACGTCCGGCTAACCCTCTTCGTTTTTCTCCCTCGCTCTTCTTGGCTCTCTCCCTCCCTTTCTCCCCCACACTTCTCTCACTTTCCCCATCTCATTCTCTCCTCCCTCTCTCACCCCCACTTCTCTCTCTTTCCCCCTCTCATTCCCCCTCTCATTCTCTCCTCCCACACAAACTTTGATAACTCTATTGTCTATTTTCTTCCAAATTCTCATAATCTTTAAATACCTACCTTGGTCTGATCTGAATTTATTTTCCCAGGCTATTCTCCCAAATTCACCAACACTGGCAAAGTTAACTACTACTGTTTGCCAAGAATGACTGATGTTTACTACTTCATTGGTGATTGTTTTTCTTGATTGAGAGATTGTGTTTTATATGATTTCATTCAATCCTCACAACCCCCAGAAAGGCAGACATTATTATCTAGATTTTTAAAAATTTAAACTTAAGTTTAAAGAAGTTAAGTAAATTGGTTAAGATGATACAGCTAGTGGACCTGGGATTTCAGTCCCAAACTTTCAAATCCCAAAGTCTGCTTTTAGACACTTGGCTATTCATGCATTTACTTATATATTCTTATTTTGGAATGTTCCCTCCATTTCTACCTGCCCTTCAGGGACCAGAACAGGTGCGATCTTCCCTATGAAGTCTTCCCTCATTTCATGTCCCCTGAACCCCAACTGTTGTGAGCTCTTTAATGGCTATGAGAATGGCTATTGGTGTGGGAAATAGTGTTGAAAAATATGGGAGGGTTGAAGTACTGGAAAGGGACAGCTGAGTTAGAGGTGGAGGGGAGCTCAGTTTTGCACTGAATTTTTGCACAGAATTTTGTGCTACAAAGTGGAAATTGCTACATTGTGCTACAAAGGTAGGAGACTGGGTAAACTGATAATATAGAAACCAATGATGGGCTCTGGTTGTCAGAGCAGTGAATTTAAAGATATGAAAACTATGTTGGATGGAGGGGGAGGGATGCAAATGGAAACAAAGTGAATAAGACACGGAGTTGCTCTTCACTAGATAACTGCAAATGTATAAAACTTGGGAAGAATGACTAGGAAGGGTGTGAAAGAGCTTTTCTTGGAACACAGCATAGCATTTTGATTGAGCACATTGTTGTTGGCACCAGTCTGGGCTCAAATCCTAATCATGCTACTGACTAGTTTTGTGACCTTGGCAAAATTACCATTCCATGACTCATACTCCCGATCTGTAAAATGGAAATGATATTAGTACATATTTCACAGCATTGCTTTAGGAATTAAATGAGTCAGTGCCTGTCATATAGTTCCTGCTTGAGGAGCATTATTTTCCTACCCATGGCAGAGGAAATTAGGCAGCCACTTATTTGAGAGTATGAGGCGGGTCCAGATTAGATAACATATGAGGTATTGAGAGGCATCTATCTGCACAGTTTAGGAGATGGCTGGTGACCCTGGGATAACAGACTGTAAGGAGCAATAAATTGTGTCAGGTAGGATTAAATGAGGCTGTGCTGTGCAGCCAGATCTTCTGATCAAGTGTAAACCTAATGGAATTAATGTTGTTGGGAATTACCAACATCCCCATCTGAATCTTTGCCTTGCTCAAGACTTGAGAAGAACTAATCTAGAACAACCAGGGAAGTGATCTGAGCAGTCAACTCCTTCCTCTGAGCTCCTTAATTGGTAACCATAGTGTTCACATCAAATAGTGCTTTTAAAAAAAAGTTTAATTGAGATATAATTCACATATACAATTCACTAATTTAAAAACCAATTCAGTGGTTTTTAGTATATTTACAGTTATTCAAGCATCACTGCACAACTTTAAAACATTTTTAACACCTCGAAGAGAAACCTCTTTCCCACTTCCCTTTTTACCCCAGCTCCTAGCAACCACCAATCTACTTCCTGTCTCTATGTATTTGCCTATTCTGGACATTTCATATAAATGTAATCCTACATTATGTGGTCCTCTGTGTCTGGCTTCTTTCACTTAGCAGAATATTTTCAAGATTCATCTGTGTTGTAGCATGTATGAACATTTCATTCTTTTTAATTGCAGAATAATATTCCATGGTATGAGTATAACACATTTTATTTATTCATCCATCCATTGATGGACATTTGGATGGTTTCTACTTTTTGGCTGTTATAAACAACGTTTCTAGGAACATTCGTGTACAAGTTTTTGTATTGACGTATCCTAGATACCTAGGGGTGGAATTGCTAATTCATATTGTAATTTATGTTTAATGTTTTAAGGAACTGTCAACCTGCTTTCCACAGTGGTTACAACATTTTACATTTCTGCCAGCAATGCATGAGGGTTCCAATTTCTTGACATCTTTACCAACACTTGTTATTGTCTGTATTTTTTATTACAGCCATCTTAGTGGGCATTGTGGTTTTGATTTGCATTTCCCTGATACCTAATGATATTGAGCATCTTTTCATGAACTTATTGTCCATTTGTATATCTTCTTTGAAGAAATGTCTATTTAGATTTTTTTTGTTTACTTTTAAAATTGGGTTATTTGGCTTTTTATTATTGAGTTTTGTGTTATATATATAGTTACAAGTCCCTGATCAGATATATGATGTACAAATATTTTGTCTCATTTTGTGGGTTAATTTTTGCTATTGTGGAGTTGTTGAGAGAGGTCTGGGAGTAGTTGAGCGTATCAAGTTATAATTCTACAAATCCTGGTGTCCTTAGAAATATTTAGCAGTTTCTGAATAAATACTCCTCAGATTCTCACAGATATTTACCTAACTTCTAGAGTTCTGCAAAAGATGATTTTGACCATTTTTGTCACTGTTTCCATTGTTTTTATGGAGTGGTGGTTTTATAGAGATGTGCACTCTGCCATTCCAGTAGTCCTGCCTAGATGGTACTTTTGCACATCCTTCAAAATAAATTGTTATAAATAATGCTGCAATGAACATGAGAGTGAAGATATCTTTATGAGGTGATAATTTCATTTCCTTTGGGTACATAGCAGTATTATTCACAATATCCAAGATATGGAAACAACCCAAGTGTCCATCAATGGATGAATGGATAAAGAATCTGTGATTGTGTGTGTGTGTGTGTGTGTGTGTACATATATATACACACACACAATTGAATATCATTGAGCCCTATAAAAGGAAGAAATCCTGTCATTTGCCACAACATGGATGAATTGGAGGACATTATACTAAATAAAGTAAGCTAGACACACAAAAAAATATTGCATGATGTCACATATGTGAAATCTGACAAAAAAGTCAAATATATGGAGATAGAGAATAAAATAGTGGTCACAGGGGTGTTGGGGCAGGTAGGGAGAGGAAATGAGTAGATGTAGGTCAAAGGATACAAAGTAGCAGATATGTAGGATGAACAAATCTAAACATCTAATATGTAACAGGACTGTAATTAATAGTAGAGTATTATGTTCAGGAATTTTTCTAAACAAGTAGTTTATAGCTGCTCTTGCCACATGGGAAAAATGGGTAACTATGCGAAATGATAGATATGATCATTTGATTCACTATGATAACCATTTGATTATATATGTATCTCATAACATAATTTTGTATACCTTAGATACATACCATAAAATGCATTCTAAAAAGACATTATAGTCTGTCTTTTATTATTTGTATTTTAAATTCCTACTATATTTTAAGTTCCCGGTGATAACTATATATTTTTCATATATTAAACACTTACCCAAACCACTGGCACTGAGAAAAACTCTTACACAAAGTAGGTGGTTAAAATTGAGTGACCAAATAAAATTTCCTTCTCCTTTTAGCTTGTCTCTATCCCCATTCTGAATCCATTCTGAAGGAAGTGAAGGTGTGAATTAATTTCCTATAAAGGAAACGTTTTCCTCCTGTGGCATAGAAGTGAGAGTATAATCCATTTTCGCCTCATTACTTTCCAATTGCTTCCTCTATGGGATATTCACAAGTCTTATCTTCAAAGGAGAACAATTCTTTCAACTCCCTGCTGGAAACTTATTTTTCTTCAAGTAATTATTTGCAGAAGCAAAACGAATAATAAGGCTTTCGTATTGGTTGAGCTCTCAGGTTTTGGGAAGTCCCTCTAAGACTCTGGCTTACCCAGTCTGCAAATTTCTTAGAAAAATGTAATTTATAATTGTCAGGATATCATAATGAAAGGTTCAGGCAGAGACATACATTTAATTAACAAGATGAACTAAAATCTGTTTCCTTATCTTATTTGGCTCTACCTGAGAAGTATTCTTCATACTAATCACCTGTTTCTTTCTTACTTTCTCCCTACCATTTAGCCCCAAACTTCTTCCCCCTCCCTTGAACTCAGTAAAAATGAAACAACAAATAGAGAAAACAAAAAGTGACTCTTCCCCGCAAAAAAGACATAAAATGTTAGAGGCTTAATGTAGTAACTCAGTTCTTCTCTATTACCTTTAAGTATATTTTCTTCTGATATTAAAATAGATCTACTAAATTATTTTAGTATTTGCCTGATACAACATTTTCTCATCATTTTACTTTCAACCTTTTTGAATCCTTATGTTGATGTGTCTTTTGTACATTGCATATAGCTGGATTTTATTTTTTTGGCCTGACGATCCATTTTTTTAAGAACATGATGTATAATTTGCATGAAGTAATGTTCATAAAGTTTAAGTGTACTACTGGATTGATTTTACAGAAGTATACCCTCACATAACTACTAACTCCATTAAAACAGAATATTTCCATTGTCCCAGAAAGCTCCTTCCTGTCCACTCCCAGTCAACACTCCCCAAAGGTAACCACTATAGTGACCATTATGATTATAAATAGCTTTTGTCAGTTATTGAACTTCATATAAATGGTATCATATAATACATATTCTTTAGCATCTGGCTTCTTTTTTAATTTAAATTTTAATTTTTACTAGACAAATAATAATTATGTATGTTTATGAGATATAATGTGTTGTTTTGAAATATGTATACATTGTGGAATGATTATATGAAGCTAATTAACATATGCATCACCTCACATACTTACTTTTTTGTAGAGAATATTTAAAAATCTATTCTTGGGGCTGGGTGTGGTGGCTCATGCCTGTAATCCCAGCATTTTGGGAGGCTGAGGCAGGCGGATCATTTGAGGTAAGGAGTTTGAGACCAGCCTGGCCAACATGGTGAAACCCTGTCTCTACTAAAAATACAAAAAATACAAAAAAAAAAAATTAGCTACGTGTGGTGGCGCACGCCTGTAATTCCAGCTACTAGGGAGGCTGAGGCAGGAGAATTGCTTGAACCCAGGAGACGGAGGTTGCAGTGAGCCGAGATCACGCTGCTACACTCCAGCCTGGGTGACAGAGTAAGACTCCATCTCAAAAAAGAAATCTATTCTTTTAGCAATTTTGAAATATACATTATTAACTGTGGTCACCTTGTCGTGCAATAGACTTTGAAAAATATCTGGCTTTTTAAACTCAACATTAATGTGAGATTTATCCATGTTTTTTCCTTGTAGTTCATTCTTTTTCATTGCTGTGAAGTATTTGTATGAATATATCACAGTTTGTCTATTCTCCCATTGACTGACCTTTGTGTTATTTTTGGTTTGGGGCTTTTTTTTTCTTTTTTGAGACAGGATCTCACTCCAGTGCAGCAGGGCAATCATGGTTCACTACAACCTCAGACTCCTGGGCTCAAGCAATTCTTCACCGTCATCCTCCCAGGTCACTAGGGAATACAGGTGCATGCCACAATTCTTGGCTAAATATTTTTTTTTAACAGACAGAATCTTGATATATTTCCCAGGATGGTCTCAAACTCCTGGACTCGAGCAATCCTCTTGCCTCTTGGGTATATCTTAAATATCCCCAAGGCTGTGAATATTCTTGCATGTGCCTTAAAATTGGACAAGAGCACTCATTTCTTTTGGGCATATACATAGGAGTGGCACTGCTACATTATACGGTACACATATGATCTGCTTTAGTAGATTCTGGCACATGGATTTCCAATTGACACCTTCACCAGCAACCTATGAAAATCTCAGTTACTTCATATTTTCGCCAACACTTGGTATTGTCAGTCCTTTTATTTTTAACTATTTTGATGGATGTGTACTGGTATCTCAGCATGATTTTGATGTGCATGTCCTGATAGGTAATAAGTTGAACTCCTTGTAATAGGCCTACTGGCCATTTGTTTGTCCTCTATAGTGAAAGGTCTGAGTGTTTTACCCATTTTTTGAAAAGATAGGTAGTCTGTTTTTACCCGTTTTTTTAAAAGATAGGTAGCCTGTCTTTTAAAAAAATTAATTTGTAGGGTTTTTCTTCGTTCTAGATACAAGTCTTTTGTCATATATATGTGTATATATATAGTGAATATATATACATATATATAGTGTATGTATATATATATTCATTAAGTATATATATATATATATATATACTATATATATAGTGAATGTCTTCTCTAAATCTGTGGCTTGCCTTTTTACTGTCTGGATGCCTTTTGATGAACAGAAGCTTTTAATTTTTATGAAGTACAATCTGTCAATTTCTCCTTTTAAGTTTATGTTTTCTGTGTCCTAATGAAGGATTTTTGCTTGCCTGAAGGTCCTTAAGATATTATCCCATGTTTTATTAATTTATATTTCACATAATATCTAATCCTTCTTAAATAAATTTTTGTGTGTAGTATGAAGCATAGATCTGGTGATCCAGAACAATTTACTGAAAAGGCCATTCTTTCACTCACTAAATTGCAATGGATGCTTTGCTGTAATTCAGGTAATGGTTTATAAATTACTTGACTTCCTAATCTGTTCCATGGATTTCTTTGTCAGTGTTTGCATCCCTATCACATTCAAATATTGGAGTTTTAAAATAGGCCTTGAAAACTTGAGGATGTGTAGTCTGCCAACTTTGTTCCTCTTTTCCCCAAAATTTGTCTGTACCTATTTTAGATCTTTTGCATTTCCATATAACTTTTATATGTAACTTTTCAATTTCTACACAAAGATATCCTTCTGTGCTTTTGATTTGGAGTGCATTGAATCTTAGACCAATTTGCAGAGAATTGAGATCTTAACAATATTCACTTTCCAAATCCATGCACATGATATATCTCTCCATTTATCTAGGTCTTCTTTGATTTCTTTCAGCAATGCTTCATAGGAGAGGTCTTCAACATCGTTCACTAGATTAATTCCTGGATAGCTCATTTTTTATACTATTGCAAATGATATTGTCTTTTAAAACATTTTCCCATTGTTTGCCATTATTTGTTTATTTTAGCGGGGGTCTCGTTTTGTCATCCAGGCAGGAGTTCAGTGGTGCGATCATGGCTCACTGCAGCCTCAACCTTTTGGGCTCAAGTAATCCTCCCACTTCAGCCTCCTGAGTAGCTGGGACCAGGCATGAACCACCAAGCCCGGCTGAATTTAAAAAAATTATTTGTAGAGACGGGGGTCTCTCTATGTTGCCCAGGCTGATCTCGAACTCCTGGGCTTAAGCAATCCTCCCCCTTGGATTCCTATAGTGTTGGGATTTCAGGCATTAGCAATGGCATCTTACCTGCTAGACATATGACTCATTCTTATGTGTTAAACTTTATCTAGAGACTTTGTTAAATTTACTTAAATATTTTTTTTTCTTGAGACAGGGTATTGTTCTGTCACCCAGGCTGAAGTGCAGTGGCATGATCATAGCTCACTGCAGCCTTGAATCCCTGGGCTCAAGTGATCCTTCCACCTCAGCCTCTTGAGTAGCTAGCACTGCAAATGTGCACCACAATGCCTGGCTAATTTTTTATTTTTAAATTTTGTTGTAGAGATGAATGTCTCAATATATTTCCCAGACTGATCTCAAGTTCCTGACCTCAAGTGCTCCTCCTGCCTTGGCCTTTCAAAGTATTGGGATTACAGGTATTAGCCAAAGTGCCCAACCTATTTAAACATTTATAACAATTTGTATATTCTTTTGGATATTTTATATACAAAATCATGTTATCCAAAATAGAGTTTACTTCTTTCTTTACAATCTTTATATCTTAAAATTAACTTTCTTGATGTATCAAACTGATTAAGGTTTCCAGTACAATTTTGAGAAATGGAAATAGTGGTCACTTTTGTTTTGATTCTCTTCTCAGGGGAAGAGTTCAATATTTCACCATAAAGTATGATGTCTGATTTTTAAAAACAACCCTTATTAGATTAGAACATTTCCTTTCTATTCCTACTTTGGTATGCTTTTTTTAAAAAAATCAAAAACAGATGTTGAATTTTATCATGTGCCATTTCTGCATCTATTGGTGGCTTTCCCCTTTATTCATCGAATATAATAAAATACATTGGTTGATTTACAAATGTTAAACCAAGGTTCCATTACTGGTCTAAATCTCAGTTAGTCATCATTTGTTTTATATATTACTGGATTAATGTAGCTAATATTTTGTTCAAGATTTTTGCATCTATGTTCATAATAGATATTGGCCTGACATTTTCCTTTCTTGCTATATTCTCATTAGATTTTGGTTTCAGGGTTCCGTTGGTCTCATCAAATATAGCTGGGTCAGCTTTCTTTTCTAGTGTTTGCATAACATATATTCCCACCCTTTTTACTTTTGACTTTTCTGTATCCTTTTGTTTACTTGGAGTCTCTTTTAAGCAGCATGTAGTTGTATTTTTTTTTTTTTTATAAAAGAAGCAGTCTGACGATTGTAGTATTTTAACTGGAGTGTTTAGTCCATTTGCATGTAATTTGTAAATATACTTGGTTTTATAGCTATCATTTTGCTATATGTTCTCTATTTGTCCTGTCCTTTATTTTTCCTTTCTTGACTTCTGCTTTATTATTCAAGTATTTCTATTCCACTATTTTCTTCTCTATTGCTTTTTAATTATACGTTATTTTGTAATTCTTTTTCTTGGTTATCTTAGGGATTATGAAAGGCATCCATGACTTATTCCAGTCTATCTTAAATTAGTATTTTTACCGTTTCCTGAACATGTAGTATATAACAGTTTCACTCCTTACTGACCACTCAACTTTTGTACAATTGTTGTTATGTCTTTTATTTTATTTATGTTTAAAACCCTATAGGAGGTAAATTTTATGTTATGTATATTTTACTACAATAAAAACATAGGAAATTATTATTATCATTGTTTTAAACAGTTAGTGCTCTTTGTTCCTTCCTGCAGTTTCAGGCTTCTATGTGTAATAATCTTCCCTGAGCACAAAGTCTCTTCTTTCATATTTCTTGTAGTGTGCATCTGCTAGTAACAAAAACTAACTTTTGTTTTTCTGAAAATATATTGTTATTTTATTTTATTTTATTTTATTATTATTATACTTTAAGTTTTAGGGTACACGTGCACAATGCGCAGGTTAGTTACATATGTATACATGTGCCATGCTGGTGTGCTGCACCCATTAACTCGTCATTTAGCATTAGGTATATCTCCTAAAGCTATACCCCCTCCCCTCACCCCACAACAGTCCCCAGAGTGTGATGTTCCCTTTCCTGTGTCCATGTGTTCTCATTGTTCAATTCCCACCTATGAGTGAGAATATGCGGTGTTTGGTTTTTTGTTCTTGCAATAGTTTACTGAGAATGATGATTTCCAAATTCATCCATGTCCCTACAAAGGACATGAACTCATCATTTTTTATGGCTGCATAGTATTCCATGGTGTATATGTGCCACATTTTCTTAATCCAGTCTATCATTGTTGGACATTTGGGTTAGTTCCAAGTCGTTGCTATTGTGAATAGTGCTGCAATAAACATACGTGTGCATGTGTCTTTATAGCAGCATGATTTATAGTCCTTTGGGTATATACCCAGTAATGGGATGGCTGGGTCAAATGGTATTTCTAGTTCTAGATCCCTGAGGAATCACCACACTGACTTCCACAATGGTTGAACTAGTTTACAGTCCCACCAACAGTGTAAAAGCGTTCCTATTTCTCCACATCCTCTCCAGCACCTGTTGTTTCCTGACTTTTTAATGATTGCCATTCTAACTGGTGTGAGATGGTATCTCATTGTGGTTTTGATTTGCATTTTTCTGATGGCCAGTGATGGTGAGCATTTTTTCATGTGTTTTTTGGCTGCATAAATGTCTTCTTTTGAGAAGTGTCTGTTCATGTCCTTCGCCCACTTTTTGATGGGGTTGTTTGATTTTTCTTGTAAATTTGTTTGAGTTCATTGTAGATTCTGGATATTAGCCCTTTGTCAGATGAGTAGGTTGCGAAAATTTTCTCCCATTTTGTATGTTGCCTGTTCACTCTGATGGTAGTTTCTTTTGCTGTGCAGAAGCTCTTTAGTTTAATTAGATCCCATTTGTCAATTTTGGCTTTTGTTGCCATTGCTTTTGGTGTTTTAGACATGAAGTCCTTGCCCATGCCTATGTCCTGAATGCTATTGCCTAGGTTTTCTTCTAGGGGTTTTATGGTTTTAGGTCTAACATTTAAGTCTTTAATCCATCTTGAATTAATTTTTGTATAAGGTGTAAGGAAGGGATCCAGTTTCAGCTTTCTACATATGGCTAGCCAGTTTTCCCAGCACCATTTATTAAATAGGGAATCCTTTCCGCATTGCTTGTTTTTGTCAGGTTTGTCAAAGATCAGATAGTTGTAGATATGCGGTCTTATTTCTGAGGGCTTTGTTTTGTTCCATTGATCTATAACTCTGTTTTGGTACCAGTACCATGCTGTTTTGGTTACTGTAGCCTTGTAGGATAGTTTGAAGTCAGGTAGCGTGATGCCTCCAGCTTTGTTCTTTTGGCTTAGGGTTGACTTGGCGATGCGGGCTCTTTTTTGGTTCCATATGAACTTTAAAGTAGTTTTTTCCAATTCTGTGAAGAAAGTCATTGGTAGCTTGATGGGGATGGCATTGAATCCGTAAATTACCTTGGGCAGTACGGCCATTTTCATGATATTGATTCTTCCTACCCATGAGCATGGAATGTTCTTCCATTTGTTTGTATCCTCTTTTATTTCATTGAGCAGTGGTTTGTAGTTCTCCTTGAAGAGGTCCTTCACATCCCTTGTAAGTTGGATTCCTAGGTATTTTATTCTCTTTGAAGCATTTGTGAATGGGAGTTCACTCATGATTTGGCTCTCTGTTTGTCTGTTATTGGTGTATAAGAATGCTTGTGATTTTTGCACATTGATTTTGTATCCTGAGACTTTGATGAAGTTGCTTACCAGCTTAAGAAGATTTTGGGCTGAGACAATGGGGTTTTCTAGATATACAATTATGTCATCTGCAAACAGGGACAATTTGACTTCCTCTTTTCCTAATTGAATACCCTTTATTTCCTTCTCCTGCCTAATTGCCCTGGCCAGAACTTCCAACACTATGTTGAATAGGAGTGGTGAGAGAGGGCATCCGTGTCTTGTGCCAGTTTTCAAAGGGAATGCTTCCAGTTTTTGCCCATTCAGTATGATATTGGCTGCGGGTTTGTCATAGATAGCTCTTATTATTTTGAGATATGTCCCATCAATACCTAATTTATTGAGAGTTTTTAGCATGAAGGGCTGTTGAATTTTGTCAAAGACCTTTTCTGCATCTATTGAGATAATCATGTGGTTTTTCTCATTGGTTCTGTTTATATGCTGGATTACATTTATTGATTTGCATATATTGAACCAGCCTTGCATCCCAGGGATGAAGCCCACTTGATCATGGTGGATAAGCTTTTTGATGTGCTGCTGGATTTGGTTTGCCAGTATTTTATTGAGGATTTTTGCATCAATATTCATCAAGGATATTGGTCTAAAATTCTCTGTTTTGGTTGTGTCTCTGCCTGGCTTTTGTATCAGGATGATGCTGGCCTCATAAAATGAGTTAGGAAGGATTCCCTCTTTTTCTATTGATTGGAATAGTTTCAGAAGGAATGGTGCCAGTTCCTCCTTGTACCTCTGGTAGAATTCAGTTGTGAATCCATCTGGTCCTGGACTCTTTTTGGTTGATAAGCTATTGATTATTGCCACAATTTCAGAGCCTGTTATTCGTCTATTCAGAGAGTCAACTTCTTCCTGGTTTAGTCTTGGGAGGGTGTATGTGTCGAGGAATTTATCCATTTCTTCTAGATTTTCTAGTTTATTTGTGTACAGGTGTTTGTAGTATTCTCTGATGGTACTTTGTATTTCTGTGGGATTGGTGGTGATATCCCCTTTATCATTTTTTATTGTGTCTATTTGATTCTTCTCTCTTTTCTTCTTTATTAGTCTTGCTAGAGGTCTATCAATTTTGTTGATCCTTTCAAAAAACCAGCTCCTGGATTCATTAATTTTTTGAAGGGTTTTTTGTGTCTCTATTTCCTTCAGTTCTGCTCTGATTTTAGTTATTTCCTGCCTTCTGCTAGCTTTTGAATGTGTTTGCTCTTGCTTTTCTAGTTCTTTTAATTCTGATGTTAGGGTGTCAATTTTGGATCTTTCCTGCTTTCTCTTGTGGGCATTTAGTGCTATAAATTTCCCTCTACACACTGCTTTGAATGTGTCCCAGAGATTCTGGTATGTTGTGTCTTTGTTCTTGTTGGTTTCAAAGAACATCTTTATTTCTGCCTTCATTTCTTTATGTACCCAGTAGTCATTCAGGAGCAGGTTGTTCAGTTTCCATGTAGTTGTGCAGTTTTGAGTGAGTTTCTTAATCCTGAGTTCTAGTTTGATTGCACTGTGGTCTGAGAGACAGTTTGTTATAATTTCTGATCTTTTACATTTGCTGAGGAGAGCTTTACTTCCAAATATGTGGTCAATTTTGGAATAGGTGTGATGTGGTGCTGAAAAAAATGTATATTCTGTTGATTTGGGGTGGAGAGTTCTGTAGATGTCTATTAGGTCCGCTTGGTGCAGAGCTGAGTTCAATTCCTGGATATCCTTGTTAACTTCCTGTCTCGTTGATCTGTCTAATGTTGACAGTTGGGTGTTAAAGTCTCCCATTATTATTGTGTGGGAGTCTAAGTCTCTTTGTAGGTCACTCAGGACTTGCTTTATGAATCTGGGTGCTCCTGTATTGAGTGCATATATATTTAGGATAGTTAGCTCTTCTTGTTGAATTGATCCCTTTACCATTATGTAATGGCCTTCTTTGTCTCTTTTGATCTTTGTTGGTTTAAAGTCTGTTTTATCAGAGACCAGGATTGCAACCCCTGCCTTTTTTGTTTTCCATTTGCTTGGTAGATCTTCCTCCATCCTTTTATTTTGAGCCTATGTGTGTCTCTGCATGTGAGATGGATTTCCTGAATACAGCACACTGATGGGTCTTGACTCTTTATCCAATTTGCCAGTCTGTGTCTTTTAATTTGAGCATTTAGTCCATTTACATTTAAAGTTAGTATTGTTATGTGTGAATTTGATCCTGTCATTATGATGTTAGCTGGTTATTTTGCTCGTTAGTTGATGCAGTTTCTTCCTAGCCTCAATGGTCTTTACAATTTGGCATGATTTTGCAGTGGCTGGTACCGGTTATTCCTTTCCATGTTTAGTGCTTCCTTCAGGAGCTCTTTTAGGGCAGGCCTGGTGGTGACAAAATCTCTCAGCATTTGCTTGTCTGTAAAGGATTTTATTTCTCCTCCACTTATGAAGCTTAGTTTGGCTGGATATGAAATTCTGGGTTGAAAATTCTTTTCTTTAAGAATGTTGTATATTGGCCCCCACTCTCTGCTGGCTTGTAGGGTTTCTGCCAAGAGATCCGCTGTTAATCTGATGGGCTTCCCTTTGTGGGTAACCCAACCTTTCTCTCTGGCTGCCTTAACATTTTTTCCTTCATTTCAACTTTGGTGAATCTGACAATTATGTGTCTTGGAGTTGCTCTTCTCGAGGAGTATCTTTGTGGCATTCTCTGTATTTCCTGAATCTGAATGTTGGCCTGCCTTGCTAGATTGGGGAAGTTCTCCTGGATAATATCCTACAGAGTGTTTTCCAACTTGGTTCCATTCTCCCTGTCACTTTCAGGTACACCAATCAGACGTAGATTTGGTCTTTTCACATAGTCCCATATTTCTTGGAGGCTTTGTTCGTTTCTTTTTATTCTTTTTTCTCTAAACTTCCCTTCTCGCTTCATTTCATTCATTTCATCTTCCGTCACTGATAGCCTTTCTTCCAGTTGATCGCATTGGCTCCTGAGGCTTCTGCATTCTTCACGTAGTTCTCGAGCCTTGGCTTTCAGCTCCATCAGCTCCTCCAAGCACTTCTCTGTATTGGTTATTCTAGTTATACATTCGTCTAATTTTTTTTCAAAGTTTTCAACTTCTTTGCCTTTGGTTTGAATTTCCTCCTGTAGCTTGGAGTAGTTTGATCGTCTGAAGCCTTCTTCTCTCAACTCATCAAAGTCATTCTCCGTCCAGCTTTGTTCCTTTGCTGGTTAGGAGTTGGGTTCCTTTGGAGGAGGAGAGGAGCTCTGCTTTTTAGAGTTTCCAGTTTTTCTTCTCTGTTTTTTCCCCATCTTTGTGGTTTTATCTACTTTTGGTCTTTGATGATGGTGATGTACAGATGGGTTTTTGGTGTGGATGTCCTTTCTGTTTGTTAGTTTTCCTTCTAACAGACACGACCCTCAGCTGCATGTCTGTTGGAGTTTGCTAGAGGTCCACTCCATACCCTGTTTGCCTGGTTTATTGAAGTGAAGTAATATAACATAAAATCAAAAACTTGAAAGTGAAAAATTCGGTATTATTTTGTATATTCACAATGTTGATCAACCACCACCTTAATACAGTTCCAAAATATTTTCAGAACTTCAAAAGGAAACACTATATTCATTAAGCAGTTACTCCTAATTTCCTCCTCCTTTCAGCTCCAAGTAACCACCAATCTGTTTTCTGTCTTTATGGGTTTAGCTATTCTGGATAGTTTATACAGTGGATCATATATAACCTTTTATGTCTGGTCTCTTTTACTTAGTATAAGGTTTTCAAGGTTCATTCATGTTATATCAGTACATTACTTTTTATGACTGAATAATATTTCAGTTTATAGCTGTATGATGTTTTACTTATCCATTCATCTGTTGATGGACATTTGGATTGTTTCCACCTTTAGCTATTGTGAATAGTGCTGCTGTGACCATTCATGTACATGTCTTTGTTTAGTACATTTTTTCAATTCTTTGGGGTATAGCATATATTTTTATTTTATTGCGATATCTTTGATCTTGGTATCAGGGTAATAATGGCCTCTGAGAATAAGTTAGGAAGTGTCCCTGGCTGTACAATTTTTTTGGAGAGTATGTGAAGGATTGATATTAATTATTCTTTAAAGATTTGGCAGACTTCACCAGTGAAGCCATCTGGTCCAGGGCTTTCTTTGAATTGAGAGGTTTTGATTGCTGATGATATCTCTGCTATTTTTTAATAGAAAATTGCATCAGATTTTCGATTTCTTCTTTTTTTCCCCTTTCAGCTCAACTTTTATTTATTTTTAATTTTTATGGGTTCACAGTAGGCATATCTATTAATGGTGTACATCAGATGTTTTGATACAGGCATGCAATGAGAAATAAGCACATCATAGAAAATGTGGTATCAATTCCCTCAAGCATTTATTCGTTGAGTTGCAAATAATCAAATTATACTCTTTAAGTTATTTTAAATTGTACAAATTAAGTTTTTATTGACTACAGTCACCCTGTTGCTCTATCAAATAGTAGGTCTTATTCATTCTTTCTATTTTTTTAACTCCCATTAACAATCCCCACCTCCCCCTTAACTCCCTACTACCCTTCCCAGCCTCCGGAAACCATCCTTCTACTCTATATGTCCATGAGTCTGGTTGTTTTCATTTTTAGATCCCACAAATAAGTGAGAACATGTGATGTTTGCCTTTCTGTGCCTGGCTTATTTACATAACACAGTGATCTCCAGTTCCATCCATTTTGTTGCAAATGACTGGATTGCATTCTTTTTTGTGGCTGAACAGTAATCCAAATCCATTGTGTGTATGAACCACATTTTCTTCATCCATTCATCTGTTAATGGACACTTAGGTTACTTCCAAATCTTAGTTATTGTAAACAGTGCTGCAAAAAGCATAGGAGTGCAGATATCTCTTTGATATACTGATTTCTTTTCTTTTGAGTATATACCCAGAAGTGAGATTGCTGGATCATATGGTAGCTCAACTTTTAGTTTTTTGAGGAACCTTCAAATTGTTCTCCATAGTGGTTGTACTAATTTACCTGCCCACCAACAGTGTACCAGGTTTCCCCTTTCTCTACATCCCTGCCAGCATTTGTTATTGCTTGTCTTTTGGATAAAACCCATTTTAACTGGGGTGAGATGACATCTAATTGTAGTTCCGATTTGTGTTTCTGTGATGATCAATGATGCTGAACACCTTTTCATATGCCTGTTTGCCATTTATATGTCTTCTTTTAAGAAATTTCTATTTAAATCTTTTGTCCATTTTTTTACGGATTGTTAGACTTTTTCCTATAGAGTTGTTTGAGCTCCTTGTATATTCTGGTTACTAATCCCTTGTCAGATGGGTAGTCTGCAAATATTTTTTCCCATTCTACAGGTTGACTCTTCATTTTGTTGATTGTTTCTTTCACTGTGCAGGTTTTTTTTTAACTTGATGTAATCCTAATTGTCCATTTTTGCTTGGTTATCTTTGCTTGTGGGGTATTGCTCAATAAATTTTTGCCCAGACCAAAGTCCTGATTGGTCTGAGATTTTTTACCCAATGTTTTCTTCTAGTAAATTCATAGTTTGAGGTCTTAGAGTTAAGTCTTTAATCCATTTTGATTTGATTTTTTAAATGGCAATAGATGGGAGCCTAGTTTCATTCTTCTGCATATTAATATCCAGTTTCCCCAGCATCATTTAGTGAAGATTATTTCTTTTCCCCAATGTATGTTCTTGGAAAGTGTCGAAAATGAGATCACTGTAGATATATGGATTTGTTTCTGGGTCCTCTATTCTGTTCCATTGGTCTATGTAGTGTAATTTGAAGTCAGGTAATGTGATTCCTCCAGTTTTGTTCTTTTTCCTTATGATAGCTTTGGCTATTCTGGGTCTTTTGTGGTTCTATATAAATTTTAGGATTGTTTTTTCTATTTATATTCATTCCGTTCATTTTTCTGTTTCATATTTTTATGAAGAATGGTCATTGGTATTTTAATAGGGATTGCATTGAATCTGTAGATTGCTTTGGGTAGCATGGACATTTTAACAATATTGATTCTGGCCAGGTCCAGTGGCTCATGCCTGTAATCCTAGCACTTTGGAAAGCCAAGGCAGGTGGATTGCTTGACCTCAGGAGTTTGAGACCAGCCTGGGCAACATGGTGAAATCCTGTCTCTACAAAAAATAAAAAAACTAGCTTGGCATGGTGGTTCATGCCCGCACTCCCAGCTACTTGCAGGGGCTGAGGCAGGAGGATCACTTGAGTCCAGGAGGCAGAGGTTGCAGTGAGCTGAAATCATGCCACTGCACTCCAGCCTGGGCAACAGAGTGAGACTCTGCCTCAAAAAACAAACAAATAAACAAACAGAAATATTGATTCTTTCAATACATGGGATATTTTTTCATTTTTTGTGTCCTCTTCAATTTCTTCTATCAGTGTTTTATGGTTTTCATTATGGAGATCTTTCACATCTTTGGTTAGCTTAATTCCTATGTATTTAATTTTATGTGTGGCTATTGCAAATGGGATTACTTTTTTATTTCTTTTTCACATTGTTCAGTGTTGGCATATAGAAATGCTACTGATTTTCGTATATTGATTTTGTATTCTGCAACTTTACTGAATTTGTTTATCAGTTCTAATCGTTTTCTTGTGGAGTCTTTAGGGTTTTCCAGATATAAGATCATATCATCTACAAACAAGGATAATTTGACTTCTTCCTTTCCAATTTAGATGCCCTTTATATCTTTCTCTTATCTGATTGCTGTAGCTAGGACTTCCATTCTATGTTGAATAACAGTGGTGACATCGGACATCTTTTTTTTTTTTTTTTTTCTGTGATAGAATCTCGCTTTGTCACCCAGGCTGGAGTGCAGTGGTGCGATCTTGGCTCACTGCAACCTCTACCTCCCAGCATCAAGCAATTCTCTGCCTCAGCCTCCTGAGTAGCTGGGATTACAGGTGTCCACCACTACGCCTGGCTAATTTTTGTATTTTTAGTAGAGATGGAGTTTCACCATCTTGGCCAGGCTGGTCTTGAATTCATGACCTCGTGATCCACCCGCCTCAAGCTCCCAAAGTCCTGGGATTACAGGTGTGAGCCACCGCGCCTGGCCAACATAGGACATCTTTGTCATGTTCCAGATCTTAGAGGAAAGGCTTTCAGCTTTTCCCATTCAGTATAATACTAGATGTGGGTCTGTCATATATGGCTTTAATTATGTTGAATTATGTTCCTTCTATCGCCAGTTTTTTGATCATTTTATCATGAAGAGATGCTGAATTTTATTAAATGATTTTTCAGCATCAATTGAAATGACTATATGATTTCTATCTTTCATTCTCTTGATATGATGTATCACATTCATTGATATGCATATGTTGAACCATTCTTGCATCCAAGAGATAAATTCTACTTGGTCATGATGGATGATCTTTCCAGTGTATTGAATAATTCAGTTTGTTAGTATTTTGTTGAGGATTTTTGCATCAATATTTATCAGAGGTATTGGCCTGTAGTTTTATTTTTTTGATGTGACTTTGTCTAGTTTTGGTATCAGGGTAATACTGGTCTCATAAAATAAGTTTGGAAGTATTCTCTCCTCTATTTTTCAGAATAGTTTGAATAGGATTGGTATTAGTTCTTTAAATGTTTGCTAGAATTCAGCAGTGAAACCATTGGGTCCCAGGCTTCTCTTTACTTGGAGAATTTTCATTACTGCTTCAATCTTGTTACTTGTTATTGGTCTGCTCAGGTTTTGGACTTCTTCGTGGTTCAATCTTGGTAGGTTGTATGTGTCTATGAATGTGCCCATTACTTTTAGGTTTTCCAATTTATTGGCATATAGTTGCTTATAGTAGCCACCAAAGATCCTTTGAATTTCGGCAGTATCAGTTGTAATGTGTCCTTTTTCATTCCCGATTTGATTTATTTGGATCTTCTTTTTTCTCAGTCTGGGTAAGGTTTGTCAATTTTATTTAACTTTTCAAAAAAGATCTTTTTGTTTCATGTATCTTTTGTATTGTTTTTTTATTTCAATTTCATTGATTTCTGCTTTGATCTTTATTATTTCTTTTCTGCTACCAATTTTGTGTTTGCTTTGCTCTTGCTTCTCTACTTATTTAAGATGCATTGTTAGATTGTTTATTTAAAGTTTTCTCTCTTTTTTATGTAGGCACTTAAAGCTATAAACTTCCCTCTGAGTACTACTTTTGTTGTATCCCATGGGTTTTGGTGTGTTGTGTTTCCATTATCATTTGTTTCAGGAAGTTTTTCAATTTCCTTCTTAATTTCTTCATTGACTCCTGGTCATTCAGGAGCATATTGTTTAATTTACATGTATTTATATAGTTTCTAAAATTCCTCTTGTTATCAATTTCCAGTTTTATTTTATTGTGGTCTGAGAAGATGCTTGATATTATTTCAATTTTTTGGAATGTTCTAAGGCTTGTTTTGTGACCTAATATATCATCTATCCTTGAGAATGATCCATGTAGTAAGGAAAGAATGTGTATTCTGCAGCTGGTGGCTGAAATGGTCTGTAAATACCTACTAGGTTCATTTGGTCTATAGTACAGATTAAGTCCCATGTTTCTTTGTTGATTTTCGGTCTGGAGGATCTGTCCGATGCCACCATGCCTGGGCTGATTTTTATATTTTTAGTAGAGATGGGGGTTTCACCATGTTGGCCAGGCTGATAGTGAACTCCTGGCCTCTAGTGATCCACCCGACTCAGCCTCCCAAAGTGCTGGGATTACAGGCGTGAGGCACTGTGCCTGGCCAAGAATTTTTTTTTTTTTTGGCCCACTAAAGAATTTTAGGTTTGTAAATATATTTTTTTCTTCTAGCAGTTTGATGGTGCCATACTGTTGTCTTCTGTCTACTGTCATTTCTGTAGAAAAGTTAAAAAAAAAATCTATCATCGCTCCTTGGTAGGTAATGTTGGTTTTTTTTCCCCAGTCTGGCTACTTTTCAATTATTCTTTTCAATTTCAAAAGTTTGATTCTGGTGTATCTTGGTATAGTTTTATTTGGGTTTATCTTATTTGGGTTTTATAATGTTTCTTGTCTGTGGTTTCATGTCTTTCTTCAGTTTTGGAAAGTTTTTGGCCAGTATTTCCTCATATATTGCTTCTACCCACTGTCATTCTTCTCTCCTCTGACCCTGATTGCACATATATAAAATATTTTTAACATCTCCAATGCCCTCTTTCTGTATTTTTCATTTTTTTCTCTCTATAGGATTCAATATAGATATTTTCTACTACAGGTAACCCTTAAACAACACAGGTTTGAACTGCGTGGGCCCATATATACATGGATTTTCTTCTGTCTCTGCCACCCCGCGACTGAAAGATCCACCCTTCCTCTTCCTCCTCCTCAGTCTACTTAATATGAAGATGATGGTGAGAATGACGATCTTTATGATGATCAAATTCCACTTAATAAATAGTGGATATATTTTCTCTTCCTTATGGTTTTCTTAATAACATTTGCTTTTCTCTAGCTTACTTTATTGTAATAATTCAATATATAATATATAAACATGCAAAATATGTGTTGATCGAGTGTAAAGTTACCAGTAAGGCTTCCAGTAAACAGTAGGCTATTAGCAGTTAAGTTTTGGGGGAGTCAAAATTATACACATATTTTCAACTGCACGAGGGACTGGCACCCTGTCCCTTGCATTGTTCAAGGTCAACTGTAATGTCTTTTAGTTCACTAATCTTTTGCTCTGCTGTGCCTAATTTGTTGATAAGTCCATTTAGTTAATTTTAAATTACACTTCTAGAATTCTCATTATATCCTTTTAAAAAATCATGGTAAAAATGTAACATAAAAATCTCCATCTTCCTGTAATCCCAGCCCTTTGGGAGGCTGAGGCAGTTGGATCACCTGAGGTCAGGAGTTCGAGACCAGCCTGACCAACATGGTAAAACCCCATCTCTACTAAAAATACAAAAATTAGCCAGGTGTGATGGTGGGTGCCTGTAATCCCAGCTACTTGGGAGGCGGAGGCAGGAGAATCACTTGAACCTGGGAGGCGGACGTTGTGGTGAGCTGAGCTCATGCCACTGCACTCCAACCTGGGCGACAGAGTGAGACCCTGTCTCAAAAAAAAAATTAAAAATAAATTTCCATCTTAACCATTTTGAGTGTATAGTATAGTAGTGTTAACTATTTACATTGTTGAGCAACGGATGTCTAGAATTTTTTTATGTTGCAAAACTTTATATTAATTGAATAACAACTCACCATTTCCATCTCCCCCCAGCCCCTGGCAACCACGATTGTGTTGGAAAACATAAATACTTTCTGTTTCTAAGAGTTTGACTATTTTGATACCACATACAGTTGGACTTATGAGGTATTTGTCCTTTTGTGACTGGCTTATTTCACTTGGAATAATGTCCTCAAGGTTCATCTACATTGTAGATTATGACAAGATTTCCTTATTTTAAATTTTAATCTAATTTTATTTATTTTTTATTTCCATAGGTTTTTTGGGGGACAGGTGCTGTTTGGTTACACAAGTAAGTTCTTTAGTGGTGATTTGTGAGATTTTGTTGTGTCCATCACCCGAGCAGTATACACTGAACCCAATTTATAGTCTTTTATCCCTCACCCCCTCCCACCCTTTCCCGGAAGTCCCCAAAGTCCATTGTATCATTCTTATGCCTTTGCATCTTCATAGCTTAGCTCCCACTTATGAGTGAGAACATATGATGTTTAGCTTTCCATTCCTGAGTTATTTCAATTAGAATAATGGTCTCCAATTCCATCCGGGTTGCTGCAAATGCCATTATTTTTTCCCTTTTTATGGCTGAATAGTATTCCATGGCATATATATATATATATATATCACAATTTCTTTATCCACTCATTGATTGATGGGCATTTGGGCTGGTTCCATATTTTTGCGATTGTGATTGTGCTGCTATAAACATGCATGTGCAAGTATCTTTTTCGTATAATGACTTCTTTCCCTCTGGGTAGATACTCAGTAGTGGGATTGCTGGATCAAATGGTAGTTCTACTTTTATTTCCTTGTATGTATATACTGTATTTTCTTTATCCATTCATCTGCATATAAACATTTATGTTGCTTCTATCTCTTGGTCATTGTAAATAATGCTAACATGAACATGGGTGTGCAAATATCTCTTTGGCATCCTGCTTTCAAATCTTTTGGATATGTAACCAGAAATGGGATTGCTGGATCATGTGGTAATTCTATTATCAATTTTTTGGGAACCACTACACTCTTTTCCACAGCAGCTACACCATTCTACATTCCCACAAGCAGTGGACAAGGATTCCAATTTCTCCTCATCTCTGTCAACACTTCTTATTTTCTGGTTTTTAAATAATGGCCATCTTAATAGGTGTGGGATATCTCATTTTGGTTTTGATTTGCATTTCTGTAATGATTAATGCGATTGAGCATCTTTTCATTTGCTTTTTAGCCATTTCTTTATCTTCTTTGGATAAATGTCTATTCAAGTATTTTGTCCAGTTTTAAATTGGATTTCTTTTTGTTGTTGATAAGTTGTAGTTCTTTACATATTCTGGATATTAACTCCTTATCAGATGTATGGTTTGCAAATATTTCTCCAATTTTATGGATTGCCTTTCTCCTCTGTTGGCTGTCTTCTCTGCTCTGTAGAAGTTTCTTAAGGTTGATGTATTCTCTTTTGTCTATTTTTGCTTTTGTTGCCTGTGCGTATGGTGTGCATATTGGAGAAATCATTGCTAATCCAATGTAATGAAGCTTTTCACCATGTTTTCTTCTAGGAGTTTCATAGTCTCAGGTCTTATATTTATGTGTTTAATCCATTTTGAGTTAAGTTTGTATATGGTTTAAGGTAAGTGTCCAACTTTATTTTTTGTATTTGTAATATCCAGCCGAAGAAACTATCCTATCCCCATTTTGAAGCCTTGGCACTTTTGTCGAAGATTCTTTGACCATATATGTGAAGATTTATTTCTGGGTTCTCTCTTCTGTTTCATTGGTCTATATGCCTGTCTTTATGCTACTACATACTGTTTTGATTACTGTAAACTTATAATATGTTTTGATGTCAGGAAGTGTGAGGCCACTAGTTTTCTTTCTTTCTTTATTTTTTTAAAGATTGCTTTGGCTATTTATAGTTCTTTGAGATTCCATATGAATTTTAGGATTATTATTCCATTTCTGAAGAAAAATGCCGTTGGGATTTTGACAGGGATTGCATTAATCTGCAGATTTCTTTGAATAGTATGGACATTTTAACAATACTAAGTCTTCCAATCCATGAACATGGAATGTCTTCCCATTTATTTATGTTTTTAACATTTTTTTACTACAATATTTTGAGTTTTTGGTGTACAAATATTTTGCCCCTTTGGATGAGGTTATTCCTAAATAATTTATTCTTTTTGATGATACTGTAAATAACATTTTTTCTTAATTTTCTTTTTGAGTTGTTCATTTTTAATGTATAGAAATGAAACTGATTATGTGTTGATTTTGTATAATGCAACTTTGCTGAATCTGTTTATTAGTTCTAACAATTGTTTTGTAAATGACATAGTCCAGTTTCCTACATACAAGGCCATGTCATCTGTGTACAAAGAAAATTTCACTTCCTCCTTTCTTGTTTGGATACCTTTTATTTCTTTTTATTGTCTGATTCTTGTGGCTAGGACTTCCAGTACTATGTTGAATAGAAGTAGCTAGAGTGGGCATCCTTGCATTGTTCCTCATCTTAGAAAAAAAGCTTTCAGTTTTCCACCATTGAGTATGACGTTAGCTGTGGGCTTTTCATATATGGCTTTTATTATGTTGAAGTAAGTTTCTTCTATTCCTAGTTTGTTGAGTGTTTTTTTTTTATTATAAAAGTGTATTGACTTTTGTCAAATACTTTATCTGAATCAATTCAGATAATCATGTAGTTTTTCCTTTAGTCTGTTAATGTGGTGTATTACATTGATTTTTGTATGTTGAAGCATCCTTGCATTCCAGAAATAAATCCCACTTGCTCATTAGGTATAATCCTTTTACTGTGCTGTTGGGTTTGGTTTGCTAGTATTTTTGTTGAAGATTTTTGCCTAAATATTCATCAGGGATGTTGATCTGTAGTTTTTGTTTCCTTTTGTATCTTTGATTTTGATATCAGGGTAATGCTGGCCTCATAGAATGAGTTTGGAAGTGTTCCCTCTTCTTCAGTTTTTGGGAAGAATTTGAGAAGAATTGATGTGTATTGTTCGCTAAAGGTTTGGTAGAATTTACCAGTGAATTCTTCTCTGAGCAATTTTGTTGTTTTTGTTGGAAAGTTTTTGGTTATGATTCAATGTTCTTATTAGCTATAGATCTGTTCAGGTTTTTTATTTTTTAATTATTCAGTCTTGATAGGCTGTATATTTCTAGAAATTTATCAATTTCTTCCAGGTTACCCAATTTTGTGGTGTATAATAGTTCATCATAATCTCTTACGACCCTTTTTCATTTCTGTGACATCGGCTGTAATGTCCTTCTTTCATTTCTGGTTTTTGTTATTTGAGTCTTTTCAGTTTTTTATTAGTCTGGAGAATAGCTTATTGATTTTATTAATCTCTTTAAAAAAACTCTTATTTTTTATTCTTTTCTATTGGGTTTCTCTTCTCTCTTTGTTTTATTTCTGCTCTAATTTTTATAATTTTCTTCTGCTAACTTTATGTTTAGTTTGTTCTTTGTTTTCTAGTGTCTTAAGGTATAAAGTTAGGTTGTTGATTTGAGATTTTTCTTCTGTTTTGTGTAGGTGTTTACTGCTATAAACTTTCCTCTTGGTACTGCTTTTACTGTATTCTACATGTTTTGATATATTGTGTTTCCATTTTCATTTGTCAAAAATATTTTCTAATTTCCCTTATGATTGCTTCTTTCACCTATTGGTTGTTCAAGAGTGTATTGTTTAATTACCACATATTTTGAATTTTCCAGTTTTCTTGTTGCTATTGGTTTCTAGTTTCATTCTATTGTGGTCACAAAGGATACTTGGTTTGATTTCAGTCTTCTTACATTTGTTAAGACTTGTTTTGCGACTAACATGTGATCTTTCCAGGAGAATGTTCTGTGTGTGTTTGAAAAGAATAAGTATTTTACTGTTGTTGAGGAGAATGTTTTGTATATGTCTATTAGGTCTATTTGGTTTGTAGTGTTGTCCAAGTTCTCTGTTTTCTTATTGATTTTCTGTCTAGTTAATCTATTCCTTATTGAAAGTGGGGTATTAAAATCTCCTACTATTATTATGTTACTATGCATTTCTCCCTTCAATTCTGCCAATGTTTTCTTCTTATGTATGGATGGACAGGTACATGCATATTAAAATTGTTATATCTTCCTGGTGAATTGACTCTTCTGTCATTATATAATGTCCCTTTTTTTTCTTGTGACGGTGTTTGAATTATACTCTATTCTATCTGTTATAAGTATGACCACCCCTGCTCTCTTTTGGTTACTGTTTTATGGAATATCTTTTTTTTCCCATTCTTTCACATTCAGCCTGTGTATGTCCTTATAGTTAAAGTAAGTCTATTGTACAGAGAATATAGGTGGATCTTGTATGTTTTTTATATTCACCCAGCCAATAAATGTCTTTTGATTGGAAAGTTCAATTCCTTTACATTTAAAGTGATTACTGACAGGAAAGGACTTATTACTGCCATTTTTGTGAATTGTTTTCTGTGTGTCTTGTAGTTATATTGCCATTTTTGTGAATTGTTTTCTGTGTTTCTTGTAGTTATTTTGCCTTGCATTTTCTCTCTTGCTCCATCCTTTGTGTTTTGTTGATTTTTTATAGTGACATGCTTTGATTCCTTTCTCTTGTCATTTCCTTGTGGTTACCATGGGGATTGCATAAAACATAGTTATGGCAATCTATTTTAAACTGATGACAACTTAATTTCAGTTCTATACAAAAAATCTATTCCTTTACATCTCCTCATACTTTATATTATCAAATTACATCTTTTTATGTTTTGTATCAATTAATATCATTTTGTAGTTATTTTTATAATTTTATCTTTAAAATTTTATACCTCAATTAAAAGTGATTTGTGTACCACCATTACAATATTGGGGAACTCTGTATTTGTCTATATATTTATTATACCTTTACCAGAGAGCTTTATATTTTTATATACATTCATGTTTCTGCCTAGTGTCCTTTTGTGTCAACTTGAAAAACTCTTTTTAGCAACTCTTGTAAGGCAGGTCTATCGGTGATGAACTCTCTCAGCCTTTTCCAAGATGAATATGTTTATCTGGGAAGGTTTTTATTTCTCCTTATTTTTGAAGGACAGTTTTGCTGGATATAATGTTCTTGGTAGCTTTTATCTTTCAGCACTCTGAATATATACTCCCACTCCCTTCTGACCTATAATATTTCTTCTGAAAAATTTGCTGATAATCTCATGGGAGCGCCTTATACATAATGAGTTGCTTTTCTCTTGCTGCTTTCAAGATTCTCTCTTTGTCTTTGAATTTTGACAGTTAGACTATAATGTGTGCTGGTGTGGGCACTCTTTGTGTGTGTGTGTGTGTGTGTGTGTGTGTGTGTGTGTGTGTGTGTGTGTGTTTGTTTTCTGAGATGGGGTCTCACTCTGTTATCCAGGCTGGAGTGCAGTGGCATGATCTTGGCTCACAGCAACCTCTGCCTCAGGCTCAAACTATCCTCCCAACCTCAGCTTCTTGAGTAGCTGGGACTACAGGCACACACCACAATCACAGGCTAATTTTTTAATTTTTTGTAGAGGTGGGGTTTTGCCATGTTGCCCAGGCTGGTCTCAAACTCCTGAGCTCCAGTGATCTACTCACCATGGCTTCCCAAAGTTCTGGAATTACAGGCATGAGCCACCATGCCCAGCTTTGTGGGCACTTTTTGGGTTCATGCTAGTTGAAGTCCATTTGATCTTTCTTATAGATTCCAGACGTCTGGTGAAAATTTCCATCTTTCTTTCTATTTTCTTGAATGTATTAATCATATTATTTAAAAGTTTTTTTCAGCTAACTCTAAAATCTGAAATACATTTGGGTCTGTTTCTAGGTTTTTTTCTTTTCATATTTGGTTCTATTTTTCAGCATAATTTGTGATTATTGAATAGACAAATAGATATTGTGTATAAAAAGTTGTTGACATTTTAGAAATCTAGATGATATTGTTATCCTCGAAATAGTGTTAAATTTTCTTCTGGAGGCAGATAGAATTACTGATGGATCACCAGCTAGTTTTAGGCTTTGTTGAGATTGTTGTATTTCAGTTTTACTTTTACTTTTAGGCTTATAACCTTTACTCCTAGAATGTGGCCTCTCTTTGTTTCAGCAGAAATCCAGGAGTGGTTATCATGTCTCCTTCTTCCACTTTGGTAAGACATGAATGTTTACTTCTTTCTTCCCGCTGTTACAGAGCTGTGGAGATTAGCTTATCATTTTTGGCCTCTCAGTTGCTATTTTCTACTGAGAGGTCTTCTGGTAAGCCACCTCTTTAAGGAGGTAGAAAAAGCCATGACTTACGGTATTTGCTGATTTTCATGGTGTAAGTACTCCCATCATAAACAATTTCAAGATACCAATGTAACATCATTGAATGAGAAGTTGGGAAGAGATGTGTGCAATCACCTTTAATGAGCTGTTGTGAGTTGGCTCTAAGATAGAACTGGTTTGTTGGAGTCTTGTGGACATGTGTAGCTTTGGAGTCTCCTAACGATATGAGAAAGATTTGTATGCAGATTTGGAGATCAATTTCTCTGTGATTCCCTTCTTTCTATGATTTTGTCCCTCAACCTTCAACCCTAACTCAATTTAGTAGCCTGAGATCTTGCCTCTGTCTCCTCATCCCAGAAATACTCACGCTTTCTCAAATCAGAAAAATATCCTTTGGTGAATGCCTGGATGAATGTGAAGGTCTCCTCATGTGCATTTCTCCTTTCAAGGAAAGTAACATATCATGTCTTGCCTGTGTTGGTTGTTCTTCAGTATCTCTAAAGACTTTGTTTAAAAATGTATTTTGTATAATTTTTATAATTATTTTCAGAGGGAGACTTAGTCAGATAAATGCTACTCATTTGTAGTTAGAAGTAGAAGTCTTTTTTCCCGTCCAGTCTATGATTTTAAATGAAGAGGTTAGTCTATTATATTCATTATGGTTAGTGATATATTTGGATTTATTTATACATTTAACATTCATTTTTATCTTTTTCATTGTCGTTCTTTTGTTTCTCTTTCTTCACCTCATTTTTTGCTTCCTTTCAGATTGATATTTTTATGGATGTGTCTGTTTATCCCCAACAATTTTTTTCCTTTTTGACTTGAAAGTTATATGCTCTGTTTCCATTATTTTAGTTATATTCTCTTTTTCTATTTTAGAAATGTGCTGCATATTTAATAATGTTTAAATTAAATCATTATATTTGCCACCCTCCCAAACAATACAAGGACCATAGAACATTTTAATTCTGATCATTCCACTCTGACTTATATGTATTCATTGTCCAGCATTTTTTACTATATTTTTGATCCCATGAATTAGATATTGTTTCACATAGTCACTATTTTAGCTTACTCATGTATTTATCACATTATAAATGTTAGATCAAGGGGAGGAAATGTAAGATATATTGACAGAGGTTCACTCTCCCAAGATTCAGGATTGAATATGATAGTACTCAAGTACAGTCATGCTCTGCATCATGATGTTTTGGGCAATGACAAACCTCATATATGGTGGTGGTTCTATAAGATTATAATGGAAGCCAGGCATGGTGGCTCTCACCTGTAATCCCAGCACTTTTGGAGGCTGAGGCAGGAGGATCACTTGAGCTCAGGAGTTCAAGACCAGCCTGGGCAATATACTGGGACCCCATTCTCTACAAAAAATTAAAAAAAAATTATCCCGTCATGGTAGTGTGTGTCTGTAGTCCTGGCTACTCAGGAGAATGAGGTGGAAGTATCAATTGAGCCCAGGAGGTCGAGGCTGCAGTGAGCTGTGATCACACAACTGCACTCTAGCCTGGGTGATAGTGTGAGACTCTAAAAAAAAATTAAATAAAAATTATAATGGAACCAAAAATTCCTATCGCCCAGTGATGTTATAGCCATTGTAACATCATAATGTAGTTACCTTATTTATTTATTTTTTTTTACAAATTTAGTGTAGCCTAAGTGTACAGTGTTTATAAAGTCTACAGTAGTATACAGTAATGTCTTAGGCTGTCACATTCACTCAACATTCACTCACTGACTCACCCAGAACAACTTCCTTTCCTGCAAACTCCAGTCATGATAAGTGCCCTATACAGGTTTACCATATTTTATATTTTATATTGCACTTTTGCTGATGCTTTTCTAGGTTTAGATATGTTTTGATACAAAAATACTTACTATTATGTGTTACAGTTGCCTATAGGAATCAGTACTGTAATATGCAGGACAAGCGTGTAGCCTAAACAGTATGCTATCCCATGTACCCCAGGTGCGTAGTAGGCTATACATCTAGGTTTGAGTACGTACACTCTATGATGCTTGCACAATGATGAAATTGTCTGATAATGCATTTTTCAGAACATATCCCTGTCATTATGTGATGCATGACTGCACTTGGGATTGTCATTAGTGGTCCACCAGGATGACTAATCAAAGCTTAATCTCAGTATATCAATCATGGCCTAGTTAATAAGGCAAAAATATTTGAACATCCTGAATGCACTGTAGAAGGAGTCCATGATGTAGTGGAACTGGATTCTCTGATCATTTTGGGAATAATGGATTTTTGGAATTATAGAACACAGATGGTGACACCTAACCATTAGAAATAAGGGAATACAATTATCACAGTAAGCCACAGTGGCATAATGGCAACTCGAATATTCTGGAATGGAGAGAACTGTGGTAGCTAATTGGTAACAGATCCCTCAAAGTGAAATATATGGGCAGCCTATTAAAATGCTGCTTGTTTGATACATGTGGAAAAATTTTAGGTCTGTTGGACAAAAATCTAACTTGAATCAAAACAATGGCAATTCACAGCCTCTTGCCTAGTTCTTAGACTTAAGCTTGTTAATAGACTTGGAGCTTCTTAAATGGAGAGGTGGTTGCATCCTTTTGAAGAAGCACCCTATAATATGGCCATATGTATATACTGTCAATCTTACCCTAAGCTTTTCCCAAAGTGGCCTTCAGCCATGTACTAAGGGGACTGTGCAGTGGGGAAAGAAACATACCAGAATTTTAAAATTATCTATTATGTACTGGCTCTGATCCATTGGAACAAGGGATCCATTCAGTGGTTATTTCTATAGACATTAAACGTATAGTATGAACATATATACTTAGTAACTGGCAGAATCTCTACCTTGTCCCCACCTGAAGGATGAGGTCTCTTACGGTGGGCAGTGGCCAAGTAAAAGCCCTTGGAAATTCCCTTCATCCCACTCAAAGACAATAAACCAAAAGCAATACCATATCTCTGGAGGAACTGCAGAGATAAGACTAGAGAGATGCAGGGGTGATAACTTCTACCTCATCTCCATTTAACTCATCTAATTAACTGGTACAAAAGTGAGATAGGTTGTGGATAATGACAGCAAATTGTTACGGACTTATTCTGGTGATGATGCCAACCACAGCTCCAGTTCTGGATGTGGTATTTTTACTAAGGCAAATCAACACAGATTCTGGCCTGTTGTATACAGCTGTTGACTTGGAAATTGCTTCCTATTCCCATTCCTCTCAGTAATGAAAATCAGAAGTAGGGATGACTGTATTGTTTCCAGATCTATTCTAATTTTCCTATTCTTTATCATAATATAGTTGAGAGGGATCTTGTCCATCTTGATATCTCACAGATCATTATTGTTCTATTAAATTGACAATATTATGCTAATCAGATTTGATGATCAGGAAGTAGAAATAAAACTAGATACCTTAGTAAGATATGTTCATATATATGGTGGGACATAGTTCAAGATCCTCCCATGTAGATGAAGTTTCTAGGGGTCCCGTTTCAAGCATCTTGAGATATCCTTCTAAAAGGAAAGTTGCTGCACTTTACACGGCTCACCGTAAAGAAAAAGGCTTAATGTTTGGTGGGCCTTTTCAGATTTTGAAGGCAATATGCACTATATTTGAGCATGTTTAATTAGGTACTAAAGAAAGGCCCAGTGCAGAAAAGGGTCCCAACAGTGGGGCAAGCTGTGCTGCCACTTTGACCTTATGACTAGAAGAATAATAATAAGGACGAGTCTACAGAAGACAAAGTTTCTGAATGATGTCTCTGGAAATCTCCAATAAAAATATCACATTGCAGACCAAATGCTTGGAGTAAGTCCATGCTCTCCTTGACTGACAACAATTCTCTGTTTGAAAGTCAGCTCCTAGCTTGCTATTAGACCCTGGCAGGAACTGAATTCCTGACTACGTGACATAAGGAAACTATATGACCTGAACTTCTCCTTATAAACCGGGTGTGTTAACTGATTAACTGAATCATCAAATGAATATATTCATCAGTGTCCTGCTATAAAATTGAAGTGATATATACAAGACTGGGCACAAGCAGGTCTGAAAGGCATCCACTTGAGCAGGTTATTCAAGACTCCTATGGTACTTGCTCCTGGTACTTTACCAATTTCTCCTGAAACATACTCCTATGGCCTCATGGAAATTTCCCTATGAACAATTGCTGTGGTTTAAATGTTTTTGTTTCCTCCAAAACGCATGTGTTGGAAACTTAATTCCTACTGTAACAGTATTGAGAGGTAGGATCTAATTGAAGGTGTTTAGGTTATGAGGGTTCTGACTTTGTGAATGAATTAATGCTGCTATAAAAAGGGCTGCTGGGAGTGAGTTCTCTCTCCTGCTTTTCTGCTAGGTCAGGACGTAATGTTCCTACCTTCCAGAGGATGCAGCATTTAAGTTGCCATCTTGGAGGCAGATGGAACAGGCTCAAACCTGCTGGCACCTTGATCTTGGACTTCTCTGTGCCCAGGACTGTGAGAGAATAAATTTCTGCTCTTTATAAATTACCCAGTCTGTGGTATTCTGTTATAACAGCACAAAACAGACTGAGACAGAAATTGGCACCAGGGAAGTAGAGTGTTGCTATAACAAATACCTAAAGATGTGAAAGTGGCTTTGGAACTCGGTAATGGGTAGAAGAGGAAAAGTTTTGAAGTGAATTCTGGGAAAAGCCTATATTGCTATGAAGGAAGCATTAAGGGTGACCCTGGTGACGGCTCAGAAGAAGAAGAGAGCTATAGAGGGAAACTCAGTCTTAGAGATTATCTAAGTTGTTGTGAACTGAATATTGATAGAAATATGGGCAGTAAAGGCCATTCTGATGAGGTCTTTGAAAGAAATGAGGATTATCTTACTGGGAACTAGAGGAAGGGTCATTCTTATTATAAAGTGGCAAAAAATTTGGATGAATTGTATCCATGTCTGAGGGCTTTGTGGAAAGCAGGATTTAAGAGTGATGAACTAGGATATCTGGCAAAAGAAATCTTTAAGCAGGAAAATGTTGAAGCTGCTGCATGGCTTCTTGTAATTGTTTATAGTAAGAAGCGAGTACAGAGAAACAATTTAAAGATGAAATTTTTAATTAAAATGGAAGTAGAACATAAAGATTTGAAAAGTTTTCAGCCTGACTTTGTAAACAATAAAAAAGTGTGTTTAGAAGAGAAAACCAAGAGTGTTGCCAAGCTACTGTTTGATAAGGTTAGTATGGATAGAATGAATCCAGATGATATTCATCAAGACAATGGGAGAATGACCCCAAAGGCATTTCAGAGATCTTGGCGGATGCTATGTCCATTACAGGCCTAGAATGCCAGGGCCTTGAGGGGAGAATTGTTTTGAGAGAGAGGCCCAAGGTGCCTGGGAGACTTTGCTGCTTGCTGTTCAGGACGCCCTCATGATTTTGCTCCAACATTCTGGCACAGCACTCATCAGCCACCCCAGATGTGGCTCAGGTGGGCCCAAAAGCGGCTCAGGCTGTCACTGGGGAAGGTGCAAGCAGTGAACTTCACCAGTGTCCACGTGGTGCTAATTCTGCAGGCACACAAAATGCAGCAACTTGGAGACATGGCCTCTTCCACCCAGATTTCAAAGAATGTCTCAAACAGCCTTGGGACCACTGTAAAGACCACAGTGGCTGGCAGAACCACCACAGAGAATACCCACTAGGGCACTACTTAGTGGAGTTGTGGGGTCAAAGCTGCCTCTGAGACTCCATAACTGTGAGACAGAGCAGGCACCCCTTTTAGGGGCCTGCTGGGTGCCCCCCAACCCCACCGCTGACTGCCTTAAAGGCATGGAAATAAAGAAAGATTTGAGTCCCTTCAAGGGAAATACCAGGCACCTAGCTAGCACTGTAACCAGCAATTAGGGAAGTAAGTGAATAACCTGCTAAGTAAGAAGGTAATAATAGCATAAACAATAGTCACCCAAGTAAGTCAGAGTCACAAGATGTTTCATTCCCTATAGAAACTAGAGAGAATGTATTGACATATGTCCTTGAGTTGTTTTTCAGAAGCCACGGACTCCACCAGATGGAAATGCCAACCACTGTCATATAGACGTCAGACAAACTGAAATGAGAAAATGTATAAGGAAGTTCTAGAGATTCCTCACCCCTTAACTCATTTTGGAAATTCCTCTATCCCTGCCTTAAAAACCCTTGACTGTAAGCCGTCAGGGAGTTCAGGTCTTAAGCATTACTTGCCTGTTTTCCTTGCTTGGCCCCCTGCAATAAATGCCTTACTTTCTCTTGCTGCAAATCCCAGTATCAGTGTTTGGCTTTGTTGTGCACTGAGCAAGCAGACCCAGGTTCAGTAAGATGACAACTGTAGAGCTACCAGTGTATAACACCAGCCTGGGAAAACTGCAGGCACCTGACTTTAACCAATGAGAGTAATGCAGGCTGCACCTAGCAAAACTGTGGGGGTGGGGACACTAAGGAGCATTGAGGGTCCATTGCCCACATTAGTGTGTCTGGATGGTAGGACATGGAGTCAAATAAACAAACCTTAAGATCTAATGTTGTTTGCCCTATGGGGTTTTGAACTTACCTGGGACCTTTTGCTCCTTCTTTCTTTCCTTCTGCTCCCTTTTGGAATGTGAGTGTCTATCCTATGCCTATCCTACCATTGTATTTTGGAAGCACATAACTTGTTTGATTTAACAAGCTCACAGCTGGAGGGAAATTTGCCTCGGAGTGAATTGTGCTTTGAGTCTCACTCATATCTGATTTAGTTGAGACTCTGAATTGTAGACTTTTGGGTTGATGTTAGAACAAGTTAAGACCTTTGGGGCTATTGAGATGGAATTAATTTATTTGTATATAAGAAGGATATGAATTTTAAAGGGACAGGGGTAGAATACTATGGTTGGAATTTTTTTTTAGAGATGGAGTGTTTCACCATGTTGCCCAAGCTACACTTAAACTCCTGAGCTCAAGCGATCTTCCCACCTCAGCATCCTAACTAGCTGGGATTACAGGCAAGTACCACTGCATCTGGCCTGAATGTTTTTGTCCTCTCTAAAACTCATGTGTTAGAAATGTAATCCCCAATGCAGCAGTGTGTGGAAGTGTGGCCCAATAGGATGTGTTTAGGATGTCTTTAGGCCCAATAGGATGTGTTTAGGCTCCACCCACATGAATGAATTAACGCTCCTGTAAAAAGGGTTGATGAGGCCAGTGCGGTGGCTCACGCCTGTAATTCCACACTGTGGGAGGCCAAGGGAGGTGGATTGCTTGAGCCCAGGAGTTTGAGACCAGCTTGGACAACATGGCAAAACTCTGTCTCCACAAAAATACACAAAAATTAACTGGGTGTGGTGGCATGTCCTGGTAGTCCCAGCTACTATAGAGGCAGAGGTCAGAGGATTGCTTGAGTACGGAAGGTAGACGCTGCAGTGAGCCAAGATAGTACCACTGCACTCCAGCCTGGGAGACAGAGTGAGACCTCATCTCAAAAAAAGGGCTTATGACAGCAGGTGCTTTCCCCTGCTTTTCTGCCAGGTGAAGACATGGTGTTTCTCCCCTCTAGAGGATGCAGCATTCAAGTTGACATCTTGGAAGCAGAGAGAACAGGCTCTAACCTGCTGGTGTCTTGATATTGAACTTCTCAGCCTCCAGAACTGTGAGAGAATATATTTCTGTTCTTTATAAATTACCCAGTCTGTGTTATTGCAGCACAAAATGGACTAAGACAGCAGTTAAGGGAGAAAGGAGACATGTATGGCTGATTTAGGCATGCATCTGCACAGTAGGCCATCACTAGTTAGAAGTGGATGGCCTTTGCACTACAAGCCCCTCTGGATGGCTCTGAAAGACAGTGGAGAAAGAATTTCCTTCCAGTGAGGTGAACTTCAGGAGCATCCAGTTGTCCATTTCATGTGGAAGAAGAGATGGCCTGAGGTATGTATTTGCTGGTCAGGGACTTGGAAATAACATAATTCGACAATTGATGGCAGGAGATCTAGGGGGAAAGATATGTAGATGGACTTCTTGGAATGGGCAGAGTGTGAAGATAGTTATGCCTTACATAAATGCTCACCAGAGGCCAGTTAGTCCAGAGGAGGTTCTCAATGATCAGGTGAGAAAGATGACCCAGCCTGTGGAAGTCAGCTAGACCCTCTCTTCTGCCACTCCACTGCTTGTATAATAGACCCATGAACAGAACAGACATGCATGCATGGATAGACGTTAAGTCTGTGCCCAGCAGCATAAAACTCATTAAGGTTGATTCTGATTACTACTGGGTGTCCATTCTCCAAACAGCATAAGCCAATGTTGAGCTCCTGATATGGCACTATTCCCTGGGAGGACCAGCTAGCTACCTGGTGGCAGGTTGATAACATCAGACTTTTTTCATTATGAAAGGGACAGTACTTGGTCCTCACACGGATAGACATATTCTGATAGAGATTTGTCCTTAACGTTTACAGGGCTTCTTCCCAGTCACCATAATTCATAGATTTAGAGAATGATTAGTCTATGCAAGAGTAAACAATTGTGATGGTAAACTTTATGTGTCAAGAATGGAGCAAGATGGCCAAATAGTAGCCTCCGTGAATCGTCCTCCTCCACAGGAACAGTAAATTTTAACAACTATCTGCACACAGAAAACCACCTTTATAAGAACCAAAAATAAGGTGAGCAATCACAGTATCTGGTTTTAACTTCATATTGTTGAAAGAGGCACTGAAGAGGGTAGGAAAGACAGTCTTGAATCACTGATGCCACACCTCTTCCAACCCCCAGCGGCAGCTGTGTGCTGTGGAGAGATAATCTGTGCACTTGGGGAAGGGAGAGTGCAGTGATTGAAATCAGTGCTGCTGTGTCTCAGCATAAAGTAAAACCATGCTGAACTTAGCTAGTGCCCACCCACAGAGGGAGCATTTGGACCACATCTAGCTTGAGGGGAAGTGCCCATCCCAGTGGTCAGAACATGAGTTTCTTGGCAAGCCTTGCCACCATGGAATAAAGTGCTTTGGTGTTTGTATTAGGGATCTTTAGAGGAACAGCACTAATGGAATATATATATATATTTATATATATATATGACTTTATTAAGTATTAACTTGCACAATCACAAGGTCCCACAATAGTCTGCCTGCAGGCTGAGAAGCAAGGAGAGCCAGTCAGAGTTCCAAAACTGAAAAACTTGGAGTTCGATGTTTGAGGGCAGAAAGCATCCAGTACAGGAGAAAGATGTAGGCTGGGAGGCCAGGCAAGTCTCTCATTTCACATTTTTCTGTCTGCTTATATTCTAGCTGTGCTGGCAGCTGATTAGATTGTGCCAACTCAGGTTTAGGGTGTGTCTCCCTTTCCCAGCCCACTGACTCAAATGTTAATCTCCTTTGGCAACACCCTCACAGACATACCCAGGATCAATAATTTGTATTCTTCAATCCAATCAAGTTGACACTCAGTATTAACCATCACAGGGTCCTAAGTGAACTTGAAAGACAGTCTAGGACACAAGGACTGCAATTCTTAAGCAAGCATTGATGCTGTGCTGGGCTTAGAGTCAGTGGACTTGGTCTGCATGTGACCTAGGGAGACACCAGATGGTGTGGCTGGGCGAGTGCTTATATTACCCCTCTCCCAGTGCCAGGCAACACAACTCAGATCAACAAAAGTGAGTCCTTCCTTCTGCCTGTGGAGAGGAAAGAGAAGCATAAAGAGAACTTTGTCTTGCATCTTGGATACTCGCTCAGCCACAGTAGAAGATGGCACTGGACAGAGTCGTGAGACCCCCATCCCAGGCTTCAGCTCCTGGGTGACATTTTTAGACACACCCTGGGTCAGAAGGGAACCTGCTGCCTTGAAGGGAAGGACCCAGTCTGGGCAAGATTCATCAGCTGCTGACTAAAGAGTCCTTGGGCCCTGAATAACCAACAGTGATACCCAGGGAGTAATGTTATGGGTCTCGTGTGAAACTTGGATATGTGCTGGCTTCAAATAGTAGGTCTTAAATAGTAGGTCTTATTCCTAAATTTTATATGGAATCCTAAAATTTATATGGAACTACAGAAAACCCAAAATAGCCAAAGCTGTCCTGAGCAAAGAGAACGAAACTGGAGAAATTACATTATCTGACTTCAAATTTTACTACAGAGTTATAGTAACCAAATAGCATGGTACTAACCTAAAAACAGACACATAGACCAATGGAACAAAATAGAGGACCCAAAACGAAAGTCACACATCTACAGTGAACTCATTTTTGACAAAGTTTCCAAGAACATACTTTGGGGAAAAGACAGTCTCTTCAATAAGTGGTGCTGGGAAAACTGGATATCCATATGCAGAAGACTGAAACTAGATTCCTATCTCTCACCATATACAAAAATCAAATCCAAATGGATTAAAGACTTACATCTAAGACCTCGAACTATGAATCTATTAATTTGAGGAAACCCTCCAGGACATTGGTCTGGGTAAAGATTTCTTGAGCAATACCTCACAAGCAGAGGCAACCAAAACAAAAATGGAGAAATGGGATCTCATCAAGTTAAAAAGCCCCTGCACAGTGAAACAGACAATCAATGAAGTGAAGAGACAACTCACAGAAAGGGAGAAAATATTTTCAAACTACCCATCTGACAAGGGATTAATAATCAAAATGTATAAAGAGCTGAAACAACTCTATAGGAAAAAATCTAATAATCCAATTAAAAAATGGGCAAAAGATCTGAATAGACATTTCTTAAAAGATGGCATACAAATGGCAAACAAGCATATGACAAGGTGCTCAGCATCACTGATCATCAGAGAAATGCAAATCAAAACTGCAATTAGAGATCATCTCACTCCAGTTTAAATGGCTTTTATCCATGAGATAGGCAATAACAAATGCTGGAGAAGTTGTGGAGAAAAGACAACTTTTGTACACTCTTGGTGGGAATGTAAATTAGTACAACCAATATGAAGAACAGTTTGGAAGTTCTTCATAAAACTGTAGATAGAGCTACCATATGATCCAGGAATCCTACTGCTAGGTATATACCCAAAAGAAAGGAAATCAGGATATCAAAGAGATGTCTGCACTCTCATGTTTATTACAGCACTATTCATAATAGCCAAGATTTGGAAGCAACCTGAGTGTCCATCAACAGATGAATGGATAAAGAAAATGTGGTACATTTATATGCACAATGGAGTATTATTCAGCCATAAAAAGGAATGAGATTCTGTCATCTGCAAGAATATGGATGGGACTGGAGGTCATTATGTTAAGTGAAATAAGTCAGGCACAGAAAGACAAACCTTGCATGTACTCATTTATTTGTGGAAGCTAAATATTAAAACAATTGAACTCACAGAGATAGAGAGTAAAATAATGGTTATCAGAGGCTGGGAAGAGTAGCGGGGGGAAATTAGTGGGAAAGAGGAAATGGGGATGGTTAATGGGTATAAAAATGGTTAGAAAGAATGAATAAGACCTACTATTTGATAGCACGAGGGTGACTATATTCAATAATAATTTAATTGTACATTTTAAAATAATTAAAATAATATAATTGGATTGTTTGTAACACAAAGGTTAAATTCTGAAGGGGATGGTTACATCATATTCCATGATTTGATTATCATATATTACATGTTTGTATTAAAATATCTCATGTACCACATAAATATAAACAGCTACAAAAATTAAAAATTAAAAAAATTAGGTACCCACAAAAATTAAAACAATTTTGTATCAAATTGGCTGGGCCATGCTGCTCACAGAGTTGGTCAAACAGTATTTTGGATGTTTCTGGTGAATGTGTTTTTGGATAAGATTAACATTTAAATTGGTGGACTTTGAGTACAGCAGATTACACTCCATTGTACGAGTGAATCAAATTTAATTAGCCTTAATAAAACAAAACTATCCTACCCCAAGCAATAATTTCTTGACTGCAGAGTGCCATTAAACTTGGACCGTAACTATTCCCTGGGTGTTCAGTTTGCTGGCCTACCCTGTAGATTTTGGACTTGTATCTTCACAATCACATGAACCCATTCCTTAAAATAAACCTTTCCTTCTCTAGGTATACATATCCTGTTGGTTCAGTTTCTCTAGAAAACCCTCACTAATACACCCACCCAACATTTCTTTGACCAGAAATTCACTTTATGGCAAAAAATAATAATAATAATAACGCAGTGGGCTCATACCCATGGAATTCACTGTCTTACTATGTACTCCTTCATCCAGAAATAGCTGTCTTCATAAAATGTGTAATGGCCTGCTGAAGGCTCATTTATGGCAGCCTCTGAGAGACAATACTTTGTGAGCTTGGGGTGTTATCCTGCAGGACAGTTTATGCTTAAAAGCAACCCATGGCCAGAATGTATAGGTATGATAACCAAGGAGTGGAATTAGGAGTGGCCCTTCTCAGTATAATATCCAATAATTCACTTAAAGAATGTTATCTTCCTGTATCTGCAAGCTTGGACTTGGTGTGTTTGGAGTCACCAAGGGAGCTAAAGTGCTAAGAGAGGATTGCTTACACCAGGATACATGGTCAGGATGTTTCCAATTAATTGGGAGCTGCGATATCACTTGGTCATTTTGGAGACACCGTGCTATTGAACCAACAGGTCAGTGTGTTGTCTGGAGTGACTAATCCCATTTACTAGGGGAAAATTGGGTTCCTGCTACACATGGGAAAAATAAGAGTATGTTTGGAACCCAGCGTATTCACTGGGGTGTCTCCTGTACTTCTTTGCCCCATAGTACTGGTCAAATTGGAAATGGGACAACCCAATAATATAGATATGACCATACTCATATGCCACTGATCTAAAGAGTTTGTTTTTCCCACCAGTTTAAGAGCCCCATCGAGCCTGTATGCTGGCAGAAGATAAGGGAATTATGAGGCGGGTAGTGGAAGAAGGTAGCTTTGATTACTTAAGCAGTTTACAAAAACAGATACTATAGCAGCTACTTTTTATGTTACTTTTAAAAGTCCTATTTTTATACCCTCTGCCTTATGTGAAGAGCACTAGTGTGATTGTTTTAGGTTTCAGTTGGGAATGCAACTCAATTGACATCATCCTTTGATCATGCAATAGCTATGGGTCTTTGTGTGTCCTGTGCAAGGGAAACAAACTCTTCACCTAGGTGAACAACAATAGTGGACACTGAGGGGCAAAAGGATTGCACTATGTTAGATATGTATCACTTACTCCTCCAGAGCCACTCTCTACCTTTTTTTTATTCTGCTTTCATCCCTGAGAGGGTGATCTTTATGGATTATATCAACAGGCTTCCTTTCCTTTAGTTAGTTTCTATTTTTGTTTGCCCATGGGGACCATGGCAGGATATCATAAAGAAAATAATGAGCTTAGGCTATTTATTACATTCAGCTCTTTTCTTGTTGGGTCACCGTGAGATGGCTGTGTCCATTTGTTGATGGACCTTTTGTTAAAAGGTCACAATTCTTTTCCGAGTGGTCCTTTCTACATGACTTTTTTGAGTTCTGGTAATTACTCCCTTCCCTCAGTCCTTCCAGCCTAAGGGTTTTAATATCTCCAGTTAAGAGTGTTATCCCTTGTGGTTTTGCTGCACCCTGCCCACACCTTTGTAAACAATTTCTTTATTAAGCCATTCTTGAATCTTCCTATTTTGAATATGTCATCTGTTTCTTGCTGGGACCCTAACATGTCCCTTCTCGTTGTTTCCTCTCTATGTTGCCCCTTTCCTTCTCTAATTCCCTTAACTGTAGGTGCTTACTTAGAGTCCATTACTAGGATTTCAACTATTACCTCTAAGCTGATTAACCCCTAATCTATAGCTGTAGCCTGGATTTCTCTTCTCAGCTTCAACTCTGCCTTTGCATCTCCCTACTATACCACTTAAAAGTTAACATTTCCAAAAATGAAATTTGTCCCTGTCTCCCCAAGACTGTGTGCTTCCTGCCATGTTCCTAACTCAGTTCTAAGATATTTCAGGGATAAGGGTCCTCTTCTCATGAGTAAAAGTCAATTACACTCAAAGAAAAGGCATTTTAAAACACTACTGTCACTGTCATCCAGGTGTAAATCTCAAGTCCTCCTCCGCTCCCACCTCCACTGCCATCAAATCAGTTACTGTTAGTTCAATTCTACCTCTTAAATGATTCTTGAATCCACCCTTTCCTGTTTTTATGGTTACTATACTATATAGCATGGTGATGAAGGGATAGGTATTGGCTTCAGTCAGACCTGGATTTCAATTCTATATCTGCCACTTACTTGGCTGAGTTCATTTTCTCATTCAATGAATACTTATTGGGCATTAACAGCACCAGGTACTGTTCTAGGCCCTAAGGATTCAGCAATAAACAACAATAAGTCTCTGCCTTCATGAAGCCTACATTCAAGTGGGAGAGATAGATTATAAATATGTTAACAAAGTAGTAAATAAGGTATTTTTAGATTGTGCCCCAGTGAAAACAAAACAGGGTAGTGGGAAAGTAAGTGTCATGGGAGATGGAAACCTTAGACAAAGTCATGACAGAAGTGTGGCTAGAGAAGAAAAGAGGGTCCTGGACCAATTCCTGGAATATGCCAAGATTCAGAGGTTGGGAAAAATAATAGCAAATGTGTTACAGGCCTTACTAAGTGCCAGGCACTGTCCTAAGTGCATGACATAGAGTAATTCATTGAATCCTTTACCAAAACACTAGGAAGTATCATTTTGATCTTTACCACCATTATACTAATAAGGAAACGGAGGCACAAAGAGGTTAAATAACTTCCCAAGCTCACATAGAAAGCAAATGGTAAAACTGAGGCTTGGACATAGGCAGTCTTGTTTTGGAATCCATGTTCTTAACTACCATGCAGAATGCTGCCCTCCCAAGAGGAGGGAGAGGAAGAAGAGCCAGTAAAAGAGACTAAGAAGTAATGTAATCTGTATTATTTTCAGTTTTCTCATCTGTAAAATGGAAATAAAAAGTATGTGGTTCATGGGGTTCTTGTGAAGATAGAATTTTATAATGCTTGCAAAATACATATCACAGTGCTTGTCAAGTAGTAGCCACCCAATTAACGGTAACTACTATTTTTACTTCTTAGACTGTTGTAGTAGTTCCCTGAGTAATTTACGTTACCCCTCTCTCTGATCCCTTATGCCAAACCAAACAACTGGTTCACACATTCCAGTTTACCTCTATGCAGTGGTGCCATTCTAATATTACGTACCACTCATCTAATCAATTTCCTTCAGTGGTTCCCAATTGCCTGTAGCAGAGGTTGGCAAACTTTTTATGTAAGAGTACAGATAGTAAGTATTCTTGGGCTTTGTGGGCCATGTATTTTCTGTTGCAACTACTCAGTCCTGCCATTGCATAAGAAAATAATCTATAGACAATGCATAAGTAAATGAATGTGAATGTGTTCCCACAAAAGTTTACTTGCAAAAGCAGGGATCAGGCTCGGTTTGCCCCACAGACCATAGTTTGTCAACTCCTGGCCTACAGAATTCAGTTTGGCATTCAAGACCCTATCTACCTCTTACGCTGGTCTCCTGCTGCTCCCAATCATGCATTCAACATTCCAGCCAAACCACATGATGCTCTATTCTCTTTGTTTACACCAGTTCCTCTCTCTGAGTTGTTCTCCTCTTTAAGCTCTGTTAAAATCCTATCTATCTGTATTGATTATGGTCCTTTGTTAGCAAGTAACAGAACTGACCTTGGCTGTGGTATGTAGACTGCAGGTGCTCATACATAATAATGTTCTCCTCTTTTGTTTGGACAACCATCTAGATTACATTTCCCTGTCTACCTTGCACCAAGGTATGGTCATGTATCTAAGTTCTGGGCAATGGAATGTGAGCAGAAGTGATATGTGCCATTTTCCATAAAAATCTCCCACATTTTATCCTGCCAGTTGAATGCAGAGGACTTCTAAGACCTAGAAGAGAGCAGAGCCAAAGAATGGAAAGAGCCTGGGTCCCTTAGTAGACCCACTCTGGGTAGGACATGAATGGGAAATGGCTTATATTTTAAAGCCACTGAAATTTGGCAGTTGATGTATTACTTACCCAAATTAATACACTGGCTAGTCAAGGAGTTTATTTGGAAGACAATGAGTTAGCTTGCAGAAGGAATAATTAAACCAGCAGGTCTCAAAAAAGATGGAAATCATGACATTATCCAGGATCTATATGGAGGGAACTAATGAGCTACTTTTCCAGGTGTATTAGACCCTTCTCACATTGCTAATGAAGACATGCCCAAGACTGGGTAATTTATTAAGAAAAGAGGTTAAATTAACTCACAGTTCCACACGGCTGGGGAGGCCTCAGGTAACTTACAATCATGGCGGAAGCCACCTCTTCACAGGGCGGCAGGAGAGAGAATGAGTGCCAGCAGGGGAAATACCAGATGCTTATAAAACCATCAGCTGTCATGAGACTCACTCATTATCATGAGAACAGCATGGGGAAGACAACCCCCATGATCCAATTACTTCCACCTGGTCCCGCCCTTGACATGAAGAAATTATTACAATTCAAGGTTGAATTTGGGTGGGGAGACAGAGGCAAACCATATCACCAGGGCACCATTGGCATTATGAATCAGCTCTGTTTTTCATCTTTGCATTGCTTAGCTCAAGATTCAGATTCTTAGGCAAATCCAATGGACTTGGTTTGGACCTAGTACCCGCCACTTTCTTGATCAGAGGGGTGCAGGGCATATTGATTGGCAGTCCCTGAATGCTACACACAATGCGGGAAGGGAGTCTTCCAGAGGGAATAACATAACCGGTACTCAGAATATCATACAAAGTAGTGGTGAATATCCAGAATCTACAATGAACTCAAACAAATTTACAAGAAAAAAACAAACAACCCCATCAAAAAGTGGGCAAAGGACATGAACAGATACTTCTCAAAAGAAGACATTTATGCAGCCAAAAAACACATGAAAAAAATGCTCACCATCACTGGCCATCAGAGAAATGCAAATCAAAACCACAATGAGATACCATCTCACACCAGTTAAAATGGCGATCATTAAAAAGTCAGGAAACAACAGGTGCTGGAGAGGATGTGGGGAAATAGGAACACTTTTACACTGTTGGTGGGACTGTAAACTAGTTCAACCATTGTGGAAGTCAGTGTGGCGATTCTTCAGGGATCTAGAACTAGAAATACCATTTGACCCAGCCATCCCATTACTGGGTATATACCCAAAGGACTATAAATCATGCTGCTATAAAGACACATGCACACGTATGTTTATTGCAGCATTATTCACAATAGCAAAGACTTGGAACCAACCCAAATGTCCAACAATGATAGACTGGATTAAGAAAATGTGGCACATATACACCATGGAATACTATGCAGCCATAAAGAATGATGAGTTCATGTCCTTTGTAGGGACATGGATGAAATTGGAAATCATCATTCTCAGTAAACTATCACAAGAACAAAAAACCAAACACCGCATATTCTCACTCATAGGTGGGAATTGAACAATGAGAACACATGGACACAGGAAAGGGAACATCACACTCTGGGGACTGTTGTGGGGTGGGGGGAGGCGGGAGGGATAGTATTAGGAGATATACCTAATGCTAGATGACGAGTTAGTGGGTGCAGCACACCAGCATGGCACATGTATACATACGTAACTAACCTGCACATTGTGCACGTGTACCCTAAAACTTAAAGTATAATTAAAAAAAAAAGACACCAATTAAGAAGACTATGTAATTCAAACAAAACAAAACAAAACAAAACAAAGTAGTGGTGAACCTTAGACTTTATGTGGCCCACTATTGAATTATTAATTTCATTTATTGTATTTTTCATTTTCAGAATTTCCATTTGATTCTTTTTTTTATAGATTCTAGTTTTCTGGTGAAATTCTCCACATTGTTCTTCATTTTCTTGAATATTTATAGCCCATGTCATATAACTGCAATAACTTGGTCATTAAGTCTGTTCCTGTTGCCTGCTTTTTTTTTTTTTTCTTCTTGGTGCTGTTTCTTGGTACATTAGTTAATTTTTCACTGAGTGCCAGACTTTGTGCCTAAAAAAGTATATAGACTCTAGATGATCTTATGTGCTCCAGAGCGGATTCACCCTATATTTTGCCAGGCAGCGGAAGGGCAAATTATCTTAATCCTTTCAGCCACTGAGCTGACCTGAGGCTGGTTTGCAGTGTTTGCTAGACTCAACCTATTTCTAGTTTGCTCTATTCCTAGGATATAGCTCTCCAGGGGTCCCAAATGAGAACCAGGGATAGATGTTTCCCAGGGACACATCTCCTTGAGAAGTTCTGAACTCCAATTTTTGCATCTTCAGCTCTGTGAATCTTCCTGAAACTCCGCTCTACTTTTTAGCCACTCTGCAGGGCTTATAATCTTTATAATCTTTTGCCCTGTGCAACTTAATTGGCAATTTCCTGGAGTGGAAAAGTTGTGCTGTGTCAGGTTCACTTTCCTTTGCTGCTTCTCTCTGCAGTTTCATGGCTGTTCAAATCCTGGCTGGCCTTGGCAGACCTTAAACTTCAATTTTTATACTCCGAGTTCTGTGATATTACCTAAAGCTCTGTTGACTTCTCTGCCTCATAGGAGTCACCCTCTACCCAGTTTCTGGACCAAGAATTGAGAAATACCCTAAGGGAAAAACAACATGCAGAAAGTTGGGCTTATTTTCATGAGCTTCCCTTCTTTCTGGGTTCTTACCTCTCAAGGCCTGGCTCTCTGATGCCTTCAAAAAGGAACTTTTTGGGGAGTATTTCACCTGATTTTTCTAGTTGTTTGCAGCAACAGCATTAGTTTGCTACAAGTTGCTCTATCTTAAAACAGAAGTCCCTTGTGTGGTACAATATTTTAATAAGTATTGGGCCTCCAAGAATTTTCTTGTATATTTATTTTATTTATGAGATTCATTACTGGATGAGAAACCGGCTGTTTGCACCACCTCAGATATATAACGTTTAATGATGATAATGATGACAGTGTGTGTACCAGTCAGGGTTCAGGGCAGAAAACAGAAACCACTGTAAGTTTCTTAAGCAGAAGGGAATGCTCTTGCCTCTTTAATTACAAAAATGGAATTATACAGACCATTTCCTTAAATGTATCATGGCATACTTTCAGATCAATAAATGGACAACCTTTCCTTTTTAAAAAAAATTTTAAATTTTTTAGTTTGATTTATAGTATTCCACAGCATGGATGTTCTGTAATGAATGTAACCACCCCCCCATTGGTGGGCATTCAGGTTTTCTCCAGGTTGTTTTCTGCCACTAAAATAACACTGCAATAAATATCTTTGTGAAAACACATGCTAATGCTTTTATTACCGTGCAAGAGACTTTTCCAAGTACAACTGCTAGGTCAAAGTGTATACATATTTTTATATTGTAATATATACAGTTAGATTATGTTCCAAAAAGTTCCTAACAATTTACAGGCAGGAATTTAAAACAGGGTACTGAGTACTTACAAGATTGCTGGAAGGTCTAACGGTCTATTTCACAAGCGTAGTTCCAGAAAAATACAGAACTGAAACTTTAAGGGAATTACTATCTTTGATGTCACCAGTAGAGCTCTGCCAGAATCAAAAACCTGCTCTTTTCTCCTCTGCAGCTGCTGCAGCTGTTTCTGAATACCTACGGATCTAGATGAAGAGCATCCAATAGCTGTGACCCAGTGATTAGAAACCAGATGGGGACGCTGCTGTTGTTGACTTTGGTGGGGGTAGCACATCACTTCCTCTTGAGACCTAGGAAGGTGGAAAATGAGCACTGCAGAAAACCTCATATATACACATAGTTTTTCAGCCCACTTTTAACTGCCAAACTTCATATGAGTGCATCTACTTGGTGACATCTAATCCACATGGCAAATCTTAGGTACAGAAGATTCCGGGGTGTAATGGAAGTGAAGCAAGCCAATCCATAGTATTAGCACAGTTTATAAGCACTATATAGTATTATTAACTACCTGATTCTGCATAAGACTGTGCAAAGACACTAATTTTGGGGAATCCTCTGTCTACCACTGGACCTTAGAAGCAGGGAAAGAGACAAAGAGAAGATTCACAAAGCAGAAAATGCATATGGCTTATAAAATTATGAGAAAATAATTTTTAAATAACTCAATAGTAATAGAAAAATAGACGTTAATACCAAATATCTTTTTCTGGCCTATACAATTGACAAATGTAAATTTGAGACAATCTGCAGCTGGTGACAGGGCAATAAAATGGACACTTTTATTTTATTGACCATTGGTGAGAGCATAAATTGGTCCAAATATTTTGGAAAGTCATTGGACAATACATGTTAAGAACCATTACTGATATTCATACACTCTGACTCAGTAATTTTACTTCTGGGACTCTATCATAAATTAATAATCCTATTATATTGAAAAGAGGTTTATATTTAATGATATGCATTGTAGCATCATTTATAATAGGGAAAATTTGGAAACAACCTAAGTACTAGAGGAATGATTGAGTACATTTTGGAACATATACAAAATTAAATATTCTGTAGCCATAAAATAATGCATAAGTGAAGTGGTAATAATGTTTACCAGATTCTTTTATTTTAATCCATTGAGCACTACAAGGAAAATGCCTAAGACCTATGAACTTCCCAAGGATCTGCCAAAGGGGTTTGAAGCCTGACAAAAGTTATTGGCTTCAAAATATGAAGATAACTGCAAAATTAAAGTCTATAAATGTCTAAGTAAATGTCAAAAAATGTAACTCATCATTTTTATAGATTATTTCATTTTGTGTTCAGAACAATTTTGACACATTGGAAAAATGGTTGGTTAGATTGTATCAGTTGGTAAGAATTCTTTAGTATATATAATCTCTGCTAAGAAGCATAACTGATAATAAATTTCAAAGGCAAAATTTTAAAATCGTCTCAAATTTTTAGCAAAATATATACTTATTTGACATGGGATATGGGGTGTGTACATGTCAAAGTATATGTGATAAAATGTAGAGTGGAGCTTCTAAAAACAAGAGTGCCATGGGATTAGCATGGTCTAAAGAAATGCCATGTTTTGAGCACCCACCGTGTGCGACACTTAATGTACATCATTCTTTTTAATCCCCACAACAGTGCTGGGAAATAGTTCTGTTTATCATAATTTCTTTCATTTGAGGAAACCTAGGGCTTTAGGGAAATTAAGTAATTAACCTCAGGTCACACAGCTAGGGAATATGGTGATGGGGTTTGAAGGCAGGTCAGCTTGACTCCAAATCCTGTGCCCTTAGTGAGAACATAGGTATGTTTCCATGTCAAATTAAAAAAATAAGTTTACAAAATTGTATACCTGGTTTGAGTATAACTTTGGAAAAATACAGGATTCAATAAAAGCAAAAATTTTTTTCTGTTTTTTACTGTTCTGAATTTTCTAACATAGTTTTACAACAATCAGGCAACCCGTATTAATTTCTAAAAAAAATTGATCTTAGAGGAGTTTGATAATAATGTTAAAATATTGACATCTTGCGGCCGCGTGGTGTCATTACAACCTTGGCTTTACTTTCAGTGTGGGAGCTGACTACTAGAGGGCAGCACTGAGGTTTATTCGGGTCACGTTTTCTGGGCTGAATGTGGCAGAAAGCTGGGTCACTTCTCCACTCAAAACTGAAGAAAAGCAAACTCATTTATAATGCCATAAATACACACACATATATGTCAACAAAATAACGTATACTGTAAATATACAGCGTAATACACTTCAATAACTTCTTTGCATCCTGAAGCAGTATAGCAAAGTTATTCAGCGTCAGGCCCAGGAACTATGCTACCTGAATTTGCATCATGGCTCCACCATGTATCAGCTGTGTGACTTTGGCCAGAGCACATAAACTTCCTGTACTTTATTTTTTTTTTCTGTATCTCTAAAGTGAGAATAAGAATTTTCCCTACCTCTTAGGGATGCTGTGAGAAATAAATGAAGTAAGGCTAACAGTGCCAGTTGAAAGGAGATGCTCAAAAATTGGAAATTATCATTTTGCCTGTTGCCCAAAGCTATTCTACTTTTATGAAACAATATATGCCTTGTTGAGTACTATAAGTATTTGTTTAGTACTATAAGCAGACGGAGAATTTTGTTATTACTACTGAATCAGAAAAATAACTTTCTGTCAGGTAGGGTTAGGTGAAAAATCTAAAGGAAGGTCGAGAATCACAGTTCAGAGCCCTCACTGGAATGAAGCAAAATGTGTAAGTTTGCCTAACATCCTTTCTTGTAGTTTTCCTCTCTCATTCTAATTTATCTTTGTCCATCACCTCCCTTGTTCCCCAGGTTCTCACTTCCCCCAGGACAAGGAGCTACTTGTCCAAGCCTTATTCTGGATGATTAACTAGAAGCACACCATTCTGAATCATTTTTATACCTCATGCCCCAGCCCTGCATCTTAGTCTCCAAAGGAATGCAAGGATCCTAGGCTAATATTATGTAAGGCCATTTCCCATGATGTATGTAATTAGGAGTTCCCTGTAGTGTTTAGTAGTAATATATGTATATATAAAATGTAAAAGCGCTACTTTTTTTCTTTGCAACTAATGTTAAGAGGAAAGCTCAATCGATGTGACTGGCTTCACAGTTTTGTGGAGGGAGAGGGTGCTATTTTGGATTCTTTCATTCCATGGCACCTTAGGGAGTAAAGATCATACAGAGAAGATGAAATTTTGTAAATTGTTAGGCTTTGATATTGGAAACATAGACAGGAACTGATACGAGTTCCAACAACATGTAGTAGAATCCGTGAACATTCTGGTGTTGTAAGTCCATGAGAACACTAAGGTCAATACTTAATCATACAGTGTGCTGATGTTTCTGACATAGCAGTTCTAAAAGGTGTATAGGAATAATTCTTAAGTTTGTACTCGTGAATGGATTTGAAGTATCTGTATAATTTTAGATTCATGAGGACCCCAAATGGTTTTAGATTTCTGTTCTAAAATCATCTTTAATTATACTATAACTAAAACTTAGAGATCTAATGGGAATTCTTGAGTGTATGGATAAATCCAATGACCCCCATACTGTGATTAAGAGGCAGTGGTTAAGAGTCCTGACTCTAAAGCTAGAGTACTTATTTTCACAGATGGCTCCACCAGAAACTAGCTGTATGCGCTTGGGCAAATTACTTAATCTCTTTGTGCCTCAGTTTTTCATCTATAAAATGTGGATGATAATAATACCTACCCCATAGGACAGTTGTGATGATCCATTGAGCTAGTATATGTAAAGTCCGTAGAGCAACAAGTGTTTGTGGAACTCTTAATCAAAAGAAGCAAATTCACTTTAGAAATTTTATTTATGTGCTAATTCCCAGCTACTTCTACCTATAAATTTAGAATCTTATGTCTATTCAGGATTTTGGAACATTCCTTGAATGATGGTCCCTTGAACATCCTAGTCCTCATCAGAACCTTCTCATAAAATCCATACTGGGGTTGCTCATGGCACCATGCAGCACTACATAGAGAATGCTAACTGGGGCCCTCACTTGCACCAGTATTTCCATCAGGTCACCTGAAATTCTACAATTAGGGATTGTTTCCTTTGGGTAGTCACGGTGTGTTTCTGGAGACTCTATTAGAGTGCAAGCAGTCTTTGGAGGGATAGCACAAGGGTGCATTAGTGGAATATATCAAGGATAAACGTGAGCTTTCTTGGAGCCAAATAGTCTTGCGTTTAAATTTTCTGGCTCTATTACTTACTAGAATTAGAGTGTCTGAGTTCAAATTCTGTCTCTACTGACCAGTGGCTGTGTGATTTTTGGTAAGTTACTGTAACCTCTCTGGATGTCTGGGAATTCAAATAGTATCTATCTCGTGGGGTCACTGTGAAGATCTAAGGAGACAGGGCTTCCAAAAATGCCTGTCACATCATTGGCACTCAGTAAGTATGATTATTGCCTAATTTATCTCAGTCTTGGCATCCTCATTTACAAAATGGAAAGAATGGGTAATATCCACCTTCATGGTTGTTGTGAACATAAAGATGTACATATAAGTATAATGTACATATAAAATGCCTGTCATACTTAAATAAAAAACTGATAGATAGTAACAAGTGTTGGTAAGAATGTAGGCAAAAAAGAACCCTCATATGTTGCTGGTGGGAATGCCAAATGGTGCATATACTTTGGAAAACAGTTTGCCAATTCAAAAAATGTTAAACATAGAGTTATTATATGACCCAGCAATTCCCTGGGTATATGCCAAAGAGAAATAAAAACAATATGTCCATATAAAAACTTTTACACAAAAGTAATAAAAGCAGTATTCATAATAGCCCAAGGTGGAAACAACCTAAATTTCCATCAACTGATCATGTGGTATACCCAAAAAAGTGGAATATTATTTGGCCACAAAAGAAATGAAGTACTGGTACAGGCTAGAACGTGCATGAACCTTGAAAACGGTTTGTTTTTCAAACAAAGTGTGTTTGGTTTTTTGTTCTTGCGATAGTTTACTGAGAATGATGATTTCCAATTTCATCCATGTCCTTCTTTCATTCAAACAAAGAAGCCACTCGCAAAAGATCACATGTTGTATGATTCCATTTATATGAAATGTTCAGAATAGGAAAATCCATAGAGAAAGTAAATTAGTGGTGGCCTGGGGCTAGGAGGAGGAGAGAAATGGGGAGTGACTTTTAAACAAGAATGGAATTTCTTTGTGGGAATAATGAAAATGTTGCACAAGCTTGTGAATATACTTTAAAAAAACCCTAAATTATATACTTTTGTGGTAGATAAATTATATCTCAATAAAACTATTATTAAAAAACATTTCTCATTTAATATAAGTCATTTTTAGCCCTTAACACCTCAGTTCTCACGTTGGGAATCCAGAACAGGGCCCTGAGTGAATGATGCCCAGGACAGAGAGGGACTTCTTAAGGAAAAGGAATACATCTAAAGTATGGGGAAACAATGTCTCTGTACAAAGGTGTAGAGGGAAGTAGGGAGTCTCTCTTGGGAGGAAAGGCAGTGAAGGCACTTAAGGGGAATAGGAGAAGGAGACAAAATTCACCTGCTTTGAATTTTGCAGGGAGCCAGCCTGGATCACCTTTTATATTCTGGGCTGGAATCACAGCTGATGAATGTTTTGGCATTTAGAACTGTCCTGGAGAAAGGGCGATTGGTGGTTATTAGACAGAATGGAACAAGGAAGAACACAGAGGCAAAATCTGAGAGTTTGTGTCTGACTTTGAAAGGTAAAAGAAGGCAGTAGTCTGTGGAGGACGTATTTATCCAGAGGACTCTATTTGTTTGTTAATCTCTGGGTCATTGCATTTAGGTCAGCACTAACTCTGCTACAGGTGGGATCAATTTAAAGGATTAGAAGTGTCACTCTAAATCCTAATCCAAGTCTTGGTCTGCGGATGCTGAAGAGTGATTTTCAAAACATTTACTAACGCTTTCAATTATTTACCCCATTAATGGAATTTGTCAACAGACTGGAGTCCTTGACAGGATTGTGAATGCATAGAGGATGCAAAGAAATGGACACACTGAGGTAGCTATGCCAGTGGTCTGCATGCGCAGGCAGTAAACTGAAGACATTTGAGCGGTGAATTACTTGGTGAGTAGTTGACAGCTCTTGTTTATAAGAAAGATTGTAATGGGGGGAAAAAAGACACAGCCCACCTGGGAGCTGAGACGCTGATTGAGATACATTAGTTTTACTGCAATATGTAGTAAAAAAAAAAATTTAAAGAATGAAGGAAAGAAGGAAAGAAGGGTTAAAGAGAGCCTTCGAGATACTTTAAGTCAAGATTTGAGCTCAAAGGCTCTCATCCAAGCTTTCGTTTAGTTTCTCTCATGATTCTTTTTTTATTGCTTCCTGATGTTGTCTTATACAAGCTGTTAACTTGATTCAGGCTGTAATTAGAAAGACAAATCAATCTTTCATAGAAGTCCTCGGCTTGACAAGCTGGTATGAGGAGCCATTTCCCTCAGAGCTATTTGTCATAGTCTTTCTTTGTACATGTTTAACGAACGGTGGTTTTCTGTGTGAAGCCAGGCTTCCCATCAGATTGTAAAAACTACCTGAAATGAAATTATGCATCCCTATGCTCTAGCCGCTTTCCATGGAAGTCTGATCCCATGCAGGTGTTCACACCTGAGTAACCTAGGCAATGGCCCCAGAACAACTGTGGGCCAGTAGTATTCTATTTCCAAAATTTCATACCTTCAAACTTTGTTTTAGTTATATCCACATTTCCCATTAACCCCAGGAAAGACTTTAGTGAGCTAATTTTTTTCCTTAAACCAAAATCAGCAGGTGGAGGTTTAGGGCATCCTCCCCCTATCTTGCCCCTTTCTTTCCCTCCCTCCCTCCCTTCCTTCCTTCCTTCCTTCCTTCCTTCCTTCCTTCCTTCCTTCCTTCCTTCCTTCCTTCCTTCTTCTCTCCCTTCATTCCTCCCTCCCCTTCTTTCCTTCCTTCTTTCTCTTCTTCCCTCCTTCCCTCTCCCTTCCTCCCCCTTCCTCTTTTCCTTCCTTCTCTCTTCCTCCCTTCCTTCCTTCCTTCCCTTCTTTTTTTCTTTTTTCTTTTTTAAAGAATAAGTTTCCTTCTGTAAAATCTTGAGTTGGGGGATCAAGACTAAATCCTACAGCAACATAAAACTTTCTGGTTGTCCAGGGAGTCCTAACAGAGTTAGAAATATCACCAAATGCATCACATCGGTACCAGAAAAAATGTAAGGGCAGACCTTCAGCTTGGGAAATGTTTATCTTGCAGTTAACAAAGGGAAAAGAGCAACAAAAACTGAGAGTGAATGCCAAGGGACACTTTGTGGCATGTGGCCTGAGGAGGGACCCGTGTTGTATGAATTTTAGAAATGGTATAAAAAATCTAACTTTTTAGAATTTGGGGTGGGCATTGTGCTTAGGAGTTACCTGGATTATAACACAAAAATGCCAGCCTTACACCTAGAATGGACAGTTAATCACTTTGATCTGAGGGGCACCAAAAGTTTCTTCATTTTTTTGCTCAAAAAGTAGTCCATCCTCCTTTGCCTACCTGCAACTGATGCTTGAAATAGACATTATATTATTAGAGATTAATTATTTTGGCATAAACTTCTCCCCAGCCCTTAAGAGAGAACAAACACCACTGGTTGGGGAGGAATACAGGAAAGTGTCAAATATTATCATTCATTTACATATTAGTGCAAATCATTTAAAGAGTTTCTTTCTTTAGAGTTGTTTTCTCTCCATTAACGAGAGGGCAGAGAGAGCTGTGCTAGAAGTCTGAAGACAAACTTTACCCCTTGATAATTTTGCCAAAGGTGGGTCTTGATTAAGGCCTAAAATAGAGCATTTTAAATAACATGGTAATACAAAACATTTTATTTGTGCTCCATATCTCCTCTTCAGTATTAATTCAACATATATTTTTTGCGCACCTACTATGTGTCAGGCACTGCGAAGGGCACTGGAGATTTAATGTTAAGCAAAAGCAAGCAGGGAACTTACTAACTTGGTTTTCTCCCTCCTGAGGTACATGCTTGCTTTTCTTGTTTAGATTTCTTGGCCAGGCCCTTATACTCTCCCATTTTTTTTTTGTAGTTAGTCTTAGCACAGACCAACTTCTCAACGTGTGTTTGTTATTAATGATAATAAGATAACCAGTGATTTTAGGAGCCCAGGTTTTCAGTGTAGCATAACTCCAGCATTGTCGGGGAGTGGGGTCTTCACATCACAGAAGCTTGACAGAGGATTCCAGGCCAAAATTAAAAATGATCAGGAACTGGATCTACCAGATAGAAGCAAGTACTTTGGGGGAATCCAACTCCAGTGAGAAGCTAATTAGAGCAGCAAAGGCTAGAAAATGTTGAATGAACTCAGCAGTTTCAAAGTGCAGAGGTTTAGAAAAGTAACTGCCTAGACAAAGTACAGAATCCCAGGATGGATGGAGGTCAGAGAATAAAGGGACTTGCTGATCTGCTAGTCCAGCTAAAGGGGAAAAAGGAGAGACCTAGAGTAGGCAACAATCTGTTCAGGTCACATGGTGAGTTGGTGCAGAATTGGGTCCAGGACCCTGGCCTTCTGATTCCCAGTGCAGTCCTCTTTCCAAATAGGGAGGAAGAACCAGTGTTTATTGAAAGACAACTGTGCACTTAGTATTCTAATTTATTTACTTCTTTATCTCAAAATGATTAAATTAAATTTACCCCCACTTTGCAGATGAGGAAGTTGAAAATTGGGGCTAATATGCTGAAGGGTGTACCCTCAAGATTTCCATTCTCAAAGATTAGGATTAGCTTTACATAGAATACAGTGGAACTGGTGCTCCCCACCCCCAGCTGTGCAGCACTGTGCCCTGAGTGAGGAGTCAGTGGGCAGTCCCAGGGCTAGGCTTGAACACTAGTAGCAAATTACTTCTGGTTGGATAATGAATTTCTTGGTGGCTCCTCCCAATTTACTCTGCCCCTCCCCAACTCTACCTAATTTATTCTTTCATGGGTGACTGGGGAACTTCTTTAAACTGCAAATGAATGATTCGAACTCAGTTTGAGTAACATAGCAGGTATAATAATGGTAGTCTCATTGACTTCATAGATGAGGGGCTATCTGCAGAACTTCTATCTAGCACAGGGCTCAATCAACTGGGGTGCAAATCTCCATTCTACCGTGGTTTGCCCTTAGGCAAGTTACTTACCCTTTCTGAGCCTCAGTTTCATCATCTGTAAATAGTGATGATAATAACACCTACTTCAAAGGACTGTGATGAGTTTTTTAAATTCAGTTTTTAAAATGAGACAATACATGGAAAGAGTGTAGCCCAGCATTTGACACACAGCAAGAACTCAGTATATCTTAGACTTTGTTAGTCTAAGTGCTAATTTCTGGATTAAATGCACAGATACTGGGAAGGAACCCATGAAACTAGTGTGTTTGGGGAAGAAGAGGCAGTATGTCGGCTTTCTTGCCCTGTTGCTGTGAATAGGGTTTTGTTTCCCATATAGAGCTGTCCTCACTGTTGCACATTCCTAGTGGTCAAAAGAGTGAGGCCTATAAGGACAGAGAGATAATGTAGTTCAATATCCTTGTCACAATACAGACCAGAAATAGAGATCCTTCCCATATTACTCCAGATGAGTGGCTCCTACAGTGTCCTGCCTCCCAAATTTTGCCATGGCAGAGAAAAGAGGGAGGCTGGAAGAAGCTGGAAGAGAAGCTTGTGGCTCTTGACTAGAGCTCAGCTCTGGGTTGGGAGCTCTTTGAAGCCTGAGTCAACACCTCACACTTCATCCATCCTGTATCTCACTCTCATGCATTCAACATAGTGCACAGAATAGATCTAATTTTTTGGAGGCAGGTTAGACTGGATTATCTTTGAGGGCCTAGGAATAAATTTGAGGCTCTTATGCATATAATCAGCTCAGAATCATCTTTCCACTGTCCCCAAAGCAAAGTTAGAAGTCCTCCCCCATCCCACACACCCCTCAGCCACTGGCTTATGTTGTTTTGTGAACTGTTTGCTCCCCCAAGACTTTCTTGACTCTCATTCAAATCAGCTTTCACCAATATACGAATGTTGGGGCATACTATTTGTGGTAGGTCTTTAAGATTCACTAGATATGCCTCAGATTGGTCTCTTCAGGAGTCAAGGTTTCTCATAAAATTAGGAGTGAGAGTCAAGATAATAACCAACAGGGCTGGCACAGACAGAATTGTTGCTGCCCATAAACAACCAGTTTGGCCTGATTGGTGCACACCAGCGCTGATTATCAGCCCTGAAGAAAGCTATGCCATTATTTTGATCTTTGATTAGAATTAAGGATTTACTAAGGATTCTCCTTATTAACATCTCTGTGACCTATCTTTAAGTGTTGTGGGGTCTCAGGGTTTTGTCCTTTGTCTTCTTTCTTTACTCCACAAAAGGCATGTTTTAAATTACCCTCTATCAATTGATTACACTCAAATTTATAACTCTTATTCAGCTTTCTATTAAGAATTTATAACTCTTGTTCAGCTTTCTATTTTTTTCCTAGGCCCTCCAGTATGTGCTGTTATCTACTGGATATTGCCACTTGTTGGCCAATTCAAGATCTCTATCAGAATGCATCGTCTCTCCCACCTCCTTCCTCCAGTGTTTCCTATCTCAGAGACTTGTGCCATTTTCCAATCAGTTTCCTAGGTCTGAAAAGCTCAAAATCATCCTAGAGTCCTCCTTTCTTTTCACTTACCTTCTATATCTTGTCAGTCACCAAGTTCTTGTTATTTCTGTTTTCTTAATCTTGATATTTTTAATCTTGGAGGAGATGATCCCATTCCTCTAGGTCTTCACTACCACTCTCTTGGTCTGTCATCATTTCTCATATGGATTATTGTGACAGACTCCAAACTGGTCTCTTTGCCTCCAGTCTTGCTTTCTTCCAACTCATTCTCCACATTGTTGCTAGAGAGATCCTTTAAAATGGAAATCTGATAATACTATTTCCCTGCTTAAAACCATTGGGTACAGTATTCAATCATGGCATATCTTGGTGATCTGGCCCTTGCCTTGTCTGACATCACAGACTCAAGCAGAACAAATGCTTTAGAATTCTAAGAATCCATATATATATGTATACACACACACACATACATATATACACGCACATATATATATACACATATATATACACACGCACATATATACACACACACATATATATATAGTCTGTCTATCTATCTATCTATCTATCTATCTATCTATCTATCTATCTATCTATCTTTACCTCTGGGTCTTTCTGCATGTTGTTCCTTCTGTTTGGAAGGCTCTTAGCATCTTAGCACCAAACTACTCCTGCAACTTCATTCACCTGGCTAACTTTTCTTCAGTACTCAATCCAGAGAGACTGTTCTTCCTCCCTTCTCTCCTCCCCTGAAATCTGGGTTTAGGTGATCCTCTCTGTCTCTCTGTTTGGGCTACCTCAATCATAGCACTTTTTACTCTGCATTGTTATTATCTGTTTACATCTATTTCTCTCCAAGAGAGCTGTATGGGAGAGAAAAATGGACATATTGAAAACTATAATAATGATACTATGTCTAATATAATGCCAATGACTTGCCAGGCTCTGTTATAAGCACTTGCCGTGTGTTAACTCATGTAATTTTCAAAACACTGTAAGGTGGGCAGCTATTACTGAAGTTGAATAAATAGGAATTGGTGATAGATTGAATGTGGGGGAAGAGAAGGAGTCTCAGTGATTTCCAGTTTTCTGAAAGAAGCAAGTGGGCAAACAGTGGATGGATGTGCCATGTACTGAGATACGGGGTACAGGAAGAGGAGGAGTTTTGTCAGGATGGGGGAAAGAAACTTTTAGTTTGGGCACTGCCATTTTTTTTTTTTTTTTGCCATTCTTTCACAACCGATGATTTCCAGAAGCTTCAGAAATAATGTGAGTAACAAACCTTTTCCTCTGATTGACAGGCATTTGGAAACACCACCGTCTGTGTCGGGAAAGCAGAATAACTCTCCAGTATCTCGTCATTAGCTTGCTGGAAGCAGGAGGGCTATGTTCCTGGGACTCGGGCGCTTTTCTCGCCTTGTTCTCTGGTTTGCGGCTTTCAGGAAACTGCTGGGACACCATGGCCTTGCATCTGCCAAGTTCCTGTGGTGCTTGTGCCTTCTGTCTGTCATGTCCCTTCCGCAGCAGGTGTGGACACTCCCCTACAAGATAGGGGTGGTGGGCCCTTGGGCTTGTGATTCGCTGTTTTCAAAGGCCCTGCCTGAGGTTGCTGCGCGATTAGCCATTGAGCGAATCAACCGGGACCCATCTTTTGACCTGAGTTATTCTTTTGAATACGTGATTCTCAATGAAGACTGCCAGACTTCGAGGGCTCTCTCCAGTTTCATTTCCCACCACCAGATGGCCTCAGGATTTATTGGACCTACCAACCCTGGCTACTGCGAGGCAGCCTCGCTCCTGGGAAACAGCTGGGACAAAGGAATTTTCTCTTGGGCTTGTGTGAATTATGAATTAGACAATAAAATTAGCTACCCGACCTTTTCTCGGACACTCCCTTCTCCCATCCGGGTGCTTGTAACTGTCATGAAATATTTCCAGTGGGCTCATGCTGGAGTCATTTCCTCAGATGAAGACATTTGGGTGCATACAGCCAATCGAGTCGCAAGTGCTCTTCGGAGCCACGGCTTACCTGTAGGGGTCGTCCTGACCACAGGACAAGACAGCCAAAGCATGCGGAAAGCCCTCCAGAGGATTCACCAGGCAGACAGAATTCGCAGTGAGTGCTTTCTCCCGCTGAAATTTAAACGTGACTTCAGGGAAAGAGATTACAATCTCCAAAAGGTTTCCTACCCTCACACCCTAGGGTAGCACATCCCTTCCCATTTCTTTACACATTTGCCCTTTTTCACTCACACACAGGTCCCAAGACTGCCCTGCTTCAACAGAGCCTATTTTATGAACTGAATAACAGTACAAAGAACTCTGTGCTTCATATGCCTGTGAATGCTAGTGCCTGCTCTTAGCGCCTGAGTGAAGAATGGTGTCAAGAGCACTGTAGCCATACATCCTTTCTTTCTGCCCTTAGGACCTTGGTAGCTTCGAAAGTGCCAAAATGGTATGGGGAGGCGCGGGTCTTCTTATGGCTTCATTTTTGTTTGTTCTAGTCACTGAGGAGAGATTTACTTTTGACTCCCTTCTGGATACTTTCCTTCAACGGTACCCAGTGTCCTTGTGGGACACTTACTTAGAATCTGTCTTCTGTGGACTCCGAAATGTCCATACCTTCTGCCTTTTCTCAAAGCAGGGCTTTTCTTTTTGCAGCACACAGTTAGTTGATATGGGGGGCACCTAGCTGATGAATGAAAGCATATTAAAATGAAAAGACTGTCTAAATTTTAAGTTTCCCCTTCCAATGGAAGCTTAATGTTCAAAGACGATTCTTGCAGAGACGATAGACAAAATGTGAAGCAAAGGACTTGACCCACTAAAGCTATCATTCTCAAAGTTAGTTGGGTGCATTTTGGCAAAAGGGGGCCCTTTCTGGTCCTCTTGAATCAGATCTCTTTTACTCACACTTATGGCAAGCCCTTGTGACACCTAGTTTTGATTTTTTCTATTCCAATTTTTTAACCTCCATTTTACCTTCCTCTGGAGATGGCTATGATTCATGGGAACGCTGCTCATTCCCCCACTGCAGCCACTCCACCACTTTAGGATGGATATCTCAGAAACTATTTGACAAACTGATTCCTTCAAGGATTAGTCCTGGTCCCAGTCATTTCCTTAACCATTGTTAAGGAAATGTTTGTTAGAGAATGGTCCAGCTTAGGCCTGGCCTATAATCAGAAGCCTGTTTTAAGTTTCAAGTGGCTTCAGTATTGGACCTTAATTATGATGATCACAAGAGGATGAGGGCAAGAGGAGTTTTTAGTTCCAGAACTACAGTAATCTGCCTCCAGCTCCAGTTGACAAGATTCCGTGATGTTTAGCAATCAGTATGGCTCTGATTACTTCATAATAGAGCTTGATACTTTCAAAGCAGAGCATAGAATTATTTTGAAAGACATAAAATCATTTGCAGGAGGAGCCATGCCAGAAACAGGCTAATATATTTAGTATCATAACTTTATAATAGGTTACAAATCTTCTTGAAGCCCAATGTCTCCTGCAAGTTTATATTCCATGAATGTTTCACATCCCACCCATTTGTATACTTTGAAATGACATTTTGGCCTCTACCATAAAATGTTAAATAAATCCAGGCCCTGAAGCTCTTTGGGCTGCCAGACTGAGAAGAATTAGGATTGAGTGCTAACCACCCACAACCCCTTTGAGGCAGGGAGGGAGCAAATGCACATATTATTGCCCTACCATTAGAGATTCCTTTACGTCAAGGGTTCTCAGTGTGGCTGCATGCTAGAATTACCTGGACATCTTTTCAAGAATACTGGTGCCACAGCGCCACCTCCAGAAATTCTACTAGAATTGGTCTGTGGTGGGTCCCAGCAAAGGTATTTTAAATAGCTTCCCGGGCGCTTGTAACGTGCAGCCAGAGTTGAGAAATGCTGCTTTCACTTAATAATAATCAAATAAATATTTCTTGCTTTAAGTTCCCATTGTTTTAATATGACTTCGCTTAGTCAGATTGTTTTCTTTATTACAGTACAGATCTGCTCACTAAGGGAATGGAAATTTTGAGGATGCAGAGAAAAAAACCCAGAGAGGATGGTTATGGAGCAAACGAAGACCTTGAATAGCAAGGACAGCAACAGGAAGTGGAGGAGGGATTCAGAAAGAGAGATTAAAGGGAGTGAAGACAAAAGCTCTGCACTGCAGGATTTTCCTTTGTTTTTTGACAAAACATAGGCAGATTCAGATGAGGCATGCTGGGACCTCAGTGACATGAGTCAGAATGTGGGTGGGGTGGGGGCAGGGGAACTGAGCCATTGGTTGGGCTGTGGCCTGAGTACAACCTCAGGCAGCTCACTGTGCTTTGTTCAAAGGAGTGTGTAATACCCATACATGGTACAGGCACATGTCTGTATCTGAGGGCATGCCAACTGGTGGGTGAGGTGTGACAGGGGGAATGGTGGAAGGGGAGTGAGTGTTAAAGTAAGATAGACCTTGCCCTTGTTGTCCACTTGATCATTTGTTGGAAACAATGCCCCAACCCATGGGAACATGTAAAGCAGGATCCAGAGAATGAACAAAAATAGATTATCAGAGCTTTAGCTAAGTGGCCTAAGGGTCAGGCCACATCTTTTGTCCCATTAGAAAATTGGAGATTTGGTGAGAAACCAAGCCAGAAGCCAGTGAGTACAGATTGGGTCAACACATCAGTGAGGAAGACTGCAACACACCATCCGTAGCACATACCGGATCAAATCTTTAGCTAATTTTCCAGCTCCTCTCAACTGCTGGGACTGAGGCTGCTAAGTATTCCTGGATGTTATCTATCTGGACTGAGAAGAACTAAAAAGACAACAAACTTTTTGTGTGATCTCAGCTGAGAAGGTCTGAGGAAGGCAGAGCCTGACTTCTTCCCTACTTGGCTGGATTTGAGGCTACTTTTTAACACTGTGGACCCCCAAGCAAACCTTCAGAGAGGACACTTTGTGACATACAAAATACAGTGGAAAGGGACCCCTTCCTTTGGAGGGGCCTAGAAATATTTGGAAGTAGTAGGAATAATTGGGAGGTTTTTTTTTTTTTTTCCTGATCTGTTCGCAAAAGCAGTGATGGCATTGCCACGTGGCCGTAGCAGTGGTGGTTGTAGTGATGGTGTGGGAGGGGAGAGAAGAGCAGCCTATTACTGGCTGGTATGACACTTCTGGTTCTTATAAGTTAATATTTCCAATTAGGAACTCTCATTGGCAACTTACTGGAGTTAGAGGAAGCGCCTTTCTCAGAAACAGGTCTAATTTGCACTTACATAATATCAATGCAATGATAGATTTAATAGTAGGCAATAATAGCAATAATAATAGCCATGCACTCTTGGGTGGGAAAACAGCAGAGGTGTTACTATATGCTGCCATAGAGACAATAAAAGCAACCATACTATTACTTTACGTGTAAACAGCTCTCTACATTTTACAAGGCATTTGCACATAGATCTCAATTAATTCTCAGGATTATCCAGGAGATAGGCATTTTCTTTCAAGTTTTACAATACCTGTGAGTCTCACAGTAATAAGTACATATGTGTAAGCACTATCAACACTAAAGAAGGAATAAATAAAGTCTCAGAGTAGGGGGATTCAGCCTCTCCCAGATTCTCAACTCAATTCTCTTAAGCCTTGGGAGCAACTATTTCTTTGCTTTGACAAAGTCAAATAGGAGAGTTATTAATCAAAGACAAAGGCCTTAATTTATAGTCAGGGCTGCTGTGTGTGGTTATGTAGGTTGTGCCCTGCACAAGGAAACCTAGCTGATTGGACTTGAGGGCCAAAATCCAGTCCAGTCTCTGCTCCTCAAACCATGAACCCTGTTGGAAGTTTTTGTCCAATGGCACAAAAGGTCATTTACTTACCAAGCAGGGCACCTGTAGGGTTGCATTCATTCAGGAGGGGTTCCTCTTCTAATTCCTGCGAAGGTTAGCAGGAGGCCCTACCTGCAGCTCTTTAGAGAACTTTTCAAATGGCTATTCTAAGCCCTCTCTTCTCCTCGCCTTCTTGCTGATCAGCCCTGTGCTTGGCTGATTGTATAATCCTTTCAATCTGGGCTTACCGGGATGTTGGACCATTTGGGATTTCCTTTCAATCCTTCCAAATTGGGAATGCTTCATTACAACATGATGTTAAGTAAATATGACACCATTGGAATAGCCTTCTCTTGCTCTTCCAAAATTAGGTACCTGATTGCTATCTTATTGCCTGGGACAGAATGGCTTCTTCTCATTTATTGAAGATTCTTGTATATAAGAAAAAGATAGCAATAAAAATAATGGTAATAGTTAATATTTATTGGGAATTTACTATGTGCTAGTAATTTTTCAAGGGCTTTGTATGGACTATGTCATCCAATTATTGCATCACCCCTATTAAGTAAGGGCAATTATTGTTTACCTACTTTATGAATAAGACTTCCGAAGCTAAAAGGGGTTAAATAACTTACCCAATGTCATACAACTGGTGAATGAGAAAGCCAGGATATATATTCGGAGTAGTCTAAAGCAGTGGCTCTCAAATCTCAGTGGGCATCAGAATCCCCTGGAAGACTTATTAAAACACAGATTGTTGGGTTCCTCCTCCTGAGTTTCTGGTTCAGGAATGCTGGTGTGGGGCCCAAGAATTTGTATTTCTAATACTGCACATTCTCAGGTGACACTGCTGCTGCTGGTCCACGGACCACACTGAGAACCACTGGTCTATTGATAGACCAATACTATACTACCTCCTGAAGCATACTCACTTGAGATCCTGTGTTCTATATGTGGCATATAATTCAGCCCTTCCACCTTTCTTTCTTAACTTTTGGACCCATAGATACAATTCTTTTATGTGCCTCAACGTACCAGGTGTCAGCCCTGTTTTCCTATACTGATAACAACAGTGATACTGATAATACTATGACTAGGAGCCTTAGCATCAATAGGGAATTTGGTATAGGATTTGGTATAATGTAACACCAAATGTAAGTAAATATAAATGGCAAGAGGACAACTGGCTTTCATGAATGGCAAATGATCACTAATGATCAAATTATTGAAGGCTTGACACAAGAGGAAATCTCTAAACATCTAGACTTCTTGCATTTAAGAGGCCTTATGTACATAGCAGTTTAGGAAAAACAGGAGGAAACATATGTTTCAAGGTATGGAGAAATATAAAACCTTATCTCAAGCTGGGCAGCAATGTTAAGGCAACATTGCTGTACAAATTGCAATACAAGTTTGAGTGTGGAAAAAAACATGGTCTGATGCAGATGGAATAGTCTTTGAATGTTATATTTGTGTGCCATCATGCTGAGCTACTTGGACCAGTTCAACACCAGTGGTAGTTAAGTAAGTGGTAGCTTCAGGACTTATGGCCAAAAACGTGTGGGGTATCCTTAGCTGATAGAGATAGCCACACATCACCTAGTATAGTGTTCCAAAAGTCTACTTTGAGAGCCTCCTGCACTGAGTCACAGTTGGGGATGGGGCCTGGGAAACATGCACTTTCCAGAGCCTCCCACCTTCCTCTTACACAGCCATTTATTAGGCTGGGTGGGAGAAAACTGAGAGGGAGAGTGTAGGAATGTGCTTCTTTCACAATATGGCCAGATAGGAAAGAATCCTGAGAGAAGATGAGACTTGGGATAAATCTGCATGCTGCCCTCCTCCTCTGGTCTGCCTCCCCTCCCCGCCCTGTTAGCAACTGTTCAAATGAATGACAGTGGCAGGAAATATCACAAAGGGGTTACAATAAAGAGCAAAGACAGTAGAATGGGGGGGTGTCTCTGTGGACTGTGAGCAATATCGATGGCTCACAAATATGAATATGGCTCCTAAGGACTCCTTTAGCAGCAGCAAGTGGAATCATTTCCATCTTGCAAGGTGTGAAACTGGGCCCAGTTTCCTCCATGGAGGACACCATAGCCAGTAATCTGAGAGAAATAAGTGACCTTTGCCTTTTCAGAAACACAGTTACTCTCTCTCAAGAAAATATTTGATATAATATTTTAATTTAGGAAGAGAAATAGGAATTGAGTGACATGGAAATTGGCTTCTCCCGGAGTTTCATGGCATTTCCTGCTGCTAGTGAAAGAAAGGGTCCTAGACAGCCTGCTATGGTTGGTGCCACAATATAAAGACATAGACACTAGACAGCTCAAGTAGCTCAGAGAAAGTGCTGGTGTCATATCCTGGTGAGATGCGATCTCAGAAGGGTGTATTTCCTGGTCCTTGTTTTGACTATAAAGTAGCTTGATAGGATGGAAACTTACAAATTAGTATTATTCAGTGACCACCTGTTGACCCAGGCCTTGTTTAGGATTTAAGGTTTCTGTACACTAATCCTTTCCTGACAACAACTTACAGGTCAAATCCCATTTTAATGAATGTAATTTTAACATAATAAAACTATTTAGTAAAATTATCTTGTAGAACAGATGTATCTACAAATCCCTGTTCACGAAGCACTCAATCTATTAAATTAAGATGCTGTTGTTTGAATTCAGTATTTATGCTTTCTACTTTAATCATGTTCAATGGCAAGATCTTGCCAGGCAAAAAATAGAGGAGCCTGTGATTATTCCCTGTTGAGTTTCCTATTTCTTCTTCTATAAAATGATGGGGACAGGTTGGCCTACTTGGTCTTAAAGGGTCTTTTCAGTTATAAAAATTCGGACCCTTTGAAATATGGTCAGTATGGGTCAATGAAAGAAAAATAAAGAGGAGAGATTTAGGGTTGAGGGTAAGGTACTGGGCATAGTTAATGATAGTAGGCATGAACAACAGGCATGGCAGTATCTACCTGCCCAGCAAATATCACTTCCAATTGTTCCTCCATCCTAACAATCAATATATGCCCATATCTCATATCTCAAGGAACCCACAAAAAATACCCAAGTGTACAAGCTCTCTTCCTGAAGAGGCTGTTAGTTTACAAACATTCATCTAAACAACATTCATTGTGTGCATAATATGTACAAGGATATGGAAATAAATAAGACACAGTTCCTGACCTCAAGGAGCTCACAGTTTGGTAGTAGAAGCTGATATAGGTAAATAACAGCAATAAATCTTGTAAGTGCCAGGATAAAAATTATCTCAGGGTAAGGTGGGGGCTCTAATCCAGTGTCACAAGTCAGTTTCCCTGGAAAGCAGCCTGTTAGATGGAGCTTTGAGTGCAGGAAGCTTACTGAATGAGTATTTTCAAGGAGAACACCTGTGAGGAAGAGAAGACAGTAGGATTGGGCAGAGAGAACTGAACTGCAGTGCAGCCACAACAAAGGCCTCAGCCAGTCTTAGAGGGGAGCTCTAGAGCTGGTATGACCCTTCAGAGTTGTCCAGAATTGAGATAAGGAGTCTGGGCTGTTCTACCTCCATGTGGAATTGTCATTAGGTTCAGTCTCACCCACAGAAAGGGGCACAGTGTGTAATAATAATTGTTTAACAGTCAGATCTTCAGATGGAAAAAAGTTTTGATTTGTAGTGTTTGCTGATTTCCATAGTGTAATCACTCCCACAGTGGTCAATTTCAAGCTAATAACATGATGTTAACTGGCTCACAAAATCTCTGAAAGTTGAACCAGCAAAAGCGAACCCCAGCACACTACTGAGAGGATGTAACCTTGAGAGAGGTGCCTTTCCTTAGCTGAGGCCAACTCTCAGAGAAAAGTCACCTATCAGCTACTAACACACCCAGCAGCTGGTGGAATGAGTGCTTCAGTGCTGAAGTGTGTATCTTGATGGCACATCACCATAGCACCTACTACGTGTAATGTATGTTAAAGTATTTGCTGTATTGCAATCAGCACCAAACACTAGTTCTATTTAACATTTTCCATGCAGTAAAGTCATTTTAATATTCCTTTAAGTAAATTAAATCAAATTGTATCACTGTTGAGTAACCTTGAACAAATCACTCAATCTCTGATTTGCAGAAGAAAGATGCTAATACTGATCTACTTGCTGAGGATACTGTTGGACAAACTGGCCAACCGAAGCCTCTGACTAAACTCATTTTCCCCGCCTCAATGGACCTATGACTATACTAATTTGACCAAACTAATTTACTTTTAATGGTTCAGCCAAATGTAGAGAGTGAGAGGTCTTCAGTTCTACTTTCTTTTTCTAAATCCAACTCTTGCATTGTCAAACATCTCTGGCACTCCATTTTCCCATGATACAATGTGTGATTATAAACAAGTGAGGCTGAATTCCTTGTGGGGCTCATGAACTAGCTCCAAAGATATCCTTCGAGAATTCTAAGGAAGGTCTGAACATCAGAATACATGTAGAACCTCTTAGCGTAATTATTTTGAAGGAGTTAATGGTCATTTGAAAACTCATGTCATGTTGTGGTGTGTGCATATGTGTGTGGTATGTTTAAATAAACTTCATAACTTATTAGTTACACTTTAAAAACTAAAAGGTACCAGCTCTAGCTCAAAGGGAAACTTTCTAGGGGTGCTTAGCAAGTGTAAAAAGGTGTTTGAAAATAGATGAAACAATATGCAAATGCCAAAGACAAGTCATTGAATGTAGTTAAGCACCCTTAGTTCTTGAGATTAAAGGTTCCATATAAACATGTATAATTAATATTTACCAGTAGCAATAGAGTCTTTGCCTTTCTTCAAGGAGCTCAGAATGCTTGCCAGGCATTATCTAATTAAACTACTCAGTGTACCTGTAAAATGCATTGGAATCTACATTTTAAAGATGTGGGCACTGAAGCACAAGTGGGCTTAAACTAAACTTATTTAGCATGCCAAGGGTAAAATTGGATATAAGACTTTCAGTCTCATGATCTAGCTGCCATTTTTCAACCGTGGCCCCCTTGAATCCACTCTATTCTAGCATAACCTTGCCAAACAACATAGTTTCATAAGTCTAGGAAGAATTAAATTGAGTCCATAGTAATTTCAATTACAGGGAAGTTAGATTTTAAAAAGTTGGACATCTCACCCATAATATTACACAGAGTACGTCCTTAATCTGAGAATCTGAAATCCGAAATGCTCCAAAATTGAAAACTTTTGAGCACCAACATGACTCTCAAAGGAAATACTCATTAAAGTATTTCAGATTTCAGATTTTTGGATTAGGGATGCTCAACAGGTAAGTATAATGCAAATATTATACTTAATATCCCAAATCTAAAAAAAGTCTGAAGTCTGAAGCACCTCTGGTCTTCAATAGTTTGTATAAGGAGTACTCAACCTGTAGTAACATTTATAGGTGAGTGAGTTAGTGCTTTTCATTGTCTATAATGACCTTGGTAAGGATGAGAACAATTGGTCAAAATGTATTAGAGTGCATGTTTGTAGGAGATGGACAATAAAAAGCAATAGTGGCTGTGGTAACATCTCCCATCCTCTCTTACTATTCTCTCTTCTAATTCTTAGGTATATAGTAGCTACTATTTATTGTGTGCTATGTACTAAGTAAATGACTTGTCTCCTTTCTTCAATCATCACTACCATCCCATAAGTATATATTGTTATCTCCATTTTATGGACGAGACAGAGAGCGGTTAAGTAATTTAAAAAAGGGTACACAGTTAAAACTGGTGGTGTTACGATGTAAAGCTGATTTTTCCAACCCTAAAGCCTCTTTTGTTATGCTACTCCCCATTGATTATACTAGTTCTTGTTCCTGTCTGAGTATTAGGCTCTGCAGCCTGTAGGCATCTCTCTCTTGTCACTATCCCCAATCCAGAGTCCATGAGCATACCTCAGCCTCAGCTCAGGACAACATCTTGCTTATCTTGGAGGCATAAGAAACCACTTACAAATTGGTTAGAACACATTTATTTTTCCTCTCTGTAGTTTTTGGTACTGTGCTTTACTAACAGTTTGCTTCCATAACCTCCTTGCTTTGTTGGTTTCAGTAATCATCATGTGTATGCATTCAGCTTTGATTGGGGGAGAGACTCAGATGCATCTCTTGGAATGTGCTCATGATCTGAAAATGACTGATGGAACCTACGTCTTTGTTCCTTATGATGCCCTGCTCTACAGTTTACCTTATAAGCACACCCCCTACCGGGTCCTAAGGAACAACCCAAAGCTCCGGGAAGCCTATGATGCAGTGTTGACCATTACAGTGGAGTCCCAAGAAAAGACCTTCTATCAAGCCTTCACAGAGGCAGCAGCAAGAGGTGAAATTCCTGAGAAGCTGGAGTTCGATCAAGTAAGTACACATTCATAGGTTGTCATGAGCTGAGAACCTAAAACATCAGCATGGTAAATTATTTTCAGACCAACAGTCTCAATTCCATAGGAGGCCCAGTCAATGGCAGGCAACCACAGACAAATTAAAAACATCTTTAGTTTGCTGAAAACATTTGTGAAACAAAGGCATATTATTTGAGATTTTGTTCTTTTATCTTTAAGCAGCCCACGATGACATTATATAGTCAGGAAGAATAAATGTATTTAAGAACAGATAAACAAAACTTTAATATATACTGGTGCTGTTCAAGGGAGCCTAATAAAAATAAGTCCTGTTTGTGGTGTAAGTTCTGAATTAATTTAACAATAAGGCAAAAGAGCTAGTATATAAGAAACTATTTCCTTTATTTTTGATAACACTGGTATTGGAGGATGCGGCTTCTACCTGTAGGCATTTGAGCTTCCCAATACTGAACCCAAGGATTAAACAAACTTCTCCATCTGGCCAATGGCATTGCTGGACCACTGCAGTCCTGCCCCATGAGGGCAGGTCTTTTTTAAAATGTGTAGTCTGGAGAGGAACAGCAGAGCATTTGCTTCTTTTAGGTAGTCTGCTCCCAAGAGAAAGAAGACAGGAGGGGCTGAGCTACACATACTTACTTCTCCTTCCAAACTAACCAGTCAGATTAATTCATTTTTCCTTTGTGGGGAGGAATGAGTAAGTGGGTGAAGACAGGCCACTTGGAATGGGGAAGAAGTCCTCCCTTCTGATATACAAGAAATAGTATTTATATGTGTGTAGATAAATGTATGTATAGGCATATTTCAGATTCCAATCATAGCCACTGAAGGCTTAGAGAAAGAAAAAGGAGTGAGGAGGGGAAGAAAGTAGAGAAAACAATGGAGAGCAAAGACAAAAACAAAGAGGATGAATACAAAGAAGACGAGGAATATGAGAGGAAGATGGGGAGACAAAAGAAGCCATTTAGATTGGAAAAAATACAGAGGGACGTTTCTGTACACTGGAGGTCAGATGTAGAAAGCAGACATTTTCAAAAGTACTTAGAACAACATACACATAAGTTTAAAAGCTCTGGCATTTGCTAGAATACTGCATTAGTCATATTGCTTCCAGCTGTAAGAAATAGCTCAATACAAAATGGTTTAAGTAATAATTCTTTTTCAAAATTTGAAGATAGGGCTTCAGGGTTGGTTAATTCAGCAGTCAATGATGTCATCAATGAAACATGTTCATCTTTCCACTTTACAAGCCATAGCATGCTAAGCTTGCCCTCATGAGCTGGTTCCTCTTATGGTCCCAAGGTGGCTGCCACAGTTCCAGACATCACATACGGGTGGCAATGTCCAGAGGTGAAAGTAGAGACTGTCTTTCCCTTGTGTCTCTTTTTAAGAGTGAGGAAATCGGCCGGGCATGGTGGCTCACGCCTGTAATCCCAGCACTTTGGGAGGCTGAGGCGGGTGGATCACGAGGTCAGGAGATCGAGACCATCCTGGCTAACACGGTGAAACCCCATCTCTACTAAAACTACAAAAAGTTAGCCGGGCGTGGTGGCGGGCGCCTGTAGTCCCAGCTACTCGGGAGGCTGAGGCAGGAGAATGGCGTGAACCCAGGAGGCAGAGCTTGCAGTGAGCGGAGATGGCGCCACTGCACTCCAGCCTGGGCGACAGAGCAAGACTCCATCTCCAAAAAAAAAAAAAAAAAAAAAGAGTGAGGAAATCTTTCCCAGAATCTCCCCAAGTAGACTTCTTCCCATACCTTGTTTGTCACGATTGTGTCCCATGCCCATGCCTAAACCAATAATCTGGAAGGAGGAATGTGACAACTGTGATTGAAAAGTGTGAACAAAATATATAGCTGCTGGAAAAATGTGAACAAAATTGAGATTCTGTTAGCAAGAAAGAAGACTTAGGTAGGCAGTTGATTGTGTCTGATATTCATATTCTTTTTTATCTGTCCTTTATTTCATCATTCTGTGGGCTGCTTCTCTGTCTGAATAGTGATTCAAATGAAATTTAGGTTTATGTATCTCTTTCTGCTCGGAGGATTTATATCAAATATTTTGCTGATTCTTGTTCTAATAAAAAAATTAATAACAGAGATATTAACAATGCTGGATTTGGACTTTATTGTTACTGATAAGTTTATAATAAGTATTACTGTCTTTTAGGAGACACACACATGCACACACACACACATAACTGAAAACAACTGGTCAGTTTAGTCAAGAATTGCAAAACTCAAATTGCTAAAAATGGTCGGTCAAACCAGTTGTTTGATGTGTTTATAGGCAAGCAACAAGATGGTAACTTTTTGTACTTTTTAGCCAATGATATGGCATCACATAGATACAATTAAAGTCAAATTTCTATTTTAATCAAAGGATCAAAGGAAGGAAGGAGAGGGTGTATGTGTGTGTGTGTGTGCACATGTATGTATGTGTATGTATATTGTTCATATATATGAACAGGTATTTTGATATAAAAACTCAGACCTTCTTCTCTTGATATTTGCATCAATCCTTTTGAGCTTGTGGAAAACATAAGGTAATTAAGGCAAAAAAAAGACGCCATTAGCTTGGTTGCTAGGCAGCCTGCACTCTGCTTTACACAAGGAAATAGAATAGCTACAACAAAGAATCCAGAGCTTATGAAAAAGCCTGTTTGGATGCATTTGTACCCCTCAGTTTGCAGGTGCCCAGTCTGGACCTTCATAACTGAAGAATGATAAAAGGGTGAGATAATTATCTTCATGTCTCTGATAAACAAAACCCCAATTTTCCTTAAATTATCTTGCTCAAAGGTACTTTAGAAGGCAGCCAGTATAGCAGAAACTGCATGTTAAGCTCTCACTTTTACTAGCTGTGTGCCCTTCGGCAAGTTACTTAGACATTTGAGTCTCAGTTTCTCTATGTGTAAAATGGGTAAGTGAGCTATATCTTCTAGGACTACTGTGAAAATTAAACAAAGTAACATGTAAAAAGTGACTGTCAGAGTGCCTGGCTCACAGCTACCTTTCTTTCCACTTTTTCTCCTTTGAGGCTAGGATGACCTTATTGATTGGTGGTGACCTAGCATCTAAGTTACAATCTTTAGCTTCCTACTCTCTTGAAGTTTTCTGATTACTGGCAGAGAGTCTCTCAATATTTCCAGCTTTCAAAATTATAAATGGCATATTCTCAGATCAAATTATGTAGTTTGATATTTGCCTATCCCTGGGCTTCTGTTGTTTGTTCCCTATTTGGTCAACAGGTCAACAACTATTTATTGAGCACCTCTGATGTGCTAGGCAATATGTTGAACCCAAGATAGAACACTATACAAGACAGACAGGGTTTCTAGCAATGGTATGTTAGAGCCAGTCCAGAAAAGTTGATTCTGTGCATCTTTTCCCAGCTCTCCATTCAGTGACATCAATTGGTAGCTTGAAATCAGGCATGATAGTAGTAGTTACACCGCAGAAACAGGCAAATGCTACAAATAAGAGTTTTTTTTCCCTCTCCATATAGCTGTTGTCAAACACTTACTAGCACATCACTCATTGCCACCCTTATAGACCTTAGATTTTAGTGAGAGAGACAGATAATAAATGGTTAAGCAAATGCATTAACAAGATGGCTGTATTTCTCCCTTGCCCAATAACTTTCAATGAAATAGAGATTTCTATGTACAAGGAGCATTGCCTACAGCAGTGGTCTGCAACATCTCTTAATTTGTACCCTTGCTTCTTTAACAAGTAAAAAATGAAATGAACAAAAAGCTATCAAAGCGATACAAACACATAGTTTTAAAAGTCAAGAAATGCTAAAAGGTTTATATCAATAACAAAGCAGTCTATAAGGCCTCCTTTCTTCCCTTCATCAGAAGCAACCACTTTCATATTTTTTTAGCTCTTTATTCTGGTATTTACTTCTATGTTTCTAAATGCTATGCTGCTACTGGTGACTCTCGATTAATCAATTTTGAGCATTATTTGTTGTATTACTATTATAGTTGAGGAGCACTCTTAGTCTTTTTGTACTTCCTTACTCTCCTTTAAACCTTAAATATGGTTATGTCCCAATTTATAGTTAAATCCATATTTAGTATTTTTAACATAGTAACTATGTAAATATCATTTATTGCTAATCCACATGAAATAATATGGTTATAATTCTTGTCACATGTAACTTCATTTTTACCGGGGTTAATAATTACTTCAATTTTTAATTTGTTTACCTTAATTTGAATGTCTAAGTCTTTCCATACTTTCTGATAAGGCTGTAAAATCCTGTCAAAACAATTTTATGCATAGTAAAGCCTATTAAATACCTTATGAATTTCATTTGTTTTTGCTGGGGCTCTCTGTCTTCCTATTCCAATCTAAACATTTTGCTCCCTAAGGCTGCTGCACAGCTATTAATATTATGCTAGTTTTCTATTTTCATAATTCTTAAACGCCTCTTTCTTTCTCTTCTCTGCAGGATCTATGTTTTATGAATCTCATGACCTATATTCTTGGTTTAATCTGTCATTTTTGTGGAGCACATCCTGTAGTAGCTTTTTACAGGAGGTAAATTTTTGAGATTTTGCATGTCCGAAAAGTCATTATTTCATCTTCACTATTGATTGATAGTTTGAATGAGTATACAAATCTAGGGTAGAAATCATTTTCCCTCAGTCCTTTGAAGACATGTCACATTGTCTTCCAATTTCCACTGTTGGTGTTGAGAACACCAATGTCATTCTTATTCCTAATCTTTTGATACAACCTATTTCCATTCCTCTTTGTCCTCTCAGAAACTTTTAAAATGTTCTGTTTATTTCTGATGCTATGAAATTTCATGATGATGTATGAGTCTTTGACACATGATATGCTGTATTGGTGGAGCCTTTCAATCTAGAAGCTGATTCCTTCTGAGAAATTTTCTTCTATTGTTTATTTGATAATTTCTTCAACAACATTGTCTTTCTTCTCTCTGGAAATACTATAAGATATATAAGATATAAGATGTCCTTGGTTGATCTTTTAATTGTCTTATTATTTATCTTATATGGTCCATATTTTTGTTTTTAGTTTTCCTTTCTGGGAGAGTTTCTCATCTTTGTGTTCTAACACTTTTACTAATTCTTAAGAATGATTTAGTTATATTTTTAATTTCCAAGAGTTCATTCTTGTTGTTATCAATATAGTATTTTTCCTATTTTCTTGAGGTACTCATTATAGTTTTTTTGAAGTTTTCTTCTGCTCTCTATTTTATCCGTTTTTTCCTCAGTTCCTAATTTTTCATGTTTTTATTTCATGTTGAAAGTTTTCCTTAGATGTCTGCAGATTTGAAGGTTTATGTGCATGATGGATATGTTGACAAGTGGGCTTCAGTACAGGGCAATTGGCTAAACAGTTGCTTTTTGTTTGCTTCTTTTGGTCAATATCTGTAGGCCTTGGCTCTTGAGCTAGTCTTTTTCTTCAGAGAAGAGTCTTCTAATCTTCTTGGGAGTCATAATCATAGCTGTCAGTATTCCGGAAGCAATGTTGGGAGGAGACTGGGATTCTCACCATTAAGCATGAAAACTTTAACTTCATCACTGTTTTTTTGTGCTCCACCTCATTTCCAACTTCCTTTTCGTCTAGTGCCCCAGCTCTGGAGCTGCTCTGAATCAATTTAATCTGTTTCCTATAGACGTCTGCACCTCCTGGTAGAGGTGGGTATGGGGGATGTCTACATGTTTATTACACAGACATTCAAAGAGCCCTCGCTCTTTTAGTGTTTGGCCTCACCTTCACTTCTACAGTACTTGGTGGTTGTAATTACTCTTTCCAGGATTCTTAAGGGGCAGATCTGCTTGTTGCTTATCAGTAATTCCCTCTGCAAGCACTTAGGTTTGACTGTTCCCCACTTTGCTAAATCAGTTGCCATGTTTGTAGCAACTTTTTATTTTCAGATTCTGTGGTACAGGGTTACAGATGTTTCCTAATACCATTAGATATGGAGATTTAGTGTTTCTGTTCCTTGTTCTCTTTGTTTGAGAGTGATGTTTGAGAGGAGAAAGAGAGTGAAGTAAAAAAAAATCTTGATTTCATTATTTTTAATCAGGAAGTCTATGGAAAGTCATGAAGGAAAAAATAAGTCACAAAAGGGTGCATGTGATATTATTTTACTGGTGAGTTCACCAAAGCCTATTAATTAAGTTAGTAAGTATTTATTAAGCTCAGATTTAATATGAAGGTTAAGATCATGGGTTTTGAAGGCAGACTGCCTTAAGTTTACTTAAGCTCTCCATGTCTTCTTTTCCTCATTTTTAAAATTGAAAATAACAATAGTACCTAACTAATAGGGTTCTTGTGAGGATTAAATGAATTAACACACTAAATAGTTTGCCTGGCACCTGATAACCCCTCAATTAATGTTAGCCATTATTATTATTAAAGTTGTGGTTATTATTATTATTGTGGGTCAGGCACTCTGCAGGGGATATAATAGAGATCAAAATAGAAATGAGATCTTTCCCCCAATGAAGGAGAACAGTTTTTCCATTTCAGGTGCTAAGGAAATTGGATCTAAAATTGGGACTCTAGTACTTCTTGATCACCAGTTCAAAACTAGGACAAGGGACTTGAACATTATACTTCCAGGATAATGTTTCCAGAGCCCTGTGCTCCTCTTCTGAAATACAAATAATAGCAGCTGTTGTATATTCAGTGTTTACTCTGTACCAGGTCGTTTACATAAATGATCCAATGGGATCCTCAGACAACACCTACAAATTAGATATTAATATCTACATTTTGTGGTTGAGGAAACTAAGGCTCAAGGTAACTTGCTCAAGGTCATACAGCTGGGAAGTGGCAGAGCTGGGATTCCAACCCAAGTCTGCTACCAGATCCTGATCATTTAACCACACATTAGGCTTGTTGTGTTTTATTCCACTGTGCTAATAATATCTAATGCCAATGCTTTACTCAGGCAAAGTAACATTGCTAAGTGACTAATACTTTGATTTGAATAGATTTATTGAATTGTTTTCCTGTAATATAGGAGGTACTAGGGCCTTATGAGAACCTGTGAAAAGAGAACAATAAATCAGAATAGGGAGATCTGAGGGGTGGGGACACCAGTGATGAACTTCTTAATTTAGTCTCAGGATGATTGGGCAAGGATTATAACTTTGTACCTTTATATTTTGGCCAAATTAGAATTCTGAATTAGGGTTTGATGCCTACATTCTTCCTTTTCATTGTATTCCCAATGCTTGTTTTCAGTTAAATTCTATTGGCCACAAATGTATATGGCTGGAACACATATTTTGGATATTTTTCCAAATGTACAGTTATTTGATTAAGCAAAGGAAATCCTCAGGATTTCTTAGAAAGCTTGGGGACCTTATGCTCTTTATTGCTATTGTTTTCTATTACCCTAAATATGGGTGCCTGGCAGGGGAATTCTAGGCTGCAGCAGATGTGGTTAGGACTGGAACATTCCAGAATGGGGCCCACCAAACAAGGTTGTCAGAAAAGGTTGCCTGCAGCTCACAGTGGCTAAGATTGTCTTTCTACCCCATTCTATACAAAATAAGGGTTTTGTGTTGATGTGCATCACATCAAACACATTGGTCTTTTATCCATCTCTTGACTATGCCCAAGGGTTGAGATCATGCATTATTGGAGGTACTGCCGTTAATAACAAGAATTCAATTATCCTTTGGTTTCTTGATCTGTGCATGTGCCTGACTTTTTGTTCAAAATTGATGTGCCATTTTGTCCTTCAAGTGATGGCTTTTCAAGCTAGGCATGTTTTAATGTACACTTCTGAGGATAAAATTCTTTGGAAGGCGGTTTTGTGTCTTCTCAGACACAGTAAATCTGAACTGATGGTAGTCAACTTAAAAACAGCACGAACCATTATGCTGAACAAATTCATATATTACTGTTCCTGATCCAGACCTTATTCTCTTGGATAAAAACTTTAAAAGCCTCAGGTAGAGCTATCTAAAGTAACAGAATAAAAACCAATGATATGTTTTAATTATCATTCATAACTAATTCTTTCAGGTTCAGGTCTATACAGTAGGCAAAAACAATGGGCTTAATCATCAGTGGTCTCACCATTTTGGACTGTGATGTCAACAAGGTCATCTCTCTGACAGAAGTTCTTACCAATTCTGTCTTACTTTTTTGGAGCTGTAGTGAGAAGCTGGATAGAGGCCTGTAGAGAATGCCTCTTCTTCCTGTGTTCCACCCTTTACCTTTTCTCTTTCTCGTTATTTGTGGCAAGTGCAACTAGAGACCTTTTGTGAGTGATGCTAACATTGTGTGCCCTTGATGTTTGGGAAGAGGCAATTCCCTTTGCTGAAGGGCACCATGGGTGAAGCAGGAACTCAAACCAACTACAGCACAACTCCAAGGCCTTGAAGTGACAGTGGACCATCGTGACAGCCCCTCTTTTGCAAGTCAATGCTGTTGCTATAGCTATGCTATAAGTCTCTCTACCATACTTTTGTGGCTGTGAGTACATGTGTTGTCTAGGCTAGAGAATCCTGAAGAACAGGCTTCAGGTTTCAGTCGTCTTGGGGAGTTTCTGTCAGTCAGCTCCAATGGGTCAATCAGAGCACAAAGACCAGCACAGCCTGGCCAGCTGAAAACCCAGTGTGTTGGATCAACTCAGAGGTGGGAATGTTGTTTTTGAGTTTTAATCTTCACTTTTGGCTGTAGGTAGATGCAGTTTCTTTCTCAGAAGGCTCTGTGCCTTTCAAAACAGAACACTAGCATTCTGTTTGCTTTCAGGAGCTTGCTGCCCTGTGTGTGTGTGTGTGTTTTCACTTATTTGTTTTACTAGTATTGATTTTATACTCCACTTTCCATCCTTCACTTATTGTCATAACCTACCAAAGCCCCCAGAAAACAGTCAGGGTTTTGCAGAAATTACAAAGACAATCAAATACAGCATCCAAGAATGTCAGGAGAGGGAATTAGTGAAAACCTCTTAAGGGAGCTCAGCATGTGCTAGGCAACTAAGTGTGGATACCTTGGTGGCAGCACATGCCATCCATTCATGATCTGTTTCTACAGAGTACATCTTGAGACAGGGTGATGAAGGAAGATCATTGGAATAAAACCCTCTGGAGACTGAGGTATTGATTTCTGCTCTGCTAGTAGTTAACTCTGTTATGTGGGGCAAGGCTTTTGGCCTGAACAACTAGAAGAATGGAGTAGCTATTAACGTAGACTGACAAGACTCGTTGTAGATGGATCAGGAGGATTTGGGGTGAATATCATGAGTTCAACATTGGGTATGTTGATTTTTAACATCCAAGTGGAGATATAAAAGTAGGCCATTGACTATATCAATCTGGAATTTAGGATATAGGTCTGAATTGGAAGTATGAATCTGAGAGTTATGGCATAGATCTAGTACTTAAGGCCATGAGAGCAAAAGAGATCACCAAGGAAGTTAGTGTGGACAGAGAAGAGGACCAAGGACTGAGCTGTGGGGCACTCCAGTATGAAGAGAGACGTCAGCGAGATGAAGAACCCTTAAACAGGCTATAAAAATGTCTACAAGCTAAATTTTGTCCCTGAACTATACCAAGTATTAGGAATTTTCACAGGAGTTCAGAGCCAGAAGGGACCACAGGGGACATATATTCCAATCAAGAATGCTAAACTAAGAAACAGGAGACCTGGATTTTACTCCTTATTTTATGCTCAGGTAGGTGAACTTGACAGGTCATGTAACTTCTCTGTGTCTCCCTTTCTTACTTATAAAGTAAGATAGTTAGACAAGATGACTTCTAAAGTTTAGACATTCATGATTCTGTATTCTCATTTCACAGAGGAAGAAATGGAAGCACAGAGAAAGCTGATAAATGACTTTCTCAAACATTCTGGCATTAGGCACTGATCACAGGACAGGGTATCATCTTCTATACTGATGTCTTAAAATCCTGCATGCATATTAGAATCTTTGAGGAGCTTTTAATAATGCTGATTACTGGGGTATCAAACTAAAAGCATCTCTTTTTGTTGGTCTGGGTTCGGTTTGGCATTGCTATTTTTGACACTCTTCAGGTAATTCTAATGTGCAGCTGGTGTTGAAAACTCCCACTCTACATTAACAAGACATGGCAGTGTCTTGCTATCTGCTACACCTCTCTGCATCTTGACTTTTATTTCTAATAAAAAATGATTCACTCAATTTTAAGCCCTTTTTTTTCACATGAAGGTTGTTACAGGAGCTTAGCTTTCTAGATCTTGTGAAACCAAAGTAGCAAGTATCAGCTTTCCCTGATGCTCAGTAAAATGGCATGACCATAGCTTTCTTGAACTCCATCCTAGAAGTGAAGTGACATGGAAAACCATGAAGCCATGGCCGCGTGTGTGAGGGGCCATGTCGGGGGAGGTACAGAGAAGGGAGGAATTGTTTGCTCATCCTCTCTACCTTTTTGGAAAAAAAGATACAAGATTTTATCCAAAAATAAACTTACAAGGTTAATGGGCAGTGCATCTGGGCATAGTATACAAAAACATTGTTGCTTTTACCATATTTATTTAGCAGGCATAGTTATGCTATCCACCTTAGCAGTCTTACTGTTTTAAAGTGGCTTCTTGTTGAAGCTTTGCCACTTTGCACACCAATAGGTTTTCTGACTAAAATTCACATTCTCTATACTCTACAAACTTTGGCTCTAGATAGCTGGGTGCGTATGTGTCAGGGTGGATGTCTGCGTGTGCATACATGTGTGTATGTGTAGGTATGTGTTTAAAACTGAATTCTAATGTTCACTTTCTCTGGGGAGCATGTGTCTAGAAAAATAGCCATTTTGAACTAAGACAGGATACAGACATGGACTGTGGAGACACATTATTTACAGTCTTTCCACACACACCTACCACTCTAGTAGTGCCAGCAAAATGATTTTACCATGCATAGTGCACCAGTAATTAACCTGGCATATTTACTTTGAACTCCCCTTGTCTATTCTATACTTGTTTTCTTAAGTGCCCTTTATAATTCCAAATCATTTTCTTAGTTTAGGAGCATAAAAATATATTATGTATGACTTGGTTTGCTCATAAAATTGTCATATTTGATATATTTAAAGATGTGACAGCCTGGGGGAAAAAAAAACAGAAAAATTCAGGGGAGAAACCAAGCAAGTCCTTAGAAACAATTTTTTTCCTCTGGGTCTTCATAGCTCTACTTCACTCAGATGTGCAGACCATAATAATGAACACAGGCTTGGAATATACTCTGAGATCGCTCTAGGGCGACCAGGGCTCAAGATAATTGTAATTTTTAAAAATAGGTTTCACCGTTGTTTGGAACCATCTACAATTCAATTTACTTTATCGCACAAGCCATGAATAATGCTATGAAAGAAAATGGACAGGCTGGTGCTGCCAGCCTGGTTCAGCATTCCAGAAACATGCAGTTCCATGGATTCAACCAGTTGATGAGGACAGATTCAAATGGAAATGGAATTTCAGAATATGTAATCCTGGACACCAACTTGAAAGAATGGGAACTCCATAGCACCTACACTGTGGACATGGAAATGGAGCTGCTACGTTTCGGAGGGACCCCTATTCACTTCCCTGGTGGCAGGCCCCCTAGAGCAGATGCAAAATGCTGGTTTGCAGAAGGGAAGATCTGCCATGGAGGTAAGGAATGCAAAATCACTAGTAGTCAATTTGGCTCAGCTTGGGTTACAAGGGAACCTCTTTAGGAGAAGGCACATTTTAATATTGAAACACTCATAAAATCAGTTATTTGCATTCGAGTGACATACACTTCTTGGCACTCTATCTAGTTAATTTAAAATAATAAGAACAATGAGAGGTACTTTGCAGCCTTGAATAACCATCCACAATTTAAAAGCCTCCCCACCACTCTTTTCAAAAAGAATCCCACTCTTTCCCAAAGAGCTTACTCTAAAAAGAGGAAGACATTAGCCTTCTTCTTGCTCTTTTGTAGGCTATGACCTATGATTGTTTCTCCTGCTTTCAAGGTCCCCTATCCATCCCTTGATGTTTCCAAATCCTGCCAATCAGGTCCTACCACAGAAATACCGTACCTATACTCTCTCCTCTCTGAACTCCCATTGAAGTAAAAGTCTGTACCTCACAGCTTAGCACAAAATTGCTTTTCAATTGTTTCTTGTGTACTGATTGTCTCTCCACTTCCACTCCCAAATATATTGCTTGTTGAGGGTAGGGACCATAGCTAATAATTTTTATGCTGCCCAACTGCCCAACACAGTAGGTATCCAGTAAATACTTGCAGTTTGATTGACTGGTGGAACTCCTCTAGCTTGTGGAAGAGGGGAAACTTTGTCCAATCTCTCAGAGCCAGAGGGGATCATTGGAAGGACCCATATTGTTATTATGCAACTGTATACCATACACTTTTAAAACCAAATGCATCTATTTGAAAGGGGCTTTGATTTCTACTTTGCTTTAACATGATATACCCAACTACCTCTTCACTCACATCATATTTCCCTAAAAAATCTTACTAATCTATCCAAATATTTAGATTTTATGGAGACTAATTTACATTCTGATGAAAACACTAATTATCAAAACCAGACTTACCCTCACCCTTGAAGGAGAAGTACCACGTTTTTCATCTATAACTCATATGGGCTCAGGTGAATTAAAAAGGCCTTTTATTTTATGAAGGCAAGATAATACTTAACTTTCACAGGTGAGATAACATATTTATTCTCAAGAACTCTATTGCTGTCCAACTTAAATTAAGGTACTCAAAGTTTTCCATTTGTGGACTCTTTCCTCCAAAGAAACACTCTGGTCAGCCTTAATTCATGTGATTTGTTATTGTCAGAGTGGTTAGTGGTTTTGCTTCACAACAGTGAAATTGCTTTCTGTGTCCATAAAGTCAACAAGACAGACTGTGCTGAGAAAAAATGGAATTAGGTTAGGTAGATGTGGCTTGATATTAGAGTCACCAGAAAGCATGAGGAGTCACTCTGTGGTGCCCTTTATTTACTGCCTCTCTCTGATAATGCCATTCTTCCTCTTCCTCTCACTCTCTGCAGGCATCGACCCTGCCTTTGCCATGATGGTCTGCCTTACTTTGCTTATAGCCCTGCTGTCTATTAATGGATTTGCTTACTTTATAAGGTACATTTTTTGTTATTTTTGTATATAAAAAATACAAGCCCATATTAGCCTTGTTAATACTGATTTCCAGGAAGTCCTGTTTCGGTACAATTGCCTCATTACATGACCCACTGATTTTCTTTTTTCCACAGTGGTTTACCATTCCTACAGGCCCCATTTAGAGTGAAGTGTTTTCATGATGCCAAGAATAACTTCCTCAGCTGTGTTGTCAGTGTTGTTGCCTGTGAATAGATCTGGCTCTCAACACAATGGTGAAATAAGAGAACTAGTACTTTAGGGCCTGTCTACTCCCTATCGTTGTTCTCCTTTCTCCTAGCAGAGTCTCCTATAACCATCTCCTTGCCCAAATGATATGTGATGATAGGGAATGGAATTGAGATATTTTAATGAATTCCAAGAATTAGGCAGATTTTGCTAGAATCCAAGCTCTAGCAATAATGGTATGAACTCATAGGATTATAATGGGGATTAAGTAAACTAAAATAAGTAAAGCACCTAGAACGATATGTGACTCATAGTAGGTGCTCAATAAATGGTAAAATCTCAACCCCTTCCCAGACACAAGGAACTCTCTTGCTGATTGTTGGAAGCTCAGGATCTTCACTTTGATACTCATGCCTTTTGTCCAGGGTATCACATTCTAGATTTCTACCATCTTGCTTCCTTGGGCAAAAGTTATCCTGTCTAATCATCAACATCTTTATTATCATCAAGTTTTGTCTTCCTCTCTCAGATCCCTTAGTACATGATCAAATAATCTAATGAGCTACTTCAGAATCAGGGATAAGTGGCTGAAGATGGCCTAACATGACACCTCTTTCCTATAAACTTTGCATTTTAACACTTGGACCCTCTCCATACTGGAATAATTGGGGGAAAGTGAAAAATAAAATAAATTATAACCATCCCATTTTCCCATTGCTACCCTGCAAACCACATCATTGTCACCTCTTAGTAAGGGTGGTCCTGACAACAATATGTCATGGATTGGTAGGGAATGGAGTGAGGCTGTTTTGGTGAGTTGTAAGAAAAAAATTTCTATAGTGTATTAAATAGCTGTGTGACCTTGGGTAAGCCCCCTAACCTTTCTTGGCCGGAATTTTCTTATTTGCGCAATGAAGAAATTGGATTAGATGATGTTTAAGAGCCCTCCCAGCTCTGATATTTTAATAAGTCTGGGAAATCCTGGATTGAAACCATAACAGTTGTTACTCTTAGTGTTTAAAATGTTAGCATAGCTGTGAAAACTTCTATTATCCAATTTCCCCAGTATTAGAAATTTGATAAAGTCGCACAGAGTCGTAGGTAACTTATGAATTGTTAAAACACTTGATAAAGACACTAGTTCAAAGGAAGTTTTTCTTTTAATTTCTGTAACTGGGACATATTCCTGCTAAGAACAGAAATTTAATATCTTTAACTTAGCTGCTGCCAAAGAATAAAGTATTTAATTAACATCATTAGATTCTTAGCAAAAATAAACTCTATCCAATCAAAAAGCTTCCCTCTCTAGAGAGATTTGAGGAGTGACAGACTCTGTCTACCTAATGCCAAAACATCCCATGGCAATGTGGGAAATGGAATCACTCAGCTGTTTATGTTACTTGTCAACCGCCGCAACTGACAGTTTTCACTGGTCTTTCCCACTGTATGGACTGGTTCTTTGGGCTTTGAGTGAGCCTAGTCTGCAATTCTTGGAAAAGGAAGGAAAAAAGAAAAGAAAAAAACAGTGGGGAGGGGTTTGTTTGAAGCTTGTGGGCTGAAGGGCAAAGATTGGAGAGGAAAATTATTGGAGAGGGACATGATTAGAGAGGAAAATGATTGGAGAGGAAAATGAGTTTGAGACAATTCGTACTTCAAATGGTCACAGAAAACTCAGAGATGGGAAAGAGGTACATCATTTCCCAGACTCACTTGGTCCTTGGTTCTTCAGCTAACAAAGCACAAAAGATACCCCCTCTTTGCTGCCTTCCTCCCTCTCTCTGCCCACCACGGCTGCAATCAGAAGAGCTGAGCAGCTGATGAGATTCTGTAATAGACGGTGATTACTTGCAGGAGAGTAACTCTCTGTTCCTTCCTTTTCTGTATGTTTTGATTGTTTAAGTTTTTTTTCAGAAAGAAAGACATGCAAAGAACCCAACCACCCCAAAACAAAGGATTCTTTGAACTCCTCCTTTCTCTCTACTCCTCTGGAACCAGATTGCATCGCCTTTCTATAAAGCTCTCCCGCGCTTTGTTATACTAATGATGATAATGATAATAACGATCCCTCATACTTTTATAATGCTTTATGCTTTTCAGAGCACTTTCACATACATTATCTGATTTGATTTTCAAAACAACTCTATAAAGCAGGTAATGCAAGGACTATTATCCTGCTAGATAGATGAGGACACTGAGCCATGAAGAGGATAAATTATTTATCCAAGGTCACCTGGACCTGGCTAATTAATGGCAGAATCTGCACCACACCCCAGGTCTCTGGATTGGGAGTCCAGTTTGCTTTCTACTAGAGTGTACTCTGTAGCATGATTATTTTTACAGGTGTGCCTGTTTTAAGACAATTCACCACACATATGAAACAGATCAGTTAGGGAGTGATGCTGTACTTTGCCAAAAGATTCATGTGCTCTACCCAAGAATCCACTACAGGGCTCTTTTAATTTTCTCTGCAGGGCAGCAGCTCCCACAGTGATAAGGGACATATTTGTTGGCAGACAATTAGAAACACGTTAATTGTTTGTTTACAAACCAGTGGAATCACTGAGAAAAACTGAGTTGCTGATACTTAAAGCTGCAGTGACATTGTAAACTTCTCCTTAAAGCAACTTGACGAAGCATTTTGATTCAGTGGTTGTTTTCTCCACCATGGCTCTTGGCTTTAACACATTCCACAGAGTAACCATTATGGGGTTATGGAAAAAGCAAAGCCAAATTGTAGCTGTCAGAGCCCCCAAGACAAAACAACAAAACGAGCATACCGACTAATCAAGATTCCCTCCAGGTCTTCAAGTTACCCAGTCAGACCTACCTGACTGCGTGAATACACATCATAAACTCCTATATGTCTAGTAATTGACCTGTAGAAAATAATTACATTCACTACAAATTAATGGGCATGTTTAGAGAGAATCGGGTTTAAACTGTGTCTGTAATGCTCAGACAAGAGACCAATTCAGTAAAAGAAAAAAACTCAGTCAGCCTACTTGTTTGGAATCATGTAGACAAAGCAACCAACTGACTGAATTTTTCCACTTTTCAACCTGTTGCTTTGGCAACACATAGATGCAACTTTACAAGACAAGTGTCTTATGGGCAGAAATCTGGGCCCACAGCCAGGGAGTAAGGATTCAAGTTCCAGCTCTGCCTCAGGCTAGGAGATCTCATGCCAATTTGCTCAATTTTGTTTTGTTTCTCTAATGTGTTTTTGTCTATAAAATGGAGATTAATGATTCTTGGCCCTGGTATTATTAGGATAAATACTATGGCATATGAGAAAGGGTGTTGAGTTCCTTAAATGTATTCAGAGGTGTTGTTTTGAATGTGTCCTTGATGTGGGATCACCATTTTATTAGCCTGAGATACCATTCCCATGCAGAGCCTTCGCACCTCTCTTTTGGTGCCTCTTCAAGAGCATTTTAATTTTTCTTTTTTGGTCTTTGTAACTGCAAGTTGTGCGGGCCAGGGTTGCTTCCTTCTTTTCCTGTGGGTACTATGGTAAAAATCCATGTGTGATTATCCTCCCAATTACCTTGTATACCTTGTATATTCTTTAAGTGCTATCTTAGGGCAAATTAACCCTGGCTTTGCCAAAACACCCAGTCCCTTGTGACCCTCTGATTTCATGTTTGTTTTAGGCGTCGTATAAATAAAATCCAGTTGATCAAAGGACCCAATAGAATTCTACTGACTTTGGAGGATGTAACGTTTATCAATCCCCACTTTGGCAGTAAGGTAAGGAGTATCCTCTTCTTTTGCTGCCCTGTCCAACATGGTAGCCACAAGCCACAAATAATTACTCAGCACTTGACGTGTGGCTAGTCTGAATTGTGATGTGCTATAAGAGTAAAGTACTCAGTGGGTTTAGAAAACAGTATAAAAACATGTAAAATATCTTATTAAATTTAAAAAAAAAATTAAAAAAATTAAAAATGTTAATTAAATGTCAAAATTAAATATTTTAGATATATTGGGTTAAAGTATATTATTAAAGTTAATTTTACCTGTTTATTTATTTATTTATTTTTTATTATACTTTAAGTTCTAGGGTACATGTGCATAACGTGCAGGTTTGTTACATATGTATACATGTGCCATGTTGGTGTGCTGCACCCATTAACTCGTCATTTACATTAGGTATATCTCCTAATGCTATCCCTCCCCCCTCCCCCCACCCCACGACAGGCCCCGGTGTGTGGTGTTCCCCACCCTGTGTCCAAGTGTTCTCACTGTTCAATTCCCACCTATGAGTGAGAACATGCCATGTTTGGTTTCCTGTCCTTGCGATAGTTTGCCGAGAATGATGGTTTCCAGCTTCATCCATGTCCCTACAAAGGACATGAACTCATCATTTTTTATGGCTGCATAGTATTCCATGGTGTATATGTGCCACATTTTCTTAATCCAGTCTATCGTTGATGGACATTTGGGTTGGTTCCAAGTCTTTGCTATTGTGAATAGTGCCTCAATAAACATACGTGTGCATGTGTCTTTATAGCAGCATGATTTATAATCCTTTGGGTATATACCCAGTAATGGGATGGCTGGGTCAAATGGTATTTCTAGTTCTAGATCCTTGAGGAATCGCCACACTGTCTTCCACAATGGTAGAACTAGTTTACATCCCACCAATGGTGTAAAAGTGTTCCTGTTTCTCCACATCCTCTCCAGCACCTGTTGTTTCCTGACTTTTTAATGATCACCATTCTAACTGGTGTGAGATGGTATCTCATTGTGGTTTTGATTTGCATTTCTTTGATGGCTAGTGATGATGAGCATTTTTTCATGTGCCTGTTGGCTGCATAAATGTCTTCTTTTGAGAAGTGTCTGTTCATAACCTTCTCCCACTTTTTGATGGGATTTTTTGATTTTTTCTTGTAAATTTGTTTAAGTTCTTTGTAGATTCTGGATATTACCCCTTTGTCAGATGGGTAGATTGCAAAAATTTTCTCCCATTCTGTAGGTTGCCTGTTCACTCTGATGGTAGTTTCTTTTGCTGTGCAGAAGCTCTTTAGTTTAATTAGATCCCATTTGTGTATTTTGGCTTTTGTTGCCATTGCTTGTGGTGTTTTAGACATGAAGTCCTTTCCCATGCCTATGTCCTGAATGGTATTGCCTAGGTTTTCTTCTAGGGTTTTTATGGTTTTAGGTCTGACATTTAAGTCTTTAATCCATCTTGAATTAATTTTTGTGTAAGGTGTAAGGAAGGGATCCAGTTTCAGCTTTCTACATATGGCTAGCCAGTTTTCCCAGTACCATTTATGAAATAGGGAATCCTTTCCCCATTTCTTGATTTTGTCAGGTTTGTCAAAGATCAGATGGTTGTAGATGTGTAGTATTATTTCTGAGGGCTCTGTTCTGTTCCATTGATCTATATCTCTGTTTTGGTACCAGTACCATGCTGTTTTGGTTACTGTAGCCTTGTAGTATAGTTTGAAATCAGGTAGTGTGATGCCTCCAGCTTTGTTCTTTGGGCTTAGCATTCTCTTGGCAATGCAGGGTCTTTTTTGGTTCCATATGAACTTTAAAGTAGTTTTTTCCAATTCTGTGAAGAAAGTCATCAGTAGCTTGATGGGGATGGCACTGAATCTATAAATTGCCTTGGGCAGTATGGCCATTTTCATGATATTGATTCTTCTTATTCATGAGCATGGAATGTTCTTCCATTTGTTTGTGTCCTCTTTTATTTCGTTGAGCAGTGGTTTGTAATTCTCCTTGAAAAGTTCCTTCACATCCCTTATAAGTTGGATTCCTAGGTATTTTATTCTCTTTGAAGCAATTGTGAATGGGAGTTCACTCATGATTTGGCTTTCTGTTTGTCTGTTATTGGTGTATAAGAATGCTTGTGATTTTTGTACATTGATTTTGTATCCTGAGACTTTGCTGAAGTTCCTTATCAGCTTAAGGAGATTTTGGGCTGAGATGATGGGGTTTTCTAAATATACAATCATGTCATCTGCAAACAGGCACAATTTGACTTCCTCTTTTCCTAACTGAATACCCTTTATTTCTTTCTTCTGCCTGATTGCCCTGGACAGAACTTCCAACACTATGTTGAATAGGAGTGGTGAGAGAGGGCATCCCTGTCTTGTGCCCGTTTTCAAAGGGAATGCTTCCAGTTTTTGCCCATTAAGTATGATATTGGCTGTGGGTTTGTCATAAATAGCTCTTATTATTTTGAGATATGTCCCAAACCAAATCCAGCAGCACATCAAAAAGCTTATCCACCATGATCAAGTGGGCTTCATCCCTGGGATACCTGTTTCCTTTTGTTTATTAATTGTGACTACTAGAAAACTTAAAATTACATATATGGCTCATGTTACACTTTTATTAAATAGTGCAGCCTTAGAACAGTGTTGTGGAAGTGAATGCAGTGCACTTGGAGCAATAGTTTAGCTTTGACTTTATGTAGTTCTTTGTTTATTTGGACTCAACATTTGATGGCTATTTCTTCAAGGGCAACAATATATTTTTTAAAATGTTAGCCTGACATAATGCTTATAATATAGTAGGTGCTTGTGAAGGTTTGGTGAATTAAACAACTAGTGAAAGAGTTGGATTTCACCAAAAGGTCTTCTCTGGTTGTGATTGTAATGTAATTGGTGATCTTCATTAAAGGTGTGCCTCTATGTCCTACCCCTGGGGCTAGGCCTTGTGAAAGATGACATGTAGTCCCAGATTTCAAGAGGATTACAGTTAAGTTAGAGAGACAAATCATACCACACAAGAGAGACAATGAGCACCATGTTGTACGAAGAAACTAGAATGTGGTAGGACTTCAGAGGAGGCATATCAGTGGAGGGAGGCTTTTCAGAAACTCAGCACAAAAACTGAGTCAATGAAGGAATGATAGGGTTTATTTAGGTCACAAACTGGTAACCACCTTTGTTTCACCCTCACAGTTATTTAAAAAAAAGCCAGAATTTTGAAATTGTGAAATTACATATAAAAATCTGGATTTCTGAGTTTTCTTTAAAAGTTTTAAGATCTGTCAACCTTGGATCTCATCATGACAATCGGCTATAACTCAGTAGTAGTTGCGTTTTGTGGAAAAGGCGTGTTCTTTGCAGTTTGATACAATTCCCACCACTCTATATTGTCTTATACTCAGCATATTTCACGTCTTTATATTACCTGTCTGGCCCCATAGGCGAGGTGTCCTAGGCAGAGGAAACAGTATAAACAGAAGCTTGGAGAAGAGAATATGTAGGGAAGAGTACTGTCAAAGCTAGCTAGTGTGTCTTCTTGTGCTAGTATATGTGGCCACAGTAAAGACACTAGACTGTAATTTATAGTATGGTAGTGGATGTAGGAAAAGTATACAAATACATTATGTTGTCTTCATGTGCCGTTTACTCTTGCTACACAACTGTGCCAGATTTGAGAATTAATTGTTGTCTCAGTGACCAAACTGCTCTTCTGCCTGAATGTGAAATTGAAAGGTATATTTAATTAGTTGGCTGGGTGAGAATGGATTTACATGGTACTACCCTGAGCAGTTGGAGTCAAATTAATTGTTCAGCTGTTTGATTTAATTTTCAATTATAACCCTAATTCTTACTTATTTAAATCATCAGATCTTTTTGTAAGGTTAATATTGTGTTCCTGGAAACATATTGCTGAAAGCCAAAACTGTCACTGTGGCTGAAGCCTACATTCCACCCTTGTGACATAAAAATTTGTTGATATTAGTCCCCATTTTTGGAGACACCAAAGGACCCTAGGACTCATGGTAGTGGAATTTGTCTGGATTTGCCATACTCAACATGCCTTGTATAAAATTTCCTGCCTTAAGTAGAAAGTATAGATGTTAAAATACAAGCTAGGAAGCAATCCTAATATATAACCCAATACTAAGAAAAAAGTATTCACTTTTGTGACAGGATGTTTTATCGAGAAATGGATGTTTAGTAGTAAAAGTAGATGACTAGAAGTTATTGTCTAAATGTAGCAAAATATAGTAAAGTTTCAGTCAAAAGCAATAAACCTATTTGTAAAATCCCCACTTCTTTGGTGGTATCCATGTCAAAATGACAGTTCATATCAATTGCCTAGATGTTTTAGCTCTAACATATCAAAATGATACACATAGCTCAATTTTGGATTGAATGAGGCTTTTATTTGTATAGGCTTTGCAATAGTCCAGTGTAGTCTATAAGACCTCCACCTATGCCTCCTCTTTTTTATACTGGGACATAAACCATATTTGGGTGACTAAAGCATACCAGGCCTCACAAAATTACCATAAATAGCTAAGCAGTGCTACCTTCAGGTAAACAAAGTACCTAGGGCTTTAAAATCTTGCTCACCATGATAGTTTTTTTCACTTGTGCATAAATTTTGACATGAGAATAAAAAGTCATCACTTTTTACCATATGAGTGAGAAAAATGAATAGTAAGAGGGCTATTACCGTTACTAAGGGATTGGTATACTCTTATAAGGGATGGGTAGCCTTATAGTAGGGAATGTTCTTTTGTAAATAAAAAAAAATAAATTGTTTTATTTCATTTTATTTTTTTTACTATTTTGGCCGAGGTGGAAAAGGATGGCATTACCCTAGAAGAACATAGCTCTTGGCCTCCAGATCCCTTTTGGCATTTGGCTTGTATTGGAGGTTCTGATGGGAAAAGATAGGGGAAGCATACATTTTCCTTAATTGCTGTGTAGTCACAAACTTGCAGCTGGCTGTGCCTAATCAGTCAAGAAGCCAAGCCAAGAATTCCATCCAAACGGAATGTCTGAAAGTGTAAACTCTTAGTGAATATAAAATTAATTCTGTCTAGAAAAATTGGCAGGTTAGGAGAAGTCAGGTTAAGAAAGGAAGTTTTTAGAAGAAAATGAATCTGAAGTCAAAATGTGTGTGGATTTTGGCAATTCTCTCACTTTCTCCTTTGCCCTTCATGGAGAGGTCTATATCTCAATATACAGATCTAGGTACTCCTGCTGAGATATGAAAATAAAGAATGAAAGGGAAATAGATTCCTCCCTGACCTTGCTCTGTTGGGGAGTGTTCAGGTTGATACAGAGGTTATGTGAAGAGTCAAGTTTTACATCTTGTCTGAATTTTGAGCTGTTGAGATTTCAGCACATTGCGGGCTGGGTAGAGTTTACCACTGTCTTGGAACTTTGTGATAGTCTTCATAGAAGGAGCTTAACTCTGGGCTAACTCAGGTGTAATCTTTAGTTGATCAAAGACTACTAAGGTGTAATCTTTAGTTGATCAAAGACTATTAAGGGGTAGAGTGTTGGGAAGTAGTTAAGATTAATTTTTATTGGCAAGCAAAGTAAAATAAAGCATAATGTAGTTGTAGAGAGAGCACAGGACTAGAAAATATAATACCAAGATTCTTGTCCCAGTCCCGATGTACTTCTCTAGGTCTTTGTTTCCTAATTATAAAATAAGGATGTTGGAGTTGAGGGTAGGGGCACTCCTAGACAATACCAAAAGGTAACGGCTAGCTCTGGATTGCTTTAATTCTAAGAAAGGCACATTTGGAGGTATGGAGAATATGAGGAACCTGTTGACTTATATGTCTTCATGTGAAATAAGTCTACTGGTTCAATTGAAGATACAGAGGTTCAATTTTAAAGGTTAACACAGATTGCAGGTAACTCTTCCTCTTGTCATTCAACTGTGCAGTTCCGAGCCCTTTCCTACCAGACTTATGTGTGCAAGTTCAAAAATCAAGAAATAGAGAATGTGACCTATTTAAGCATCAGACTCATAAATTATATATAGGCATGTGATCTGCTCACTCTCTACTATTATTGCTTTCTGGGATACCCTCTGCCGTTAATCTTATCTGCACAAAGAAGTATGCCATTCAGCATAGTATCACAAAAAGAGCCACTCCTGAGAGTCAGCAAGGTGGGATGCTGTCCTAGGTCTGCTATAGATTTTTTTTAAATGTCAGATTTTTACAAACAATAATCTTGTAACTAAATAATTGACTAGCTATATGATATTAGGAAACTTATTTCATCTTTTTTTTTTGGTCTTACTTTTTTGTCTATAAAGTGAGGGTCCCAGATTAAATTATGACTGGCATTCTTTCTTGCCCCCATCTGTATTTTAATCCTCTCTAGGAGGTGGAAGCACCTTTATAATTTTTTGGTGCTGCATGGTGGTTAAACAGGGTACCAACACTGAACTGAAAAAAAAAGTTCAGAAGGATAGGGAAAATGAATCAATCTCATGTTTACAGGGTTCAACTCATATGGTTATTTTCTTAGGAATAAAAAAGAAAATTCAGATAAGCTCTGTGCCAAATCATGAGTATTTTGGTCATAACTTTTCTTTCCTAATCCTTTCACAGAGAGGAAGTCGTGCCAGTGTAAGCTTCCAGATTACCTCAGAGGTCCAAAGTGGGAGGTCCCCAAGACTCTCCTTTTCTTCAGGGAGTCTAACTCCAGCTACCTATGAAAACTCCAACATAGCGATTTATGAGGTAAGATATTCAACAGCTGTCTAATCTACTGCTTTCTTGGATTTCAAAATGAGGCAATGATTTAGTAATTAGTCTTTGGGTAAAAATACTGGGGCTTTTGGCAAGTCTTTCCAGTTTGGTGTCTGTGTTTGCTTATGGACTCGTTTGGTTGACATTCTTAGCAATTATTTTCCTCAGCAACAAATCTACTTATTTATAACTTCACTGATCTTTCAACTCCATGTATTTACTATGCATGTAGAAAAAAGTTCTTGAGACCCAAACATTTAAATGTGTCTGTCACTCCAGAAGATATATAGATAACAATAGAAGAAATGACTCCCTGAGTCTATTGTTTGTAATGAGATGTCTAGAGACATGCGTGTGCATGGCAGGGTTTGGGGTACCCTTCTCTTCAAATTCTAGTTGTTCTTCCTGTACTTGTTATCCTCTGATACTGAGACTTTAAAATTTATTCAGTTATTTATTTTTCTTCACCTGTTCTGCCTCTTGGAGTAACAGGTTACTTTCTGCTGCTGAAAATAGAAATCCTTTTTATTCCACTGAGGTTTCTGTGTTTCAAGCTTTAAGAGGCCACCCTGTACCACCTGATCTAAGATACTAGAATTTGGCAACCAGAACAAATCTTGCATCAGAGAGATGAACTGTTTCTTCTCAGCAGGAATGAGTTAAGCAGGGGGTAAAAGGGAAACTAGACTGCCTTTCTGTTCCTTCTAAGTGAGGCCTTCTCAGTGTGGTTTCCTTGTTTTGTTTGAAGATACTCCCAAGAGCAGCAAACACTCTCAACTTAACAGTAACTACAAAGAAAGTCCAAAACAGGACAGAATGAGTTTTTAGATTGTCAACCACATTGGATTTTTCAAGTGAATACTCTTCTCCATTAGATAAATAATTGACAGGGACCTTACTATGGTTTGAATGTGTCCCTCTCAAAATTCAGGTGTTGAAACTTAATGGCCAATTGATGGTATAAAGAGATGGGGCCTTTAGAAGGTGATTAGGCCATGAAGGCTCCTCTCTCATCAATGGAATTAAAACCCTTATAGAAGAGGATTCATGCAGTGTTTGGCTAATTTGCCCTTCTACCTTCTGCTCTGGGAGGACACAGCATTCCTCCCTTCTGGAGGGTGCAGCAACAAGGCACCATCTTTGTAGCAGAGAGCAGCCCTCACTAGACAACCAAACCTGTTGGCACCTTGATCTTGGACATCCCATCCTTCAGAACTGTAAAAAATAATTTTCTGATCTTTATAAATTACCCAGTACTAACAGACTAAGACAGAAATTGGTACCAGAGCAGTGGGTTGTTACAAAAAAATACCTAAAACTGTGGAAGTGGCTTTGGAACTGGGTAATGGGGAGAGGCTGGAACACTTTTGAAGGGAATGCTGGAAAAAGTCTTGATTGCTGTGAGTGGAGTGCTAAGGGAAATTCTGGTGAGGATTTGGAAGAAGAGATGAACTGTATGGAAAGCCTGATTCTTCTTGGAGATTACTTAAGTGGTCGTGAACAGAATGACCACATTGGTAAAAATATGTACGTTAAAGACAATTTTGAGGAAGTCTTAGATGGAAATGAGGAATGAAGTTGGAAAAGAAGCATTCTTTTTATAAATTGGCAAATAACTTGGCTGAATTATGTCCATGTTCTAGGACCCTGTGGAATGTAGAATTCGTGAGCAATGAATGAGGATTTTTGGTGGAAGAAATCTCTAGGCAGCAAAGCATTCAGGGTGCTGAATAGCTTAACTGCTTATAGTAAGATGCAAAAAGTGAGAAATGACTTAAAGACAGAATGTATTTAAAAAAAAAACAAGGGAATCGGAACATACAGAGTTGTAAAATTCTCAGCCTTGCCATGTGAAGAATGAAAAAGTATGTTTAGGAGAGAAAACCAAGAGTGTGACAAAAAAAAAGTTTGATAAGGAGATTGGTATGGATAGAAGGAAGCCAGATGCTATTCATCAAGATGACGGGAGAATGGGAGAATGACCCCAAAGACATTTTAGGGATCTTCAAAGCTGTCATGTCCATTACAGGCCCAGAGTGCCGGGGCCTTGAGGGTCAAACTGGTTTCAAAGTAGAGGCCCAGGACACTGATGCGGTCCAGGGCACCTGTGAGATCCCAGGGCTTGTTGCCTGGGGCTGACTCAAATCTCTGCTTCCCATATTTCAGTGCAGGGCTCTTTGGCCTTCCCAGTTGTGACTCAGCTGGTCCAAGGTGTGGCTTGGCCTACTGCTCTGGAAGATGCAAGCCATACATCTCGGTAGTATCCACGCGGTGCCAACTTTGCAGGCTCTCAGAGTGCAAGAGGTATGGAGGCATGGATACATCCATCTAGATTTCAAAGGATGTCTTGTACAGCTTCAGGACCCAGGCACAGACTTGCCACAGGGGCAGGGCCACTGCAGAGAGTCCCCATTAGAACAATACCCAGTGGAATTTTGGGGTCTGCGCCACCGCAAAGAGTCCTCACTAGGGCAATACTCAGCAGAACTGTGGAGTCAGGGCCACCACAAAGATCCTCCACTAGTACAATGCTTAGTGGGGCTTTGGGACATGGCCACCCTTGACACCCCAGACCTGTAAAGCCACCAGAATGCAATGCCAGTCTGGGAGAGCTGCAGTCATACTGGCTCCAACCTGTGAGAGCTGTGGCATGGGTTGCACCCAGCTAAGCCATGAAGGTGGAATCCACTGGGGCCTTGGGGGCCCAACACCCACCCCAGTGTGTCTGGGAATTGGAACATGGAGTCAAAGATTACTCTCAAGACTTAAGACTTAATGTTGTTTGTTTTGTTGGATTTTGGAATTACTTTGGACCTGTTACCTCTTTCTTCTTGCCTACTTCTCATTTTTGGAATAGAAATGTTTATCTTGTGCATATCCCAACATTGTATTTCGGAAGAACATGATTTGTTTGATTTCACAGATTGATGTGATGATATTAAGATGTGAGGACATTAAGAGGTAATTAGGCCACAAGGGCTTCTACTTTGTGAATGATATTAAGGCTCTTATAAAAGAGGCTTAATGCAGCCTTCAGCTAGCTTGCTATTCTGTATTCTGCCATGCGAAGACATAGTGTTCCTCCTCTTGGGAGAGGATGCAGCAACAAGGCATCATCTTGAAAGCAGACAACAGACCTCACCAGACCACCATACCTGCTGGTACCTTGATCTTGGACATCCCAGCCTCCAGAACTGTGAGAAATATATTCCTCTCTTTATAAATTACCCAGTCATAGGAATTCTGTTATAGCAGCACAAATGGACTATAGGCCTTCAACACCAACATTGGCATGGTGTATGTTTGTTCAGTCTATGTGAGGGCTTTGACTTAAATTAGTAGCAGGAAACCTCTGGATCTTGCCTTGGACTTAATTCAATCAAAGAGGAGAACTGCTTCAAATGTAAACTTGAGGTATTGGGGAATTGTCAGCTCTACTCTCTCAAAGACCTAAGATAGGGTAATCAGATGGCTTTTGAATGTCAAATGGAATGAGCTGATGGCTTTAGAAATGTATTGACACCTCTGGGATTCTGAAGTAAATCTCCATAACCTTGGTTTTTATCTGTAAAATGAAGGGTTGAACTAAGTTCTCAATCTTGGTTGCTTACTGGAATCTCCTTGGAGAAATTTAAGAAATACCTGCTCCCAGGCCCCACCCTCAGCAATTCTGATTCAGTTGGCATGAGGTGGGGCCAGGTATTGGTATTTTTTTAAAGTTCTCTGATATGTGCAGCCTGGGTTGAGAATTGCTGGTCTAACAGATCTCTAAGGCCTTTTCTGGCTGAATATGCTATCATTCTCTGATTCTGTGGAATAATTTATGTGTTAAATTGTGGTATGTTTTACTTGGTGGGGCTGGAAGGTTATAGTGTAGAATTGAGAAGGGGAAAAAATAAACATCTGTATGTAACTGGCCTTTAAGAGTCTGTCAGATCTTTTCACATTTTGGAAGGAGGCAGAGAGCTAAGTTAGTTCCCAGAATGACTATTGGTCAGTCAGATCATGAGTATTTCTAAATGGTGTAGGCCAAATCGTGTAGGCCAAATGGGGACTTTATTTTTACAAAAGGAGGGTGTTATGAGAATAATACCTACACGGTGAAGTCAATATTAGGCTGATGGCAGGGTGTGAAGGAAGGCAGCTGAGGCTAGAAAACTGGCCTGACTAAAGAGGACTGACTAAAGAGGTTAAAGAGGACTCAAAGAGGGAACATAAGCCAATCGCATTAACAGATGAAACAAAGAAGTAGTGTGTCTTCTGAAACAGTACTCTATTAGGAATGTTTTAAAGAAGACCCATTGTCTAGTTTCTGTTTAAAATAAATCAAATTTTCTTTTTTTTTTTGCTGTTATTTCATTATTGTTTATTTTCTTTTTTTTCTTCTTTTTTCTTTTTTTATTATTATTATACTTTAAGTTTTAGGGTACATGTGCACAATGTGCAGGTTAGTTACATATGTATACATGTGCCATGCTGGTGTGCTGCACCCATTAACCCGTCATTTAGTGTTAGGTATATCTCCTAATGCTATCCCTCCCCACTCCCCCCACCCCACAACAGTCCCCAGAGTGTGATGTTCCCCTTCCTGTGTCCATGTGCTCTCATTGTTCAATTGCCATCTATGAGTGAGAACATGCGGTGTTTGGTTTTTTGTCCTTGCGATAGTTTACTGAGAACGATGATTTCCAATTTCATCCATGTCCCTACAAAGGACATGAACTCATCCTTTTTTATGGCTGCATAGTATTCCATGGTGTGTATGTGCCACATTTTCTTAATCCAATCTATCATTGTTGGACATTTGGGTTGGTTCCAAGTCTTTGCTATTGTGAATAGTGCCGCAATAAACATACGTGTACATGTGTCTTTATAGCAGCATGATTTATAATCCTTTGGGTATATACCCAGTAATGGGATGGCTGGGTCAAATGGTATTTCTAGTTCTAGATCCCTGAGGAATCGCCACACTGACTTCCACAAGGGTTGAACTAGTTTACAGTCCCACCAACAGTGTAAAAGTGTTCCTATTTCTCCACATCCTCTCCAGCACCTGTTGTTTCCTGACTTTTTAATGATTGCCATTCTAACTGGTGTGAGATGATATCTCATTGTGGCTTTGATTTGCATTTCTCTGATGGCTAGTGATGATGAGCATTTTTTCATGTGTCTTTTGGCTGCATAAATGTCTTCCTTTGAGAAGTGTCTGTTCATATCCTTTGCCCACTTTTTGATGGGGTTGTTTGTTTTTTTCTTGTAAATTTGTTTGAGTTCATTGTAGATTCTGGATATTAGCCCTTTGTCAGATGCTGGCAAACCGAATCCAGCAGCACATCAAAAAGCTTATCCACCATGATCAAGTGGGTTTCATCCCTGGGATGCAAGGCTGGTTCAATATACGCAAATCAATAAATGTAATCCAGCATATAAACAGAACCAAAGACAAAAACCACATGATTATCTCAATAGATGCAGAAAAGGCCTTTGACAAAATTCAACAACCCTTCATGCTAAAAACTCTCCATAAATTAGGTATTGATGGGACGTATCTCAAAATCATAAGAGCTATCTATGACAAACCCACAGCCAATATCATACTGAATGGGCAAAAACTGGAAGCATTGGCTTTGAAAACTGGCACAAGACAGGGATGCCCTCTCTCACCACTCCTATTCAACATAGTGTTGGAAGTTCTGGCCAGGGCAATCAGGCAGGAGAAGGAAATAAAGGGTATTCAATTAGGAAAAGAGGAAGTCAAATTGTCCCTGTTTGCAGACGGCATGATTGTATATCTAGAAAACCCCATTGTCTCAGCCCAAAATCTCCTTAAGCTGATAAGCAACTTTAGCAAAGTCTCAGGATACAAAATCAATGTACAAAAATCACAAGCATTCTTATACACCAATAACAGACAAACAGAGAGCCAAATCATGAGTGAACTCCCATTCACAATTGCTTCAAAGAGAATAAAATACCTAGGAATCCAACTTACAAGGGATGTGAAGGACCTCTTCAAGGAGAACTACAAACCACTGCTCAATGAAATAAAAGAGGATACAAACAAATGGAAGAACATTCCATGCTCATGGATAGGAAGAATCAATATCGTGAAAATGGCCATACTGCCCAAGGTAATTTATAGATTCAATGCCATCCCCATCAGGCTACCGATGACTTTCTTCACAGAATTGGAAAAAACTACTTTAAAGCTCATATGGAACCAAAAAAGAGCCCGCATTGCCAAGTCAATCCTAAGCCAAAAGAACAAAGCTGGAGGCATCACACTACCTGACTTCAAACTATCCTACAAGGCTACAGTAACCAAAACAGCATGGTACTGGTACCAAAACAGACATATAGATCAATGGAACAGAACAGAGCCCTCAGAAATAACGCCACATATCTACAACTATCTGATCTTTGACAAACCTGAGAAAAACAAGCAATGGGGAAAGGATTCCCTATTTAATAAATGGTGCTGGGAAAACTGTCTAGCCATATGTAGAAAGCTGAAACTGGATCCCTTCCTTACACCTTATACAAAAATTAATTTAAGATGGATTAAAGACTTAAATGTCAGACCTAAAACCATAAAAACCCTAGAAGAAAACCTAGGCTTTACCATTCAGGACATAGGCATGGGCAAGGACTTCATGTCTAAAACACCAAAAGCAATGGCAACAAAAGCCAAAATTGACAAATGGGATCTAATTAAACTAAAGAGCTTCTGCACAGCAAAAGAAACTACCATCAGAGTGAACAGGCAACCTGCAAAATGGGAGAAAATAAATTAAATTTTCATAAGAATTGTCATTGGAAGACCTGGAATTTCCAGATAAGGTGCCCGGAGTAGCAGATATAGCAAAAGACAGGTTTAGGACATGCCATCACGTTGTACTACGCTCACACAAATTCACACTTTTATTGTACACACAGATGCATAACCTTTGGAATTGTGTGGGAAAATCAGCCCTTATTTCACAGATAGCCTTTGAAATGTGAAAGGAAAGCCAGATGAGCGGACTGCCAGGCAGAAAGAGCTGTGAATGGCAGATGCAGTGGGGACATGTCAGGATCTGCTCTAATAGTTACAGTCTGGGTGAGATGGGGTGTGGTGGGCAGCAGTGTAACCCTGACACATTCAGAGAGAACCCACTGAATTCATCTTCCCTCTTCATTTTCTGACTACTCTTTCCTCTTTGCTTCTCCCTGTGTTTTCCTCTTTGTCTCATCTTTCTCTCTCTCCATTCATCTCTCTTTCTCAGATCATTTTTTCTGTCTTCTCACATTCTATATCCCTTGTAGCTCTCTCCCTGCCGCCTCCCTTCCGTCAACCATCTTTTCTTTCTTATCACAGAATCGCAGATCATCAGAGCTAAAAAATCATCTAGTAAGTCCAGAAATCACCTAGTAAGTCCTAAAGAATCATCTAGTAAGTCTAGCTTTATCAGTGAGGAAACTGAGGCTCAGGCAGATTGAGTGGCTGTTCTAAGGCCACCCTTGAGTTTGAAGCAGGGCCAGGTCTAGGATCTAGTGCTCTTTCCCCTTATTAATACACCGTGGCTTTAGTTCAAAACTGATGGACTTTAAATTACTTCTAAAAAGTTTAGTGAATAGAGTTTGATGTTTCTTGCTCTTAATTAAAAAGTGAGTGATGAGTGAAGTATTTTATCATTCTCTCTTAAAAGAAAAAAACAAAACAAATAGTGCATGTGTGGTGAAGATAAAACTTGCCCATTTCCTCCCTTTTCCTCATTATTCATGAAGTAGAACTCACACAGACTCAATAAAAATTTGCTTACAAAGTTTGTGAGAATTATTTAAATCTTAAAACAAACACACACAAATCTCCCAAACCAAAGAAAGCCTAACGAGAGGAAAGAGCAACAAAGTAGGAGATGGAAGACCTTGGGTCAATTTGCGGCTCTTTTACTACCTAGTTTTCTGACCTTGGGACAGTCACTTAATCTCTTAAGTTTTCAGTTTCTTTATCAAAATATGAAGGGATTGTGTTATGGATACCTATGACCCTTTCCAGCTCTCACAGTTGTTGATTTGGCATGAAAAAGCTCTGCTTAGCTGCTCGTGGCACTTAATAAGCCAGACAGAAGGCTAGCCCATGTTTGCAATAGGGCTGGCTCTAGGAAGAAGGTATCAGGTACCAGGTTTGAGGCAGAGTCAGGACTGCGAGTACTGATGTTCAGGTTGTGTACTGCAAAAGGGAACTACATCTAAGAGGGTAATATTCACATTGTAACATATGCCAATTTATGCGTGAGTGGTACCAAAGTGGGCACAGAGATTCTGGCTTCCCAGCCTAGTTCTGGAATGAGGTGGTAGAAGAGCCTTCTCACATCTACATCTATACTGGCACTCCCAGCTATGCACATACATCATCACTGGTAAACTCATGTGTAGCTGGGTATGTACTATCTTGACTATGTTCCAGAAGTTTCTTGAGGTTGCTTTTCTCTCCTGCCTAATATTCTCAGAGAACCAATTTCGACTTCTCACCCCCTCTCCTAAAGCCTGACTCCAAAGGTGACAAGGAGGCTTCACTGGGCAGATAGAATTTGGTGATGTGCAGAGCATCCATGCTGCTAGTGGAATGTGCTCCCTGGTGTCTGGGGGATGTATCCATAAATGAGAGTATGGTACTTGTATGTATACAGCCAGGGTGTGCTGCCTAACATCACAGGGCTGCCACAGGCTGTATGATGATATACTCACAAAGTTAAGATTTTTTAAATTTGAGAGAAAATACCCTTTCTAACTAGCACAAAGGTGCCATAGTGGCTAGCAGTGACCATGGGCTCAGTAACATAGCTGCAAAGGTGCCGGGAAGGCTTTTTTGTTCACCAGTCTTTCCCACACATAGGCTGATTCCATAAATTTTCGGTTAGAGTTTTATTCTTTCAGCTTAATAGGTAGCCTTTGATCCCGCTAAAGGACAAAGTTCTCTGAAGGGTAAAACTTCAAGCTTGTGTCAGGCCCTCCTGACTTCTGTGAATGACTTTTCGATCCCTGACTGAGAGCAGATTTTGATGAAGGAAACGTAGTAAGAGGTAAATGAAGAGAGTGTGAGTGAGGAGAGTTCCATAAATACGAGGAAAAGGCAAAGGCTGGGATGGTGGGTCACAAATTTTCACCTGTATTAGAGTCACGTGGAGGGCTTGTTAAAACACAGTTTGCTGGACCTCACCCTACTACGATTTCTGATTTCGTTAAGTGTTGGGTGGGGCTTGAGAATTGGCCTTTCTAACCGGTTTCCAGGTGATGCTGATGCAGCTGGTCCAGGGACCACACTTGGAGATTTACTGGATCAAATGCTTTGACCATTCTGCTGCAGGCAGGCACTGATCCGGTACTACCCTTCTGAACTCTCTGGGCACTGAGCCTGGCCAGTGCAGTTTTTTTTCTTTTTTTTTTTTTTTTCCAGCTGCTGAAGGTCTCTGAGGGCCATTTCTTAGTTAAAGGACTTTGAGCTCCTTGGCTAGTAAATGCTAATACAAAGTGCTGGCAGGTAACTCGGAAGCCTGCAGCTTCCATTAGCCTTTGCCTCTGGCAGGTTTCCAGATGCAGTGCCATAGCTGGATATATTCCTTAATAAGAGAGTGGTTACACTCTTTTTTTTTTTTTTTTCCAGACAGAGTCTAGCTCTGTCGCTCAGGCTGGAGTGCAGTGGCGCCATCTCCGCTCACTGCAAGCTCCGCCTCCCAGGTTCACGCCATTCTCCTGCCTCAGCCTCCTGAGTAGCTGAGACTACAGGCGCCCGCCACCACGCCCGGCTGATTTTTTTGTATTTTTAGTAGAGACGAGGTTTCACCATGTTAGCCAGGATGGTCTCGATCTCCTGACCTCGCGATCCGCCCGCCTCAGCCTCCCAAAGTGCTAGGATTACAGGCGTGAGCCACCGCGCCCGGCCCGGTTACACTCTTATTTTTGGAATTTGACTGCACAGTGCCCTCTGCTTTATTATCTCTACTTGATGACAAGTTGGTGCAGCCCGAAATGGAATCTCCAGGCTGTAGGTAATGGATGTGAAAGCACTTTGAAAAGTAGAGAGCATTGTGCAAATGTAAGGCATTATTACTATTATGGAGAAAAAAGAATCTATATTGATATTTTTTTTAAAACAATTTGGGTTGGACGGAAACTAAATAGGGCTTTATGACTGATGAATCCTTGAGGCTATGCACGTAGAAAAAGGTTATCTATCAGGCGCTGGTGTTGAAGTGAAAACAATAAAATAGTTGTTGTTTTTAACTTGACAGAAGCCTTAAAATAGCAGTTTTTTACTTAATAAGTCAGAAATAGACTTTTGGAAGACTCTAGATTACTCACATTACTATGGTAGTACATTGAGCACTCAAATAAAAAATATTTAATCTAGATTAAAGACAATTGGATTGTGACTAAAGCATAAGACAGCCCCCCCTCCATACACACACACGAATGGCCTGTCCCACGAGAGAAAAATGGATCAAGGTAAATGCAGGAAACATTTGCTGCACTACATCTCCCACCCTACATTTCCCTCTACAGACGCCTCAAGGCAGTGGGAATTGCAACCACTAACTATCACCATTAATCGCAGGGAACCTGGTGCTACATCATTTAGCTATGAAAAAGTGAAATGACCTAGCACTTCCTGCAGTTAGTTAAGAAAGGCTTTGCAAAGAGTGGTATCATTCCGTTTCTGGAGTCTACATACTTGCAATTGTTTCCCTGTCTTGAGTAACTGTAATTTTTAAGTTTAACTTCTGTGCATGACCTCATTTCAGCTCAGAATGCAGAATGTCTGTGAGGTGGAGGGTGGGAGAGAAGGAAAATGTCTATTTGGATTGCTGGTATAGGTATAAACCCTTTATGTGGAAGGGACATTTTTCTAAAACTGCTGGCAACTAAGTTTCATCACTATTCATTCTCCTCCTTTTCTTTCTAGGGTGATTGGGTGTGGCTGAAAAAGTTCTCCCTTGGAGATTTTGGAGACCTTAAGTCCATCAAATCAAGAGCAAGTGATGTGTTCGAAATGGTATGAGAAATCTTCGTTTATGTAAATTCCCACTAAAATAAATCTGTTCTCCAAAGTAACTAACATCAGAGCTGTTTAGGAAGACCCCTTAACAAATCAGTGCAGGGAAACTGCAGGGTTGCTAATGGGTTGGTATGATCATATCATGCAATGGCAAAGGTATGTGCTCTGGAGTCAAAGAGACATGAAGCACTCAAATCTCGGCTCTACCATGTAAGAGCTGTAATAACTTGGGCAAGTCATCTAAACTCCCTAAGTCTTAGTTTCCTTATTTACAAAAGGGTTATATTAATGTCTACCCTTTAGGTTGGATGAGGATTTTAAGAGACAATACACGTAAAGCATCTTGCGCATTTCCTGGCACATAGCTTCTTTATCAAGTGGTAGCTATTATGATTATTATCAAGTAAATATCCCATCACCATTCCAAATCTTCATTTTCCAGTCACCTGGTAATTTCTATTTGAAAAGTGGTTATTTCCCTAATCCCACTAATTATGTTCAAGGAGTCCTTGGATGGCTTGCTTAAGAAAGCAGCCTGTAGATAAGGCAGGGATACTGATGATCCTTCCTAAGCCATTTTAAAATCTTGGCTCCTCCTTAGACTGAGTCCATACAAGACTTGTGAATACTATCTTGGGTCCCTTCAGGTTCTTGAAAGTGCAATTTTAAAAGGCAATCACAGATTGCTCTACATTTATGAAGTGAGCAATTTCAAATCATTCCAACAAATCTGAATGAGGCAACTGCTACTTCCAGAGCACTGAACAAGTGAGAAAACAAAGGAAATGGAAGACATGTGGCCTGTGGAAGATAGGACATGCCCTATAGGTTAGGAAGAGATGTTATGATTTGGTATTTTTCTTTCTTTCTTTTCTTTTTTTTTTTTTTTGAGCTGGAATTTCGCTCTTGTTGCCCAGGCTGGAGTACAATGGTGCGATCTCAGCTCACTGCAACCTCCGCCTCCTGGGTTCAAGGCGATTCTCCTGCCTCAGACTCCTGAGTGGATGGGATTACAGGTGCCCACCACCATGCCTGGCTAATATTTTGTATTTTTAGTAGAGACAGGGTTTCACCATGTTGGTCAGGCTGGTCTCGAACTCCTGATCTCAGGTGATCTGCCCGCCTCAGCCTCCCAAAGTGCTGGGATTACAGGCGTGAGCCACCGCGCCCAGCCAATTTGGTATTTTTCTTACACGTGATTGTAATGCTTGGAGATGAAGGCAAGATAATGAGACATGAGTCCAGAAGGGGGATCAAGGTCAGAACTAAAATAGACAATTCTACACTGGTTTCGTAATCCAAATTATGGTGCCAAAACAGGCCAAACCTGAGACAGCTGATACACTAGAAGTATTGACCCAAGGTAGAGTGTGTCCATGACATCTTTTTTGGGGTAGCTTTTAATTTTGACATAATTTCAAACCTACAAAAAGCTTCAATAATAATTCAAAGATTCAGCAATTGTGTACATTTTGCCTAGTTGCTTTTTATTATCTATTTATATATTTATGCACATTATTTTTCTGAGCCATTTGAGAGTAAGTTGTAGACCCTATGCCCTTTTACCTCTAAATACTTCAGTGTGTACTTCCTAAAAACACTACAGTATAATGATCAAAATCAGAAAATTTAACATTGCTACAATATTATTATCTAAACTACTTCCCATATTCTAATTTTACTAATGGTCTTATACAATACAGCTAATATTCCCACAGGTCAGTTTCCAATCCAGTCTCACACATTCAGTTTGCTGTCATATCTTTTTAGTTGCTTTTAATCTGTAACGGTTTCTCAGATTTTCTTTGTTTTTCTTCATTTTGATATTTTTGATGAATTCAGATCAATTATTTCATGGACTGTCCCTCAATTTTAGTTTGCCTGTGTTCCTCAAGATCGATTTAGACTATGCATCTTCAGCCGGAATACTACAGAAGTTATGTGTCTTTTTCAGTGCACTTTATCAGGAGGCACTTTATCAGGATGATGTTGATCATCCCATTACTGGTGATGTTAACCTGATTACTTAATTTAGGTGGTGTCTGCCAAGTTCCTCCACTGGAGAGTAACTGTATTTATCTCATTGTAATTAATACATAACATTGGGGGAGATACTTTAATCTATGTAAATATCCTGTTCTTCATCAAAGTTTTACCCAATAATTTTGACATCCATTGATAAATGTCGTATTCCATCATTGTTTCTGCATTTACTGGTTGACATTTTATTATAAGAAAGAATCTTCTCTTCTTCCTCATTTATTTATTCATTCAATTATTTATATCAGTGTGCACATATGGATTTTTATTTTATTCAATTAGTATCTATAATATTCATATCAATCAATCTGTCTATCTAAAACCATAAATTCATACTAAACTCTCTAATTCTAATCCAGTGCCACAGTGTTAATTCCGTTTCTTTTTTAACTTTTCCATATTTGTAATTTCCTTCTCTGACAGTGAAAAAACTGCCTTCCCATTATCCTCATGACATCTGTTTATGTGTTTCCTTCACTGACTTGGGTGGCCATGTCAGGTATAGAGTGTAACTCAAACTTAGAAAGCCAGGATTTTCTAGAATTTACCATGTAGATGTGCTTTAATGCTTTTTAGTTGAATGCTTTTTTGAAGCTGGAGGTGGATCTGATCATAGTGTCACTGTGAGTCCAGCACTGCCTTGACTACTTATGTGTATTCATGACCTCAAAACGTTAGGGCTGGGTACCAGGATCCAGATGGAAAGCAGATCTTTGTGAGCCAGATATAGAAAGGAGCAGTGCACAATGGGATGGATGTCCTTGAAAAACAAACAGCTGGAGTCAGAAGGCCACAGAGCTGATAATTTCCAACATCTTTTAAGATCACAACTTCTGCAAAATTGCGTGCAGGAAAATTAGGCTGTATCTCTTAGTCTCATGTTCTTCCCCATAATGTGGAACTGATTGGCATATTCCCTGTACTCCTATAAAGGCAAATGGAAAGTATCCTGGAGTTCTTTAAAGGAAATTCTCAGTTGTTAGAGAGTGTCTCTTTCTTTAAGAAATGTGAAGAGAAGGAAACTGCAGTTGCTGTGAAACAAAGTGTTTACTTTGTGAAAAAATATTTGGGGCCATTCTAGAGCCTCTATTGAGAATATTATCTTCCCTGTAGCCATTTCTTCTCCAGTGGGGCTGTTATTATGCCTCAGTACCTCAAGATCATGACCATGTGGTGAAATTGTATCCCCTGCTTACTGATGACGCTTCCCAAACAATGATTCTTTTGCCTTTGTTAAACACATTCACAAGCTTTTGAGGCTAATGCCATTCTCTGTTTTAGCATCTTCTACACCTCCTGTTACTTCCATCTACTCTCCATATTCGCTACCCTTAATTTATTGAATATTTTGGGATATGTATCATGGTCCTCCTCTCTACTCCAAGACCTGCTGTTATGCTGGTGACATCAATTGGACATGGACTGTGGACAACTATATATCTTGACTATTTCATTCTTTGCCATATCATCCTAATAATCTTCTCTTCCATTCTACTTTGGCCAAACACTGCTACCATTATATTAATACCTTCTGCTTTTCCATCTTCTATAACTGCTACTGAAAATGCTTCACCTGGCCGGGTGTGGTGGCTCACGCCTGTAATCCCAGCACTTTGGGAGGCCGAGGCGGGCGGATCACAAGGTCAGGAGATCGACACCATCCTGGCTAACACGGTGAAACCCCGTCTCTACTAAAAATACAAAAAAATTAGCCAGGCGTGGTGGCCGGTGCCTGTAGTCCCAGTTACTCAGGAGGCTGAGACAGGAGAATGGCGTGAACCCGGGAGGCGGAGCTTGCAGTGAGCCGAGATCACGCCACTGCACTCCAGCCTGGGCGACAGACCAAGACTCCGTCTCAAAAAATAGAAAAAAGAAAATGCTTCACCTCCCAAATTATGAATTCATCACACTCTCTGATTACAACCTCCTTTTATCCCAACTGTGCCTATATTTGACTATATCAGGTCTTCCAGTCTACTGACCTCTGCTTTCTCCAAACTCACAAGCCCTTGTTTTATTTACTTTATTGTCCAATTCAGAGTCTATAGTCTATCATTTGAACATGTTCTTATTAATATTTCTGTCTTTTTGGTCAGACACACTTGCAAAACTCTAGTTCTGTATGATCCCAACTCTTAACTTTCTTTGTGCTTGCACTTGAACAGCCAAATATTGTAGCAGAAAGTTATGCAGCAAAGTATATTGTTTCCACTATAAATTCATGGTTTCTTATATTTAAATGTCCCTTACTACTACCTCATAATTCCATTATACTTCATTGGTTAATTCACTTCCTACCACCCATACATCAAAGCTTCTCCATTTTCCTTGAAGCTCCAATGTCCTTCTCTTTCTCGATTTTTACTATTAGTATCCTGGTCCAAGCACCATCATCTCCCACTAGAGCTACTAAGATTGTCTTTTTTTCTTTTCATAGACTTAATTTCTTAAAAAAATTTATTTCCATAGTTTTTTGGGGGGAACAGGTAGTATTTGGTTACATGAATAAGTTCTTTAGTGGCAATTTGTGAGATTTTTGTGCACCCATCACCTAAGCAGTATACACTGAACCCAATTTGTAGTCGTTTATCTCTCGCCCCCCTCCCACCCTTTCCCCCGAGTCCCCAAAGTCCTTTGTATCATTCTTATGCCTTTGCATCCTCATAACTTAGCTCCCACTTATGAGTGAGAACATACGATGTTGAGTTTCCCATTCCTAAGCTACTTCACTTAGAATAATAGTCTCTAGTTCCATCCAGGTTGCTGTAAATGCCATTAATTCATTCCTTTTCATGGCTGAGTGGTATTCCATCATATATATAAATATATGTATATATGATGTGATATATATGTACACACATATAATATATATATATACATATATATCATATCTATACACACACACACACACACACACACACACACACAACAATTTCTTTATCCACTCGTTGATTGATGGGCATTTGGGCTGGTTCCATATTTTTGCAATTGCAAATTGTGCTGCTGTAAACATGCGTGTACAAGTATCTTTTTCACATAATGACTTCTTTTCCTCTGGGTAGATATCCAGTAGTGGGATTGAAAACTGAATGAAATGGTAGTTCTACTCTTAGTTCTTTAAGAAATCTCCACACTGTTTTCCGTAGTAGTTGTACTAGTTTACATTCCCACTAGCAGTGTAGAAGTGTTCCCTGTTCAGCTGGGCATGGTGGCTCATGCCTGTAATCCCAGCACTTTGGGAGCCCGAGGCAGGTGGATCACCTGAGGTCAGGAGTTCGAGACCAGCCTGGCCAACGTGGTGAAACCCTGTCTGTACTAAAAATACAAAAAGTAGCTGAGTGTGGTGGTGGGCATCTGTAATCCCAGCTACTCTGGAGGCTGAGGCAGGAGAATTGCTTGAACCCGGGTGACAGAGGTTGCAGTAAGCCAAAATCATGCCATTGAACTCCAGCCTGGGTGACAAGAGTGAAACTCCATCTCAAAAAAAAAAAAAAGTGTTCCCTGTTCACTACATCCACACCAACATCTAGACTTAATTTTTTGGAACTATTTTGGGTTCACAGGAAATTGAGCAGAAAGCACAGAGAGTTCCCATGTATCTCCTGTCCCCACCTATGCACAGCCTCTCCCACTATTAACAGGGTGGCTCACTGATTATAATCATGAACTTACACTGACACATCATTTTCACCCAAAGTCCATAGTTTACATTGGGGTAAACTCTTGGTGTTATATATCTTGCGAGCATTGGCAAATGTATAATGGCATGTATTCACCATTATAGCAACATACAGAATAGTTTCAGTCCCCTAAAAATCCTCTGTGCTCCACCTGTTCACACCTCTCTCCCCCTAACCCCTGGCACCTTGCAATTGTCTTTTAAGTATTTTAATCACATCCACTCTCAAATCCATTCTTCACATTGCAAACTACTCTTTTCAAAATTGAGTCTGATTTTATCACTTCTCTGCTTAAATCTCTTTAATAGATTCCTATTGTTCTTTCCTTTGTGTGGTGATTTCAAATAATAGATTCAATTTCTTTAATAGATACTGGACTATTCAAACTTTCTGTTTCTTCTTGTGCCAGTTTTGGTAAGTTATGGCTTTAAAGGAAGTTGTTCATTTCATATATGTTATCAAACTTATTGGCACAAAGTTGTATATGATATGCTCAAGCTGTCTTTTAGATATCCTTAGGATCTGTAATGATGTTCTCTGTTTCATTCCTGATACTGATAATTTATGTTTTTTTCTTAATCAGCATTGCTAGAGGATTATTAATTCTATTCATCTTTTCCAAATATCAACTTTGAACTTTGTTGATTGTTCTCTATTGTATGCCTGCTTTGTGTCCCATTGATCTATATTCTTATTTTTCCTTCCTTCTACTTACTTTGTATTTAATTTGTTGCTCTTTTACTAGTTTTCTGAGTGGGAAGCTGTGATGGTTGACTTTAACCTTTCTTATTTTCTAATTTAGTCACCTACGGCTAGAAAATCTCCTCTAAGCACTGCTTCAGCTACCACCCAGAAATTTTTCTTTTTTTTTTTTAATAAAAACCACTTTTTGTAATCCCAGCACTTTGGGAGACTGAGGCAGGATGATAGCTTGAGCCCAGGGGTTGGAGACCAGCCTGGGCAACATAAAGAGACCCCATCGCTACCAAACCAAAAAAAAAAAAAGGAAAAGAAGAAACATATGCAAAATAAACAAAATAGTATAACATTTATGTGTCCAAAACTCACCTTCAACAATCATCACTATCCTGTATTTTTTCATCTATACCTTCACCCATTTCTCACATCCCTAATTTGGTGGTGGTTATTATTAATTTTCAATTCTGTATTTTTAGGTACAGTTACACACGTTGAAATGCCCATATCATTTCTCTATAATTTTGATAAAAGGACCCCTACAATCTAGACTTCTATCATGATATAAAATAGGGATTAGCAAACTATGGCCCATAGCCTGTTTTTACAGACTGGAAGCAAAGAATATTTTCTACATTTTAAAAAGGGTTATGACAAAAGAAAACAACAACAGAAACCATGTATTATCTGCAAAGTCCAAGTTATTTATTATCTGTAGTTTATAGAAAAAGATTGCTGACCCTGATATAAAACATTCCCTTCTCTCCAAAATTTCACTTGTGTCCCTTAGAAAATTTGTGTTCACCGAAAACCAGAGGCAACCACAGTTCTGTTTTTCTGTTTGTTTGTTTAACTTGCATTAATTTTGCTCCTTCTAAAACATCATATAAGTGGAAACAGACAACAGAAAGACTGTGATATTCATCCATGTATAAGTAGCTTGTTCCTTTTTATTGCTAAGTAGTATTCCATTGCATAAATATAGCACAATTTAATTATCCATTTTCCTGCTGATGGACATTTGGGTTGATTGCAATTTTGGCTATTGTCAATATAAGTGCAATGGATATTCTTGAACCAGTCTTTTTATGGACACATATTTGAATTTCTCTTGAGAATTTCTCCTAGAAATACCAGGGAGGGAATTTCTCGGTTAAAGAATAGTATACACTTAACTCTATAACACACTGTGAAATATTTTCTCATTTTACTTTCCTGCACACAAGTTATGAGAATTCCCTTTGGTCTACATCATTGCCAATATTTGATGTTGTCAGTTAATTTAATTTTAGTCATTCTAGTGACTTGATGAGGTTATCTCATAGTGTTTTTTATTTTTAATTCTGCTAAAAAGACATAAAATTTACCACCTTAAAGTGTACAGTTAAGTAGTGTTAAGTATATTCACATTGTTGTACAACATATCTCTGGAACTTTTTCACCTTGAAAAACTGAATTTCTGTACCCATTAAACAACTCTCCATTTCCTTCTTCTTGAAGTTCCTGGTAAACACCATTCTATTTTCTTTTTCTATGAATTTTCACTACTTCGTATATCCTATATAAGTAGAATCATACAGTATTTGTCATTTTGTGACTCACTCATTTAACTTAGCATAATGTTTCATTGTGTTTATAAAATATGTTTTCTATTCAGGTATAATCAACATAAAATAAAATGTACACATGCTAGATGTTCTGTTCAGTGAATTTTGACAATTGCATGTATCTATGTAACCATTCTCCAAAAAAGTTACTAATATGTTCATTACACCGGAAAGTTCATTTGTCCTCCTTTTCAGTAATTTATCCTATCCCATAGGCAATCACTATTCTGATATCTATTAAAATAAATTAGTATTTTTTTCTGTTCTTTGATTTTATGTAAATGGAATGATACAGTGTCTTGTGCCTGTCTTCTTTCTGTCAGCACAATGCTTTTTAAGATTAACATATGATTTTGCATATACCTGTAGGTCACTTTTTAAATTGCCTAGTTGTATTTCATTTTATGACTATATCACAATTTATCATTCTCCTGTTGAACATTTGGCTTGATTCTAATTTTTTAGAAGAGTTTTTTTTGACAATTTTATGAATAAGGCAACTATAAACATTTTTCATTATGGTAAAAAAAATCACATAACATAAAATTTACCATCTTAACCATTTTTAAGTATACAGTTCAGTAGTGTTAAGCATATTCACATTGTTGTGAAACATATCTCCAGAACTTTTTCATCTTGCAAATCTTAAGCTTTTTCATCTTGCAAATCTGATCTTGAAAATCTCCCCTTTTCTATTTCCAACAGCCCCTGGTAACTACCACTCTTTCTGTTCCTATGAATTTGACTACTTTAGATATCTCATGTAAGTGTAATCATATAGTATTTGTGTTTTTGTGACTGTCTTATTTCACTTGGCATAATGTCCTCAAGGTTCATTCATGTTGTAGCATGTGACAGGATTTCCTTCCTTTTTAAGGCTGAGTAATAGTCCATTGTATGTTATTCATTTGTTCATTGTTAAATGTTTGGGTTACATCCACCTCTTGGCTAACGTGAATAGTGCTGCTAGGAACATGGGTGTAGAAATACCGCTTTGAGACTGTGCTATCACTTCTTTTGTACATATATCTGGAAGTAAGATTGCTGGCTAATAAGATGGCTCTATTTTTAATATTTTTATAAAGTTTCATACTGTTTTCCATAGCAGTTGCACCATTTTACAATCCCACCAACAGTGCACAAGTGTTCCAATTTCTCCACATGTTTGCCAACACTTATTTTCTGTAGCCATCATAATGGGGTTAAGGTGATATCTCCTAGAGGTTTTGATTTTCATTTCTCTATTAATTGGTGGTGTTGGCCATCTTTTCATAGAAAGCTATAAAGATTTTTATATATGTCTTTTGTGAACATATATTTTCACTTCTCTTGAGTAGATACATAAGAATAAAACTGGGTCATAGAGTAGTTGTATGTGTAACTTTATGTGAAACATCCAAACTGTTCTCCAAATCAGTTTTGACATTTTACATTTCCATCGGAAATATTCCAGTTGCTCTAAATTCTTAACATTTGTCTTTTTGATATTTGCCTTTCTAGTGTGTGTGAAATGGTATCTTATACTTTAATTTGCATTTTCTTGATGACTAAAGTTTTTGAGCACCCTTTTAATGTGTTTACAATTCACTTGTATATCTTCTTGTGTGAAGAGCCTGTTCAAGTTTTTGCCCAGTCTTAAACATTGGGACTTTTTTGTATTTTTGTTTTTAAATTACAGACATTCTTTATATATCCTGAATAGCCTTTGCTGAACTATTTATTTTGTAATTATTTTTCTCAATCTGTGGCTTGTCTATGATGTCTTCTGTTGAGCAACATTTTTAGTTTCAAGGAAGTCCAATTGTCCAATTTATCATTTTATTTTCCCCTCCAACTCCCCTCCCTTTCCCTCTCCTTCTCCCTTTTTCCTCCCCCTTTGTCCCTCCTACTTTCTTTCTCTTTGTCTTTCTCTCTCTCTCTCTTTCTTTTTCTTTCTTTCTTTCTCTTTCTCTCTTCTTTTCTTTCTTCTTTCTTTCTCTTTTTCTCTCTCTCTCTCTTTCCCCCTCCCTCCATCCCTCCCCCTCTCTCTTTCTTTTTCTTCTTCTTCTTTTTTTTTTTTTGGTGGCCTAAGAAATCCTTGTCTAGTCCAAGATTCTGGGTTTAGGCCTATGATCCATTTTGAATTACTTTTTGTGTAGAGACTGAGACAATGATCAAGGTTCATTTTTTGCATATAGATACCCAGGGTTCCAGTAACAATTGTTTTTAAAAAGCTTTCCATTGAATTAATGTTGTAACTTGGTGAAAAATTAACTGACCATATATGTGTGCATATATTTTTGGAGTCTCTGTTCTGTTTCCTTCACTCATTAGTGTAACCATAATGCCAATATCACACTCCGTTGGTTATCATAACTATAGAGTACCTCCTAAAGTCAAGTGGTGTAAGCCTCTAACTTTTTTTTTCAAGATTGTTTTGGACATTGTAAATTCTTTAAATTTAAAATAAATTTTGAAATCAGCCTGTCTATTACTTCCACAAGGTTTTCTGTAATTTTTGATGGGGATTGCAATGAATTTATAGAGACATTTAGGTAAAATGGACATCTTAATAATACTGAGTCTTTCAGTCCATTAATGTGGTATATGTCACCATTTATTTAAGTTTTCTTTATTTTTTCTTATCAAAGTTTTGATACTATTATACATGTTGAGTAGAAATGGTAAGAGCAGACATCTTTGCCTTGTTCCTGGCCTTAGAGGAAAAGGAATCAATGTTTTATTTTTAGGTTTGATGTTACCTGAAAGTTTTTCACATTTCTGAGTTTCTATGATTCTTTTAATCATAAAGAGGTTTTATATTTATATTGCTACCTATTGCAATTATTCAGTGGTTTTGCTCTTTTATTCTGTTAACATGGTGAATTACATAGTTTTTGAAAGAAATATTAAGCACATCCTAATATCCCCGGGATGAATTCCACTTGGTCACGATATATTATCATTTTAATATATTGCTAGACGATATTTGCTAATCTTTTAAAAGAATTTTGCATCTATGTTTTTAAGAAGAATTAGTCTATACTTTTAATGTTTGTCAGGGTTATGTTTGGCTTCATAAAACAAGTTTGGAAGTCTTTGCCTTTTTCTGAGAGTTTCTGTAAGACTGGTATTATTTATTAAAATTTTTAATAAATTTCATCAATAAAATCATTTGGTCCTTGGATTTTCTTTGTGGGGATGTTTTTGAAAACAAATTCAATTTCTTTGCTAAATATAGGGCTCTTAGGATTATTATTTCATATTGTGCCAAGTTTAATCAGTTGTGTTTTTCAAGAAATGTCAAATTCGTTATTGACTTTATTAGCATAAAGTTGTTTAAAAATTCCTTTATCATCTTACTGATATCCGTATGATCTGTAGTGATACCATATCTTTCATTCTAGATATTAATAATTTTTTCTTTTTCTTTTTGTCTTGATCAGTCTTCTTAGAGATTTATTAAATTTATTACTTTGTTTTAAAGAACAATGTTTTGATTTTGTTAATTTTCTCCACATTTTGGCTATTTTCTATTTTTATCTGCTCTTATTGTTATTATTTCCTTCTTTCTGCTTATTTTTGGTTTATTCATTCTTATTTTTTGAACATTCTTTCTTTTTAATTTAAGCGACATATTTACATTTAAGCTCTGCTGTAGCTGCATCCTGCAAAATTTTATGTTATATTTTCATTGACCTTTCAGCTTGAAGTAATTATGATTTCATTATTCTTTTTTGACCCATGTATTATTTTGAAATATATGCTTAATTACCAGATATTTGTGGCCCTTCTAGATATCATAATTAATAGATTTCTCATTTAATTCTGTTGTGGTCAAAGAATATTATCTGCAAATTTAATCTTGAAATTTATCAAAAACTTTGGCCATAGCCAAGCATGTGGTCTGTGTTACTGAACATTCCACATACATTTGAAATTAATGCATATTGTACAGTTGTTTGGTATAGAGTCCTATCAATATCAATTAGGTCAAGATGGTTGATAGTGTGATTCAGATCTTCTATATCCTTACTGCATTTTTGTCAATATGCTTTATCAATTACCGTAAAATTTTCCTATTTTCTAATTCTGTGAGTGTTTTCTTCAGGTGCATTGAAGTTCTGTTATTAAGTACGTACATATTGGTGTGCTAGTAAATGTTTAACAACAGGCTTTCTGAAAAAGATCCCTAATTTGGAGCATTTTCTGATTTCTGTGCTGTGAGTACCTCCATTGTAACTAATCTGGGGCTACCCATGTGATGTCACTGAACACAGAGATGGTAAGAAATATGCAAAATATTCTTCTTATGATCCAGCACATCAAATATTCTTCTTATGATCCAGCACATCTTTGCACATATACATTTTATTATTATGTCTTATTTTATCATTATGAAATGTCCCTCTTTATGTCTGATAATACTTTTTTCTTGATTTCTATTTTGTCCAATAATAACATAGCCAATTTAGCTAATTAGTTTTTTGCATGATTTACTTTTTCTGTACTTTTTCTTTCCATGCATTTGTGTCTTTGGATTAATGTTCATCTTATTTAGGGAGCAGGCATTTGTGTCTTGCTTTTTATCTCCCCATTCTGCAATCTGTCTTCTAATTGAAATGTTTAGGCTACTTACATTTAAGGCACTTATTGATACAGTTAGATTTCTCATCATCTATTTTGCTATATGTTCTCTATTTGACTCATCTATGTCTCTGTTTGTTCCTTTGTTTCCCTTTTCTTGCTTTCCTTTGGGATAAAAGTGTTTTTCATATATTCCGTTTTGTTTCCTATATTGGCATTTTAGCGATACATTTTTGCACGTTTTAGTGACTGTCCTAGGAATTGCTTAAATGCATCTTGAATTTATCATAGTCTTCTTAGAATTAATATTCCACTTCTTTACTTAAAACATAGGAAATTTGTAACAGCAGTGTCCCATTTACTAGCCTACTATTCTTTGCCCTATTGTTATCATATGTATACCTACATTTATTGTGAACCATATAATATAGTGTTAAAATTTGTTTTAAACATTCATATGCATTTCATACAAATTAAGAGAATGAAATAAAAATATATTCTGTTATATTTATCAACATATTTACTATTTCTGATAACTTTAATTATCTCCTAATAGAGCCAAGTTACCATTTAGCATCTTTTCTCTTCAACCTGAAGATCCTCCCCTTAGGCATTACTTGTATTGCAGGCCTGCTGATGATGAATTTTCTCAGTTTTCGTCTATTTGATAATGTCTTTGATTTTGAATGATATTTTTGCTTGGTACAGAATTATGAGTTATCTGTGTTTATTTTCTTTTGGCATATTAAAGATTTCGTTTCATTGGTTTTTTTTTTTTTTTGCATTTCTTTGTTTCTGATGAGAAGTCAGCCATTATTCATTTCTTTGTATGTAGTGTGTACTGTTTTTCTCTGACTACCTTCAAAAGTTTATTTTCATATTTCAGGGTTTTGACTGTTAAATGTCTAGGTATTGCTTTCTTTGTATTTAATCTCCTTGGTGGGTCACTGAACTTCTGAGATCTTTAAGTTCATCTTTGGATTGTAGGAGTTTGAATATGATATATGCAGGGCATTTTCTTTGTGTTTATTCTGTTTGAAGTTCAATGAGCTCCTTAGAATTTTAAGTTGATGTCTTTTACTAAATTCACAAAGGTTTTGACCACTATTTCTAAAAAAAATTGTTTTGCTGCATTTTCTTTATATCCTTCTAGAACTCAAGTTACCTATGTGTTAGTCTGTTTGATATTGTCCCCACTTATCCTTTTTCCCTCTGTTTTTCAGACTGGGTATTTTTTATTGATCTCTCCTCAAGTTCATTACTCTTATGTCATTTCCTAAGCCCACCTAGCAAATTTTTTTACTTCAGTTATTATATTTTCCAGCTATATACTTTCCAATTGGTTCATATTTATAGTTTCTTTTTCTCTGCCATGTTCTATACCCATATATTCATTTTGCATATATTTTCCTTTAAATCTTCAAATATATTTATAAAATCTGTGTTAAAGGCCTTTTCTGCTAATTGCAAGATTTGTGTCATTTTGGGATGAATTTCTATTGACCTTTTTTTTTCCTGGAGTATGGGTCACATTTTTTTCTATTTCTTTGTACATCTAAGGCTTTTTGGTTCATTACTGAATATTATCAATAATACATTTTAGAAACTCTGGATCCTGTGGTGTTGCTCTAAAGAACTATTTTTTTGTTCTTGTAGGTAAACCCAAATTTTACTCATTTTAGTTGTCTTTCAAATATAGTTCTACCTCCATTTCTGCTTTCGGTCACTCTTCACTGTCTTCAAATGGTTTTTAGAATATTTGATTCATATTTTATAGGTTTCTTTGTCTACTGAGTATTTAAAGACAGTGTTCAATTGTCTTCTGACTTTGTTATGCATTCCCAAGTATCTAATGTTTTTTATTTTATGCTAGATATTTTATGTAAATAAATGGTAGAAGCTCCAGGTCATAATTTCTACCAGCAAGGACTTTTCTCTTTTCATTTGTTAGGTGGATTGGGTAAGGAACTAATCACATTAATCGAATCAAAGATTGAGCAGGATTGAAGCTGTGTTGCAGTTTTAGTTAGACTCAGTCCACCACTAATTCTACTGTTTCTCAGGCATATCCTTCCAAAAGTCTACAAGTCTCTCTCCTCCACTTTGAAAGATTGGGATATTCAGACTGTACTTCATAACCTTTTTCCTCTACTCTCAATCCATGCTGCTTCCAAATTTGGCAAATTTCTTGAGGAAGACACCAACCGAATGTTTGTTGCAGGCCCTATTTCTTCAGTGAGACTTTGTCTTCTAAATATTTGGAAACTACAGAAGATCTCAAACAATTTTACAGAAGCTTTCTAGTCTCCTCTATAGCCCCCAGACTCAGAAAATATGCTGTGGGGAGAAAACTAGCTCACATTTAGGCCTCCTGAAATTTATTAATTGTGATACCAGTCTTCTACAATTGCCAAAAGCATTACCAGTTTTTGCATTTTCCCAGCAAATTCTTTCTGTTAGGCTAAGCCCAATCTTTGGCTTGTGCTGGAAATCAGCAGATGTCCTCAGGGAAGAAAATGGCTGACAACAGCCTGGTTATCTTAGAAGGGCTCTTGCATCTTTGAGTTTTAGATTCTTTTTTTGCACCTACATGTCCCCAGTGGTTTTTTTTTTAATATATTTTTTCAATTTTTCTAGCTGTTAAAAGCTGTAGCATCAGGAATGGTGGTCTGCCATAACCTACTACACCCTACTTGGTATTCAATGTCCCTATAATCATTTTTAATATAAATAAATAGCTACTTAAAATGACCTATTAGATTCTGTATAATCTGGCTCTTCCCTGTCTCTTCAGTCTTATATCACCATCATATTTCCCTCAACCGCTCTGCTTAAGGCACACTGGCTTTTACTTAGTGTTTGGGTTGTGATATGCTCCCAGCGCAAAGCCTTTACCTGTTCTATTACAACCCCTAAAATACTTTTCCTTCCCTTCTTTGCATGGTTTAATCCACTCATCTTTTAACTCCCAGATCAATTCTTACTTCCCATGAAGCCTGTCCCAACTTCTCTGATTGGTCAAAGCCCCAATTATACATACTCACATTATGTAACTCTCCTCCATAGGACTTGTCAGAGTCGCAAATTTTGTATCATTGTGTAATCATCTGGTTAAAACAAGAGGTCAGAAACCATGTAACATTTTGTTCATCATTTGTCCCCGGTCTGTCTCTCAGGGACTGGCAAATAATAGGTACTAAAAAGTTTTTTAAATGAATAAAATATTGCTAGTGGGAAATATAGGATCAGAAGTCTTTCACTAGTACCTGGTTAATGTGTTCTATATGACCATTGACTTCTGGGTGTTAGATAGTGGGTAGGTTGATACGGGGATAGGAGGTCTTGAACAATAGCTCTTTACAACAAAATAAAAATAAAAAGAAATGCAGGAAACAGACATGAATCACCAATTAACTCATGGAGGTACAACATTTTCTTGTCGAGGCCAGGCACAGTGTCTCGTGCCTGTAATCCCAGCACTTTGGGAGGCCGAGGTGGGCGGCTCACCTGAGGTCAGGAGTTCAAGACCAGCCTGGCCAACATGGTGAAACCCTGTCTCTACTAAAAATACAAAAATTAGTTGGGCATGGTGGCACGCATCAGTAATCCCAGCTATTTGGGAGGAGAAATAGCTATTTGGGAGGAGATTCGCACGAGAATCACTTGAACTGGGAGGTGGTTGTGGCAGTGAGCTGAGATTGCGCCACTGCACTCCAGCCTAGGCGACAGAGCGAGAGCGAGACTCTGCCTCAAAAAAAAAAAAGAAGAAAGAAAATTTTCTTGTCAAAATAGACAGCAATTGCTGATATAGCTGCGGGTGAGCACTTATGTGGAGAATGACATTTTCATAAAGGTATACATACCCACCTCTAGGATGGGATTTCAGCTGCTGTGGAAGAGGGACACGTAGAGATTAATTCTGGTGTTATGACATCCTAGGAACTTTTTTCAAGTGGGTGAAGGAGTCCTTCAGATAACTTAGGTCAGTATTTGACTTAGGAACAGATGTCTCTGGTGGCTGTATGCTTAAAGGTGTCGTGTTACACTTTGGGAGTCTAAGGCGAGTGGATCACTTGAGTTTAGGAGTTCGAGACCAGCCTGGCCAACATGGTGAAACCCTGTCTCTACCAAAAATATGAAAAATTAGCTGAGTGTAGTGGCATGCACCTGTAATCCCAGCTACTCAGGAGGCTGAGGCAGGAGAATCGCTTGAACCTGGGAGGCGGAGGTTGCAGTGAGCCGAGATTGCGCCACTGCACTCCAACCTAGGTGACAGAGTCAGACTCCATCTCAGAAAAAAAAAAAGGTGTCTTGTCAAATATGAAGCTAACAAAATCCTTGAGAGACAGGACACATTCAACTCTTAAACATTTGATGGTAGCCAGCCAGATAGGTATTATGGAAGAGGTAAAGTATATGTCTACCCTGTAAATGCTCATCTTGCTAAAGCTGATGTTGCAAACTTTCTCTGCATCCTGGGGTTGTCCAGAATCTTGGTAGGACATGACTGCATGTAGGCATCTACCTGCTCTTTATATGGGATCTTCTCTGTTGGTTACAGCTGAGGATGGATGCCTATAAAGATCTATCAAAGATCTAGACAGAATTATTCCCATGCTAGTACCATTAGTGTAATGCTAGATGTTTTAACAAATAGACCTTCAAATATGTAATGTCTCAAACACAGCAGAAGTTTAATTTTCACCCAAATAACAGCACAAGGTGGGTATTCCTGTACTGTTGGCAGGTGACTCTCTTCCAATATCATGACTCAGGGACCCAGGCTATAACCATCTCATGGCTCTGCTATGTCTTAGGGCCGTGTCATCATCTGCATTCACCCATAGAAGTGGGAAAATAATATGGAAGAGGGTATAAAAGCCTTAGCCTAGAAATGGCACGTCTCACTTCCTCTCCCATTTTATTGCCTAGAGGAAGGGGCATATATCGGTTCCTCTTCTATTCCATTGCTTGGAATTCAGTCATATGGCTACACTTAGGTCCAAGAAAGACTGGAAAATATGGATTAGCTCTCTGCCCAAGAAGAAGAGAAAATACATTTGTGTTGAACAGCTAGTAGCATTGAATATGACAACTTTTTACTTTTTCTTCCAACAGAGTTCCAGAGCCCAGTAGTTTTGGCTGCTTGCTTCATAAGAAAATAGAACTTTAGGAGCAATGCCTATTTTGCTGTTTGTGGGCTGAGTTTCTGTCCACCTTAACTGGTTTAGGTTGCAGTGGATGAAGAGAATTGTCATGGGTGCCAGGCCCTTATGCTTAGAAGGCAACCTTGGTGGTCAATAGCTGACATTCCCACCAGGGATAATTTAACCTTTGCTTGGATCATATTCTAAGAAGCAAGCTCATATTCTAAGTCCTATAGTGTAATTCATCTCAATAAATGGCCCACCATCCGTTCCGTGTTCAAAATAGAATAATTCTTTATTTCATTCTTTCCTCCCCTCCCCACACAAGAAGTCACGTGATTTATAGCTCCAAAATACATCTCAGATCTGCCTTTTGCTGTTCATGTACACTGTTACCATTCTAAGCCTATCTCTCTATCTATTTAGATAGATATAGATATACATATCTGTGTAAACATGTTGTAAGTTTCTATAATTAATAAATTTTAATGGTGAAATTCACCAGACACTTTTCTTCATCTTACCTGACCTCTCTGGTATTTATCACACTTTCCTGAAATTCTTTCTGGCAGGCATTTTTCTCACTTTCCTGAAACTAATCCTGTGGTTTTAACAATATGGTTTTAAATAGGCTTTTCTCTACTTCCTGGCCTTTCTTCTAAGTCTTATTATTGCAGGCTGTTCTTCCTTTTCCCGCTCTTCAAATGTTGATGTTTCCTTTTTCTCTTTTTCTTTATACTTTCCTTGGGTAATCTCATTTGTTCCCACTGATTTTACCTAAAATTTAATTGCTTACAATTCCCACATGTATTTATACTGGTCAGAACTCATTCCTTAGTTTCAAACCCTGAATATACAACTGTCTTTAAAATAGTTCCCCCTTGATGTTCTGTAGGTACCTCATTCTCAATACGTCTCCAACTGAATTTATCAGCCTTTCCACCCCCAAATGTGCTTTTCCATCTGTCTTAGGTCAGATTCCCCAAAATCTGAGCCTGAGATGGAAATTCTTGTTCAAATTATTTATGGAGAAAATGCTTTCAGGTAAAGAGTGAGGGAATTAGGATAGGACAGGGTAAAAGTTAAGCAAGTATTTGATTTCAGCTGGAAACTAGCAACAGTATGATCTTATGGGGAAATGCTGGAGCACAAGTTATACCATGAATCTTACCTTGAGGCTAGGAAGCTGGACTTTTGTACTGTCCTCAGTGAGTAAATTACTGCCTGAGGCCTGTGGGTGGGACCTAACCTCTCAGGTAAGGTGGCTCACCATTAATTTGGGCTCTAGGACAGTTTTTTTTTTTTTTTTTTTGAAAATGGAGTAACTATGAGTTATCAGTCAACATTCACAGCAGTTGGGGGATGCATGGTTAAAGGCATATGGGTGGGGCACCAGCATATCCACTATTACCTCATCCCTGAATTCCCTATATTAATATGTAGCACCACTGTCTACCCAGGTATCCAAGTAGAAATCTGGGAGTGATCATGGAGTCTTTTTTCCTCTCTCTCATCCCTCATTTAAGTAGTAATAATAATAAATGATAATTATTGAGTGCCCACAATATAAATTTCAAATTCCATAGCATGGTTCATAAAGTCTCATGGGATATGGCTCCTGTCCATTTCTCCAGTCTGGTATTTAATATTCTCTTCCTTACACTCCACTGTGGCCACCCTAAACCTGTTGTGGTTTTCTCCACATAATGTGCTATCACTCTCAACCCCTCTCATCATGTCATCATCACCTGATCAACTCTTAATTGTCCTTTGAGAGAGTCCACATATTACCTCCTTAGGGAAGCCTTCTCTGACTACCCTAGGGTGAATTAGATACTTAACATTTGAGCTCTTACAGCATCCCATGCCCCCATTTTTCAGAACACATTTCACAACAAAATACAATTGTTGGATTACTTGCTTATCACCCTTCATTGAATGTGAGCTTTTTCGGGACAGTGATTTTATCTTGTTTGTCTCTTTTTCTCTAGCATGCATTCCAGTGTCTTGGATGTTGTGAACATGCACTAAATGCTTCTCACATTAGTGAAATAAAATGAATGAATGCAAAGAGAAAGTGTGGCCAAAATTCTAAATGTTTCTTCTGAAAAAAATTGTATAAGCTCTGGCCTGATGTTTATATAGGGAAGCTATTTTAATAGATGCTAGGTAGATGAGTATTCATAGAAAGACAACCTATTCTACATTTTACGGTATCATCTCTCTTTAGTCCTCTTGAGCCACTGAGCTCCATTCCAGAAAGTCCCAAAGGAATCAGAGAGAAATCTGCAGCTTGAGTTTCACTTATAATTATGCTAAAAGAGATCCCTCTCTGAAATTTTCCCCTTTGGCCATTGAATTTGTTTTCTACTGCTGCTGTAACAAATTAGTGCAAACTTAGTGGCGTAAAACATCACTAATTTATTATCCCACAGTTCTGTAGATCAGCAGTCAATGCCGACTCAGCTGGGTGTTTTGCTTGGCATCTCAAAACTCTGAAGTCAAGGTGTCAGTTGCACTGTGCTCTTATCTGGAGACCTGTGGCAGGGGGCAGGGCTGGGGTGAGGGGGAACCATTTCTAGGTTTCTTCAGGTTGCCTGCAGAATTCAGTTCAGTGGGGTCATAGGATCAATGTATTAGTCCGTTATCATGCTGCTAATAAAGACATACCTGAGACTGGGTAATTTATAAAGGAAAGAAGTTTAATGAACTCACAGTTCCACATGGCTGGAGAGGGCTCACAATCATAGGGGAGGGTGAAGGGGAAGCAAGACATGTTTTACGTGGTGGCAGGCAAGAGGACATGTGCAGGGGAACTCCCCTTTATAAAACCATCAGATCTCGTGAAACTTATTCACTATCATGAGAACAGCATGGGAAAGACCTGCCCCCATGATTCAATTACCTCCTAGTGGGTCCCTCTCACAATATGTGGGAATCATGGGAATTCAAGATGAGATTTGGGTGGGGACACAGCAAAACTATATTAATTGAGGTCCCCGCTTTCTTGCTGGGTGTCAGCTGAGGGTGGTTACCAGCTTCTAGAGGCTGCCCACATTCTTTGGCTTATAGCCTCCTTCCCCCATCTTCAAAGCCAACAATGGTCTGTTGAGTCCTCATATTTTGAATCTCTCTGATTTATCTTCTGCACTCTTCTTTTGTTTTTATGGGATCACGTGATTAGTTAGATTAGGCTCACCCTGATAATCTCCTTTTTGTTGTATAACAAAACACAATCACAGGAGTAACACTAGGGGTTGGAGATCATCATGGGAGTCAAAATTCTGTCAACCACACAACCAATCATAAGAAGGGTCAAGAGAAGGTTATGTGCCCTCAACTGTGGTCCCCAGTTGAGACAGGACAGCTGTGACTCTCATTTCTGTCTCTCATTTCCAGATGAAGGACTTGCGTCATGAGAATATTAACCCTTTATTGGGTTTCTTCTATGATTCGGGGATGTTTGCCATTGTGACAGAATTCTGTTCCCGAGGGAGCCTAGAAGACATACTGACAAATCAAGATGTGAAACTTGACTGGATGTTTAAATCATCACTCTTGCTGGATCTCATAAAGGTTAATGGGAAGACTGAGGAAATCTTGGATTTTCTCTGTAGATTAGAACTTTAATGTTTTGGGATATTTTATTTTCCTCAGATTGTTGTGATCATTTCACTCCTTACTTTCTGTATTAGTCCATTTTCATGCTGCTGATAAAGACATACCTGAGACTGGGAAGAAAGAGATGTTTAATTGGACTTACAGTTCCACATGGCTGGGGAGGCTTCAGAATCATGGCAGGAGGTGAAAGGCACTTCTTATATGGTGGTGGCAAGAGAAAATGAGGAAGAAGCAAAAGTGGAAACCCCTGCCAAACCCATCAGATCTGATGAGACTTATTCACTATCACGAGAATAGCACAGAAAAGACCAGCCCTCACGATTCAATTACCTCCCCCGGGTCCCTCCCACTACACGTGGGAATTCTGGGAGATACAATTTGAGTTGAGATTTGGGTGGGGACACAGCCAAACCACATCATTCCACCCCTGGCCCCTCCAAGTCTCATGTCCTCACATTTCAAAACCAATCATGCCTTCCCAATAGTCCCACAAAGTCTTAACTCATTTCAGCATTAACCCAAAAGTCCACAGTCCAAAGTCTCATCTGAGACAAGGCAAATCCCTTCTGCCTATGAGCCTGCAAAATCAAAAGCAAGCTAGTTGCTTCCTAGTTACAATGGGGGTAAAGGTATTGGGTAAATACAGCTGTTCTAAATGGGAAAAATTGGCCAATACCAAGGGGTTACAGGGCCCATGCAAGTCCGAAATCCAGTGGGGCAGTCAAATTTTAAAGCTCCAAAATGATCTCCTTTGACTCCAGGTCTCACATCCAGGTCACGCTGATGCAAGAAGTGGGTTCACATGGTCTTGGGCAGCTCTGCCCCTGTGACTTTGCAGGGTACAGCCTCCCTTCTGGCTGCTTTCATGGGCTGGCATTGAGTGTGTGTGGCTTTTCCAGGTGCACAGTGCAAGCTGTCGGTGGATCTGGAGAATGGTGGCCCTCTTCTCACAGCTCCACTAGGCAGTGCCCCAGTAGGGATTCTGTGTGGGGGCTCTGACCCCACATTTCCCTTCCTCAGTGCCCTAGCAGAGGTTCTCCATGAGGGTCCTGCTCCTGCAGCAAACTTTTGCCTGGGCATCCAGGCATTCCCATACATCTTCTGAAATCTAGGCAGAGGTTCCCAAACCTCAGTTCCTGACTTCTGTGCACCTGCAGGCTCAACACCACATGGAAGCTGCCAAGGCTTGGGGCTTCCGCCCTCTGAAGCCACAGCCCAAGCTTTATGTTGGCCCCTTTCAGCCACAGTTGGAGCAGCTGGGACACAGGGAACCAAGTCCCTAGGCTGCACACAGCATGGGGACCCTGGGCCCAGCCCATGAAACCACGTTTTCCTCCTGGGCCTCCAGGCCTGTGATGGGAGGGGCTGCCATGAAGGTCTCTGATGTGGCCTGGGGACATGTTCCCCATGGTCTTGTGGATTAACATTAGGCTCCTTGCTACTCATGCAGACTTCTGCAGCCAGCTTGAATTTCTCCTAAAAAAATAGGTTTTGCTTTTCTACTGCATTGTCAGGCTGCAAATTTTCTAAACTGTTATGCTCTGTTTCCCTTTTAAAACAGAATGCTTTTAACAGCACCCAAGTCACCTTTTGAATGCTTTGCTGCTTAGAAATGTCTTCTGCCAGATACCCTAAATCATCTCTCTCAAGTTCAAAGTTCCACAAATCTCTAGGGCAGGGGCAAAATGCCACCAGTGTCTTTGCTAAAACATAACAAGAGTCACCTTTGCTCCAGTTCCCAGCAAGTTACTCATCTCCATCTGAGACACCTCAGCCTGGACCTTATTGTTCATCTCACTATGAGCATTTTTGTCAAAGCCATTCAACAAGTCTCTAGGAGAGTCCAAACTTTCCCACATTTTCCTGTCTTCTTCTGAGACCTCCAAACTGTTCCAACCTCTGGCTGTTACCTAGTTCCAAAATCACTTCCACATTTTCGAGTATCTTTTCAGCAATGCCCCACTCGTAGTACCAACATACTACATTAGTCCATTTTCATGCTGCTGATAAAGACATACCCAAGACTGGGAATAAAAAAGAGGTTTAATTGGACTTATAGTTTCACATGGCTGTGGAGGCCTCAGATTCATGATGGGAGGCAAAAGGCACTTCTTACATGGTAGCGGGAAGAGAAGATGAGGAAGCAGCAAAAGTGGAAATCTTTGATGAACTCATCAGATCTCGTGAGACTTATTCACTATCATGAGAATAGCATGGAAAAGACCAGCCCCCATGATTCAATTACATCCCCCTGGGTCCCTCCCACAACACATGGGGATTCTGGAAGATACCATTCAAGTTGAGATGTGGGTGGGATCCCAGCCAAACCATATCACTTTCCTTCCCAAGTTTTTACCCCACCACCCTTCTCACAGTCCTTTTGTCCATATCTGTTATATGATACAGATATGGAAAAGGTTTGCCTGTCCTCTCCCCAGTTTGAGGTCCAGATTTTTCTTTACTTCCTGTTGCCATTAAGCACTCTTCTGCCTTAAGCGATCCTTTCTTTCATCCAATTTCTCTGCTTTGTGGATGTGGGAAAGTGCTCATTCCCAGATTATTTGGTGCTACTTAGCCCTACCTCCTAGTTTTCACCCTTCTAAATGGTGGCTCAGTCTAGAACTAGGTGAGAGGTCTTTACATACAATGGCTGTGTATGTGGAACTCAGTGCCACTGGAAAACCAAAAGACCAGTGGATCTATCAGGCATCACCTTTATTCTCTGAGCCAAAGATTCCTGACAGCCAAGGTAGGGTTCATAGATGAGTCCCATGGAGGAGCTTCTGGGGATCCCATGAACGCCATGGAATGATATGCAAATTGTGTATATGTGCATTTTTTACAGGGCTGATCTGCATACTCAATGACTTTTTGGGCTTCCTGCATACTGATCATAGTCTTGACCTTTTTCTGCTAGCCTAATCCTTTTTCAGGGGCCTTGAAAGGGAAAGACATTCTCTCATGCCAATTCCCTTTAAGATAGGTGTGATTAGCCTCCTTTTACAGAGGCTCAGGGAGGTTAAATGAGGTACTCGTTGTTATAGAGTGTCTGGCACATATAGTAGGTACTCAATAAATATTTCTCAGCCAACTATTAGGTGGCGGAGCTGATAATAAAATCCAAATCTCCTGATTCTTATTCTAGTACTTTTTCTGCTCACACTGTAAGCTAAGCCCAGTGAGTTAAGGGAGGAGCCTCTATATGACAATCCCCTCAAGGCCATGATGAATGAAAAGCAACCGTTAGACAACATGGGGGGAATCTTGCCCACTGTAGACTCTACTCAGAAGTACTGAAGAGTGCAGACTATCCAAGAGCACAGGGTGAAAAGAATTCCAAGTACAAAGGGGTGTCACACTGCAAAAGAGCCAGATACTTAAAAAGACTTTTAGCAAACAAAGTTCTGAAATGACTGTACTAGAATATAAATGTATGTATATACAGAATGAATAAATCCATCTGAACGAGAGTCCTGGTCACATTTGAATACCATATGAAGGCTGCCAAGCAAGTGCAGAGATCGGCACTAGACAGCTTTCTTCTTTCTGGTTGCCTATTTTTAATTACAAAAATAATATATTAAGTGTAAAACGCAAATGACATATATTGGAAAAATACTCGCATTTACTCAACCCTCTTTCTTCATACTCCCCCTCAAAGTTAACTACTGCTAACAATTTGGCAACCCACCTTGTAATTAATTTCTTGTGTATTTATATGCATTACAGATGACTTTTTTGTTTGTTAAATATACATGCTGTCACATAGTTCTGTAATTACTATATTTCACTTACTTTATGGATTAGAGTTGTTTCTATGTCAGCTACATACAGATCTATCTTATTCTTTTTAAGTGCTGCAGAATATTCCCTAGTGTGAATGTACCACACTCTAGCCAGTCCCTTATTGATATTTAGTGCATTTCCAATTATATACTATTATAAAAGCAAAGCTACAACAAGCATTCTTATCTTTGTCTCTTTGTGTATACATGCAAGCATTTCTCTGGAGGAGAGGTAGAACCCCTGGATCATAGGGTACACATAGTTTAAATTTTGATAGCTATTGCCAAATTGCCCATGCACAAGTTTGTCCCAGTTTCCATTCTTGCCAATAATGGGTGAGAGTGGGTTAGAACTTTTGGGGAAAATCAAAATCTCCAAATTCCTGGTAATTATATGTATATGGATCCATTCTGTATCTGAAATGTTAATAAATCTAGTAACACATAATTCTCTGCACACACAAGATAACATTCTTTATCAAAGCATAAAATTTTAGAGCTACGAGGGATCTGAAAACTGACTCAGGTTGTCAAAGGTTTACTTTGCCTGCATAGAAGAGAAAAAAGCTGAGTTCTGGATCATAATAGCTCATGCCATTAACAATCTCAGAAATTGGTGTTAAAAGCACAAAATAGTTAAATGAGTTGCTAAATAAATCCTGTTGTGTCATCTACAGGGCATGAAGTACTTACACCACAGAGAGTTTGTTCATGGGAGGCTAAAGTCTCGAAACTGTGTGGTAGATGGGCGTTTTGTACTAAAAGTGACAGATTATGGCTTTAACGACATCTTAGAAATGCTGAGACTCTCTGAAGAGGAATCTTCTATGGAAGGTAAGCAATGAATTGTACCCTTCTGATGCACACGAGGTAACTCCAAAGTTCAAATGAAAATATGCACTGAATTAAAGCCTCAGGCTGATTTCAACTCTCCACTTTTGTTGAAAATCCAGCCTCATTTCCAAGCCAAGGGACTTGAATGAAGTAGGCCTGCTGTAACCTCGGCCCAGCCAAGCTTTCTGAACAAAGCCAGTGTAATAATGTTCAGTTCCTGCTGTGGCAGGATTAGGATGTATTGTTTGGAGACCCCAGCAGTCCCTGGAAAAACTTGCTGAGCACTAGGCACACAGTAGGTGCTCAATAAATACTTGTCAAGTTGAATGGAGAGTAATTTGGAAGCTGGACCCCCACAACGTACATTTTAGAATGGGACGTCACTAGAGCATACCAGCACAGTCTCTGTCAGAGAGGAAGAAGCGAGGAGTGATCTCTCAGCAAATAAATGCTCTGTGGTTTATGTGGGAAGGCTTCAGGCAGAACTGTGGCCTTCTAGCAAATAAGTAGCCATGCCTGTGTCAAAGTCAAATAAAAATATAGGGACAAATCTTTAAATGAAACATTTTATTTGGGAAAACAGAATTTCATTTTGTGGCATGCACATAGACCAGGGTGGTCCTTGGTGTGTCCAAAGAACACAGAAAAGTTGGGGGTTTTATTGGAAAGAGAAATGTTATATATGGTTTTTAAAGAAAACTCATTGGCACTACCAAAGTTTTGGGGAGCAGGAAAGCTCCGATTGGTAAGTGATGGCTGTAGGTAAAACTCGTCTTAGAGTCATGACAGTTTCTTTCATCAGCTACTAGGTAAAACTGATATTAAGATTATAGAAGGTCATTTCGGTATCTGGCTTGCAAGATTATCCCTGGGCAGGCACTTGTGCCCCAAGTGCTTTTCTTTTTCTCCCATGGTCTCTGGACTCCAATTTAATTGGATATAATAAGATAACTCCAGTTCATATCATCAATTTTCACACCAACAACGTCCATTTTGTGTTTTTGTCTTCTGTCTAGTGCACCAGTGGTAGCACTAAACAATGCCAGTAGGAGTTATAACAGATCAAAGAAATAGGAGAAATCTGAGATGGGGGTGGGTGGGTGAGAACCAGGGAAGAAGGAGCAGATAGATGAGGGGGAGAAAGAGGAAAAAGAAAGAGAACAAATATGATGAAATACGTATAGGAAATGTGGGCATTAAATGTTTTAACCAATATTGCAAGCATAAAGAAGAGAGATAGTGACACAAAAGACAGAAAAGCAAACAGCCCAAAAAAAGATAGACAGAGACAGAGAGATGCAAAACTACATCATATATCCATATTCTTAAAATTACCTTTGGCGTAAGTTTTAAAACTGCTGACTTTACTACATAAAAGAAAAGAAGAATGAAAGACACACAGAGAGAGAGAGACACATGCATAGACAGAGAGTCCAGTCATTGGTGGTATCTGGACTTTATAAGACTTTGCTCTTTATAAGACTTGTGGGTTATTAAATTTAGGGAGTCATCTAGTCCAATTCCCTCCTTTTACAGATGAGACAACTGAAGCTCATGATTTGCTCCAAACCTGCAGTGACTTAGCAGCAGTTCTAGGACTTCAAATTCAGGTTTTCTGAATTCTAGCCCCTATCCTGTAGAGAGGGCAAGTACTTAGTATTTTGTCAAAATCAATTCTCTATAAAACACAATACCTTGGGAGGCTGAGGTGGGCAGATCACGAGGTCAGGAGTTCGAGACCAACCTGGCCAGCATGGTGAAACCCCATCTCTACTAAAAATACAAAAATTAGCTGGGCGTGGTGGCGCGCTTCTATAATCCCAGCTACTCAGGAGGCTAAGGCAGGAGAATCGCTTGAGTCTGGGAGGCGGAGGTTGCAGTGAGCCGAGACTGCGCCACTGCACTCCAGCCTGGGTGACAGAACGAGACTCTGTCTCAAAAAAAAAAAAAACAAAACGCCTAGCTTCTCAGAGTTCCATTTAATTTCCAGATGGGCAACTTTGAAACTTAAGAAAATCTAGTCTTAGGGTGGGTAAAGGATAGCTGCAGGGCTCTCTTTTCTGGTTTTGTGCTTTTGGGTGGACTATGTCTGTCTGTCTCCTCTGTCTCTGTCTCTGTCTCTCCCTCTTATCATATTACTCCATTCTCCAAATTGCAGTGGCAGTATGGATGGTCAGTCCATTCTTCACACACTGCAGCCAGAAGGAGCTTTCTAAACTGCAAATCTGATCATGTTACAGCTGTGCCTAAATCTATCGAATGGCTTCCCATTGCTCTAAGGATAAAGATCAAATTCCTTTACATGGCTTACGAGCTGAGCCCTGCATGGCCTGGAACTTGCTGACCTCTCATGCTAACCACTACCCCCCTGCTTTATGCTCTGGCCATGCTGAACTGCTTCTAGTTGTTTATTTACATTACACCAGGCTGTCTCTTACTACTAAATCTCCACACAAGCTGTGTCTTCTGCCTGGGACACTCTTCTCTTCCCACTCTTTCATATACTCATCTGGGTCTGGCTAAATTCTATTTCTTCAGGGTTCAACTTAAGTACCACTGCCTCAAGAGGCTTTCCATGACCCCTATGCTGGGCTAGGTTGCCCTCTTTATAATCCTTCAGGGCCCTGAACTTTGTTGTGATACCATAGTTCATTAGCATTACTCATTCAATTAACCTTGTCTCCCCCCACCCAAACTACAAGCTCTGTGGGGGCAGGAAACAGGTTTGCCTTTCTCAGTGCCTTTCACAGTTCCTGACAGAATATTTGTTGAATCAACAAAAGAACAAAATAAAATGAAATAAAGGAACTTGTCTCCCTACCTTAGATATGAGGCTAAATGAATCTCATAATTGAAAGGCCATTGGATGTCATCTGACCCAACTTCCATTTTATAGATAGGGAAGCCAAGGTTCAGAAAGGTAGCTACTTGGTGACCAAGCTAAGATTTTGAACCCGGGTCTCTAGACTTCCAGTTCTGTGTTCTTTTATACTATACCACAGTAGCTCTCCAAAGTCAATTCTATCACCCTAGCAAAGCTCAGAGTTAATAGTGGCTCCAGCAGATAAAAAACAAACCAAAGTAATTTCTCTAGTTTTCCCGAGAGTTCAACTCTAATGGTAGTTAGTGGCTCTTACTTGGTTCTGGAGTGGAGATGAGGAAATGGGGGCGGATTGTAAATGTATTCATTACTGTCCACTCTCGATTATATAAGTATAGTGCAGAAAAGCCTCATTATAGCCATTAACAACATACATGTAAGTGCTCTTTGGAAATACTATTTTGTAATGATTGTATTTAATCACCCAGCTTTTACCAGAGAGTTTTGCCCTCTTTTTCCATCTTGTGCTTTTAAATGTGCAGGGAGAAAGGATGCCAAAAAGAAGCAGCCACATGCCATTTTTCCTGCTCTCAAATATTCATCCTTGCACTCCTCTCCAAAACCATGGTGCCTAAAATCCCGCAACTATAAATGTATTCCTTTGACATTCAATCATTCAAGTATCATTCATTGTTTTCCGTTTGATTTGTAAATATAAATCTTCCTAGGCAGGGAGACATAGGGGCAAAATCACTATAGTGAGTGTTTTGGAGACTTTCATGGGTGTGAGTGAGTGGTGGATGGTGGGTGGAAGCTCAGAGGGGTCTGGTTGGGGGACAAAGCCTGGGGACACTTAAAGAGCAAAGAGAGAAGATGGGTACATGATTGGTGGTGAAACTGGAATTTCTTATTTCACCATTTTGATCAGGATTGGCTGAAAATAAGAATTTCCATGGTGGATTTCTCTTTCCTGGGTTTTGCTAACAAACCAAAATAATCTCTCACCTTTCACCCTTCTTCCTATTTCATAGGACTTTGTTTCTTGGACTCTCTTCCCAATACCCAAAATTTAACAAGATGAAAAGTTAGCCATTACTTTCTCCCTGATACCCTCACTCTTAGCAGACATTTGTCTCCAACCTCACTATCTGGATGTCACCTTGTTGTTTACTCCAACTCCCTCTCATTCTCAAGGCACAGGGAGCCTATCCTTAGCCCTGTCACTTCCTTCTCCATTGTAGCCTTCCAGTGTATCTGGTTGACTGTGTTGCTGCTACTACCCCCACCCCCATTTAGGCCCCTCTCACCTCACTACCTGCTCTTACTGCAATAACTTCCTAGCTGATCTCCCTGATTCCAGCCTCTCTCCTTCAATCCAGCTTGTGCAGGTTGCCAGATTAATCTTCCCAAACAGGGCTTTCATCAAATCCCTCTCCAGCTCCAGCACCCCTACTGCCTTTTGTATTCACTCCAAATGCCTTCATTTGGCTCTCAGGGCCTCTCACCTTCTGCCCCCATTCTTCCAGACACCCGCCCTCCCCCACTTCATCAACCCCACTTCTCATTTCTCATTATTCCTTAACAGAGCCCTTCTCTTCAGTCAAGCTAATCTGCTTACCACCACCCGGCATCCCCCCACCCGCAATTTGCTCCTTTCTGCCTCTTGTTCTTTTGCACATGCTGTTCTTTCTAGGGAGAAAAAAGCCCTTACCTTCTCAGCTCCAGAAAGTTGCATCCTTGACCTTCCTAACAAGCACATTTAAAATTTAACTTTTCCAGGAAGTCTTCCTGGATTAATTTGATCAGCTCAGTTTTTTTTTTAGTTTGAACCTGATGAAATTGCCAATATCTAACTGTTTTTGATTCACAGAAATGGTAACTTTATATAATTCAATCTAAAACACTCTTCTTCCAGCTTTTGAGTACTGTATTTCTATTGTTAAATTATATTTCTTTATACATTGCTTACAGTGCCCCCCACCCAAGAAAAATTTCTGACATTCTCACTGCCATAAACTCTGAATGCAGAAATAATGTTTTGTCCCTGACGGGGCCTGAAATGCAGCAGAGCACACAATGGGTGTTTAACTTTGACCTTTAATGGATTCATTTCCCTTTACTATGTAGTGGCCCTCATCATTCCCTCTCTTTTATTGCAGTTAGGGGTGCATATGTCTGTGTTTCCGACTGGTCTGTGAACTCCTCAAGTTTGATTCATCTCTAGCACCACCTCTGTGCCTAGCACAGGGCATGGTACATAGTAGACCATCAATAAATATTTGCAGAACTGAGTTGAAGGAATTGTTGCACCTTTTTGCACTGCAAGGAATAGGAAGGCTGGGGTAACTCTAATCCTTTTAGAGGAGACCTGGAGAAAGCAACTTGTGAATCTCTTAGCCCCAGCACAATCAAATTACCAGACACATATAGATCTCAGCAAACAGCAAATCCATGGCAACCAGTGTGGTAGCACACTTGCCTTTCCCTGGAAACCTGCCAACTGCTACTTGCAGGCTCAAGAAAGCAAGCACCAGAGAATTTCTATACTTTGAGCTTCTGTGCCCTTTCCCACATCGCTGCTGTGTCTGCCTGCGTGGTCCTGGGGTGGAGAGAGTAGTATGTTTTCTCTGTTCATAATTCCTTAGAAGAATAGATTCAGACCCTGGGGGATGGGGGGCACTAGCATGGCAGTCTGTCTAATAAAAATATAAGGCAGTCAATAAAACAGTACCCTCTGAGCCCTTGAGGGCATTGCAGATATTGTCAGTTAATCCTCCCTGCATTCATTACACAATGCTTTCTTTTTAGAGCTGCTGTGGACGGCCCCTGAACTGTTGAGAGCTCCAAGAGGCAGCAGGTTAGGTTCTTTTGCAGGAGATGTCTATAGCTTTGCCATCATCATGCAAGAAGTGATGGTCCGGGGTACCCCATTCTGCATGATGGATCTGCCAGCTCAAGGTAAGCGGGAGGTGAGAAAAGGGCCCCAGGGGTCCACCATGACCGAGATCATCAGACCAACTCAGGCTGTCATGATTTTCCAGAAGAGTGTTAGTGCTAACAGCCTGATAGTCTGCAAGCAGCTCAAGTTATGTACAGGTGGGACTTATAGCCAGACAGCTTTAGGCATCTGGAAGAAATTTCGCCACCCAAGAAGCTGGCCTTTTTTCAGACTGTGATGTAAAACAAGGGCCTACAGGACTGATGCCAGTCCCTTTTGTTTTTCTTTTTAATTTCACAGTCCCCTCTACTCCTTTGAGACACTCCCTGCCAAGTATTTTAGTATCCCTCATGATGCTTCTGGATGTCAAGGCCTTACCACTGTTTCCCTGTGACATGCTCCAGGCTTCCATCCAAATCTCCCACCAAGACACTTGGCTATTAGGCAATATCCATCAATAATGACAAAATCAGTAGACAAAACTTTGAGGGGAAACAGGATATCTGTATATTCTCAAAGTATGAACCCACAAGATACTTACAAATTGCAAATGGAAAAAACAGAGTTTACAAGTAGAGGATCCTGTAGACACCACCTTAAACAAGCAATCAAGATTACCAATAATAAGCTATTACCAGTAATACAGCACACCCATGTTATGTACCCATTGACATGATACACTAAGAAGGGCATAATGTCACCTCGGTGTTATTCTTGACAAAAAAAAAAAAATACATAACCTCAATCTAATAATGAGAAAACTTTAGACAAACCCCAGCTGACATTCTACAAAATAACTGGCTAGGACTAATCCAAAGCATCTAAGTCATGAAAGACAGGAAAAGAATGATGAACTATCGCAGACTGAAAGAGACAAAGACACAACAATTACATGCAATATGGGATCTTGAATTGGATTGTGGAACAGAAAAAGGACATTAAGGGAAAACTGATGAAATTCAAATAAGAACCCTAGTAATATTATTGTACAAATGTTAATTTCCTTTGTACTATTTTTCTGTAAGTTATTAACAATAGGGGAAGCTGAGTGAAGGTGTACAGGCAATTGTACTATTTTTACAACTTTTCTGGAAGTTTAATTTTTTTTCAAAATAAAAACTTTTAAAAATGAAAAAGAAAGAAAAACTAGAACCACTTAGCTAGGCTTTGTCCCACTCAGGGTTCCACATTATTCCTCTACTTAAAGCCTTCCAACTGTTCCTCATCACTTTTTAAGTGAAGGTGAGACTCCTCCCATGACATACAAGGCCCTTTACAATCTGGCCCCTAGCTACCTCTCCAGGCTTATCTTCTGTCACTCTCTATATCCCAGCTAAACCACATGACTGGCCGGGCCCTGAAAGTATCATGGTCTCTCCCATCTCTGTGCCTTTTCACATACTAGGAGGTGGAATTTTTCCACCTCCTCCCAATCTTGCCTCATCCAACTCATGTCACCTTCTCTGGGAAACCTTCTCTGACTTCTTTAGTGTGGGTCAGCTGCCTTTTCTATACTCACAAGTGCCTATCTCAGCTAGAGCACTTATATTGTTTGCCACTGTTTATTGCAATTGGACTGTGAGATCCTTAAGGGCATGAATCATGCTGTGCCTAAGCAGAGAGGTGGCCCATTCAACTTGATGGTGTTCTGAGAAAGGGACAAAGACTTCATCTGCCAGAGAATGGATGAGGCAGTCAAGTTTCAGGGAGTACATGCTCATGGAATCTGTTGTACTGAGAGCACGATGCTGTAATGGAGAAATCATTACTGGTACAGCCTGACCTGGGTTAAAGGAACAGAATGTGTGATGTCACAAGGAGCTGAGAAGTCAGAGGCAACAACTGGAATTCTTTTATGGAGGCAAGGGGCTCGTATTAGGGATAAAGCAGCACTGTTGGAGTGTTATAGCCAATTCAGGGGTGGGAAGGTCACACTGGTGGGGCAAGCAAAGCTTGGTTCCTGATGTGGCAGTTAGAATTGGAGGTGGTGGGGAGGGGATTAAAGATGAGAAATGAGCCTGAAGAGATAGGGACAAGAGCCTGGATTTTACTCTGTGGGTGATGGGGAGTCATAAAAGGCTTTTGAGCAAGAAAGTGATACGGCCAGATCTGTGTTTTAGGAAAGGTTTGGAGAAGGGTAGGCTGGAAGCAGAGAGATCAGTTTGAGGCCCCAGTGTGGGTTGCTGGGGATATTGAGAGATAATGATTTTTTTTTTTTTCCTGCTGCCAGGGAGTTTTCTTTTTGTAAAAAGGTCAGTCTGACTGCTCTAGACCTTTTGTCACTAATGGCTGTTGGGTCTGAATAGGGAGTCTAAGAATTCCCACGTGAAGTCTGAGACATTTGGAAGCAGGACAGTGTAACAGGTTGAGATTGTCTGGGTTCAAATTTGAACTCTGTCACTTACTAGCCATGTGACCTCGGGTAAGTTACTTACTCTCTTCATGTCTCAGTTTCCCTAGCTATAAAATTAAAATAAGAGTGCCTACCTCACTTGTTTGTATGTGAGAATCCAGTGAAATAATGCATGCAAAGCGTTCAGCACATTACTGGTATATAGTAAATATTCCACTGGAAGTGGAGTTCATGGACCGTCAACCAGGAGGATCTTGATGAGGCCTTGAACTGTTTACTGCAGTTCTTAATTCCCTTTGCCTAGACACCAGGTAGAGACCTGGACCTGGGCTGGGCCTGGGCTTGTAAGAAGAGTTAAGTGGGTCTATTGTGGGGATTGGAAGGCTTAGATGATTGGGGATGGGTGAGGGGAGCCAGGTCCCTGAAGTTAGAGCATTAGAATTGCCATCAGATAGGCAGTATCTAAAACCTAGCAGAAGCAGAATAAAGTGCCTAAATGATACCAAGAGTCCAACTGATTAATTTCTCACTCCTCCCCCATTGCCTAATGCAGCTTTTGCTCAAATATAGTCTATATTCAGGCCACCTAAGGAGAGAGCAAAGGAGATGGCCCTTCTGTGTTATCTCCTAACCTACCCCCTTCTTGGCTAAAAGTCAGTTATCTTTGCCAAATCTTGGTCATTTTTTCCATGATTTGTAAACGGTTCTCTTCTCGCATCTGGACAGAAATCATAAACAGACTTAAGAAGCCTCCTCCTGTGTACAGACCAGTAGTTCCTCCTGAGCATGCCCCTCCAGAATGTCTCCAGCTGATGAAGCAGTGCTGGGCTGAGGCTGCAGAACAACGACCAACTTTTGATGAAATATTTAACCAGGTAAGGACTCTGAATCTTATCATTGCCCAGGAGCCTTCCTGAAGTCAGCCTACACAAGGCTAACTCCTTGGGTCCTTGTCATATTGTGGAAGGAACCTCTTGCAAGGGGTAAGGGCACTCCTCTTGGAGGAACAGCCTGGGAGTGGCTACTTTGAGGCTCTTGGTGCTGGAGTGTCATCAGCACATCCTTCAAGAGCCCAAAGATTGGTTCTAGTGTTCTTCTGTGTCTGAACCTCTGTTCCAGACCATCCACAATCTGACCTGATCAACCTTTCAGAGATGGAATTGAACCATCAGGCATTTGTAAGGCAATGGCATTGAAACTATTAGATGATGGGTATCATGGAATAGATGGGGCTCCTCACAGAGCCATGTTTACTTTGGGGATACCAGAGAACTCTCATGAGTGTACCAATTAGGTAATTTCAGGTTGTTTTTGGAAGGTCAGGAAAAATATGGAGTGTTTGAAAGGGTGTTCAAGATGGAAGAAAGAGAAAGTGCAAATGTGGCGTGCAAAAGCAGGAGATTCCTTAAGTTTCCAGGCAATGGGGTACATGAAAAGTGATAACCTTCCTCCTTAAGATACTGAATTTCTAAAGGGGGTGATTCTCTCCCTAGAGGTGGGGATTGAAAGGGGAGTGAAGGAAAGGACAGAGTGAGCCCTGCTGTGGAAGCTAAGGCGCAATTCCAATGTTGGAGCATGCAGTTTAGGCTTTGTTGAAATTACAGGACACCAAAACTGAGGGTGCTCACCATGAGTGCTGTGTCAGCTCTGGCAGAGAGGCTTTTGTGCCTGGCTGGAGTACAGCAATGAGATGCTTTATGAGTGGCAGGTATCTGAGGCGGAAAGAAAGAAAGAGTTGGATTGAAAGCCTGAGGGGCCCTGCTTATGAAGTCATCCGTGTCCCCAGCTAACAATGCCTCCATTAGCCCGGCTGAGTTTCTTGAGGACACTCAAACAGGTGTTCAATAGTATGGAAGAGGCGAAGGACCATGAAGGTCAAATTTCTAAAACCTTACCATGAGGCAGGAGAAAGAGCATTTGCCCCTGTGTTGATGCTAGAGATGTTATTTCAGAAGGCAGCAGAGAAGCCAGTGATAGATAGGGGGAGTGTACATCATGAGACTTTCAAACAAGACATTGCTATAGCTGCCCTCACTGAAATGCTTCAGTGGAAGTTTAGGCTGTCTGATGACAAGGCTAGCCACCTAACTTCCTGCAGTTAATAAAACTTAAGTGGGAGGAGGAGGAGGAGAGGGAGGTTCCCTGGGTTAGGCAATAGGGGGAGCCCAAAGCATCTAAACTGGCTACGAGGTTATCCTCAGGACTTTGATGGACCTGCAGATGTGAACCAGGCTCAGAAGGGAAACTCCTAGTGTTGGCCTTGGGGCATTGGGTGCTAGGTGGAGCATGTGTGGCCCAGCTATATATAAGAGGTTCACTGGGACAGAGCCCTAGATGTCTGTTTAGCAAAACCACCTCCGATTTTTTGTTGTTGTGAACACAGTCATGTGCATGTTGACTATAGCAGTACAGAGGGGCTACCCCTCATGATTCTAATACTATGCCTAGCTCCCTGTTACTGTAGATAGACAAGGTCCCAAAAAGGCGTATTGAAAATTTGTGACATGCAGACATCTCTAAGGCATCAGGGCATAGAATGGGGGCAAAATCAGTTGAATTTTACATCACTCTGACTGACCAAAGGACAGGTGCTAGAGGACACCACTATTCTTGGACTCCACGGTAAGAAATAGGGGTTGATTTTATCACGTGGATCTTGAGCCCTCTGTAAGAGGTCAAGGAACCTCTCATTGTTCAAAAACTGGCAACATAGTGGCATTTGAGGATAAGAATGATTTAGTAAACTGATGATCCAGAAGAGTAAAATGGTACTTTGGGCCCTCTCTCCCCTTACCTCACACAAAATTGGCCTGGGCTCAAGACCAAATCCTGTTGTCTTAGAAGTGGCTACTATTCACGTGATAGCATCTCAGAACTGAAGGAGCCGGCTCAGAACACCTTTGCTCAGGCTTGAAAGAACCAGAAGGGTAGGGGAAGAACTGGTGGGGTCGGGGGTGGGGGAAGAGGTGCAGTGGTAGTGCCCTGTAAATGGGTCAGGGTGACAGTGAGGATGGGTGGTGACTTTTCCTATTTATATCTGGGTTCACCTTTCCTGCCCTGGCATTTTGGTGGAATGGATTTGTGATAAGGGGACCTGCTCCATCATCTCTGAGTTTGATGAGTAAGCATTTTCTGGTTCCCTTTTCTATTTTACTTCCAGTTTAAAACTTTTAATAAAGGGAAGAAGACCAATATTATTGATTCTATGCTTCGGATGTTGGAGCAATATTCTAGCAACTTGGAAGATTTGATTCGGGAGCGGACTGAAGAGCTGGAAATTGAAAAACAGAAAACGGAAAAGCTTCTAACACAGATGCTACCACCGTATGTGAGAACACCTGAGGAGTGTGAATCCTTATAACAGTGTGTTCTGTTAAAAAAAAAAAAGAGAAAGAAAAAAATTACCCATCAACTAACTGCTGCCTCCCCTTGTCCTGCACCTTCTCTTCTCCTAGTGGGCTTTAGTCACACCTTTAAATCAAAGTAAAATTGGAAACCAAGGGAGCAGAGCACACATCCTAATTTTCCACTACCTGTAGATCATGCTGGTCATTTAAGTTTTTGTGCTTGTTTTTTCTGTGTGTCACTTCGTGACTTTGCTAGGAGGTTGACCGATTAAAAGAAAGCAGTTCTTTGAGCTCCTAGAGGAAAGTAGCAAGGTCGTTTTTCCAGGTCTTTCCTCTCTTAGCTGAAAACCTTATCTGTTGCTACAGTTTCCAAGTTTTCCAGGGCACCTTACTTATTATGTTGTAACATGATCTTCTAGGAGATAATTAAGGAAACTAGCCTCATGAAAGGGCAATCACCTGGGAGCATTCCCCAGGGGTCTGAGTTAGAAGTATAGAGAGATGAAAACCCTCCACATGAAGGCACAGACCAGGTCTGTCCAGTGCTGTATTCCAGCACCTGGCACAGTTCCTGACCGATTGTAAGCACTTAACACTTATTTGTAGAATAAATGAACGAATTAATGTTTTCATCCATGTAACACTTTCTTCCTCATCATTTATTAGCAGTGATTTTTAGAGGTTTATTTGGTGTATTTTTAGCAGGTGTATGTGGCATGAAGGGGGACCAGTGTCATCTTAGGAATAGCTGTGTCTGCTTTTCAGATCAGTTGCTGAATCTCTCAAAAAGGGCTGCACAGTTGAACCTGAGGGCTTTGACTTGGTCACCTTGTACTTCAGCGACATTGTGGGCTTCACAACCATTTCAGCCATGAGTGAGCCCATTGAGGTCGTGGATCTTCTGAATGACCTGTACACACTCTTTGATGCAATAATTGGCAGTCATGATGTCTACAAGGTAGGTTAATTAGCAGGAAAATATATTCCATAGTGAAATTTTTATATGAGGCCCATCCATATGTATTCTAAAATTGAAGAATAAAATTTATGGAATATTGTTATTTAGGAATAACAAATTAAATAGTACACCCCTTCCATTGGTATATCACTGGAAATGAGAGCCGGGTAGAATGCATGTAATTTCCCAATTTACAAAATAGCAACTTTCAACCCAGCAAAAGATTGCCAGTCAGATTTCTTTTGAACTTTTTTTCTAGAATTGGGACTAAGAAGATGTTGGGACCAAGAGAGTTATTGCACATCAGTGGCTGAGTACTAATAGTGTAGGCAGTACTGTACTAGGCACTGAAGGGGATAAAGAGGAAGTATTGGTGTTTTGCCCATAGGTGGTGACTGCTACAGAGTTCATCTTGGTAAGGTTTGTGTAGATCTAATACATGCTATAAAAATTTGGTCTCCTCCTTCAGGTACTGTTTTATATGGAGAGAACTTGACATTATAGCAGGGAAATATTAGACTCGAGGCTCTTTGGGATTGCTACAGGGTAACCGAAAAGCTGCCTATTGGTCTGAGGTCTGGGGAAGTGATTAATTGTGGGGTGGCAAGCCCCTGTTCCCACCTTCTCTCACTCCTCCAGCCTTTGAATTTTCACTCTTTCTATTAGAGTTTGCAAAATGACTGCATTGACTAATTTTGATGCCATGCCTCCTTACCTTTTTTTACATATGTTGTCTTGTCTCTAGGCAAAAATGACGAAAAATCTCATAGCTGTGCAGGGACATTTCTACATTGTCTGCATCATGGATACTTGTCTTATTGATGGAGAAAGATGCCCCAGGCATCCTAAACTTTAGACAGCTTCTCTGTCCCAGGACCAAAGTAGAGCTGGAGAATGAGTAGCTCCATTCATTGGATTCTTCACAGTAGTCTGAAATGTTCTAGCTCTCAAATCACACACAAGAAAGTGTGTTTATCTCAGATTAGACAGGGCCTTTTCAGGTCAGATAGAGAGCCTCAGGGCTAGGCCAAGCCACCTAAATAGGGCTCAGAAATAAACATCATACCTGTCAATCAGCAGGAGCTGCAAGCTAATCAAGAAGCACACATGGAAACCACGATGCAGGAAAAATCCATGGAATCAGAGTACCTGTCTTAACTTGTTGAACTCAAGCAGCCTGAAGAGAAAAACAAATCACTGAAAGCTAATTCAGTTGAAACTAAAATCAAAGATGATTCAGCGTGGGCTGTAACACAGCTACTGGTTTAATCAATCCAGCTGATTCTGTTCAGACAATTGTTGGGGGTCTTAGCAATAGGCCATTAGATATTTTGGTACTTAATGGTTGCAGTAGGGAGTTAATGGGCTGTTCTCAGAACAGAGCAGGGCTATATAAATCCAAAAATGAAATTTATTTTTTTCAGCCCTATTTATTAAAAACAGCACAGTGCAAAGGAAATAAAAATTGAACCAGCAGCAAATGACCAAACTCATTTGTGTTTTTATTTTCTTTACCTGTAAAATTTGAATCACCTCCCCTGGTACTTGATAATCTGAAATGGAAGTGAGAAGGCTACTGTAGAATTATGAAGTTAGTGATTCAGTTTCAGTTTTCCTGCCACTATCTGCATCCCAATCGCACCCTTTTCTAAACCTCCTTTTCCCTCAGCACCCTTGTGTTGACTGACACAACCCACAATTTTCCACAGCAGTCTGTACACCAAGACCATGCATGCCCATACTCCCTGCTCTTCTAATCTCCTCATCCATATCCTTGGGGCCTCCTGGGTGACTGACTCATCAAAGCTAAAGGGTCAACAACTAATCTCTGATAATGGCCAGCCACTGACTTCCCCTTGCATGTAGCATTTACATTGTAATCCTTCCTTCCTGTGTGCAGGCTGGCATGCCTATCTGAGGGTAGGTATCCTTTCCTCAAATTGCACAAGGTAAGGGAGACCTTGGATGGAAACATGTTGAGGCAGAAAGTCCTATAGATTGAAAGGATTATTGTTATTGGCTATAGTAATTCATGATGAGGAGCCTATTGCTGATTGCTAAACTTCTTTCTCTGGAGCTGAATCATACCCACAGTTCCAGGGCTGGTTTCAAGATGTACCTATTTGATAATGATGATGATGATGATGATAATGTTGATGATGATGATGGTGATAGCTTGAACTAATTATATAGTATCATCCAATAGGCAGGTTTTAAATGCTTTGACATATATTAAATTATTTATTCCTTAGAAAACCCTACGAAGTTTTTACTATCATTATCACTATCTTACAGATAAGGATACTGAAGTACAGAGAGATTAAGTGATTTGCCCATGGCCACACAGTTTGTAAGTGTTGAATCTTAAATGCTAATCAAGATGGTATAACTTCAGAGTTTCATGTTCTTAACTGTTGTATTCTGTGAGTGCAGTTCTCTGGGAACACATGGGTTTTAACTGGATTCAAACTTGTAGTAACACAGTCTGACTGGCGCATTTCATAAAAAGTCCCTTCAGCTTAGTTATTTTTTGGATTTACCCAAAAAGTTTCAACTTACTGGTTATCTAAAAGTGAGCACACTTCTGTGGGGAAGGTGAGGAACATAGATTTGGCTTTATTTCCAAGTGTCCAGCCCTAACCGTCCCCTGCAAAGCAGTTGAGGGCCAGTACTGCTGCTCCTCAGGGAGGTAGCAGTAGGAGAGGAGGAGGTAACTGGTGGAAAGAGACTCAGTTCTCATACCCAATAGGCCTGCAAAACTAACTTCATCGTATTAGCAAGGCAAAGCAGAGGGAATGTTCTTCCTTTCCCCTTCCCTATATTTTCCTTAAGGCTACCCTAGCTTATTTACCCCAAATAATCTATAGAAACATTTGCTGGGAAGCATCATAGGCACTTTCTCCTAAGATGCTCCCCCATGGACACCCTAGGGACAGTCCCAGAAATCTCCCTTTTCTCTTCTCCCCAAATGTCTCAGAGCCTGGTATTTTTCTAAGGTCAATCAGGAGCCTGTGAGGTAGCTACACTTATTTCAGAATCTCTTGGTGTGGGGCCTAGACTTCAGTATTTTTAATAAAGCTCCTTAAGCAATTCTAACATGCAGCCAGACTTGTGGATCATTGACAGTCCCTCTCTGCCTTTCTCACTTTACAACAAGACCACCTGGCCTCCATTATACCCTTACAGCTCTGTGCTAAAAAGAAGCACAAATAAGTTGTTTGCTAATTCTATTTTTCCTAATTCCCAGGTAGAGACCATTGGAGATGCCTACATGGTGGCTTCAGGCCTCCCAAAGAGGAATGGCAGTAGGCATGCAGCTGAGATTGCAAACATGTCCTTAGATATCCTGAGCTCTGTGGGCACTTTCAAGATGCGGCACATGCCAGAAGTGCCGGTCCGAATTCGAATTGGCCTTCACTCAGGTAATAACCAGTTAAAGTAAGAGGAAACATTCTAATGCGCCTCTAGGAAGACTAAAAAAGAAAGGGAAAAAGATAGCTCTCCCCTGATTCCTGGCCACCGGATTATCCAGGTGTCCGGGCTGCATAATTCCTTTATGCCTACCCAAATTTACTCTCCTCCCAGTACCTGCACTAACACAGTGGGCAGCAGCTCCTTGTTCCAGGTACTAAACTCTTTTAATCTACCATTTTGGTTAGAGGCAATATTTCCATGTTTGACTATGCTACAAGATCAACAGGTATATGTTGTAGTTAGGATAATTCATTTAATTAATTAAAATCCCTACTTCTGAATTATTTTCCTCCCACATTCATTACCTACTAGCTCCTCTTGCTTCTGTATCCACTCCCCACCTTTTTCTCTCTGCTCTGCTCTTCTAGGCTCCTTTCCTTCCCCCATCCTTTTCACCCCTTTCCTACCAAACTTCTTTAAAAAAATGAATGACATCCACTGTGCCATTTCTTCACTGTCCACTCCCTCCTTAGCCCCTTTGCAATCTGACTTCAGTTCTCACCACTTTCCCCGGTCCTTGTCTGCCTTTACCTCTGCAGCATCTGGAATTCATGACAAGCCTCCCTAAAATGCTCCTCAATTGGCTTTTATGACATGCTCCTCACTCTGTGAATGCTGCTTTTCACTTTATTTACTGGTTCTCTTGACTCTTCCTGTTCTCTAACATTTTCTGCAAAGCTCTCAGTCTTGTGATCTTTTTGCTGTCTGCATGTCTCACCTCTAATTTATTACTCAACCCACAGCAACCTGACTTTCATTTCCTACCACTGTCTGATAATTCCTTTTGTCTCTAATTGTCCCTTATATTGGTCTTCTCCAGTGTTCTGTCAGGATCCACTGTTTTTCTCCTCCTACATACTCTCATGGGTGATCTCATTCATATCTGTGGTTTAACTACCACTTGTACGCTGATGACTTCCAACTCCACAGCTTTAGTGCAGTCTTCTCCCTTAAGCTTCAGCCTTCTATATCAAAATTCCTGCTGATATGCCCACCTGAATGTTCCACATGGACCTTAGACTCGACACATCTAAAACAATTATTTTTTTACCCATACAAACTTCCTGCTCTTCTTATATTTATTCTCTATTTCAGTTGGTGGTACCACCATTGACCTAGTTACTCCAGTTAGTCTTGAGAGTCATTCTCTTTGACTCCTCCCTTACTCTGACCTTTAACGTTCAACTAACTACTAAGTCTTGAACACTCTTTACCTTTTAAATATTTATTGATCTCTCTTGTCTCTTATTCACTCTCACAACCCAAGCCTGGGACACCAAGATCTCTTGCCTGGATCACTGCAATAGCATCTTCTTGCTTTCACTCTTGCCTCTTACCATCCATCCTTCTCATAGTCATCAGCATAATCTGTGTTTCCTTGTCTGTCCTTCCATTAGGCTTTAAGCTCCTTGGTGGCAGGAAGCATATCTTACTCATGTTTGTATCCAGAGTTCTTAGCACATAGCAGGCGTTTGATTTTTTCTTTTAGAGAAAAGCCCTCATCTGTCATTTGTGCTTCAGTTTCACATTTCCAACCCCCCTCAGCATACCTCTTCTTGTAGGGTTCACCATTATTTCAAATTTAACATATTTAAAACTTCAAGTCATCTTTTCCCACAAATCAGCATAAACTCACAAGCTCATGGCAATTTTCTCATGGTTGTCAATCAGACAGCCAATAAATCTGTTGATTCTTTTACGTCTCTCTTATTACTTCTTCATGGCCATCCACTTCTTATCATTGCCTCCTTTTAAGTACTTTGTGCTTGGATTACTGCAGCAGCCATCTGGAGGGTTTTCCTGGTTTTACATTTTCCCCTTTCAATGCATTTTATACACTGATCTGAGAAAAAAGATCATGCAATTCCTTGCTCAAAATTCTCTAGTGGTTCAAGATCCTCCATCTTGTACAACCCACTTAATCCAACCTTGTCTCCAGTTTCTCGTGAGCCATGTGAACTAGGCAGACTGTTCTCTCTAAGAGCTTCCCAAATTCCCTGTACAATCCCAACCACAAGCCTTTGATTTATGTCCCTTTTCCACTGTTCAAATCCTACTCACCCATCAAGACCTAGATCAAATCCTACCTTCTCCACTGGACCCTTCTTGATTGAGTCAGGTCCTAATAAGCACCTCCTCCCATTTTCTGAGTTATTATAGCACCTCTGTCTGTGCTTCTTGCCTCAGCCATATGTTGTCTTGGGTTACTGCTTAATTGCTTCCTCTTTGATAGTATCTTCTCTTCAATTAGACTATAAATTCCTGGAGAACTGAGACTATGTGTTACATTTCTTTTTTATTCCCCTTGGTGCCTAGCCGTAAAAACAGAGCAGAAGGCCAGGCATGGTGGCTCATGCCTGTAATCCCAGTACTTTGGGAGGCCGAGGTGGGGGGATCACTTGAGCTCAGGAGTTCGATACCAGCGTGGGAAATATGGTGAGACCCCCTATCTCTTTTTAGGAAAACAAAATCAGAGCAGAAACCAGAAAGTTGAAGGTGAAGAACTTTCTGGATACTCCCAAACTGACTTTTCAGTACGGCTGCTGAAGTTTTCTCAATTACCTTGAACACTTAACACAGCCATATTAAAATGTAAGAACAAAAAATGCTAAATGCAAAATATCCTTTGATTATATATACATACTGCTTTTCCATGCCCCAACACAGATAATTGAAAGTCAGCTCTATTTGTTTTCAGATTTTTGAAATGTTTTAGAATAATTCTCTTGATAGACACAGTTTGGGAACCAGATAAACCCATGAAAGCCTTTCTTCCAACCCTAAGGCACAAGAAAAAGTCACATTTTTTTCCTTACAACAAACATGTTTGGACCCTGAATCCCTGCCCAGGCCTTTCTGGTTTGGGTTTGATACTTGTTTGTCCCTGTTGACAAATATAAGCATCTCAGGTGTAACTGTTACGTGGAACAAAGGTATACATCAGAAGGGCAGTCATGTCTGCATTGTTATAAATTTGCTTTCTTGTAGGGCAAAGAGTTCACTACTCATTGTGTCTTTCTTCAGATTCACAGAGCTATATGATGGCAACTTTTATTCTTTTACAAAGATACATTCCTTCCTCTTTGCACTATTCCTCTATTAGCATTGGGTGCATACCTGTTGACTGTAATTCCAACCCCCTGATACTCTATAGGGCCGGTTGTTGCTGGAGTGGTGGGCCTCACCATGCCCAGATACTGCTTGTTTGGAGACACTGTGAACACAGCTTCTCGGATGGAATCTACAGGCTTACGTGAGTACCTAATAGAGAGATGGATAGGATGGCACCACTCTGCTATTGAGAAGGTGATTCTTCTTCAGAGAGGTGAAAGAGAGCAGGATACTTGATGTTTCAATGTTTTAAAGAAAAATAAAAGATAATTTGAGAAGATTAAGATTTATCACGGATTTTCCTGGTCTCTAATGGCAAACCAGTAGGGGGTGATGTTGGACTGAACATGTACCTTTCTTTCTCTAGAAATGAAGCTGTAGCTAAGTGACACCAAAACAGCCACTCAATTTGATAAAAACAGCTAAAATAGTATTTTGGGTAAAGAAAAAAATTGGCCGGGCTTGTGGGTTTGTGGGAGTCATGTTGAGAAAAGAACTACATAAGGGACTAATATTTTCCATTTTTCAACTAGTTTGTGGAGACGCACTGAAGCCAGCTGCCTCCCAGCTGGCTGCTGTTTGCTGTTGCAGTCCCCTTTTTGAACCAGTTAGGACCCCAGGAGTTCTGGCTTCATCAAATAGCCTCTACAATTTAGCTAGCAATAATCCCTCAATCCAAGTAGCTTGGAATTCTGAAATAATTTATTGCAACTTCCCTGTATATAAAACCCTTAGCTTCTATCAAAACAGACATACTATCAAAGATACCATTTCTTCTCTGCTTCTTTGAAAAGAAAACTGTACAAACCATATGCCATTTGTCTGTTGTTTGTAAGATGCTGGCTCAACTCTTACTCGGTTATTTACTACCACTACAGAATCACAATGTGCCTTTTGCTTATATCATGGTTGAGCAAAGCATTTTTTATGCTACTATAGGAAAAGCATAGAGAATAACATTAAATTCTATATGCAGTTTTCATTTTTCATGGATTTTGTACCAAAAAAGGGAAGAAACCACTTAAGCCCTTAGAAGGGCTTAACTCTGGCAAGACGAGTTCTTCCCAAGCTTCAGCACTGTACTCAAACTAGTCCCTGATGTTATGGTGGACTGTATCACAGTGGGTGGTGCCCTGTCTGACCCCACTTCCCATCACTCATGTGTAGAAACAGGCTTACACAATGGGTCCAGTCTTAGTCAATCTAGCCTGTGCTGCCATGATTAAGGAGGCAGTATGGAACTTAGAAGCTGTTGTCAGAATAAATTTTCTGACATCTGGGAAAGTCTTCAAACTCCTTAGATATGGCAGAGGCCATGGAAGTAGTCATCCAGGAACTGCTGCATTAATATAACTTTGCATATGACTTTACTCTTGAAGTGCAACCCAAGATGAAGTGAAATTTATCATGGAACTGCAATGCAGATTTGGCACAGTATTCTGGACTGATGTAAGCTTGTAGAAGGCTGAAGTCATATTCTGGTCTGAACCAGGGAAAACTCCACACATTTCACATTGGAAATACAAAGTTGAGACCAGAAATTGAATTTTGAGATGTAGACAGCACCTTGCCCAGTGATCAGCTAGAACGAAGAAAATGGAGTGAATCACCCACAGCAGGTGTTTATTAAGCACTGACTGTGCAAGGAAGTTATTGTGAAGCATACAAAGAAGTATACGCGTGTGCTCTCTGTGCTAAAGGAGCTGGTTAATGTGCTTTTCTAAAAGCTAATGACTATGACCCAAATATGACATTAAGCTCCACAACTGAATGGAGATCTGTAGAGAGGTAGCCTCTCCTCACATTGGATATGAAATCAGGACATGTCACATATCTATTAATAAAAAAATTATTTCATCAATATCTCCTTTGTGCTCAGTTGAAACCACTGAGATTCTGGAATGGAAGTGACTCGTGACCCAGTCCTGGAGTGATTCTCCCTACCATACAAGTGGATGGTGGTTGGTATGAGCTATCTCTCTTTTAAGCTGTGTGTTCCCTACCATCAAGATTACTCTACTGAAAGGCTCCCTGAAGACCAGATGCTTGTGGGATGCACACATAGGACTGGCTAGGAATATACTGGCTGGGCATGTGTATTTTAGGAATAGGTCAACCTTTTTTGAGTAAGGGCTTTGGATGATCATGAGTTAATGAGGAAGGCACAAACAAACAACAGTACTGAGCTATCAAGAGAAAGAAAGTCACTGTGAGTATACACAGCAGAAACTCCTTGCAGTTCTCTCCCGCCATGCCTTCCTACTCAGGTTGTAATCAGCTTTTTTTTTAAAAAAAATGATTTTCTCAAGCATGTGTGAAAACTAGCCTTGGACTTTTATTTAAGACTCAACCTCAACAAGGTCTCACTTCATAGGGTGACAGTTTTTAGAAATGTCAAGGATCTTACCTGAGTGAACAAGTGATTATTCTTAATCAAATAATTACCCTTAGGTTCTAAATAAAATTTTAACGTGGCAGTTCCCTATGTAAATCTCTTATCCCAGATTGAGATCATTGGTTAGAAAATAGTACATTCATGTGTAAACACAGCTAGGTGCCCCCACCCAAACGTCAGCTATAAATGTACAGTCTTCATAAAATATTTGTTGAAAGAGTTCTTGGGATATTTCTCATTGATGTTTTATTTTTAAGTGTAGCAATGTTGAGAGAGAGTTGTAAGAATGCATATGGAAAAGACATCATTTTGCCTAAGATATGTAAAGCATGAGAGTTCAGCCATAGTAGCAGCCTGTGAAAGAAGCTGCTGAAGTCAAGCTTTCTTCAAATGACGTCACGTTTCAGCTGAGAGCACAGTAGATGCTGGTTTCTCCATCTCAACCTTTGAGTTAAATTAACACCTTTCTATTGCATGGCCTTTCATTTAAGATAGTGTCTAGGAGGCTGATAGGTGCTACAACTAATGCCTTATTTCGGCCTGGTGAAGAAGGCCATCACTCCGTCTCCTCCTCTTGTGAAACCCTAAGTAAACCTCTCTCAGGACGTTGCTAATGGTCTAGTTCATTTACAAGTGAAGACATTTATTACATTGACATTTTCTCATTAATTTTGCCAGTGAGAAAGGAGCCCAAATCATGTCTCTCCTTCTTTTGCAGCTTATCGCATTCATGTCAGTCTCAGCACTGTTACAATTCTTCAAAATCTGAGTGAGGGCTATGAAGTGGAGCTTCGAGGAAGAACAGAGCTCAAGGTATAATGTCTTTTTGTTTTTTGAGCCAGACTACTTGGATACACCTGCTTCTGGAGAGGTCATGGTCTGCTGAAAGAGTTTACCTGGGAGTCTGAGACTCAGAGCTATAACTTGGGCAGAATCTTCAGCCCCATTTGGGGTTCCCAAAAGATTGCTCCATTTTGCCTCAATTTTCTTCTCTTTAAAATATGGCTACAGTGGGGAGGAGTATTGAGATTTTTTCTGCATTTTTCAGACTGTAAGTTGTATCTTTCTCTCTTAAAGAACTGCACAGAATTTGGCTTTCCAATGAGCTGCACTATTATTTACATTTTCTAACCTACATTTTTTCACTCTTTGGCAGTGCCAGACATTGTTCAATAAGCCATAGTAATTGTGAGTTTGGATTTTCTATTCACTTTCTCAGTGGCCACCCTTCCTGGGTGAAAGGCACCCATTGGCACACTATTTGCAGAGAGACTTTTTCTTTCCCTAAGAAACCAGGAGGAACAAAGTCAGTTTCTATGAAAGGCAAACATTTTGTAGCCCCTTTTTCCCTGTTAGAGTTATCACTAGACCTGAGATATAGGATTAGAATAATTTTAGTTTTCTTTTTTTGCCATTTCCACTGTGTTCTATTTATCTATTTCTGAATGACCAAAGACCACCGGTTGACCCAGTTGTAAAAGAGCTCAGTGATAAAATAATGTAACTCCCTCATTTTCAGATGAAAACCAAGGTCCAGAGAGGTGAAGTAGTTTGAGCAGGGTCACACAGTCAACTGATAGCAGAATCAGGTCAAGACTCAGGAAGCCTGACTTCCTTTTTAGTGACCTTTCCATGACACCATGCTGCATAAAGATGATTTTCTCAGTGACTATTTTTGGGCAAAGCAAGAGCAGGGCACTAAGTGATGCACAATTAGCTTCTGACTTTGGCATTCCTTTTCTAAACAGTGGCAAGTTACATGTAGCTAGATTTCAGATGTTAAAGTTTGGAAGGTCTAACTCTAGTTGACAACTTCCTCCTATGGCTAGTCCTAGTTTTTTCCTTCCAATAGGTCATTAGTATCTTCCAGGAGGTTGGATGAGTCACTTACAAGGGGACAGAGGCTCCTTTCCCACCTCTTGCAGAGAACTCAGACAGTAAAATGTTGGGGACAGGGATATTACTTGGGCAGCGAATCTAACTGTCCAAAGCTTTTGTGATCCTTCTATACATTCTGTCATATTTCAACAGAGGAGTAGAAATGCAGCTTGGTTTCCTGAAGACCTTTTCCTCTGCATTGCTGGGCAGAGGCCCCTCATTTAAAAGCTGAAGGGTTGCCACTTTTGAAACTGAAAAACGAAAATGCATCCCTGTCCCAATGGTTTTTATTGTCCCACAAATTCAATTCAGGAGCACTCACATCTTTGGGTGTTTCAAGTACAAAATCAGGACTTAACTTCAAAAGGGCCCTTTGCAGCTTCATGGTTTCCCCAACCCCAGGGAATTTGGGAACATTTCACAGCAAGTTGGAAGAAGAGCCTTTCTCTGATGCCACATTGGGCCTGGATTATTGTTGTGGCAGGGTCCTTATGAGGAGGAGACATTAAGAGGGAAGAGAAGAGGGCGCCTCAGAGGAAAGGAAGGGGCAAGGGAACAAGGAAGAGGAGAGGAAGTAAGGCCCAAGGAAAGGTCAGGAGAGGAGGAGAGATCCTTTCTGTGTCTGTACCCTCTACCTCCCCACCAGAAACAGGTGTTGTACTTTGCATCATAAGGGCTGGGGCACATGGGGTTTCTGGTCCACCAGGGACATGCAATATACCCCCAATAAGACCATGTCGCCAGCACACTTCAGAAATTCTGATTCAATATTTTCACTCCTCATCCACTCTGTGCTACTGGAAGCAAGAGTTGCTCTAGTACATGGGGCAGAAATATCACATTTGATGGTGAGCCCGGTGTGATTTCAAAGTTGATGGCTAGAAATGTCTTTTCCTTCCAGCTGACTGATGTTTGAAATTCCTCCATTAAAGCCTTTTCTCTTGGGCTCAAGGTTTATATCCAGTAAGAACCTTCTTCCCTCCACGCCATCTCCTCCACTAGGTTGATGACACTTTACGTTATTTCCCTTAGTGGAATCAAAAACATGGATTAATTGGGTGAGAGAGGAGAACATAGGGCAGTTGAGTAATTGGCTGGGTTGAGGTTACAAAGAAAGAGACCAAAGTGAGGAAGCTGAAGTAGCTTGGGGGAGGACTCATTTAGAGATGAGAAGCTCAGCCTCTTGGGCCCACTGCCCATTGCCCACTTCAAGCCCCTCTTGTACTATACAGGCAACAAATTATCAATGCCTAACTGGCCAGTTCTACTTTTTCAATATTTCTCGCCTTGTGGGCTAGTGATAAATCACTGTATTACCTTTTCTCGTACATGAGTCCTGTTTCAGTCACTATTTTTCTGACAAGTGTGGGGCTCCTTGCTGAGATTTTTGTATATATCTAGGCTTATCAGCTGTATTTACCAGAAACTTTTAGGTAGATTTACATTCTGGGGAGACTTTCTCAAATGACTGCTCTTCAGCCAGTTTATGTTGTTGCCAGAGGTGGACACTTTAAAAATATTTTGTAATTTTTTATTGTAAACTGACAATTAATAATTGTGTACTTTATGGGGTACAAAGTGATGTTATGATTTATTAATACAATGTGGAATAATTCAATCAAACTAGTTAACATAGCCATCACCTCAAATACTTAACATTTTTTTTTTGTGGTGAGAACATTTGAAATGCATTCGTTTAGTGATTTTGAAATGTACAGCATTATTAACTATATTCACCATGATATGCAATAGAGCTGAAAAAATCACACATATTCTTCCTCACTGAACAGATTTTGTGTTCTTACACCATCATCTGTTCATTTCACCCACCTTTGGCTTCTGTAACCACCATTCTACTCTCTGCTTCTATTAATTCAATTGTTTTAGATTCCAAATATAAGTGAAAACATGCAGTATTTGCCTTTCTGTGCCTGGCTTATTTCACTTAGCAAATATTCTTCAATTCCATTCATGTTGTCACAAGTGATAGAATTTCTTTCTTTTTAAAGGATGAATAGTATTCCATTGTATGTATACACTAAATTTTTTTTATCCATTCATCTGTTGATAAACAGGTTAATTCCATAACTTGGCTAATGTGCCTAGTGCTGCAATGAACATGGGAGTGCAGATATCTTTTTGACAGACTGATTCCAATATTTTGAGTAAATACCCAGAAGTGGAATTGCTAGATCATATGGTAATTCTACTTTAACTTTTTGGAGGAATCTTCATGCTGTTTTCCATAATGGCTGTACTAATTTACATTCTAGAAGTGGGCACTTTCTGAACTTGTCTTTGAATTCTGGGGTTAAACAGTATTTGGTTCTCAGGTTCCTAAGTATTAGTATTTGTTTTATTTTCCCCAGTCTTTCCCACTCATATCCCAACCCCAGCATACACACACAAGCAGTGTGTGTATGAGCATGTCTATGAGCACACACATGCACACAGACAGGCAATTAAGAAATAGTGAGATTGTACTGACAGATCCATGAAGGTCAGAAAGTTTTGCCTCAAATTCTTGCCCCATCACTGACTTAATGTCTGACATCAGACAAGTAATTTCACCCTCTCTCTGTGCTTTCGTTTGTCCACATAGAGGCCTCATCTGACTTGTGGTTATCAGGAAGCTCATTAATCTCACAAGCTTCAAATTTCCCAATAGTTGCTTTTTGGCCTCTAGATCTGCCTTTTGACTCCAGTGTGTTGGAGAAGCTTTGTGGTATGGAAGGAAGAGCATTTAAAATTTGGTGTCTAGTAGAGCTGGTTTCAAGTCCCAGCTGTGCCTATTTATTGACAAGTCATTTAATCTCCAGGAATCTCAGTGTCCCCATTCGCAGAATGAGATTAATAATTAACCTACATTCCAGATTTTTGTGAGGATTAAATAAGATAGGAGATACCAAAATGTCTCATAAGCATCATGCCAAAGTAAGATGCTCTTATATGGGGGATCTCTAGGACTGCTTGGGGATTGATATTGGGTCAAAGAGTTTGGTTCAGGCTTTAGTTGTTGCCATACTTGTTTTCTCTCTTTTTCTCCCTTTAGCAAAATTGTGGAAGTCAGGTAGGTAAACAGAGAACTGGGATTCTAAGAATTCTTTTGGATGGACTCCAAAACCTCAGAGAGCCCCTGGAGCTCCCCTGCATACTCTTTGATTTGGAAGCTTGCCTGAGTCCATAACACTTCTATCCTCTTTTGCAACCATTAGTTTTGGCATCCCAGTGTGTCCTAAGACCCACCCAAATCTTTGGACAATCCCTCTACAAAGCTCCCTTGGGGATTGGCATGCTGTTCTGTTAGCCTCTAGATCTCAAGACAAACAGTCAAATATGGCTGAGGGTGGGGGGCCCTTGAGTTTGAACTTTAATAGCATGTTTTTCCAAAATAAGATCCAGTGGTGTCTTGAGTATTCCAAGTGCACAAGGGCTGAGAGTTTCAATTAATGAAACAGTCTGATTATTTACTGGGCAACTGTCTGTATAAGACACTACACTAGGTACTGTGTAAAAAGAAAAAGCTTTGGAATCAGAGGAGTTGGGCTTCATGTGTTTAGAACCTATAACATGGCCTAATGGTTGTGTTTAACTGTACTGTGAGTTCCTTAAGGATGGAACCATCTCTGTATTCCCAGCCCTAGTACAGGAGGAGTGGAATAAATGAAAGAATGAGTGATGGAATATATTTTCAAGTTGCTTACCTCTTCTGAAAACAGAGTGGGCTCAAATAGTCCAATTATTTGAACTATTTGAGGCTTAGGGAGAGTCTGATGCCAGTTAATGGAGGTTGGACTATAGTGGTATGCTCTTTCTACTTGCCTCATAGAAGGCTTGTTCAAGCCTTGAATCAAATATTTGCAAAATGCTTTGAGATTCTCCAATTAAATGTGCTAATTATTATGGTTTTTGTCATTATTGTTAAGGGATAAATATATGTGATATAAAATAGGGAACAGTGGACTTGATATTTAAAGGGGTAAATCTAATTGGAATTTCTAAGTTAAACAATTCAGAACTGCTCCAAATGAGAGCTGCTGTGAGTGAGACCATATTTCAGATTAATGAGTTGGAAACACATCCCATTACTTTTCTCAGTCTTGGTAAACACATTTTTTTCTTATGGATTAGAGGAAATGAGAGAACAGATGAAAGAGAATTGAAAGGAGGAGAGAGAAGCACATTGAGAGGAAAGTTTACTGGAAAGAGAGAAAGGCAGAACAGAGGCAGAAAATTTGACTCCTCTGAGGTCATCACTCAGGCCCTGGGGTGACTAGCTTGAGTTTACACTCCTTTTCTCTTCTGAGACTTGTGGTTCTTGACAACCAAGTAACTGACCTATAGATGGAGGCCAACCTGGAGTCTTACCCTACCTGTAAGAGTCCCTTGGCTGGAAGAAAAGAACACTGCACAAATGTAGACCTCTCAAAATAGCCAGGATAATTTAGGCTTAAAATTTAACAGCCTGTTTTCCATTTCTACTCTCTTTTTGGGTTTGGTGAGAGCCATTGAATGAGACGGTAAGCGGGTAGGTAGAATCTGAATATATGTACTCTAGATACAGAAGACAATGGCTTACCTAATGCCAAAAGATCAGGGCACAAATGATAAGCAAAATCTTCAACTGAGCATCCAGACATTTGGTTGCTGTCAAGCCAAACATCCACACATTCCCAATGATGAAGCTGTATGGTGGCGGTAGACAAAACATCTGGATGACAGCTTGATATAGTGTTCACTTTTCATCTGGCTGCTCTGGCTCAGCCCCGTAGGGAGGAAGACTCCAGGGAGTGGTGAGGCAATTTCTGAGCCAACCTGAATGCTTATATTCTTTTGGAAAATTGATTATAGCAGGCTTAAGATTTTTTATGTTTTCTATAATAAGGGCAAAGGCACAGAGGAAACCTTCTGGCTGATTGGGAAAAAAGGCTTCATGAAGCCCCTTCCTGTGCCCCCACCAGTGGACAAAGATGGGTAAGTGGAGTTCACATTTAATTGGAGTCTTCCTATGCCATACTCTGCCACACTTTCTTCACTACCTATTTGATGTCTCCCCTGCCCTGCAGGCAAGTGGGCCATGGCCTGCAACCAGTGGAGATTGCAGCCTTCCAAAGAAGAAAAGCAGAAAGGCAGTTGGTGAGAAACAAGCCATAAGGTAATGGCCAGGAGGAAAACAGAGCACAGCAGCTTGCCAAATTTTCAAATCTGGGGCTTCCTTTGGCATGCGTGCCAGTGTCAGCCTATACTCTGTTGGCATAGTGTGATGGAGCTGGAGAATTTCCAAGCTCTAATAAAATGGGTGAAAACCTTGTTGTGGGGAGGCCTGCTGCAGGGTGAGCTGCACCTGTGGGAAATTGTCTGCCCTGGCCCGAGAGAGACCCTTACCTCTTGCCCTGACAACATATTTGAATGCTAACAAAGCTGGCCTTGCTATCCAATTATCAGGCAGGTACACCTGTCTCTTTTATTGTTGAGCACCTGGGCCACATGGTGAGCCACATCAGATCTTTAGAGACTTACATCTGTCTAGGCAATAGCAGTAGGACTACCGGCTATTCCTGGGATCTGTTGACAAGACCACCTTGGAGGGGATGTTTATGTCATTTCCTCCGGAGGCACTGCCTGATCCCTTTCAAAGGATCAATTTTGCCAACCAAAATAAGACTGGCTACTCTTTGACTGCCTGGCTTGTATTCAGGACAATTTCTCCCATCCTTCCTCCCCTACTAGGATGGTACAATTCTGAAGCAGCAACAACCATCTAATTATCAAGAATTCTCTCCACATATTTATCGGTATTTATCTCTGAGGAATCCATTGTGTTCTTGGGCTCTTTTCAGTATCTCTTCTCTTCTTTATCGTGTTTGCTTTTTTTTTTTTTAAATCTTGCTTTCTTATTCTCTCTTCCATGGAAACTTTGGCCCTGAAACACTTTGCTCCCTCCACATATCCTTGGAAATCACAAGATTCTAAGGTAAACATTAAGGCATCTCCACATACTCCTGCTCCCTTGTTCTCTAACATGTCCCAAAATAATCACAATTCTAGCAGCCACTACTAAAGGCATCCACATACTTTCATATTCTCCCACTGGCCTCTGATGACTTTGTTGATTCTTTGTGACTGTTTCTGTCCTAAGGAAACCCCAATGCATCTTCATTTCTACAACAATAACAGGTACTCTGAACTAGTCGTAAACATTTATGCATCACAAAGGCTTCTGTATTGAGTGTGTGGCTCTTCTGCAGCCTCCTGAATCACCCTCTGACTCACTGACACCTGGGGCCAGGATTTGTTCTACAGTCTTCCAATTTCCAGAAACATTCTTTCCTGTGATTAGGGAAACACAGGAACAACCTCTGACACAGACAGACACACACACAGATCCAGACACATACTCTCTAGCCTCTCTCTCTCTCTCTCTCTCTCTGTAGGAAAGTGTTTGGAAGTTCTTGAAGGATTTATCCCTTTGGAAGGGTAGTGTGGCATTGGAGGCACTGTACAAGAATCCATCCATTCCTAAGAATGTGTTGGAGTTTGCAGCAGAAAATACTGCAACTCACTTACCATCATTGGCTGTGTGATTGGTAGTGCTTTCCTGACATGCAGATGCATGTTGCTTAGGTCATTTGTAAATTCACTCATCTGGAACCCCTTGACAGAGGGCCAGCTTCTGTGTACTGTAGATATATGGAACAGATTGAAGCCACTGGGTCAAGAGAGGAAATCCATCCCTGGTCCTGGCCTCATTAACACATGTACTTCAATCAGCATGTTAACTGACCACATGGCCTTGGTGGCCTATACAAATCACAAAAATCCCCAAGAAGTACATCCCTGACAAATTTCAGAAGGCTTGTCCTAAGTCCAAGCACTCCTCTGTTGCTGTTACTTGCTAACACCACCTATTCCAGAATGTTTCCAACTTTCTGTGAATTTACAGGCTGACACTTACTGGGATAGACCCAACTTACAAAAGACCTATGATACCTATGAATGCCACTGACTTGCTGCCACCATCATAAGAGATGTTGAGGAAAAACTTGAAACCTTTAAGAGAGCCCTGTGGGGTTGGCCAGGGAGGAAGAAAAACTGCTATGAAAGGGGGCACAGCTTTGGTGAAGTGATTACAGGGGCTGCCTCTGAAGCAGGGCCCTACACGTCACCTGATAACTCTTATCTTGTGTCCCCAAATATCCACTACTTCTCAAACCTGGTTTTTGTATCATCTGGTTACTTTCCATAAAATTTCACCTACTGAGGTTAATTTTGGGCTGACAAGCCCCCTCTTTTAATCATAGATGTGCTTTTTTGAGGGTGAGAAACAATTAATCACCCATATCATAATGAAGGTGAACTGAGCTAACTGTTCAGGAGGACTTGGCAGTTTCGTTTTGATTAGGACAAGGAGAAATGGGGAAGTTGGCAGTTTTGAAGAATAGAGGGTCACACTGGCAGGCTTGGGATAACACAAAAGCAGTGGATCCCTGGGAAATAGAAGAAGGGTGAAAATAAGTATGAAGGTGGAAAAGTTAGCTTAGATTCCACCTCTTTTAAACCTTTTGAGTCTTTATTGGACTCAACGAATGGAGAGAAAGCACATTTTCCTTCTGCTATCAGGACCCAGGACTCCCACCAGAGCTTTAATATAACTCTGCTCCATGTGGGTTAAATCAGCCTTTGTGGACTGGCTAGAAACCTGACCACCACACATATAGCACTGTTACTATGGAGGAAGCCACTCCAAGTTCCAAATCATTGATTTATAAATGTGTAGAACATACCTCATTAGTAAGTTGAAGACCACCTGTATATTAACATGCTCTCTTTTTTGTTAAATTTGTAAAACCCTTGTAAATGGCAATGTCTAATTTTGCAAACCTGACACATGTAATAATGTTTATTTGTTTAACAATCCAGGAAAGTTGAGCAATTTGCAAGCTGTTTATGGAATATAGTAGTGGTGTGGGGCTTGGAATCATTCATATTGAAATCCTGTGAAAGGCCTAGGATATATAAGGTATGGTTACTGTTTTCTCTTTCTCTCGCCCAGGGGCAAAGGGCTCCAGGATTTGAATCTTCTCTTGGTGAGGCAATGGGAAAGCTCACTTCAGTTCAAGAAATTGTTCTGCCTGGGCAAGAAATTAGTGAATGACTACACCTCTGAGGATGACCTAATTCCAGTGTGAGCAGGACCTTGGGAAGTAATTTTTAAAAGTTTTGCTCAATACCCAGCTATCACTAGCAAGGCCGTATGAATGTAAACTGCAATAGATGTGAACCTTATGGAAGAGTAGAGAGCCACCTCCAAGTTTAGTCATTCCAAAGTAGCAGGCCCAACTTGGATTAAGATGAGAAGCTCTCTATTTTCACAGAAAAAAAGTAGGAGGCAGTATGTTTTCTTTTTCATTTCGTTTTAATCTCTAGAAAGTATTTAATGAACATAATTTATAACTCAGATACTATAAGATTAGTTCCAGGAAAAAAAAAGCCTTCCAGCAAACATACATCTGAATCCCAGTCTATTGTGACCTCAATTGGCTGGAATGCATAAGGAAGAAAGAGGGAGAAGAGTCTGGTTAATTGTGTTGTTTGGATAACTGAAGGCTAAGAAGTTTCTTTGTTTTCTTATTGCTCATTTTTCAAAATCTTTCCAAAACTGTCACTGTCTCTTTTCCTAAGTTAGGCAACATAATTGGATTGTCCTTGCTAGATGAGTATTTAACTGGGACTCAGGGTAGTATTCTAAACATGACAGAATAAATGTAAGATATATTGTCAGGGTAAAAGATATAAAAATCATAGATTGAACTGAGCGATTCCCTTAAAGTTTTGTATTTTCCCTCCCTTTTCCTGCCCACCCTGCCTTTCAACCCTCTACCCCTTCTCCTAAAATAAATCCCTTTGAACATTTGTTTTTACTTTATGCTTTTAGTTTTCCAGATTCCACTTTCAAGGGGTTATTGGCAGTGGCTTGCCACAGTCACGTGGACCAAAGCAATAAGGCTTAAGTCTCAGGCATGTTTAAAATAGTTAAGCAAGCTTTTCCTCTCGTTTATTATATTTAAAAAAATCTCTTTATTAAAACAGCTGAACCCAAACATATCAGCTAGTAAAGCAGTTAATTCTTTTTAGTACAACCCCTTTTAAAGAAATAAATGCCTAAGGTATAATTTGATACCTTTCTCACTATTATTTAATTTTTCCACTATCAACTCACCCTGAATCTGAGCTTAGAGTGAAAAGTTCTTCCCAGCAGTTTTCCTTCAACCTTCAGTCAAAGGCCCTTGGACTACTTATCTCTTAACAGAATCCAACTTCTGCCAGCCTCAGGTGGTCTACTTGCTATGCCAAAGCTGTTTAAGAGGATGCAGAAAAGGCTTAAGTTGCCTTTCAACTTCCTTGAGCAGAGTTTCTAACTCCTTTTTCCAGACATGCCAGAGAAGGACACATAAAATATCATCCTCTATTTTTAACAAGGTCTCAGTCAAAAGCTGAGCTTTTAAGACCTAACTAGAAGTTTGGGTGACAAATGTGATAATGTTTATTTGTTTAACAATCCAGGAAAGTTGAGGAATTTGCAAGCTGTTTATGGAATATAGTAGTGGCGCGGGGGCTTGGAATTATTCGTATTGAAATCCTGTGAAAGGCCTAGGATATGTAAGGCATGCTTACTGTTTTCTCTTTCTCTCGCTCTAGGGCAAAGGGCTCCAAGATTTGAATCTTTTCTTGGTGAGGCAATAAAAAAGCTTCACTTCTTCCAGAGATGGTAGCACTGTCCTGCAGAATACATATGGAAGGATAATTGAGGGCAAGGGAGTGGGAGTGGGGCTGCAGCTCCAGAGCCTCCATGAATTTGTATTCTCCCAAACACAGTTCAGTTATTTAGCCCTAGGACCTATAGCTCCAGGGTGGGCCTGCAAAATGAACAGTGCTCAGCCAAAATCTTTTATTAAGCAACAAAACCCACTGAGAGTGATTCCTAACTCTGTATCTGATCCTATCCCCTATTTCCCTCCTTAGTATTTCTCTAGTCCAGCATGTCAACCAAGTTTATCTTGTCAAGCCTACTAATTCTGTCTTGTTTATGATCACATCATCCTTTGCTTGATTTTATCATGAGGCCCTTTGTAAAATGAGTCCATCCATTTTTAGATTCTTTTTCATTAAGGCCTTCTGCATTGACCAAAACTAAGTTTTCTTCAGTTTTTCTTAGTGCTTTAATTATTTGATCAGAAGAAAAACCATTCCCTACTCTCATATACTATTTGATTTATTTAGTGAGGTATAGCATGATTCTCACATACAACTGATTATTTCTCTATTTGTCTGTTGCTACTAGCACACTGGCTTGAGTTGGTCATTAAGAGGGAGTAAAAATTTCTCCCCAGTTGTTTTCCTAAGTACCCTTATATTCCTTGTATAAAATAAAATATTTAGAAAACAATTTAAATAAAGTTTTCAAACAAATTTAAATTTGTTTTATCACATCCCTCATATCTGCTTGTTTTCTTGTGATTTATCTTTTAAAAATAAATTATTGGAAAAACAAAGCCAAATTGAAAGAACTGCAAGTTAGGTTTTGCTTATTTGAGGTTTTACTGTACTTTACAACATAACTGAATAAAATGATCATCCCATGGGGAATTATATAAGTCCTTTTCTTTAGATTTTTTTTCCCTTACGGACCTCAATAGCAATATATGTTCATTGTAGAAAATTTAGAAAAACACAGAAAGGCACACAGGAAGTTAGGATTGTTCAAAATTCCTTTAGATCCTTTATTCTATCTTCCCTGTTTGGCTTCACTTCATAGATTATTGCATGTTATTATAGCATCTACCTAGCCAAAGAATACCTGAACTCAGCTGATTCTGAAATTAACCCAGTTTGCTTTTATTTTATTTTATTGTTGGCAATATTATTCATATTTTTGATGGTAGAAGTTGAATCTGTTTAGATTTTGGGCAGCTTTCAGTGATCCAGTCATTCTTTTTTTTTTTTTTTTTTTTTTTTTTGAGACAGAGTCTCGCTCTATCGCCCAGGCGATCCAGTCATTCTTCATTGCACTTGGGATAGCGAAGCAGGAAGAGATAGCAGATGGCTATCTACTTCATCAGAGGGCCATAACTTGGTTTACTACATAAAGCAACTCTAACAAGAAGTATTGTTGCAAGAACTCTCATTTTTCCTACCTTGTCTTAGACATAGTATAAACAACTTTATTACCAAACTACTCATTTAATTACATTCTTGTCCTTAATCCAACTGGAATCAACTTGCAAGGAGTAGGAGGTGGCAAACAGCCAAACAGTAATACTTCATGCACTGGGTGGTCACATCTATGTGATATCAAATAATTGAATGTAACTTAAACACTCAATTGAATCAAGTAAGCATTAATTAGCCAAAAGGCCACAGGGGATTGACCATTTTACTTTAACCTCTTCTCCAGCCAAAGCTGGTGTACCTAATCAATGCATTTCCCATCTGACTGGTTGATTATAGCCCATTAAAATAGTGGAGTCTGTGCAATAGAATTCTCTCTCACCCCTTCTGTGGTCCACGCCTTCTTCTCGGGTCAAGATAATTGACGAGTAGACCATAGACATAGACACAACTTACCTTTTATAAGACATTATATGTCTGTTATTTGTGTGTTGTTTGTGTTTCTCCTGGAATGCTTTGTAAAACCCCTGCAATCTTACTTATTTTCTAGTTTGGATTTGCTGTAGGCCAAGCAATAATGAATTGCTTTCAAAGAGAGAAGCAGAAGTGACCATTAATCTATATATTCACTTTGGCTCACTACAAATTAGAGTGGCTCCAGATGCCACTAAAGAGCTTTCAAAGGTGACTAATTCCAAGCAAATGAATATACACATAGAATCATAGAACTGGCAGGGCCTTTGGAAACTATCAACCCTGTTATAGTATGAAGGAAAATATGAAGATTCTGAGAGGAGAAGCTATCCTTTTAAAGTTACCGTCTAGTTAGTAAATAAGAACTTGCTTTACCAAGTCAAAAATAGATCTGAATTATCAAGGAAAACCTCTGACCCTTAGGAATACTTCTTAGAAATTCTGGGGGTAAGATCCCTAACTGTGTATGTACAAGCATGGGCTTGGCAGGAATACTCTGGTTTGGGGTGTTTTGAGCTAGGTGACTGCTGACATCACAATCCAGAAAGAAATAGAGTACAGAAGGAAGATAGCAGATTCCTTGATCACTAAATCGGCTTTACCATGCAGACAGGATCTAATCCATATATGCCCCTATCTAAGATGATCTGGCCCAAGTGGATGGAGAATAAACCTCTAATTCTGCCTGGCCCTATGGATTCATTTGTAGCTTTTAGCACAGGACCCAGGTCCTATAGAACTAAAGTCTCAGAAATACATGAGGAGATGCCTGACTTTGGAGAACACCAAGAATATTTTCAATGTGCCCAATATCCAAATGGTAGCTCCTATAGTGAGAGAAGTCAGGGGAGAACAAAATCTGCGAACTTTAAAGCAAGATAAGAACTGAATCTGATTACTACTTGTCGACACCAACTTTCTCCTCCAGAGACAGGAAATTTCCTGAGTTGTGAGTACAATTTTGTATCCACTGGGTATAGACTAGCCAAAGAAGAGCTTTACTTCAGGGGTGATCGAGCTCATCATGGGGAATAGACACAGGTGAACTTCTCATGACATGGCTTCCTGGAATGATAGATCATCGGAAAAACAATTGTTCAAGCAGCATTGGTAATAAGAATGAGCCCTCTCAGGGACTAGCTGATAGAGCTAGTTTGGGTTTGCTGTAGGCCAAGCAATAATGAATCTCTTTCAAAGAGAGACTGGGGGTAGAGGTGACCATTAACCTATATACTCACTTTGGTTCACTATTAGTGGCAGTATTTTAACTTCACTGGGACATCTTTGATGTGGTTTAGAAATAAGTCCAACTTGTTTTGTGGGACATCCCTTGGTCCAGGAGCAATCTAAGGTCAGATTAAATTTTCTGGATGGTTGTGAAACTGTAGAACCTGCCTCATTGGTCAGATTTGGGTTGATTTAGTCACTGACCCCACAAGACAAACATTAACACAAAATACCCCCACTTAGGCTTATAATTAGAAAGTACAACACTATTTTAATGGTTTTTAGTAACAGTGTTCCAAACCATATCATAAGATGATTATGCGACTCCAGAGAAATAACTTTTTTCCTTCTGTATGTATCTTTTCTGTATTTAAGTGTATTTTTCTGGGATCACAGTTCACCTCTTGTAATTTTCCTGCTCCAGAAACTTCAATGTTCCTTTAGTTTTATAAATTCCTTAGTTAATTTCCAACCTAGCTTTCTCTACTCTTCTTCTTGCAATTTATTCTCTAGTCAAAATCTATTATTAGCTCTTTCCTTTGACATTTTCTGATTTTATGCCATTAATCATGCTGTTTCTTCTACCTAAAATTCCTTCTCTGTCTCCTACCACCACATGTCCAAATTCTACCCATTCTTCAAAGTCTAGTCAAATATCTCTTTTCATCAAAAGCCTTCCTTGTTCACTATAATCATATGTCTCCATTTCTAAATTCCTACCTATACTTCTTTGATGGTTATGTAACATTAACTTATTTTATGGTTGTTTACTTGTCTTCTTGTCGCAACTATATTTGACCTAGATTTAAAAAAAATTTACAAGATTCTTGAAGGCAGGAACTATGTTTAATTCATCTTTGTACTCTGCACAGTGCCTGATGCATATGACAGGCACTCAATAAATATATGTTAAATAAATAAATGAATATTTCCATGTCTTTCTGTGTATGTATCTTTTTTCTGTGCACTTTTACCCCTTCTTTTGTTATTTAACGTTTTTATTGTGTTCCCATCTGTCTATCTACTATCACCCTCTCTCATACCACCTGTGGAGATATATATATATATTTTTATAAATATATATATGACATACTATATATATATATGAGACATACTATATATATATATGAGACATACTATATATATATGAGACATACTATATATATATGAGACATACTATATATATATTATGACATACTACAAATGTGACTTAATTTAGCTCTTTAGTATTTTATGAAGGAAATATAAAAGCACTCGAACACTTTTCAGATAAAGAGCAAGGTATCTAACCTCTAATAAACACAAGAAATACAAAACATACTTTGTTTTTAAATAATAGCTATGAAGTTACATATATACATGTGAGTATATATATACTCACATATATATGTGAGTATATATATATACTCATATATATGTGAGTATATATATATACTCATATATATATGTGAGTATATATATATACTCATATATATATGTGAGTATATATACACTCACATATATATGAGTATATATGTATATATATACATATATATGAGTATATATATGTGAGTATATATATACTCACATATATATGTATATATGTATATATACATATATATGAGCATATATATGAGTATATATATACTCGTATATACATATATATGAGTATATATATACTCGTATATACATATATATGAGTATATATATACTCGTATATACATATATACGAGTATATATATGAGTATATATATACTCGTATATACATATATACGAGTATATATATGAGTATATATATACTCGTATATACATATATACGAGTATATATATGAGTATATATATACTCGTATATACATATATACGAGTATATATATGAGTATATATATACTCGTATATACATATATATGAGTATATATATACTCGTATATACATATATACGAGTATATATATGAGTATATATATACGAGTATATATATACATATATACGAGTATATATATATACTCGTATATATATACATATATACGAGTATATATATATACTCGTATATATATACATATATACTCATATATATCTAACTTCATAGCTATTATTTAAAAACAAAGTATATTTTGTATTTCTTGTGTTTATTAGAGGTTAGATACCTTGCTCTGTATCTGAAAAGTGTTCGAGTGTTTTTATATTTCCTTCATAAAATACTAAAGAGCTAAATTAAGTCACATTTTTAGTATGTCATAATTGGTTAACTTTTTTTCTTGAGGACCGGTAACCTTTGATAGCGAAAACATTCCTCATTTGTGCATTGAAAAGAATCTAGTTATTGTTTACTATGGTTTTAACTTGTGGCATTGAGGGTAGTCAATTTAATGAATTGTAATACTTAGCCAAGAGAAATGGACACTAAGGGACAAAGGAAGGGCAAGATAGCTCTCTTAATAGATATGAAGGGATACTATGGAGAACAGGTTTTATGTTGCTTCAGAAGACAGAATCTGAATCAAATGATGGAAGCTGGAGACATAAAATCAACATAAGGCAGAACTTTCTAGTAGTCAGAGATATCTGAAAATGAATGTTAGAGTCTGAGAGATGGTGAGTTCTCTGTCATTAGAGATATTCAAACAGAAGTTAAATGATGGTGTAATGGGAACAGAGTAGATATTTTGTGCATTGTATGGGAGTTAGGATAAATGATATTTCAAGTTCTATTCCCACTCTGAGAGTTTTTGGTTCTACGATTCCTTGACACACCTTCTTAAAACAGACCTAAGTGGTTTTCAAGTGTTAAGAACACGTGAAAACAGGTCAGTTCAAACCCCAAACCAGAAAAAGTTATAAGAAACATAACTAGAAGCTTAAGACAGTCCCATTATAAATCACCGTATTTGCCCACTAAATCTCACTCTGAGTTTCTTGGTAGTTAAAGCAAAAAGGGAAGAAAACAACAAAATTGAGTTGCATGGTTCTCTGTCAAGTAAAAAAAAAAACCAAAACAACAACAACAACAGCAACATGCCTGTGCGATCATCTGCCTAGAGAGATTTCTTTTTCCTGCCACTGAATTCCAGGAGGAATTTATCATGTGAATCCTGTATAATAGATATTGTTTATTATAATGGACAACTTGGTTTTATAAAAGATATAGACACAATCTTCAAATGGAAATATCTTTTCTTCCTCTTCAAAAAGGAATAAAAGGCTGTAAAATGTCAAATCTTAAGCCATTAAGGGTCTCCCCCACCCAGAAAGCTAAGGTATTATGGCTCCAGTAAGTTGTTTTCTGTTGATCTGTCTTACTATAGGGACCTGGCACAGAGAACCTACAAGAATAGACAGTTAACATGACCCTTATCAGCTCTCAAGTGTCTTCTGTATCAAGTTATCCTCTTGGGTCACAGAAAATTTATTGTCAAATTCCCTGAAGGTTGCCTCAAGGAGAATGTGTGGTCTCTGCCAATTACATGCTGGCTTTGGTGATTAGCTATTGGGAAAAGCCAATTTGCCAGATCTGCTATGAAGTGTCATTGCATGTCTACAGGGGCAAGGCACTCAACTTCACAGAGAGATGAATTTATGAAATTAATAAAACTTTTATGGAGTAAGGACCCTTCTCAATGAGTATCAGAGTAGTGCCTTGATCAAAGACATAGTCTAGCAACCAAAAGTAATTTTAAAACAATTTAAATTCTCGCATTAAGCAAAAATCTTGGAGAACTCATTAAAATCTCCTTTCCTCTCTCTCTCTCTTTTTTTTTTTTGCATCATATTCCAGGGGTTTCTAGTGCCTCTCTCTTCAATTCATTGCCACCCTCCAACTTTTCCTGTACTTTCAGATTGAACAATTACTTTTCTCAATACTCCCCTCTCTGAGCACTTTATTATGCATATTGACTTAGATTGTAGCTTAAATCTTTTCCCCCTACCTCTCATGTGTTCTTTTTTTCTCTTCTTGATTCTGCACCCAAGAGGTAAAGAATCAAATTTGCCAATAATAGGAGAGAGTGGTTGGAATTGTGAGAATCTGAAAAAACAAAAACCAAACTCTCCTTGATGCACTCGGGCAGGGAAAAGGCTGTGAACATAAATACATTTGTAACTTTCTCCCCATCACACTGTCATAGAAGTTTAGTCTATTCTTTGGACAGATGAATTATCAGAATCACTCAATTTCAAGCCTGTTTTGTTATTAACACAAATTCTTTTTTAACTCCAATTTATAAACTAGGCTTTCCCACAAGAATTAGAAATATAAATATATTTGGAAACAAATAGTTAATTATGGCAAAACCTTATGTTAAATGTGGTTAGAAAAGATAGCAAGCCTGGTGGGAAGATTGGGACTTCTTTTAGACTGTTGGTATAAATCATTCTAAGAGTGCCATCTTCGGCATGCAGAGAGGGAACAAGGAGGGGCTGGCTGGACTTCCCAATGCTTCCTAAATCTGCCCTCTACAGTGCAGCTTCAATACAGTCATGTGCCGCAGAAGAATGACTTGGTTAAAGACTGTCCACATATACGATTGTGGTCCCGTAAGATTATAGTACCACATTTTTACTGTACCTTTTCTATGTTTGGATACACAAATGCATTGGAACCTGGAACAACATGGGTTTGAACTGCATGGGTCTATTTATATGTGGATTTTTTCAATAAAAGTTACACTGAGTGTTCCTGCCTCTCCTGCCTCCCCTTCCACCTCCTCCACCTCTTCTGCCTCTGCCACCTCTGAGACAGCAAGACCAACCCTTTCCTCTTCCTCCTCCTCCTGAGCCTGTTCAATGTGAAGACAAGGAGGATGAAGACCTCTATGATAATCCAAGGGCACTTAATAAATAGTAAATATATTTTCTCTTTCTTATGATTTTATTAATAACATTTTCTTTTCTCTAGCTTACTTTATAGTAATAGTAAAGTATATAATACATATAACATACAAAATAAGTGTTAATTGGCTGTTTTAATCTTTTTTAAATGTTTGTGGATACATAATCGGTGTATATATGACCATTTATGTTTCAGTAAGGCTTCTGGTCAACAGTAGATTATTAGTAGTTAATTTTCTGGCAAGTCAAAATTATTTGTGGATTTTCGACTGCATTGGAGGTCAGTGCCTCTAACCCCCACATTGTTCAAGAGTCAACTGCATTTACCATTGTTACATTTGACTACAGTATTCAGTACAGTAACATGCTGTACAGTTTTGTAGCCTAGGTGCAATAGGCTATACATTATAGCCTAGGTGTGTAGTAGGCTATACCATCAAAAGTTGTGGAAGTACACCCCATGATGTTTACATGATGAAATTGTCTAACGATGCTTTTCTTATAATGTATTTCCATTGTTAAGTGATACATGGCTATCTCTGGTTTATGGTGTGAAGTCCTGAAGCATTAGGAGCACCTTTTCAAATAAAAATGCAACCCCAAATTATAAGGCCAAATGTAAACATTTCAATAACTAATCACACCATTCTTCTCAATTGACAAGAATTCTGGCTAACAGACAGAAATTCTTGGTGGTTGATGACAAAATGTCATTTACCAAAATGTCCTGCTGATAGGCCTTCAAATATTCAGTTTTTGTACCTTGTCATTCCTTTTTATGGTCCCAATAAATAGAGTCATAGAATTTCAAAGCTGGAAGGGATTTCAAAGATCATTTGTTTCAACCTTCTTATTTCACAGACTGGGAAACTAATCCCAGAAAAGAAAGTACCCTTTCAAAGTTTGCACAGCTTGCTAGTGGCAGAGCTGGGACTAGAACTTCCTTTCTCCCTGTTTCAGGTGCATAGTTAAATTCCAACTCTGGCTGTCAGCAGAGTGTCCACTATTGAAAATGCACCAAGTGTCCTTAATAACTTCTGTATTTCAGTTCCATATATTCCAAACCGTTTCCATTATGAAACTGATGAATCATTAGTGACTAATTAGGTCTTCATGTGACAGTATCATTTGTAGTCTGCTCCTTGATCTTGCATTTTATCTCTTCCTCTTTGGCTTCGATTGAAAAATCCACACAGACTATTTTTTGGACGAGCTTAGTTGGTTAGTTATATCACATCAGTAGAAAGGAAAGACCTCAACTTTTCATTATTTGGTCTACGCTCTTAAGAATGTCCTGACGTATATTTTCTAAATGGACTTAGTCTTTAGACTTTACAAGGAAGTAAGCATATTATTCACTTATTTATGTGAATAATATATTTATTCAGCTTTCTCCTCCCCCATGGGAGAAAGGTGTGAAATTGCCAATCTATGGATCAGCTTTAGGATCACATATCGACCAACTAGTTTCCTTTTCCTCTGACCCAAATCTTTTGACTGTGAAAAGTCACAATTAGTACAAGTGTCTACTAAGAACTGCCAGATCTACTCGATAACAGCTTTTCAGATTAACTTTTTTAAATAATGCTTTCATTGTATTAGGTTAACTGATTTTAAAATTCCATGTTGTATTTATATCAATGAGTGCTAATTCACTTAATTGTGACATTCACCAGAGTGGTGTCATCTATCTTGGGAAAGAGAAAACTGAATGTATTCAAAGTCAGCTGTAGGCAATGAAAACATTAACTTCAGTAGAACTTTAGTTCTGACCTGTTCTACCTGTTTCTCTCTCTGGTCAGTTACATAGAGATAAGCTTAGGTTTCAGAAGGATAATTTAATACATGGAATGCTAACCAGCGAGACAGACTACTAACCAGAGGCCTAATAGACCATCCACCTAACTGACTGCAATGAGATAATTTGGAATAGGCTATCTTCTAGATTCTGTCCAAGGTGTTATTCACTGGAGTAACTCATTGGCTAATCTGCATCCTTCCATGCTATATGAAGACCAGCTGGGTATTCATATAGCCTGGCAGTCCTTGGCATGTGCTTGGAAGTTTCTCCAGTCTTATTTTAAATCACAGTGTCAAAGAGGTAGTGCCAGATGGGCAAGACTTGGAGTTTCTTTTCTGCTTCTCTTCCAATCCCATGTCAGAGCCAAGGAATCAAGGCAAGGTTGACACATATGGCAAGGAGATCTGACGAATACCTTCTTAATCAGATCCAGAGAAACAGCCAAACCAGATAAATTGTCTCCAAAGTGGGTTTTTATTTGCAGTTTGGGTGCTGAAATTATCTGGATTATCTATGAGAAATCAAATAACTGTGGAATTTCCAAATCTTTACTTCCTTTTAAGCTCATCATCCTTGTTGTATAGCTATTAACTCCAGGCACCATTAATTTAAGAGCCAGTTAACATGTCAGTTTCAAATCAGGAAATTGCTAATCTATTCCCTTTAGCAGAAAATATCATCATCATGATTACAGCTGTCACTAGATTCCTACTATGTGGCAAAAACTACATGTGTGATTTCTAATCTTCACAACAACCCAGGGAGTCACGTATTATTATCAACACCAATCTACAAAGGAAAAAACTAAGGCTCAGAGGAGTTAAGCAAATTGCTCAAGGCCACAGAGGTGATAAGTGACCAGCAAAATCAAACCCAGACCCATCTTTATTCCAAGGCCCATTCTCATTCTACTATACTCAAATGATGTGAAATTATCCAAGGAGACCAAAATAACATTTTTCACTGCAGACTTTGCAAGGCATTGGACTATTTAGAATGCTGAATTTATTTTGCACTTGAGGGAACAGTTTCCTAGCTTTGAGGCCTGGCTCAACAAATACTTGATGGATGAGGCAGCTGCTGGAGAACGTCAAAGGGTGGGGGCGTGGCAAGCATGTTCATCAAACAGAGTCAGAGCGTCTACTCTCTTGGTTTTGTCTGACCTGGTAGGTGGAAATAAGTTCTCTCAAATTTTAAAATGAAATAAACAAAACCAAACATTTTTGTTAACTAGAGTTTCAGCCTTTTAAAGAAGTTTTGTTTCAAAACATTTGACAGAAGGAAAACTATCTATTGAATCATTTTTTAATAAAAGTTTCACATCACTGATACCATCAGTGCTTCAAGAATGTCTACCTTTGTCTACTACAGAGGGGTCTCTGGTGGATATTGAATATTGACTCGAATTTGAATGGAACCCAACCAGGTACCAAACTATGGGAAGTAGCCACATTCTATCGCTAAACCCCAGATCAACTGAAGCTGAATATTCTTACTGAACTGTGACCTGAACCAGTGTTTGCTATTGTTGGTTTTTTTTTCTTAACATACAGTGAATTGATTCAAACAGGAACAAATGTTGTGTATTTTCTAAAGTGATTGAACCCAAACTAACAAAATCTTCAAAATAATCTTAATATTAAATGTGAATGGAATTGATACACAGTCCAGTAAATTTCAGTCCTTGATTAATGATGCCGCTGAGACTCCAGGGTTAAAGATCTGCTCTGTGTTTGGAAAGCCCAGCTCTGCCTTGACTGAACAACTCAGCCACACTGTCTTGAAGACCATGGGTCACATTACCCATAAACCCACCCATGTTGTGAGAGAGCATGAGCAGCAAACTAAGGTGGAAGAGAGTTGTCTGCTTCCAAATACAATAGGATGCACATGGATGACACTGAAAAATGCTCACTGGCTTCCTTTGCTATTCCTCAAAGATACCACACATACTCCTGCCTCAGTCTTTGCATATGCCATTCCTTCTGTCTGAAATCCTTTGCCTTCACTTAATTTACTCACCCCTTCTTTAAGGCCTCTGCTCAAATATCACCTTAATAGAGAATGATTTCTGTGATAACCTTATTAAAACAGTAACCATTTTCACTGGTTTAACCCCATGTAACATCATGTTATCTTTTCATATTCTCAAACTAAGATGAACCCCTGGGGACAAAAAGCAAATAAATTACCTGACAATGGACCTAGCCAATCTCACTCCCTGGCAGAGTGTGCCTAAAGGTCAAAAAGCCAGTCTAAATGAAGCCAGAATCTTAACTGATTCTGTTTGCCAAAACTTGTGCTGGTCCTGGAAATGAGCTACATATTTGAGGCAGGGACTCAGGCTAATGATCCATTGAGTTCAGCTACCTCATGAACCAAGCTAGAGGCCCCTTAGTCCTTCAAAATTTGGTCGATCATCAGTCTCTCAAATGGCCGGGGACCACGAGGCTCATGGAAGTAGTTGGCCTCTTTCCTAGAATCCTGTTCTACCCTCCTCTGGCTTGCCATGGATATACACTGAACAAGTAATCAGAAGTCATCAGATATCTCGGTGTCCTTGTGGGTATCTACCTGCCTCGAGCCCAAATCCAATACAGCTAAACAACATCCATCACCTGTGCATGCCTTTAGGGATCACAGGCTGGAATAGTTAGTTTTGAAACAGGAAATTTTCCTTGACTCCTTTGTGGGCCTCATGTTAGGGGTGCCTCACTTATTTGTCTGCAGCAGCTCTCGACCCCTCATGGGATGGGAGCACACAGGTGAGTGGGTGCAGGAACTGGAGTGAATGCTTTTGGGCACTGGCAGGAGCAAAACTCTGTGTGGTCCTGTGGCAGCATCTGGGGTGGTACCCGTGATCCCTGAAGACCCAGAGGGCATGTGTTACAGTGTGCTTTTTTAGCTTTGCCATCTGTGGATGGCTGAAGTGCTAACAGCTCAGCGAATGGTCAGTGTGACAGCCTTTTGCACCCGCACCCGAGTCCTTGTCCAGTGTCCAGGAGAAATGAGGTTGCATGAACAAATTGAAGGGTGGTGTGGAGGACTTTATTGCCAAAGAAAGTGGCTCTCAGTGGGAAGGGGAGCTGGAAGAGGGATGGAGTGGGAAGGTGATCTTCCCCTGGAAGTCCTGTTGTCATTCCATCCCTCTGAAGTCAAGCTGCTTCTCTCTGACATGGCTGTTGTTTCTCTTCTCTCCTTCTCTGCCCTCTGCCAGTTGGGTCAGGGGTTTTTATGGGTATGGGATGTGGGGCAGGGTGGGCTATGGATGGTTTTGGAAAAAGCAACATTAGATCAGGAAAATGGGGATGTTCTCACTTTGGGCCGTGGTTCCAGGCTTGATGGTGGGGCTTCACCAGGGACCCCTCCCTTTTCTGTCTAGAATTTCTCTACCTCCTGTCCCTATCACTTTGATGAAATATGAAAACAAATCTGCTTTTCCCCAAAGTTTCAAATGAATTGACTTCACAGCCATTGGCTAATGCCCCCAGTGAGACTGAGTACTCCATGCTGCAAGAAGGATCTTGAGCGTTAAAGGTGGTGGGGTAGTGGTGGGTAGAGGCTGAGGCTGCTTTGTGAATAAAGAAGAGAGAAAAAGGCACACTTAAAGAGTCCTCTGTTCCCTAAGACCTGTGAGTCATCTCCTCACAAGTGTCATAAGCTATGACATACGTTGTCCTCCTTGGGTTGCCAATGAAGAAGTACCGCAAGAGTGGAGGTTAGATATTTGGCTTGTGATAAAGACAATGGAAACCCCAGCAATAAGAAAAAGAACTGAAAGGCTAGTGGAAGCCAGGAGTTTCACTCCCTGTTTTCTGCTTCTTAGAACCAGGGTCAATAGAGTCAGATTTTTAGCATGCTTGCATGCCTTTACTCATTCACTCCTCATTTTATTTTACCAAGGACCCAAGGAAGTTAAGAATCTTAGCTTTTCCATTCTACTTTAAAATTGATACACAGTGGGATATGTTTCTTGCTGGAATGCCACACTCTTTTTCCAAACTGGATAATCACCAACCAACCCAGTAGTGTTATATTTAGGGTTTTTAGAACTCAGGAAGCTGTAAAACTCACTGGTTTAAGAAACATGCTGCTTTGCTCAGGGAGGACTTAGTCTAATCAGAAGGTTTAAAGATCAAAGATCACTGTAATAGGCAGCCTATAATGCATAAACCCACAGAATGGCAGAGCTGGAAGGGACCAAAAATCATATAGTCAAACACATACCAGTATCTCATCAGACCAAGGGCATATTATTCATTCTTTTCTGTGGCTGCCACTGGCTTTTCAGAGATCAAGTGGCTTTGGGTCATGGGAATGGTCTTTTTGCCTTGCAGCTTTCATGTTCCAGTTCTAAGGGTTTTGCATTTGTCTTGCTTTCCAGCTCTAACATGAAAAGAGATGATTTTTTATACAAACTAGAATGTTAAGGTGGGAGCATGACAATGGTCATAAAAACCCTAATCAACTTTCTTTTAAAAAATTTATTGAAATTGTATATATTTAAGGTATATAGCATGATGTTTTGATATACTTGAGCACCTTTCTAACCTCCCCCACCCCCAGGCTTACCATTGAAATTCCCTTGGGGTGTCCCCAGTGGAACACATTATTTCTTTTAATAGTGCCAATGACTAGGTGGATGAGCCTGAGGGGTGTGTGCATGTCACATAACGAGGCAATTAGTTTATTAATAATACTGTGGCTGCCCCTAATTCCGTTAACAAACATGCATGACGTGTGTGCCTTCCCCTAGGCACTTCATTAAGCATTTGATAGAGCAGTGATTAGCATTATCATCACTAACACCTCACTGGCTGTGTGCTTTGCATTTACCTTTCAGGACAGGAAGCAAAGTTGAGAAAATAAGCAGCAAGTAGAGATAATAAGGCCCAGAGAGGGGGCAGATATATTGTCCTCAGAGTTTAGAGTTTTGTAGAAGAGTAAAAATCATGTAATTTGGGAGTCATATAGGGTGACTGGCATTTATTTTGTGAAAAAAAAAAACAGACAAAAAAACCTGTACAAGTGAAAATCTCTATCATTTCAATTAAAAATGACATTTGAACTCCAAAGATGTAGAAAGGACAAAATAGATTTAGAGTAAATTTAATTCATAAAAAACTCACTGCATTGTCCTAATTCCTGTGGAAACACCGTCACAAACTGGAACTGGTACACACATTGGCTTTTGGGAAGTTCTGGTCTACATGAGAGCTAACAATCTCAATTTTATGGAGGCACCTACTGGCTGGTCTGGGGTGACATTGGTTAGTTTCCCAGAAGAATAATCAGATGTAAAGGTGTAAGGTAGGAAGCTTCTGGAACAAGAAGGCAAGAAGATGGAAGGATCATTCTTTCCACTGTCATTCTGAGACAGGGGGATATGCTAAAAGCACAAATATCTTGTGGGCAGACAAATTGATGGTTCCCCAGCAATAATCTGGTATAGCTCCTGGATAGAGCAAGGTAGCACCAGAAGACTTTCCACAGTGTGGTCCCTTCCCCACCTCTCCAAAGACACACACACACACACACACACACTTAGGACACCCTTTCTTTTTCTAATACTAGTTGCCTGCAATATGTATTGACAAGATTAAAAGAGCCTTCCACTTAGAGTCCAAATACCCAAGTTCCAGTCCTGGTTCTGACACTAGCGTGATTTCTGGCAAGTTTTCTCCTTTCCCTGAACCTTGGTTTCCACACTTGTGTAATGACAGAATTGGACTAGGCTTATCTGAAGGCCCATGTAGCTCTGACATCCTCTCCACTCCACCCCACCCCTGTCGCAAGCTGGTCTTAGTTAATTTCTTTAGTTCATTTGGGGCTGACGGAGGCTTCATTGGCAACCCATTCCTTGTTTACCAGCATGATTCTTATCTGGTCCCTGCTGGATTGGTGGCAGAGTCCTCCTTACCTTGTTCTTCCTCTTCTCATCCCACATTACAAGCTCAGCAAGGTCAGTTCAAGCCTGTTTCCCTTTCAGCTGTGCATGATATCACTGAAAGAGTGCTTCATGCTGGGGGTTGTGGGCTGAGAACTCAAGGGCACTTCACTAATTGTCATGGTCTCCAGCTATATTCTATTTTTCTAATAGACCAATGTGTCCATTTAAGACAGACAAGATTGCTTTGGGCCCAGAAACCCTCTTTGAGTGGATGTTTCTATGGTGTGGAGGTGGCTTCGAAACTGAATTGCCGTCCTTTGTCAGATATTGTTGGAGCTGCACTCTTAAGACAAGGAGGAGTGGACAGAAGGGAAGTTCAAACAGAGGAAGGAGCTGAAGTAGAGGAAGGGAAAAATGTAGTTGAAACAGAAGTGGCCACTCTTCCAAGCACTCCTTTCCCCTCACTCTATACCCCCATAGGGGCACTAGAGGCCATACAGATCTGAATCCATGCCCTGCACTGTTGCTTATTAGCTGTGCCATCTTGAGCAATTTTCTTGACTTTTCTGAGCTTCAGTTTTTCCATTTGTAAAGTTTGGAGAGTTTTGATGCAGATTAGAGAATAATATAATGTAGTTAGCACATAGCAAACATTCAATAACTGGTAGCTATTGCAGTTCTTTAAAACAGTTCTATAGCTATATAATGAAGCTCTTACTGCCCTTCTGGGCAGAGTTGGATAGTCTCCCCAGCTAGATGTAAGAAAAAACAGGCCAGTTTCTTCAGAAAAGTGAAATATATACACCCAAACTGATAGTGACAGTCAGGCAGCCATCTTCAGATCTTGAGGAAGCCAGCCTGAATGCTTCTGGAACCACCCTGTAAACCATGAATCTTCATGGGGCAAAGTGAAGCCTTTTACTGTGGTGTCCCTTTTCTATCTGTGTCTGGCATGTGGTATTTCTAATGCTGACAACAGTGCAAGATAAGCATTACATCTTCATTTTACTGTTAAAGAGTGAGGCACAGATTAGTTTCACATGCTACTGTGGCCTTGGTGGTGCCATGCTCTACCTATTAATTAGTTTAGCTCAGGGATAATGTTCATGTTCATGTTCACTAACACCTTGTTACACCCATACTTTGCTGTGTATGGGTTGGGAGGTAACGAGCTTCCTCAAGGGACTGACACCAAGATGGAAAAGGAGGCACGGCACCACAGACACACACTGGAAGAGACAATGTTATGTGTTCATCAAGTCTTGTTTTCTTCCTCTTTCTGCTTGCATAGAAAAGTTACATTTCCCACCCTTCCTTGCAATTATATGGGTGCCATGTGACTACATTCTTGCCAATGGGATTTGGAATAAATGACACAAGCTACTTCCTAGCCTGGCCCTTAAAATATCTCACAGGAGTCTTTAGCCCTCTCTCCCCCTACTACAGAGAACTTGGGGCCTCATGTTGAAATGGTGCCATCATAAAATGGAAAGAGCCTGGAGCCTGGAATTGCCAAAATTGGAGGAGAGACCCCTGATGACACTCATCAGATTTTATGTGTATATGAAAGAAACTTTAGTTGTGCCTCGTCACTGAGATTACAGTCTGTTTGTTATTGTAACATAGCATAACATTATTCTGATTAATGCACATAACTGTCACATATAGTTAGAAATATATACCCATGGTAGTCCCCCTTATACTCAGAGGATATGTTCCAAGAATCCCTAAAACCACAGACAGTACCAAGCCCTATACAGGGATATCTCAAAGATATTGCAGCTTTGGTTCCAGACCATCTCAATAAAGTGAATACTGCAATAAAGCAAGTCACACATATTTTTTTGGTTTCCCAGTGCATATAAAAGTTATGTTTACACTATACTGTAGTCTATTAAGTGTACAATAGCATTGTGTCTAAAACAACAATGTAGATACCTTAATTAAAAAATACTTTGTTGCTAAAAAAGGCTGACACAGAGACACGAAGTGAGCACATGCTGTTGGAAAAATGGCACTGATAGACTTGTTCGACACAGGGTTGCTGCAAACCTTAAATTTTTGAAAAACATACTATTTGCAAAGCACAATAAAGCGAAAGGCAATAAAACAAGGTATGCCTGTGTATACTCTGTTTCTTGGGTGTGATAATTGAGATGGCTACTAAGTGACTAATGCGCAGGTAACATCTACAGCACGGATATGCTGGACAAAGGGATAATTCACATCTCAGGTGGGACAGATCTTGCACATCTCAGATGATGCAAGATTTCATCACTCTACTCAGAAGGGCATGCATTTAAAAATTTATGAATTGTATATTTTTTGGAATTTTCCATTTAATATTTTCAGACTGAGGTTGATTGCACATAACTGAAACCATAGACAGGGAAACTGAGGATAAGCAGAAACTACTGCACTCTAAAGAGAGAGATGGCAGAGAGAATGATTTGGAAGGTCAGGGATGAGGGAATAAATGAATGAGAAAATGGATAGAGGGAACATAGGCTGGGAAGCCAGTACAGAGATTTTTGTGGAGTAATGATCAGAACAACCTGAAGATGCCTGATACTCTGTGTGTCCAAGAAGAAACCTCATCTTTAGCTCTTGCTGAAGCTGCTCCCCTATGTAGAAGGACAAAGCAATGCTGGGAGAGAGCATTTTCAGTTTCTTAGGTCAGGTTCATGTATTAAGTGCACCCTATTTGAGCAGGTGCTGATATTCAGCAACTCCTTGAGATGAAAGCAATTTTGCCGATCATTTAGTTTATTATTCCTTTAGTCTCCTCAAGCAGAAAGGGATTTTTCTTTTTTCTATCCCAAGGATTGATAAAAAGAAGTCTTTTCTGACTGGGCACCATGGCCTGACCCATCCAAGGCCCCTTCTTGATCGGAGGTACCAAATGTTATATTGGAGAATGGTCTTTGCATTCCACACCAGGTATATACATCTAGCCCTCAAGCTGTCAAAGATCCACTCTGGAGCTGCTGTCCATGTCTTCCTTTAAGCCTAGGCCATTGCATGCCAGCAGCTCAGACTGTTTCTTAAAGTTTCTCTAAATCTGCATGCTGCAGTTTAAGGGCGCTTTCTCTGGCACTGTTGTCAGTAGAAACGGAGAATCCATATTACCCATCCTGACTAACTGCCTCCACCCAGCTTGGCTTCTTCCCTAGACTACTGAGCTAACTGCCTGTCATTAACCTAGGAACTCTTCCCTTTTTGGAAAGCCTCCCTTGGTGAGTATTCCAGGCCTGACAGCAGCTGTATTCTTTCCAATCTCTAAGGCAGTCATTGAACATTTTACAATTTCTTTATGAAGTCTTAAGAGGAAGTGAATTTTCAGCTAGGTTGGGCCATCCACAGTCTCCCAGAGGACTGTACAGTGGCTTGAGAAAAACCTCATCCTGGCCTATTACAACAGTGCTGCCTTGCCAAAGTACACAGGGTCAGCCACTGCGCTCCGCTTTGAGCTGAGCCAGAGCAATGGAGGGCAGAGTGCAAGAATGGTAGGGCTTCCCTGACCTCACAAAGTCAGGTCTCACCAGACCTCAAGGCCAGTCAGCTCTGTGCCATGCAGGAGCTGTTGCAGCCAAGTTAGCACACTTATTTCCACCCAGCCGTGCTGAGTGCAGCACAGACTTCCAGGAACCGGCTACAATTTCTGATCCTAAAAGAGGTGTTGACAAGAGATAAAGAGAGAGAAAGTACAAATGAAAGAAGGAAGGAAGGAGGGAGGAGGTTGGGAGGAAGGAAGGAAAGAAGGGAGGAGGAATAAATAAAAGAAAGCAAACCTTGCATCTGAGTATTCCTGGGCCATGATAATGAGCTGTGTTGAGATCGTACTTGCACATAGCTAGACAACCAGAATGTGTGTGACTGATAAATTCAGAGCACTGCGATTATGGCAGGAACTTAAGAACCAGGAGGCCCTCCCTGCCCTGGTATGCCTCATTCTGCATCTAAACATACTCAAAAGGACTTTAGGACAATTCCAAGAAAGTGTAGCAGTTGTGAAGTAGTATAGTCTAAGTAGATTTATAGAAGTGCTTACGTGATTTTCCTCATGCAGCTTAAATGCTCCAGCCTGGAGATGGAGCACTAGATTTCTTATATCCCACTGTGTTACCTATTGGCCAAAACTGCTATCTGTCTCCACTTCCATGTCAGCAGTAGTCTCCTTCTTGCAGCAGCTTGTGGAGATCTGATACCTCATTGTGATTTCATGTGAAACTCCAGAACCAGTATCCATTACACTTAACACAGCAGTAGAGTCATTAAGGCCAACATTCTGAGAAACTATGTTGGTTCTGTTGTAACACACACACACACACACACACACACACACACACACACACACACAAAGCAGCAGATACATCCTCAATGAACAGAGAGTAAATAAATACACTCTCTGAAGATTTGAGGGCAAGGGTGCTAGAACAGATTTTTTTTCAAGACTCCTTATTATCCCCAAGATCCTGTAACTAGTACTGTCATTTTAAAACTATTTTATTTAGAAAACATTAAACTTGGCTCCCTTGATCTCTTGCCCCCAGTGATAAGGATATAAGTCTATCATTCAGCTTTCCTGTAATCTGTTTGGGAAGGGGGTGTGTATATGTGTGTGTGCGTGCATGCGTGTGTGTGTGTGTGTGTGTGTGTGTGTGTATTTCTTTCCAAAGGAAAAAAGATACCTAAAGACATATAGAGCTTCATCCAAAGGCAGTTTCTCCATCCATGCCCTCAGCCCACCTCATCCTGCCCACCAAGATAGGCTCAAACTCCAGGAATTCCTGACACGAGGATACCCATCAGCCCACACACGTAATTACTTCTGTTGCCTTGCATCCTTAACAAGCACCAACATATTTCAACAAAGCTGTCAGGGCTGAAACATGTGCCTAAAGCAGGGAGCAAAACATTCTAAGTGAAAGAGTAGGAGGCAATGAGGGTGGGCCACGTGGCTCCTGGATGAAAGTTGTTTTCCATCTGGGCCTCTAGAAGGGAGAACTTAGAGATGGTGAAATCCTAGGTTAAGAAGGAACTTTTAGAAACAGCTTAAATCACCCCAGACAGACGCCACAACATCCTAATTTAAAACATTTCTTGAGAAACTGCCTTAATTATTGTTTGTAAATGCTCCCTTTTGCCTGACTTTTAGTCAGTGTGCTGCTACTAGCTCTTACTTTTTGGTTTGCAAGTGATGCTGGTCGCAATGAGTGGGCAGTCTTAAGTGAGGTGCTATGGGGTATACAAGGGAGGAAAAAATAGATCTCACTTCCAAGATCTGGTGGCCCTCTCTAATAATGCTTTATAGAGAACCTGAATGCCATTTGTTTAGCTCAGAACTCCTGAGGGCATGACATAACATAGGTGGCTGTCCTAGACAGGTCAGGCTAAGAAATGTTAGCAAGGAAGCTCCATGAGTTATGTGACACTTGCCCAAAAAATGTCCAGAACCATATTTGCCCTCATTGTTTCTGAGCAATCTCACAGAAATCCTTGTCAGAGCCCTTTCTAATTTCCTGGGTGCTTTAGAGATTCATGGCACAACTAAAGCAAAACCAAACCAGGAACCAGCTTCTCTCTCCAGCTTACCTGCAGGGAAGTTATTTCCAGTTCTTGGCATCTACCTTGGGGCTCATTCTCTACCAATGCTCTGAATCTTTGAGAAAAAATTCATTCCCGTTTGATTGATAGGTCATGTGTTTCCACTTAGCATGTGAGAGTTAACCTATTATATATATACTATATTATTGGCGGTGGGAGCTGTGTGGATTGGGATGTGTTAGTGACATTTTAGAGAAGAAGTGACAGAGGGATTTGATTGTCTAGTAGCATCCAAGCTAGGACACAGTGTGAAAAAATAGAGTACAAATATATAGACACACACAGACATGCTTCCATAAGTTTCTTGGCTCTTCTAACCTCCCCTCCTGAGTCCACCTCCCCTGCTACATAAACAACTACAGCAGTAAAACTTGGACTCCTAGATGTACCCAAACAAGAACTATAAGGCGGGGCCAGGCACAGTGGCTTACCCCTGTAATCCCAGCACTTTGGGATGCCGAGGCAGGTGGATCACTTGAGGTCAGGAGTTCGATACCTGGCCTGGCCCACATGGTGAAACCCCATCTCTACTAAAAATACAAAAACATTTAGCTGGGCATGGTGGTGTGCACCTGTAATCCCAGCCATTCAGGAGGCTGAGGCAGGATAATCGCTTGAACCCAGGAGGCAGAGGTTGCAGTGAGCCGAGATCGCACCACTGCACTCCAGCCTGGGTGACAGAGTCAGACTCCATCTCAGAAAAAAAAAAAAGAAAAGAAAAGAAAAAAAAATAACTATAAGGCTCAAATCTGGCATTAGCAAACATCAGGATGGAAGAAGTTAGATTCTTCTTAACTCCTCCTTCTCCAACAGATATTCCTCCAGCAAGTTAACCAACCCTCGATAAAAATGGGGAGGGAAGTTACATTCCTCTTCTTAATGTCTTTCTGCCTGCCCTTTATCCAACTTGCTTGGCCTCACTGCCTAACCCTGCTAAAGCACTCACCTATCCTCCACTGCCTTATCTCTGGTGGATTCTTCAGGGGCTGGCCTTTCCTATAGTTCACATGTCCAGCATAACTGTGCAGATCAGAGTGGCAACCTGGATGGAAAAGGTCAGCAAAAGATGAGAGGACCATTTGTGCTACTGTGCCTTGTCCAAACTCTTCTCTGTGGTCAGTCACCTGCAAGGCCTTAATTGAGTCAGGCACTATAGAATATGCAAAAACGAAGAGATAGATTCTGATCTCAAGAGTCTTGCAATATAGCTGAGAAGGAAGAAGGTAACACACCCACTGAAGACTGAAGAATTGGATATAATAGTGGAAAGATGTACTCAATGGTGAGTAATCAATTCTTTTGTTGTTGTTGTTGTTGTTGTTGTTGTTGTTGTTTTTGAGACGGAGTCTCGCTCTGTCGCCCAGGCTGGAGTGCAGTGGTACGATCTCTGCTCACTGCAAGCTCCGCCTCCCGGGTTCACGCCATTCTCCTGCCTCAGCCTCCTGAGTAGCTGGGACTACAGGCGCCCGCCGCCATGCCCGGCTAATTTTTTGTATTTTTAGTACAGACGGGGTTTCACCATGTTAGCCAGGATGGTCTCGATCTCCTGACCTTGTGATCCTCCTGCCTCGGCCTCCCAAAGTGCTGGGATTACAGGTGTGAGCCACCGCACCCGGCAAGTAATCATATTCTTGTTGAAAGAGCTGAGAAGCCATGAGGGTTTCCTGTCAGCCAGAGTAGTCTGGAAACTTTATATAGGAGGTAGGAGTTGATCTAGTGTCCAGTGGGTCTCACTATAGAACCCCATACTGGGATGGGCTTGCAATCAGCTCTGCCTGAGTTTGTTGAGGCTTGGAAATGGGACAGAGGTGAAGCCTGGGGAAGCTACAACCTAGTACTCTTTTAACTACAGTCCTCCTATGGTTCTATTCCCCAGTTTGGCCTTCTATACCTCTACCTACCCCTCCACGCGTCATCTTGAGTTTTGAATTTTCACCAAGCAGCAGCTGGAAGCCAGGCATTGGCTGCTGGAACAATATTGACTGCATTTCAAGTTACTTTCAGACCTTCAGAAGGGGAAATTTGCTTTTCTCTTGCACATTCTAATTAAGACCATGTGCTCTGGGACCCATGGAAACATAGTTCTCTAATAGTTCATCTTGGGGATTCAATAACACACACAAACTCGAGTTGCTGTGAAAGGCATGCTGGCTGCTTGAACTCAAAAGCAATGATCCTGAGTTCCCAAGGGGATTGCTTGTCCTCAAAAGAGAGAAGCTGTTGGGCCTCTGGAAATGGAATAGAATTCTGACATTTTTCTCATTCCTTCCTCCACTGAGAAACATAAGAGCTTCTTGTATCAAGAGGAAACTAGCACGGGAAGTGTGACTCACTTTACAAAGCCTTTGAAGCAGGCATTTCTGCAAACTACTGCTGGCCTGGAGAAAAAAAAAACCCACTGTGGTGGGAAGCCAGGGACCTGCGTTCTAGCTCCAGTAGGGCCATTAACTTCTTTTGTGATCTGGGAGCAGGCTATTACTCTTCCTGCTTCTCCCTTGCACTCATCCTAGCTTTCAATTTTTAAAATGACAGTATGGGATCTCCTTGAGGGCTTTGGCAGCTCTGAAATTCTGTGGTTCAAAGTCTAGCTCTTAAAATGGAAGCCAACACTTGAGAGAAAAAAGCCTGTGGTAGAACTCACTCTAGGGATAATGTCATGCACAGGAGTGGCAGATATTGCCTCTCTTGGGTGACTTGAGGTATTCTGGCCTTGCCTTAAAATATCTCCTCCCTGATGTGGCAAGCTCTTCTGCTTGTCTGGTTTCCTTTTTTTTTTCTCTTTTTTTTGGATTCATCACAGCCCTGATGCCCTCTTCTAAAATGTATATGGTCTTTGTAACCTCTTAACATGAATGCACTAACTGGACACTCTTCTCCTTAACTGGGGAATAGGGAGATAAAGGGAAGGTGGTGATAGCAATTGAGGAGGCAGATATGAAAAAGTGGTTGCCAAAGACACATGTTTCCATGCCTTCACAAGTTTGCTCAGGCACAGCCCTGACTCTCCTACAATATTATTGTTTCCAGGGTGGGTAGAGAAGCAGAGAGTTCTTGTTTCATCCTTATAATCTATTTGGAAAGTCAGTTTTCAGAGGTGTTGGCCTATCCCCAGTTGGATTTGTCTGGAAAGAAGTACCAAGTCACAGGACATTTCTACTGACATCAAGCAATGATATAATTGTGTCCTCTGTGCAGGATATAGCAAAACCTTTAGAGACGAATAACCCATAGTCCTCTGCTCATGTATTTCCATTATTTAGGTTCCTTTGTCATCATAAAGCTTCCCTGTTAGCTGAAGTTTTTAATGCTGTGATCTGCATAAGACATAGTGTTTAATCTTAGTTCACCCCTTACATAGTCTTGTGACCTTGTATAGTAGTCATTTAATGCTTACACTAGGTTATTAACCACACAAGAAAACTGGTCTTCATGGCTCACAGTCATACTTGGAAGGGAGAAGAAGAGAGGGGAAGAAAGGGGAAAGTAGGGTGGGGAAAGGAATGAAGAAGAGAGGAAGTGGTTTTGTTTTCTTTTAAAAAAATTAAAGACTCTATTACTGAGCTGGATCACCCACCTTATTCTATAGACTTGGCTCCGAATGACTTTTAGCTGTTTGCTAAAATCAAATCCATCCTCAAGGGACAAAGATTTATCACCACTGTGGTTATTCAAAAGGATGTGCCCCAGGCTCTGAACTCAATTACTAAAGAGGAGTTCCAAAAAATATTTTGAGCAATGGCAACATCATTGCAATAAATGTACAGGGATTTAGCCTCCCAAGGTACTAGTCTGAAGGGGACACCACTCTTTAGGATGTGCACATCCTAATATGATTGCAAAAAAGCAGCAGTCACATTACATTATAGTCACTCTTCATATTACTGCCCATTTCCTCTCCTTTCATTCTCACTTGGGACTGGCAACAGCTGCTTGCCAAGTTTTGTAGGGAGCAGCTGAAAGCCATGTGGAATTTTACCCTGGCTTGTTCTGTACCTATGGCTGTTAGTTTTCCTTCACTGTACATGCAATAAAACAGTATCATAGGAAACAGGCACTTGCATAATGCTTTATGTTTTTCCAGGCAGTTTCACAGATGGCAAGATTTCAAGACAGAATATACAGATGGTAATCTCCTGGAGGGAAGGAACCTCTTATTTGTTTTTGAATACCCACACCCCAGAATAATGTCTTTCCCATAACACATAAATGTTCATGGAATGAGATAGCCATCCTCTCATTTTGTCCTGGAAACATTCTCATAAAGAAGGCAGGCTAGGTATTTTCAAATAATTATTCCTATTGTACAAGGACCCAGAACAGAAAGAGTACAAAGTGTATGAGTGGAAGCAGTCTACTTTAATGCTTAGGATGGTGGGCTTTGGAAACAATTCTGGATTCTAATTTGGACTTTGCCACTGATTAGCCATTTACTTTGAGTCAATGACTAAACTTTAGTTTTCTCAACTAGAAAACAGTATCCTCCTCAAGTGAGGATAATAGTAGTCCCTACCTCCCAGGGTTGTGAGGATGAAATGTGAACATCTATGTAAGGCACTGAGCATTGGGCTGACACAGTAGTCAATGGTGGCTACTTTTACTTCGTAAATTGTTTAGTTTAAACAACTAGCTGATGGCAGAGCCCAAGCTGGATTCCAGAGCTGTCTAACTTAGTGTCAAGTTCTTTGCATAAGACAGGGTATAAAAATGAGTTTGAGATAAAGTGATGTAGACCCTATAGGCTTGGATAACAGATGAAGAATGGAAGCTCCTGGATGTCCTTTGTGCTTCTTACACAAGGGATTTTCTGAAAAGGATGTTCAAGAACATATGATCTAATCCCTGTATCTTTCAGAAATATTATCCCAGGCTTGAAGGGAGTCCTTTTGTGACTCAGTCATCCTATCCATGGAAGTCAGACCCTCTGTCAGCCCCTAACCTCCCTGAGAAGTGAGGTAGCATATATATATATATATATATATATATATATATATATACACACTGTACACACACACACACACACACACACACACACACACTCATTTAAGTAGCTGAAACAACAGCCAAAAAGAACAGAGTGGCCACTGACTACAAGATAAAAACTGAGGCAGCATCTCCTTGCATTCCAACTTCCAGTCCCGTAGAATGGAGCTAAACAGAGGCTTACATTGGCCTGTTTCCTGATTTCAGGAACATAAATCCAATCAACTGAAATGCCTTGTGTTTATACTGGCTACCCAAGGCCCCTCACGACTTTACACAGGAAATCATTAAAATTCCTTATATTCTCCCCAGGCAAAGGCATACACAGTCAAGCATCTCCTTCTTTCTATCCAGAGGAGGTCTAGGTATCTAGAAGCTTGAAATCCAGGAAAGACGCCATCTTTTTGTTTGGAAACCTACAGATTATTCCATCTGGGAGTTTTGAGTGACAGTTTTAGTGAAATGCCCAAGGATTCTTGGTAGACTCAGAAGTGGTCACCTATTTCTGCCATTGTACCTGAGAAATCCCATATTCTTCCCTCACAGGGCCTACTTAACCTGATTACTCTTTTCTTCCCTCCTGTAATCACACCTGAAAAAACAGCATGCCTACTCAGGGTGAGAAATACAGCCCTAGAGAGTCACAAACCCTTCAATCTTCAGTGATTAGGAGACCAAAGGACCAGATCTCTACTTCCATTTGGCCCTTCGAAAGTAAAAGCCTGAAACATCCTGTTTTGCCACATTTGTTTCTTTACCATACAGCTGGAGCTGCTCCAGTGGGCAGAAGGATGAGTTCAAAAATACCCATCTTAAACTTTACATGTGGCTTGTCATCAACTTACAAGGAGAACTGAAGCTAAAGCTTAGCATTCTTGTCATTCCTTCTTTTCTAATTAACAACATATGATCTCCACTTTCTTTCCTCAGTTTCTTCTCAAGAGCTCCCTGCTTTTCACAGTGCTAAAAGCCCAAAGATACTTGAAATTCAAGCCAGCACAAGCCCATGGCTTACCCAGGTCTTATCTTCTTCCCTCAGTGGAATCCCAATCACTTATTTCTATGTGCCAAGCTGCTTCCTGCTCAACAACTATCCAGTTTCATCCTAAAGAGACGAGGCACTTGTGGTTCTGTGCCTTCTTGGGTCTGACAGATGCTCCCTTACGCTGAGTACAGAAAGCAAGCAAGGAAGGAAGCAAGCTCTGAGCCAGCCCTTCCCAGAGTTGGGAGTTTTGACCTCATCAGCCCAAACTTAACATTTTCTGGCTCTCTCCCAAATCTTCCAGTGCTTCCACTTACTCCCTCCTTGTTCTAGCTGTATATTTTTAAAGAGCATTTCCCCCAATACCCTAAAAGAGAGGAAGTAATGACTTAATCCAAAATAATGGATCCTGATGGTATAATTCAATGGTGAGCTCTTTGGGAATTTAAGGCTCTTCCTCATGACCCACAGAACACATGGCCAGGGTGACTAACTCCAAATTTTCTATATGAGACCAACATTTCCTCAGGCTCCCATTTTATACTCACAGAATCTCCTAAACTCCAACTTGGTTAATAGTTTCTGTGCTTGGCTTAAGACCTCCCACAGAGCCAATGCCTGGCAAGGGGCTTAGTAACAGTTATTCTTAGGTCATACCAAGATCTGTTCTTAATGGATGCACAAATAAAAACATGGGCAGAAATATGACCTGAAGGGTCCCTGACTTTGAGACCACCCTTGGAGCTCACAGGAAGCCCCCTGCTTCTATATACACACATTTATGACAAAGAGCCTCCCGTATCACATAGAAGCCCCATATGGGAAATATCCTTCCTCCTCCTAAATGGGCCAACTGCCTCTATTAAGTAGGGTAGTGTAACTAGGTTTTGTACCTTGTGACATATATCATGGTGTCCTAGGTTAAAAGGTGACACTCACAATGGTGTCACAGCTGCAGGGTGCTAGTGGCTAAAGAGACATGTACAACCAGTTTTAACCCCTATCAGTAGAGCAGTAGAGAAAAAAAATACAGCACAGAATGACACAGAAAAGGAAAGGAGAAAGTGTTTCAATGTATTCCATAGGGCCTAAACAGTCATGCCTAGAAACCATGAGTGGAGGCCCATTTCTACACCATGTCTAAATGGTGTCTGCACTGAAGCCTTTATTTGCAATGCCTCATACTCTAACTGGCAATGGACTCCTAAAATTTTTGCTCATGGAAAACCATATCATTTTTTTTTTCCTGGTGGCTATAGTCAACTATATTGATGGCACTTTTCTTCTACGGGGATTGAGATGGGAATCATGTTGAGAACAGTGATTCTCATTGTGTTGATGGGTAGATTTGAGATAGAACTCCCCAGAGCTGAAGGCCTCTGTCTTCCTCTTGTGCTGTCATTGGGAACACTGGTCTGGGGCCCTTACTCCCTAGTGGTCACATGAACCATGAAGTCTGCAATTTGGTTCCTACAGCCAAACTCATTGTCCTACCAGTAAATGAACTTAACAATATGGTCATGGAGATCAATGCTAGCCCAAGCATCAAAGATGGAGGAATGGGTGTCACTGTTAAAGTCACAGGAGATAACTTGGTCTTTAGCGTAGGCCAGGGTGTCCTCTAAGGGGCCTTCCAATGCCTGACTCAACACTTTATTGATGTCGCTATACTTGTATACTTTCTCCAGAATGCAGGTCAGGTCCATGACAGACATGTTGGAGATACAGAAAACCATATCAATGAGCTTCCCATTCAGCACAGGAATGACCTTCCCCATAGCCTTGGTGGTGTCAGTGTTTGCAGCAATGATAATCTGGACAGCACCAACTGTGGTATGACTAACATACCACAGTTTCCTATTAAGAAACCATCTGGATTTTTCACGATGGAAGTGATGGTGTGAACTGTGATAATGAGTATCTCCATGATCCAAAGTTGTCATGGATGGATAACCTTGATTAGGGGGCCAGAGAGTTTGCAGTACAAGAGGAGAAGTGGTCATACTTCTCATGGTTCACTTCCATCACAAACGTTGGGCCATCTGCAGAATAGGAAGAGATAATGTGCCTCCATCTCTAACATGAACTCTAGCCTTCTCCAAGAGAAGAAAGAGACTAGTGGGCTACATAACATATTAGATGCTAGCATTATCTTACTTGATATTGGCAATATCTCACTCCTAGAAAGTGGAAATGGGTTTCCTAATATAGACAAGTTTCCATTTCTTAGCCTTGACAATAATGTTGAACTTTTCATGGGAGGAATCATATATGTAGATGACATAGTTGAGGTAGTCTTCAGCAGTGAAACACAATTGACTCATACCATTTTTTTAAGATGGGATATGGCTCTGTGGCCCAGGCTGGAGTGCAGTGGTGCGATCATAGCTCACTGTAGCCTCAAACTCCTGGGCTCAAGTGATCCTCCCACCTCAGCTTCCCAAGTAGCTTGGATTACAGGCATGTGCCACCAGGTCTAGCTAATTTAAATTTTAATTGTTTTAGAGAGGGTCTCACTATGTTGCCCAGGCTGGTCTTGAACTCCTGGGCTTAAGCAATCCTCTTGCCTCAGCATCCCAAATTGCTGGGATTACAGGCACAAGCCACCATGCCCGCCTAACTCATACCATTTTTAATGGCCAGATAGGTTGAGCTATGAGACGTCATTACTCCCCAGCAGTCTTCAAATTGTATTCATTAAACAAAGTTGTATTTCAAGCTATCATATCTCTACTTCTGTGTCCAAGCTCCTTGGCCTAGAAAAAAGATAATCATACAACCACACTGGAGTTCTTACAAAAGCTTAGTTTTCAGCAAGCAGAACCACAACACTACCCAGAAATACCTCTGTATTGCCTCAGTCAGTAACATTCCCCATTCTTTTAATGCCTATTCCAAAATTTATAACCTGTCTTTTCAGACTCCTTCTCCACCTCATCTACTCCTTACTCTTACAGCAAGTTGCCTTAATTTTTCTATCATCAAGTAAATAGAGGCCATATGGGAGGGGGGCACCTCAAAATTTCTACCTTGACCTGGTGAAAAATATACTTATGCCTATACCTACCATTGTCTTCTTCCCTTCTACTTGTTCTCTAGAACTCCCCACTTCATATATACTTTGAGAGATCTTTCTTCACTAATTTTCCTTTTGCTCAACTCTGACTTTAATCTTTTCCAATATTCTAGTTGGGTTCCCTCTCAGAATTTAAAAATCATCAAGTGTTATTCCAATAACAACAAATAAACAAACAAACAAACAAAAAAACTCCTCAAGAAACAACTCCTTCAACTATCATTCTATCCATTTCACTGTCTCACTGCAGTGAGAACTCACTCCTGTAACCTATTACAACCTGTTGCAATCTGGCTGAACATACTTTAAGATTACCTCTTAATAATTGTGAAATTGAATGTACATATCTCAATTATTACCTAATTTTATTTTCTGTGTCATTTGCTACTATTGGTCACTGCCTTCTACTTAAAATTTTTTTACTTTTTTGACTTCCATGGCAGTATTCTTTCCTGTTTTCCCCACCCCCATCTTTCAGATTGCACTTTTTCAGTCTTCTCTGCAGGCTCCTTATCCTCTATCAAACCATTGAATATCATTGTTTCCCTGGGTTCTATTCTTAGCACTTTTCTTTTTTTTTTAAATTTTTAATTCTTGTGGGTACATAGTAGTTGTATATATTTACAGGGTACATGAGATATTTTGATACAGGAACACAATGCATAATCACATCAGGATAAATGAGACATCCATTACCTAAAGCATTTATTATTTCTTTGTGTTGCAAACAATCCAATTATACTCTTTTAGTTATATTTAAATGTACAATTAAATTGTTATTGACAATAGCCACCCTGTTGTGCTATCAAATACCAGATCTTATTCACTCTATTTTTTGTACCCAGTAACCATCTCCACTTCCCTTCCCAACTCCCAACCCTGCCATTACCCTTCTCAGCCTCTTATAATCATCCTATTCTCTATCTGTATGCCATCAACTATTTTAATTTTTAGCTTCTACAAACTAGTGAGAACATGCAAAATTCGTCATTCTGTGCCTGGATTATTTAACTTAACATAACGATCTCCAGTTCCATCACCACTAATGTGAATGACAGAATCTCATTACTTTTGATGGCTGAATAGTACTCCATTGTGTGCATGTACCTCATTTTCTTTATCCATTCATCTGTTGATGGACACTTAGGTTACTCCCAAATCTTAGCTATTATAAACAGTGCTGCAACAAACATTGGACTGCAGATATCTCTTCAATATATTGATTTATTTTATTTTGAGAGTATGCCCAGCAGTGGGATTTCTGGATCATATGGTAGCTCAAGTTTTAGGTTTTTTTGAGGAAGTTCCAAACTGTTCTCCATAGTGGTTGTACTAATTTACATTCCCATCAATAGTGTATGAGGGTTCCCTTTTCTCCACGTGTTCTCCAGCATTTGTCATTGCCTGTCATTTGCATAAAAGCCATTTTCACTGGAGTGAGATAATCTCTCATTGTAGTTTTGATTTGCATTTCTCTGATGATCAATGAGCACTTTTTCAGCACCTCCCAGGGGGAGGGGCAGGCTGCCGTCTTTGCTGTGTTGAAGCCTTAGCTGTTATTGCCTTCAGACTTTACAGAGTCTGTGGCAAATGGGGGCTGGAGTGCACCCCCAGAATAGCACAGCTGTTCTACAAAAAAGTGGCCCAACTGCTTTTTTTGCAGTTCTCTGATCCTGTTCTTCCTCATTGAGCAGGGCCTCCCAACCTGGGTCTCCAGCCTCCTCCTGCTGGTGTGTTCAGGCTGGCAACATGTATTGGAAATTCTGAGGTGACTGGGGTCTAGAGCAGGTGCCCAGCATACTGCAGCTTATAGAAAAGTGTTCAGACTCTTTGTTAAATGGGTACCTGATCCTGTATCTCCTCACTGGATGAGTCATCCTTGCTTGGGTCTCCAGCAATACCCCACCAGCCACAAGCCAGGGATATCAAGCTAGCAGCAGTTCTGTAACTGTCTGCAATAGAGCTTACAGTTGGAGAAGTGTGTTGCTATCTTTTCTGTCTTGCAGCCCTCATGCTTGATGTCTCCAGGCCCTGGAGAGTCCACAGGGACCAGGGGCTCATCCAGACACCCCAAACAGAGCATCTACCTCATGGAAAAGTGGCCAGGTTGTTCTCCACACAGGTCCCAGTTCTCACTTCTTCTCACTGGGCAGGGTTGCCTGACCTGGGACTCCAGCACAACCCCCCTGCCCTTGCTTGACCACTTCAATCAGAGGTAGCCCAGCAGTTCTCCATGGATGAAATCCCAGAGTCAACCTGTAACCCCTCTGTGATGGCAGTTGCAATGGTACCACCATAACAGTCCTCACACTGGGGAGGGAACAAAGTGCCCCATCACTGTGGTGGCACTTCCAGCACACTGTAGCCACCAAACAGAGAGGAGTCCAGCCCTTCTTCTCTGAGAATTCCCACCCCCACTCCTCACCAGGCTGGGACACTGGCTTATGATCATAGAACAATCTCCTCCACCCACAGCTAAGCATACCCACTGGTAGTGGCCTGGAGTCTCGCTGGGGAGAGGCTCACAGAGATATGTAACAGCCCCTCTGCCACTGCCACAGCAATGATTCTATTTCTGCTGTCCCTCGTTGGGGGAAGAAACAAAGAACCTGTGAGCTACACTCAAGATTACAGCATGCCATAGTCGCCATATGGAAAGGAGACCAATCCCTCCTCCCAGTGAGCCCTTCACTCCCTGCTTCCCAACAAGTGGAACCCCCAGCTCACACCAGCAGTGCAGCCACCCTATCCTACTGATTGAACACTCCCAGTAACATCAGCTCTGTGTTTCTTGGAGGTGGATGCCCCCAGGGGCAACAGAAAGCCCCTCTGCCACTGTCTCTGCAGCGGTACTATCTCTGCTACCTTTGGGTTAACAAAGGAGCAAACCCCCTAAGTGCTTTATCCACACCTCCAACAACTTGCAGTTGACTCAAGGAGAGGAGGCCAGTTTGTTTCCCATTGGTTCCACCCACCCCTCCATCACCAGGCAGGGAGCCCCCCAGCTTGGGCCCACAGCACAGTTCCCCCATACCAGGCTGATTGCACTGAGTGGTTACTGACTGCTTCCCTCTGGGGTAGATCCTCCAGGAAACAAGTAAAAGACCCTGGTCCACAACCACTGTGAAGGTCCCTTCCTCTGCTGCCTCCAAGTTGGGGAGGGAATATAAACTTTGAGATTACCCCAGAGCAGCAGTCAGGAGCCTGGTACTTCCAAGCTGTAATATAGAGGCAGCACTCAAATAGGAGAGGAGCCCACACTTTCAGAGTATTAAGAGGGAGCACAGCTGCAAACATGAGGAAATATTTGTGAGTCACACAACTGAGCAAGAGCCTACTTACTGAACACTATACCTAGTGCTACCTACCACATCACACCCCAAAGCTTCAACAACAAAAATATATTCTCCTGTGAAACCAAAGACAAGAAGTGAGCCACAAATAACGACCCTGTACAAAGCCTTGACTCTGTGAAAACGTGCAAAGAAGAAGTCTTTTGATTG